>NC_000005.10:121359807-122609807 GCF_000001405.40 Homo sapiens
GAACAATTCAAATGAACTAATAACACTCAATTTCTTAAAATCTAGTGGATGCTGATGTGTTCACTATTTATCTTTAAATAAATCATTCAATTTATATTATTTTAACTTAACTATATCTGTATCTATATACACATATATTCTTTTATATGGTATATTTTAATATAATATTTTTAAGGATTTGGTAATAGAAAAAATAAACAAAACTATAAATTTGAATAGACCTACCAACTTGGCCCCTAGCATTTGCTGGCATTTGCAATATAAAAATTCATCACTTATTCTTTCTAAAATTAGAATAATTAGAAAATAAGAGTGGATACTTAGAAATTAGAATCTTTTACAGGCAATACCTAACTAAAAATAAAGCTGATAAAATTTACCTTCCCATCTTCCAATGTTGTTTCTGGCTACAATGGGACTAAATAAGACATAGACAAAAGGGAGGTATCTAAAAAATTCTTCTATATTTAAAATTAAATAGCACACTTATGTATCACACATGGGTCCACAAAGAAACCACAAAAGGTATTATCAAAAGTTTTAGTTGAATCTATATTATGTCCTTACTATGAATACTAATCTGTGTGTGTGTGTGTGTGTGTGTGTGTGTGTGTGTGTGTGTACTTGAAAATAATTTGTTTGATTCAGGGCTTGCATTTTTGCTCTTTATTTTTCTTAATTATATTATACTTCTATTTCCCAGTCATCTCATTTATGAGTTATGCTTTTCTGTATTCATTAACAGATTTCCTTTTATCCCACTTGCATTTTTCTTTCCCAGCCCACTTTATGTTGGAAACCTCCTCCTTCCATGGCCTTCCTGATAGCAGATGATAGAAAAGTAAATGTTTTAGTTAACCATAACAAAAATTATGTTATCCTTAACCATGCTCTACCTCTCACATTTTACACTTAATCTATATAGAAATCCAACTGACCTTATCACCAAAATGTTTTCGTAATCTGAAACCCATGTCTACACCGCCATCATCTTGGTCTGTTTCATCATGATATCACACTCAGACTAATGCCATAGCCATCCCACCACCACGTTTTCATTGCTTTAATTTTTGCCCAACCTGCTTTAGTGTATTTTCTACATAATAGCCTGGGAGACAATTTAAAATGTAGTTCTGATGTCACTATTTTACTATAAAACTTGTAGTGGCTTCACTTAGCCCTTCCTTTACCTGAATGTTCTCTCCAAAAAGTCCCTCAACTTCTTGTTGTTGCTCAAATTACATGTTTTCAATGAAGCCCACTCTAACTACCGCCCTTGCCCCATGTATCCACTACTTTAAGTCTTGCTTACTCTAGTTCTACATTTTTTCATAACATTCATCATTTGTAGCAAAGTGACCTACAAATATGTATTCACCTGTTTAGTATTTAATATCTGCATATTCTATTTCACTGGGGCAAGAAAAGTATTGTTTTTTCACTGGTATAAGAACCTACAACATTGCCTCAGATATGATAACCCTTCTATAAATATTTATAAAATGAATAAAGCATTCATTTTAAAAATTGGGTCTCATAATTCACGGTTAAAGCATTTTGACTACAGATTTAATTCTTTAAACTGTGATGGATACATTCATTTAACAATGTCTTCATGAGCCAGTTTGGATTTTTAAGACATTTGTCTATTTCATTTAGATTGCAAATTATTGGCATGAAAATTTCCATAATTTTATTGTCTACAATATTTATAAAATTCATATTTCCATCTTTTTTCTATGATCAGTTTCATCAGATATTACTTTCTGCTTTCTCTCTATAACAAATGATGAACAAATTTCTATCTTATTAGTTCCTTCTTACTACTATGTGTTTATTTTACGTCATTTTTCTGTGTTTTAAAAATGGGTGGCTAGCTCATTAATTTTCTATCTTTTGCCATCCCAACAGCTACATTTAGAGCTCTGATTTCGCCTTCAAGATACTGTTTTAAATGCATTCCATAACGTTTATATTATATTGTAATAATTAAGTTCCAAATATTTTCTTTAGCATGTGATTTTTTTCTTTGACCTAAGGGTTATGTAGAAATGTGCTTCTTCATTTCCAAAGACAGAAGAAAATTTTACTTATCTTATAGTTATTATTATTTTTGCTGAATTTCACTGTGGGTGGAGAAAAATTTCCATATGACATCAGTGTTTGAAATTTGTTAAGACTTGCTCTATGGGTCAATATATAATCAATCTTCATAAACACTCTATGTTGGCTTAAAAAAATGTACATACCAAAATTGATATGTACAATACCAATTGGTATGTACAAAATTGGTATGTACAATACCAATACCAAGGGTACAGCATTCTATATGTATGTATTAGGTGGTTTCTTAATTATATTCTTCAATACTTCTATCTCCTCAAAGCATTTGCCTTCTTTTTCATAAGCTCCTATGATATGTTCAACATCTTCTACTATGATTGTTGACTGATGTATTCTTTGTGTATTTATATGATTTTTTCTTTTTTTTATAATTTAGAAATTGATTTCTGATGAACTGAAACTCTTATATGATATTCATCTATATCTCTAAAAAGCCTTTATGTAAAAATTATATCTGTAGTGACATAGCTACATCAGCTCTTTTTGTCTAGTTTGCATATTGTACCTCTTCTTTTTCATTCCTATATCTTTGTTTTAGATTAGATCTATTTCTCATGAATCAGTGACAATAATGTGTGCATTTATTTTCTAACAGTTCAATCTATACTGTTGTTTTATTCATCTTTGTGCAAAAGCCACACTCTTCTATTTATTGTGGTTTTACAATAAGTCTTCATATTTATCAGTTTCATGTCCTTTAATTGTGTTCTTTTTCTTTAAGATTGCCTTGGCAGAGTTTCTCTTCTGCTTGAAACGTAGAAAGTGGGAAAGGAATCTTACACCCATTTTAACAAATGAGTAAAATTTGGATAATCTAAAAAGCCACAGTTTTTATTGAATCCATCAAAGAGCTAAAGACAAAAGGCAGTGAAGAGAACTGAATTCCAACTAATGGCATAATCTTCTGAGATGTAAGGCACGTGAGCCATTTTACCATTGGCAGATCACAGAAGGAAGAGGTAGCTGTTGTAGAAGCAGATAAGAAAAAATTAACTCTAATTTTAATAATTTTTTAAAGCTGCATTTGGACACAGCATCAGTTTAGATTACCTGGGATTTCAAGATACAAAGACGATCTGTGGACACATACACTTTTCTCCAAAGACCTCCACTGATTATTTACAAGAAAGATCGGCTCAGGGGAAAAGACCAGAGAGCTCACCTCTGTAGCAGAGGAAAGCCACGGAAATAATTTTCTATTGACTGGAAACACACAAAACACAGCACACTTCTCTGAGCTCTTTGACTATATGAAGCAAAAGCCTTAACCCACTGGAAAAGAAAGGCAAACCTTCCAGCTCCTGGGCTACTTCACCCAGGTAAGAGGTAGGAAATTATATTACCAGTCACCAGATCCAGGCAAAGATCCAATGCTACCGTGGAATGGTAGACATAGAAGTCTTCTGTCCTTTGCGAGTGGGACTGAAATATCTCTTCTTCTAGGATCTTGTACCAGTATAAACAAGTTTGCTAGAGGTGTGGAGAGAGGAAGGTAACTTACTCTTGCCAAGCCTGTCACAGATTGAAAGCAGAAAATAGCTGCCATGCAGTGCCAAGTGTCAGGAATGACAAAAGAGCCTTCACAATCCCCAAGTGCATAAAACCTTCCTAAGATTGTGGCTTGACGATAACTGAGAACACTGTAATAGAGAAGATTCATGATTATACTGATATATAGAGAAAGAACATTTGTCAACATATAACACTATCTCAAGCTAAAAACATCTCAACTAAGTGTAATAGGAGGATTCTATCTTCTTCAATCTAATATAGGACATCTACTTAGAAAAAAAATAAATAACTAAAGCAAAAATGTCAAATGATTCTCCAGGCCCCAACTCCAACAAAACAAATCACGAAACAAAGATATCCTCTCCAGTGATATTTATCCAGTATTTAAATTGGAGAACTTAACCAATTTATATATTTTTATATTTATAACATAAATTTTAAATTTATATTTATAAGGCAAGAAAAGATAAATTAAAAAAAGATTGAAATGAAAGAAACAAAACCGTCTTTATTCATAGATGAAATGTTGAGATTCCGAAGAACCTACAATGTAGAAATTAGAAAAAATAGGTGATTTTACTAGTATCACAGGATACAAGAGCAAAATACAAAAATAAATTGACTCAAAAATGTGTAAGGAAAAGCAAATACAGGCAAACCTGAAAAATAAATAAAATCAAATTTGAGGAACATTGCACTACCTGGTTCCAAGATTTATTCTAAAACCAGGATAATCATGACAATGTAGTATTGAAATAAACATAGATATATAATCAATGGAACAAAATGTAGCATCCAGAGGTGGACTCTCATATACATGATGTCAAGATAATAGGATGAAGAAACATAGTAATTACAAAAAATGATTCTGGAACACTTCAAAATTCAGCGCAAGCAAACAAACCTCAGCCATTCCCATACTGTGTGTGTATATATATATATATATATATATATATATGTATGCAAAAATCCAATCAAATTAGCTCGAAGGCCTAAATGTAAATAAAAACTATAAAACTCCTAGGAAAAATTATATTAGAAAATTTTTGTAGCTTTTTTGGGGTTAGACAAAAATATCTTAGGTTGGAAATCAAGATCACAAATGAATTTTTAAAGTATGAATTAGACTTCATTAAAATGAAAAATGTTTTTTTAATTAATAACATTTTTACCAAAATGAAAAGTTAATCCAATACTTGGAGAAAATATATGGAGTACATCTGATAAAGGACAGACTATCCAAACTGTATGCCAAACTCTTACACTCAGTAATAAAAACAGCCTAATAAATAATGAGCAAAAACTTGAACACTTAACCAAAGAAGACATTTTAATGGCAAACATGCACTCAAAAAGATGCCCAATGTCGTTAGTCAATATGTAAATGCAAATTAAACCTGAAGTAAATACCACTACTACACATCTACTAGAATGGGAGGGGGAAGACGTCCTTAATAAGTGTGGGACAAGGCAGAGAACAAGTGGAATTCTCATGCATTGCCAACTGTAGGATGCGAAATGCCTTTTTAGATGTTAGCTCCTAGTAGTAGGTTGTCAGACTTGTTGTTCACATTTCTCCCAGAAATAGAGGACTAGAAACCCTTCAATTCTGATGTTACATATATTTTATGACTTGTTTACATATTCATTATACAGATTATTAAAAATAATGAGATTTAGATTGGTAATAAATCATTTGTAATCTATTGGAAATGTATTCTTCTTATATATCTATATGTAACACATAATACTTGTTATCTATTAAAATACATTTATTGGAAATGGGTATTTTGTTATCTATTTTAATTATCACAGTATAGATTTATAAAACTACTCTAATATTTAATAGTTATGAGACTTATAACTATAGCTAGAACAATATTTTAAAACGTGTTTATATTTTCACAAAATGTTTTCTTTTAAAAATAAATGTATAATATAGTCTAGAGAAAGATCATCATTTGACTACTTATTGTGGAAACCAAACTGGATTGAGTTCTCTAAAGGCAAATATTTTTGCATGCATTCAAATTTATGCTTTGCAAAATGTGTTCTAAATATTTTATTACATAAATTGAACTTCATGTGAGAATGATGAAGAGAGATATACTTGCTCTATTGTGTGAACCAAATTTGTGAATACTATACCAATAGGTTCATCAGAGGGTTTTCTGCAACCATACTCACCCTCTGAGAATATTCATAAATATAGTTTCCTTCATCTTATTTTCTGCAATTGCTTAGTATTCCAGTACTATTTTAGGGTTCAATAAAAATTGATGGTTCCAATTCCTCCACACTTTCATCTAGTTTTACGTGAATACTCATAGATTATTTCTCCTGGATAGTGAATGAAAGATCTATAAAGAATAGAGTGAAGTCTATTATGCACTTATTGAATTTACATGCCCTCTTACAAAAATAAGATTGTACCCATTAATATTGCAACTTCCTGGCTATCTCATCCCATGTTTTTTTTTTTTTTTCCTTTTGGTTTTTCTTTCTGGAAGCCCTAAAGTATTTTAAGATTGGCAGACATTATATTAATTTCTAGGCACTTTGATAAAATCAACAGAAATGTTAGCCTAGACATGACAAAACAGTTCATGTCATTCAGTAATGAAAGAAAATCTATATAAGCATGGGAACACTTTATGTTTGAAATGACTGTAAATTTTGAAACTTGCTGTTTGATTCTACAAGCAATTTGTTAGCTATGAGCTTGACATAGTTACAAAACATTTGTCCATGATGTTTGCAAGAACAAGATGTCCTGCTTCAGCTCTCACAACTGTGAAGCCAAGATGATTGTCTCTGTGAAATTGTTACCAGTTTTGTCTGACTACATCATCAAGCACTGTAGACTCCTCTTGGTGCTTTTGATAATTACACTTTGATTATCATCAATGACTTCAATAAGACATCAAGTAGGTGGGTGGGAATGCCGTCAAAGTGATCAATTAAAATTACCAAGACTTTATTTTAAAATCACTTCAGATATGTTCCTAAGATACGGTATGGATGGTGGTTAATAAATGAATAAAGGAGTTAAAATTTACATACAGATGACATTTTAGACTACAGCATAAAATAAGTCAGTGGAAGAGAGAAAAATACAGATCATTCCCTTTAAGACATTTCCATTTTTACGAGCTGTGGCAAATAATTTCCAGGCGAAGCATGAAGTCCTTCAAATTTCACAAGAAATGTTAATATATACTCAGAACTGGGCATCACTATGAAAGAATGTAAATCATTGTCAATAAGCAGGGCATGTCCTACTAAGATTATGTTGCTACTGCATAGTCACATATGACTCATACAATCATAGTACTCTAGAAATCTTGAATGCCCTACATTCAAGCCTGTGTGACTACAATCCCCCATGATTTTGTGCCTTTTTTTCTTACAGTATAGCATCAAAAATGAGAAGTCAGCTTCACTGAGGACCCCAGACATACGTATTCTTTGTTTTGTAGAAATATATAAACCAGTAGTAGTTGTAGTCATCTGACACAAACATCATTTTCTGCTATATTGCATTCCAATCTTTTTTTTTTCAATCGGATGGCTAAGTCAGTGCCAACACCTAATAATATTTAACATTTTATTCAAAAATCTTCATTGAATCCTGGATTCTAGCATTTGCTCTAATTGTTGATTGACCATTTATGCAGCCAACATTAATTTAACTTTAAGCTTAACTGATTACTAGTAGAAAAGTGATTTTGTGGCATATCATGCAAACACAATCTTATTCAAAAAGATTTTTCTACTTCCATATTGACATGCATTTGGTGAAATAGTTTTTAAAAACCTAATGGTTTTGATTGGATATATTGATATTATGGTTAATAACATTTTTTCTCACTCAATTTTCTATAAGCTTGAACAGTTCTTTACAATTTAAAATACTTTTACAATGATGTGCTTCCAAGTCAGTCTTTGGTGTTAAGCTCTGAGCTTTTTATTATTATTATTATTATTATTAAGGCAGGGACTGTATCTAATCCAGCTTTGTATTCTCAAGGCATAGAAGCAGTTTCTGATAGGTATTAGATACACAAACAACGTTGCAATGCAAATTATAAACCTGGAGTACAAGATCTTTGCCTCTCTCAGGACCTGTTTTCCTGGAAAGTAAACCATTTCCCAGCTGCTTGTAGGTTAGATGCTATTGGCAGACTTTTTGCAGATAATCCTTTAAGATGTAAAAGTTCTGTGATGTGATTTACACTTCAGAGACTGATGGTGGATAAGGATACCTAAGATGACATTTGTGCTTGGGTCCTCCTCCTTCCCTATCCTTCTATCACTATCTTATAGGTTTAATTCTGTTGAGTACACCCTCAATAAGCCATGTGCTCCTGCATTAAAGTGCATGATTTCATGATCTTTACCTAGTACAGATGTGAAAAAATCCACTAGACTACAGTTTCCCCCAAGGGGTTCATCTGCATTCCAGACTCACACCAAAACCCAAAGTTATCTAACCCCATTCTCCTCTCCTTATACCTCTCACCCACCTATGCTGGTGAAACTGACAGGATAACTGCATTCAAAGAAGAAAGAAATAGGAAAGACCTAAGAGTCCTTGGCTCACTGTAGTACTGAAATCCATCTGGGCACATGTGTCCAGCTCTCTCTCCTTCAAACACAAGGAATGTTCTTTGACTATGGCCCAGTTCTGCTACCTGGAAGTTGTTCCCTTAATGCACTGTTCTCCACATCTCTTGGCAAGCCATCTGAGAATATCTTCCTTTTCAATGAGAAATAGCCCATGTTTGGACTGGGCAGTCTTCTCAGCCTGCTTTCTGGCTGTAGGAAGTTGGCATTTCAGGCCTATTTTTCATTTTGAACTGTCTTGGGCCCTGAAGAGGCCAAGTTGGTAGTGCTTTGGCCAGGACAAGCCTCTTAAAAATGTTATTTTTGGAAATAAATCTCTATGTCCCAAAATTAACATCTGCAATCCTTACTGAGATTTATCTCTCTCTACATTGGGTGTGGTGGCCTGCTGTGTAGGACAATGTTTTAAGATTCTCCTGACCCCTTTTGTCCAAGTAAGAGTGCATAAGCAATGCATCCAGCCATTCTTATTTCTGAACAAATTTTTGTTACAACCAAAGCTTTGATTTTTTACCTTAGTGTATTTCTTTGAGAAATTTTTGAAGTTTTGGATACTCTATATTACTGTATAGAATAATCTATATTATTTAGATTATATTTATATATTTTGAACAATCTATATTATTCTGTATTTCCTGGAAATTTTGCTTGTACTCCAAGTATCTTCTTAGCTCTTGCTTGAATTATTTTAGCATATTCAGCTAGAATAACCCACTGGCATTTCAACATTCTAGATATATCTTCATTAACATAAAAAAAATTTTCCAATGAACTTTTTAAACTTCCAACATTCCTCAGGTCATATGTTTGCCTTTGTTTTTCTGCCACTATATAGTTCAGTTTGCTCTTTTTGAAGACTCAAATAATTTTCTCTGTCTTTTCTGTCTCAGTAACAGTTTACTTGCTATTCAATCTGTTCCCAGCCTCCTCACCACTTTTCTAGCCTTTCCTGTTGCTGAACCCCATTCCAATGCTACGTATTTTAGTGTTTTTTTACAGCATTAGATTCCAATTTCTGTGCCATTTATTTATTGCTGCATAACAGACTGTCCTCCCAAATAGTAGTGTCTTAAAAAATATTATTTTATTTCCTCTTGACCTAATGAGTTGGCAATTTGGGCTGAATTTACTAATTTACTCTTGAAGATACAGTCATCTTCCCCACAAATTTGTTTATAAAAGTGGCACTACCTCATATCCAGTGCCAGTTTCTTCTAGTAAGGCTGGATTTTCTTTGCATGTGGTCTTTTTTTTTTTTTTTTTTTGAGACAGAGTCTTGCTCTGTCACCGAGGCTGGAGTGCAATGCCACATCTCGGCTCACTGCAAACTCCACCTCCCAGGTTCAAGCGATTCTCCTGCCTCAGCCTCAGGAGAAGCTGGGATTACAGGCACCCACCACAACACCCGGCTAATTGTTTGTATTTTTAATAGAGACAGGGTTTCAACATGTTGGCCAGTGCAGCAGCACCAGTTGTGGGGGGTCTGTCCCTTGCAGATCCCTGACCCAGCGAGGGATGAATAACGTACAGTGATATACAGATATTCTGCTTTGCCAGTCCAGCTGAGGGTGTCCGAGCCTCTTACAGACTCCTTGTTGAGTATTGTAAACAGTTGCAACCAAGGCCTCCATCAGCGAGACTCACATTTATTCGGTTAGATTAATTAAGAAAGGCTTGAGTCAACACCATTAGAGGTTAATTGACATTGTGGACTTCCCAAGTAAAAAGCACTTAAGCACCAAAGGTGCATCAAAGGTTAGTCATAAGACCACATTAATAAACAAGCTATCTAGGTAAACTATTCTGCCTTTCTTTGTTACTACTTTGTTTAACTAAAGGTAAAGGGACCAGGCTGCCTTCAGCCAGATCTATTACCGAAGTTATGCAAACTTCTTGGCCTTCTAAGAAGATTTATGTCTACCTCTATAGCTAGCTCTAATATTTTTCCCACCAGCCTGATTGAACGCCAACAGGCCAGGCTGGTCTCAAATTGCGTACCTCAGGTGATCTACCCACCTCTGCCTCCCAAAGTGCTGGCATTACATGCATGAGCCACCATGTCTGGCCTGCATGTGGTCTTTCATCATAAAGGAATCTGAGTTTTCCCACCCAGAAGTGCCACATCCCAAGAGGGTGAGAGGCCTGTTAATAGCTAGACTCAAAAGTCACAAAACTTCATATTTGCTCTATTCAATCCTTCTTTATGTGTTGTAGGGTCAGCCTAGTTTTAAGGGTGTAAAAATAGACTCTACACTTGATCAGATAATCAGAAAAGTTGCAAAAAAAAAAAAAAAAAAAAGGAGCATGATAAAGGAATAACTGATTATTGTGGCCTTCCTTACAAATTCCAATTCTTTAACCATGGTTAAGGAATTTACTTAATGAATTAAGCTATATAATTTAATCTTTGATTTTTAATAACCTAAAATGGTTTCTTTGTAATACTAGAACTTATTAATTTACAGAGATTTCAAGCAACTCATCAGATATAGTGAACAAAACTCCAATAAAATAGCATGTTTTGTTACAAAATTGTTGGAGAATAGTAAATAACGTGTAACTAAATACCAAAAAGACAATTCATTTTATAAATATTCATATTTGTTTGTATTCATTGTAATTCTTTTTCCTCAGGCTTAGGAAATTTTTTTTTTTTTACCAACTTGTCTGCGTCTTGTTTTAGAAACCTCTAACTTTTTTTTGCATTTGCACATCTTTAGGTATCCTATTTTATTTTTAACTATATGTGTTACCTTTAACAATAATAAAAATAAAGTTATTTATTTGTAACATTTTGAGGGTTCATTACTTAGTTGGTTGAAATAGTCTCTGAAAATTATTTTGCCTACATATAATTAAATCCATTAAAATAGCTTAATAGCATGATAAAAATGTAGGCAGATTAATATTCATAGTTCACAGTGTGAATGTTTCTAGAGGTGAATTCTAAGCTTATATGGTTATTTTAACCAAATTACTTCAATAATACTGACTTTTCCTTTTTTTACTGTGTAAAAGTCTAAATTGGTTGAGACAATTCCTGTAACATTAAAATTATGTTAAAACTATTGAAATTTCTTATAGTTACCATTGAAAACTATGAGATACTATCTCTGTTATTACCTATTTTACATTTTTCCTGATCCAAATATAGTGTATATTATTATGTATATGAATCCACATCTTAAAACATCTTATCATTTACAAATTATAAAATTATTTGCTATTTTGCTAGGTTTCCTTTCACTTTTATGAACATTTGTAAAAAACTAGTCTACAAATTTAATATTTTTATTATTTTAACGAGGTGTCATTATCTATACCCTAGTAGGCTACAAAATATTAATATGACTCTTCCTCTTCTAGCTTGCCTTCTAACTTTTCTCTATTTATTCTTACTTATGACTTCATTGTGCCTGCTAAAAATATCAATTGTGCGAGTTTATTTGAAAATCTTCAGAAAAAAATACTAATATTATGTAGAATTAAAACTAATAACTAAAATCTCTGTAGTAGCACACACATGAACTAATTTTAGGTAAAAATGAAAGCCATAAATAATGATTATATTTTTATAAACAGTACTGCCCATGATGCTTGCTATGGACTGCATTTTGTTCTCCCAAAATGTATACGCTGAAGCCCTAACCACCAGTGTAACTGTATATGGAGACGGGGCTTTTACAAGGTAACTATGTAAAATGAGTTCATAAATGTGAGATCTTAGTTCAATAGGATTGTTGGCCATATCAGAAGAGGAAGATATCTCCACTCTGTCTCTGCCCCCATGTGCATACTCAGGAAAGGCCATTTGATCGCACAGAGACAAGGTAGCCTTCTACAAGCCAGGAAGAAAGCTCTCACCAAAACCAGACGATGCTGGTGCCCTGACCTAGCATTTCCATCCTGAATACTATAAGAAAATAAATTTATGTTGTTTTACCCATGAAGTTTATGGTATTTTGTTATGTCAGCATGAGCTGACTAATATAGGACTTTAAAGTTTTGTTTCATTTGGATTGAAATTAAATGAGTTCAAGTTTTAAAGCCATTCTTCTTCAATATGATTCTTCAGAAAATAATTTCATAAAATTCTCCTGGGGAAAGGGTTCTATAGTTAAGTAAATGGGGATAGGCTGGATATCCCCATTTATTTCCTCTTGGAAACTCAAAGTATACATTCATTTATTACAGGCTTCTAGAATCCTACTGTTTAATGTTGTATAACCCAAATAAAGCTAGGCTTTCTTGAGATTAAATTTTAATTTAAATTTTATCTCAGCATGAAGACAGAACAAAGAAAATCTCACTCAAAACATTAGAAAGTAGTAGTCCTTTAGTAAAAATTTATTGCAGACATAGATAATGGGGATACAAAATAACATAACTTTACTTATATAAATCTCTGAATCCTACTCCACATGGAGGCACCAGTTTTCTCCCCTGTTCCTCTCTAAAATTCCTTGAAAAGTCATATCTCCAAACTTGTTTTGATTCTCCTCTCTTCTTCCTTATTCAGATTTATGATGGTACAATTACTTTATTATTTAGAACATTCTAGACCTTTTCTGCCTTCTCCCACATATATCTTCGTCTATCATCTCTAAAGATCGATAAATAAAAGTTCTTGTTCAGAACACTGTTTTGATGTTTTTGATGTTTCACATTTGTTCACCACATACTTCACGAATTTTGCTACCAAGTATCTATCAATACTATAAGGAAAGAATATTCTACAGGATACAAACAAGGAATATGTATTATAAACATGGTTTTGTGTTCACATGGGTTGAATCTTCAGTTTTTCATATAAATGGAATTTCCACACAGTAGATGCAAAAGTGCATGTTTAAAAATTAACTGAATATTGCCATGACAGTACTAAAAGATGCGTATCAAGCTTAAATGTTCTCTGTTGGAGCAAAACATAATCACCCTGAGATTTCAATCGGTGCAGATACTTCACTAGTGTGGTAATGATGACGCAAAAACAGTCAAAAACATTTATCTAGGCTTATTAATAAATCTTGTCCTCATTTATATATGTTGTGTATAATCCCATAAATGCACATATTTGTAACATAATTGAATTACCACCATTCATATTCTAACCGTAATCGATTTTGAAACACCAGATTTCCAAAGACCTTATTGTCCTTTCCTGCAAGAGCTCACAGTACACTTTTTTACAGTTTAAAATAAACAAAGCTCCACTCATGAAAGATTGACTACTATAGGAATGTCCCTCTCCTCATTAAACAACCAAAAGCAGGAAAAAAATATAAAGCAATGTTAGCAATGTTTCAGGCATGGGGTAACTGGCCTCATAAGACTCAGATCCCTCAAAAAAGAATTGCAGTCGCTTACTGGCAGGAAGCAGTTTCTATGTCATATCCCAAAAAAATCAAACTGTAAAGTCTTACTGAATTGGGCGTGGATGGGAGAACTACCAGTCATCAGTAGACCAAAAAATTCGCATGGCTCACAAAGGGTTAGGAACAGTTTGCTGTCAGCAGCTGTGGAGAAGAGGCCCACCCCTCCTGAGGTATTGGATAGATTCCTCAGAAGGATCTAATCTTAGTAGCTGTGCTAACTTAGCTACAACATAAAGACTGTAGACACACCATGGCAAAGCTTAAGAGCAAGCCTTTAAAAGGGCCAAACTGATTCACAATTTACTTGACTACACATTAGAACAATATTTAGTTTTCTTTATAAGAATATAATCTATCACCTAAAAAAACAAAATTCAACAATAAAAACTTACTAGGCATGAAATATGCCAGGAAAACATGATCCTTAAGCAGGAGAAAAATCAATCATAGAATCAGTCAGAAATACAGATGATTGAATTAGTTAGACAAGAATCTTTAAACACTATTATAAATCTTACAAATACGTTTAAGAATTTAAATATACAAAGATGATTAGGAGATAAATGAAATTTATTTTAAAAGATCCAAATTGAACTTCCAGAAAAGAAAAAAACCTGATCTCTGAAATAAAATAATGTACTGGATAGGATTAAAAGCATATTAGAATAAAGGAGAAAATACTGGAGAACTTAAAAGTGGGTGAAGGATATGAACAGACACTTCTCAAAAGAAGACATTTATGCAGCCAAAAGACACATGAAAAAATGCTCATCATCACTGGCCATCAGAGAAATGCAAATCAAAACCACAATGAGGTACCATCTCACACCAGTTAGAATGGCAATCATTAAAAAGTCAGGAAACAACAGGTGCTGGAGAGGATGTGGAGAAATAGGAACACTTTTACACTGTTGGTGGGACTGTAAACTAGTTCAACCATTGTGGAAGTCAGTGTGACGACTGCTCTGGGCTCTAGAACTAGAAATACCATTTGACCCAGCCATCCCATTACAGGGTATATACCCAAAGGATTATAAATCATGCTGCTATAAAGACACATGCACAGGTGACTTTATTGCAGCACTATTCACAATAGCAAAGACTTGGAACCAACCTAAATGTCCAACAAGGATAGACTGGATTAAGAAAATGTGGCACATATACACCATGGAATACTATGCAGCCATAAAAAAGGATGAGTTCGTATCCTTTGTAGGGACATGGATGAAGGTGGAAACCATCATTCTCAGCAAACTATTGCAAGGACAAAAAAACCAAACACCGCATGTTCTCACTCATAGGTAGGAATTGAACATTGAGAACACATGGACACAGGAAGGGGAACATCACACACTAGGGCATGTTGTGAGGTGGGGGGAGGGGGAAGGGATAGCATTAGGAGATATACTTAAATGATGAGTTAATGGGTGCAGCACAGCAACATGGCACATGTATACATATGTAACTAACCTGCACGTTGTGCACATGTACCCTAAAACTTAAAGTATAAAAAAAAAATACTGGAGAACTTAATGTCATACTAATAGAAACCATAAAAAATGAATCACAAAAAGAAAAGAGTATTAATTAAAAAGCGAGAACAGCGCCCAAGTGAGTTGAGAAACTAAATCAAGAGGTCTAAAATATATGTAATATGTGTCCCAAAAGGACAGAGTAAAGAGAGGGGGACAGAAAAAAATTATTCAAGAAAATGGCTTAAATATTGTTTAGTTTGATAAAAATCCACAGGTTAAAGAAGCTCAATGAATCTAAAGGAAATAAATGTAAATAAAACCACAACCAGGCACATTTTAATCAAATGCCTGAAAACCTACAGGAAGGAAAAAAAAACTTGAAAAGAAGCATGAGAACAAAAGATTATGCAGAGGATTAAAACAGACTTCTTATCAGAAACTATACAGGTTATGAAATAACTGCTTTAAAGAAGCAAAGGAAAAACTGTTAACCAAGAACTACAAACTTAGTGAAAATATCTTTTAAAATGCAGACAAAATAAACATCTTTAGAACAATATAGGTAAAGATGATTCACCGTCAGCACCTAAATTACAAGGAATGTTCAAAGAAGTGGGCAGAAGCCAAATGATGGCAGAACAAAATAAGGATCTATGCAAATGAATGAATGTACCAGAAATGGTAAATACACAAGTAAATTAAAAAATAATGTTTTAAATCTCCTTAGAAGTTAATTGACTGCTATGGAAACACTAATACCAATGTATTGTGAGACTTATATGTAGAAATAAAATATATGGTAACAGCACAAAGGCCAGGAAGCAAGAAATGTATCATTTTAAGATTCTTTTTTTTTTCCTCCCCCAGACGAAATTTTGCTCTTGTTACCCAGGCTGGAGTGCAGTGGGGTGATATCGGCTCAATGTAATCTCTGCCTCCCAGGTTCAAGCAATTCTCCTTCCTCAGCCTCCTGAGTAGCTGGGATTACAGGCATGTGCCACCATGCCCAGCTATTTTCTTTTCTTTTTTTTTTTTTTTTTTGGATTTTTAGTAGAGACGGGGTTTCGCCATTTTGGCCAGCCTGGTCTTGAACTCCTAACCTCAGGTGATCTACCTGCCATGGCCTCTCAAAGTCCTGGGATTACAGGTGTGGGACCCACGCCTGGCCGTAAGGCTTTTATATGTGAATTTAATGTTAAATGGTGATAAATTAAAACATATACTTTAAAGTCTACTGCAACTACTAAAAATAAACAAAAAGTTTAGCTAATTAACAATAGAGGTTAAAATGAAAACATTTAAAATCTACTCTTTTAGCAATTTTGAAATTTACAATATATAACTATTAACTATAGTCTTTGTGCTGTGAAAATAGATCTCTCAAACTTATTCCTGCTATCTAGTGCAAAAGAAAAATTGAAACACACACACACAAAAACAAAAACACACAATCCAAAATAAGGCAAGAAAGAGTTAAAAGAATATGAGGCAAACGGAATACAAAAATGATAAATGCAAGTCAAAATTCATTGTTTTATTTTACTTTTTAAATTACATAAAGTAAAATCCCTCCCCTTTTGAAAATATACAAGTTTCTATGAATTTTAATACATGTAAAGAATTGTGCAACCATAAACACAATCCAGGTAAGAAATGTTCTATAACTTTAATTCCTACATCCTATATAACTGCAATGTTTACATAGTCACATGCTTTCCTTCACCCCTAAATCCTGACTGTCACTGTTCTTCATCACTATAAATTTGCCTTTAAAAAAACATTATATAGATGGAGTTATACAATATATAGCTTAGCACAGTAAGAAGAAAAACTAGTGGTAGCACTCACAGTAGCTCTGAGTTATCTGAGTGTCCCAGAGAAATCAGATTAAGGTAATATTTCATGGTAGGACCTATAGAAAAACGTATGGAAGGCCAGACGCTGTGGCTCATGCCTGTAATCCCAGCACTTTGGGAAGCTGAGAAGGGCAAATCACGAGGTCAGGAGTTCGAGACCAGCCTGGCCAACATGGTGAAACCCCGTCTTCACTAAAAATTTAAAAAAAAAAACAGAAAAAAGAAAAAGAAATTAGCTGGGCATAGTGGCAGGCGCCTATAATCCCAGCTACTCGGTAAGCTAAGACAGGAGAATCGCTTGAACCTAGGAGGCAGAAGTTGCAGTGTGCCGAGACTCCAGCCCGGGCAACAGAGTGAGACAACGTATTAAAAAAAAAAAAAAAAAAACTGAATTGAAGAAAGTAAGAACCATCTCTCAAGAGAAATAATATAATCCTATGTCTTATGATATTTCCAAAAATAATTATTTAAATGTGACATTAGCTTACAATCAAACATTTTCTGGAATAGCAGAAGAAAAAGAGCATTAATCAGAATCAGTTAAAAAAAGACCTAGAAGAATTAAGATATTGAAATATCTGATACAGAATTTTAAGTACCAATCCAAAATATATTGGCAGGTAAAAGACAACATTACAAATTTCAGCAGAAACTTAGAAATTATTTTAGAAATGCATGGTAAATTTCTGTGGAATGAGTTGGTTTCTTATCTTCTTCTAAAGATTAAAGCTGTTTTCTAGTAACACTATTATCTCATGGATTTTTTTATAAATTCAGTGTTTTTCAGTCTACTGCACTCGTTAATCTTTTGGAAGCTCATATTCTCTAAATATGGACACTGGCAGACCCCCCACATGGATTCTTGTTTCCTTTTGGCACTAACCCAGTAATCTTTTATTGCTTCCTTGCTTTCCAATTTGGCAAAATATGCCAGCTTCTTCCTGTACATTTTCTGACCCTGACATGCAATGATTTCTTCAAAGAGTACATTTTTTCTTTTTGAAAATATAATTTAGAAACATGTTTTAAAAACATGGTGTTAAACAAAAATGCAACATAACCTGTTTTTAAAAATGAGACACATTTGCGTGTATAATTGTGAATGGGTCTGTACATGTAAATGTACTGGAAAAACATATGAGCATTTAAATAATGATTATTTATAGTTTTGGGATAATTTCCCTTTTTTATACTGAAGATTATTGCTATTTTTTTGTATTAAATAGTTTTGGAAAAAACATTTGTTCAAAGAATCAAAACATTTTTCTTCAAACTGAAACCAAAGCAAAACAAACTAAAATAAAAACAAACAAAAAGAAACCTTAGTGAATTTGGTATCTGCTTTCATGTTGAGTTGCGCTTAAAGGTCAGTAAATTATATCTGTTTGATCTGCACAGACAATTTTTTTAATCAATCCTCTTTGCATGAACCTACTTCCTCTTTGGCCTTCTCCGCCTTGTTTTGATGCGGCACAAAAGCCCTCACCAGAAGCCAAGTAGATGACAATGCCATCCTTCCTGTACAGCCTGCAGAACCATGATTTGAGAGAATTCTGTTCACATTTCAGACTGAATGCAAGGGAAAAGAGATTTTATTTTCTTTTTATTAAATAAGATTCCAGTTCAAGATGGCTTACAGGAGACATTGAACACCTGCTCTCTCCAGAAAAAAAAGAACCAAAATTACAAATACACAAATTTTAAAGCACTTCAAACACAGGAGAGGAAACTGAGTATATAGCTTGGCCAAGATTGGCCAGGAGCTTAGAAGGGCTCAGTCTTGCAGGGAAAGAATAAACAAGAGAACTTAAGTTGTCTGCATTTCCACCATGGACTTCTGGATTCCAAACCATCAGAGAGTTCCTCTAGCCACAGAAACCCTGACACTAGCATTACTGGTGATCTGTAGACCCTGTGAGGGCACTGCTCACTGCTCCGGACAGGGAACTTGTACTGGGTTACTCAGCCCTCCAATATCTAAGTGGCTGAAGCTGGGCACCTGGGGGAGCACACTCATCACAGGACTGCTTTCTGCCCTAGAAACCATAGTTCCCATATGTCTATATCCCATGAGTGCCCAGAGTCCACCTGGATGACTGCAGCAGCAAGGTGCTGGCTGGACTCAAAGAGGCTGTGGAGTACCCAGAACTCTAGTGACAGGGAATAATATTCTCTGGAAAATGGACTGTGCAGTACACAAAGTAACAGCTAGTAGGACAAAGAAAACCAAAGCATGTACTTTCCAAAAGCCAATAGCTCCCTGCCTGGGGCTGTGAGAAGTGACTCTGTCCCCAGCAGCAGCACCAACTCTATGCTCAGCCCCACAGGGGGAGAGTGAGATCCCCTCCCACCAGCAGAGTGGCTTCTATGCTCTGGCACATGCGTAGAGAGCCAGACCTATTCTCCCCTAATACACATACCTGCAGGCACAGCAACTGTTGCCACCGGAAGCTGGGCTAGGTGAGCCAGACAGCTCTCTGACCTGAACTGTGAGTAGTGACTATGCCTCCATTGGCAGCATGGCCTCTGTTCAAAAGCTCATGAACAAAGGGTGGACTCCCTTTCACTCTTTGTGAGGCACTGTGGTGCAGTTGCCACAAAGTAACTATATACAGAATATTAAAATGAACCTCTATCTCTCACCTTATACAACAGTCAACTCCAGATGGATTAAAGACTTAATGTAATATATGAAACTATAAACTACTAGAAGAAAACATAGGTAAAACTCTTTAGAACATTGGTCTAGGAAAATGTTTTATGTCTAAAACCTCAAAAGCACAAGTGACAAAAACAGACAAATGAGATTGTATTAAACTAAAAAGCTTCTGAACAGCAAAAGAAACAATAAATAAAGAGACAACCTCTTAAATGGAAGAAAGTATTTGCAAATTACTCATCTGACTAATTACTCATCCAGGACTAGTATCCAGAATATACAAGAAACTCAAACAACTCAACATTTTAAAAAAAAAAAAAACTGCCTTTAAAAAATGGGCAACGGACATAGATGTTTCTCAAAAGACTAAATGGCCAACACGTATATGAAAAAATATTCAACATCACTAATAATTAAGGAAATGCAAATCAAAACCACAATGAGATATTATGTCATCCCAGACAGAATGGCTATTATTAAAGGATAAAAATTTCATTCTGGTGAAAATGCAGAAAAAAAAGGAACTCTTATACACTGTTGGTGAGAATGTAAATTATTACAATCACGTGGAAAATACTATTTAGATTTCTCAAAAATCTTAAAATGGAATGACTGTATAACCCAGCAACTCCACTATGGAATGTCTATTGAAAGGGAAAAAAATCAGTATATCAATTGGATACTTTCACTGGCATGTTTATCGCAGCACTATTCACAATAGCCACAATATGGAATAAACCTAAGTGCCCACAATGAAAAAATGGTTTAAACAGGTGATATATATACACAACAGAATACTATTTGATCATAAATAGGAAATGAAATCATGTCATTTTGGCAACTTGGATGGAACTGGAAGTCATTAAGTGAAATAAGTCAGACACAGAAAGACAAATACCACATGTTCTCACTCATACGTGGAAGCTAAAAAACTTCATCTCATTGACATAGAGAACAGAAAGATAGATACCACAGACTGGAAGGTAGGGGAAAGAAGGAGAGGAAAAGAGGTTGATTATGGGTACAGAGAGAGAGTTAGAAGAAAAAAGTTCTAATTTTTAATAGCATACTAGTGTGACTATACTTAGCAACAATATTATGTATATTTCAAAATAACTAGAAGAGAATACTTGAAATGATGCCAAAAATAAGCCCTGAAAGTGATGGACATCCCAATTACCCTGACTTGATCATTATACATTATTTGCAGATAACAAGCACTCACATTTACCCTTTAAATTTGTAAATAATTATATATCAATAAAAGGGAAACATATTTGTAGTGCTAATTAATAAGATATAGAAAACTTACACAAGGAGTCATTTACGCGACGTGAGAATAAGCTCTTCATAATATTTGACATTGTTACTATTAGCAAAATTTGTGTTAGTTGGCATAACTTCAGGATGAACTGGCTCAATGCAAATAGATTTATTTTCAGGGTAATGATAGTAAATACTTATATCAGTATTTAAATATATTTTCCTAATTAAACAAAAATATTTTATTAGTCCGTTCTCATGCTGCTATGAAGAAATAACCGAGACTGAGTAACTTATAAAGAAAAGAGGTTTAATTGATTCACAGTTCCACATGGCTGGGGAGGCATCAGGAAACTTACAATTATGGTGGAAGGTGCCTCTTCATAGGATGGCAGGAGAGAGAATGAATGCAAGAAGGGGAAATGCCAGACATTTCTAAAACTATTGGATCACATGAAACAATCACGAGAACAGCATGGGGGAACTGCCCCCATGATTCAATTATCTTCACCTGGTACCACCCTTGACATATGGGGATTATTACAATTCAAGGTGAGATTTGGGTGGTGACACAGAGCTAAACCTATCAAATATATATAAGGATATTGAAGCATTATAAAACTAAAAATTGAAAATAATGTAAATGGGGATACATAGAAAAGTAGGTATAAAAATTATGAATACCTGTAAGAGGTATTGCTAAATTACTGTTTTAAAGAATGAAGATCTATCTATATCTACATCAGAATATATCTCTGACAGTATATGTATGTAGTATTTGTATGTATGTATGTATGTATACATATGCAGAAAGATACAGCATAATCTCCAAGAAGTATGTGAAAAATCTGTCACAGAACAAGTTATTTTTATTTAATTTTTTAAAGGATAATATTAAGTGCAAAGGATAATATTGGTGCAAAAGTGATTGTGGTTTTTGCCAACCTAACAGATTTGAGTGTTTACATATGTAGCTACACACACCTACTCTGTATTTAATTATGGAAATATAATTATATAACAGAATGTTAACATCAATTATCTCTTGGGAAATGAATACATTAAATTCCTGAAGGAGGGTTTCTTTTATTACTTTATGTACTTATATACTGTTTGCAATTGTCCCATAGTCACCTAACAATTACATATTTTTCAAAAGCATAACATTTATTAAGTATATAAGTTGTTTTACTATACTCACGACATTCTGCAAGTTTCACCAGTATGAAATTCCATAATATTTCATTACCACTAATAGAAACCTTGGACCCATTTGCAGTCACTCATTTTTCATATTCCTCCCAGCCTCTGACAACCAATAATCTACTCTCTGTGTTTACAGATTTTTCTATTCTGTATATTTCAAATGTAATTATATTATATGTGGTCTTTGTATCTACCTTCTTTGGAATTGCTGAATCATATGGTAACTCTATGTTTTTGAGAAAATGCCAACCTACTTTCTAAAGTGACTGTACAATTTTACAATTCCACCAGCAATATATGAAGTTTCCAACTTTTCTACATCTTTACTAAGCCTTCTTATTGTCTGCCTTTTGAAAATTATAACAATTTCAGAGGGTACAAAGTGATATCTCATTGTGGTTTTGATTTGTATTTCCCTAATGACTTATATGTCAGTTTACTTCAAGTTGAACATAATATTTGATCAGGTTTTCTAACAAAGTCACAAAATTTATTTCAGGAAGTTTCAAAAAGATCCTGATTCCCTACATAATGCCCCAAACTTATATTTTTTTTTTACAAATAAGAAATAGAAGATAAATTATTTAAAGACAACTTTTTTTTTTTTTTTTTTTTTTTAATGAGAGAGGGTCTCACTCACCACAGCTTACTTCAGCTTAGACCTCTCGGGCTCAAGCAATAGACTCAACATTTGTTTCACAAAAAAAAAAAAAAAATTATATGTGCTTTGAATTAAGACCACTGAGGGACTTTGTTAATTGTATAAATATCAATTTTCTACCCATTCATTAATCTTTAATAAAAATGTAATTTATTACATAAGTTAGGGACTCATTTCTTCAGTACTGTGTAACGTAATTGCTACCTTTACTGGAAAGTTTTATGAAAGTGTCATCGTATAACTGCAAATATTATTTGCTTTCTTAGTGTCATTTATTTAGACCCACTTATAACAAAATAAAAATAATGCAATACATACATTCTAATGTAAACAATATATTTATTCTTTGTATGAGGTGTCATTCACATCTTATAAGTCAAATTTATGTCGGTTATATATCTTTAAGAATTTGTGAAAATCCTTATGAATTTACAAAGTAATATTCAATATTAAGTTAGCATTTTTAGGCAGGGTTTCCATGAAATTGATACATCAGTTCAATGTAACAATAGTGTATTATTGCAAAGTTTCACAAGTATAGTAATGATAATTTTAAAAGGTAAGAACCTTTGGTTTCCAGTCTGGCACATAATGCTGGCCAACCTACAGGTTCTCGAGAAAACAACCAAAGAATTGCCAATATAACAGAAAATAGAAATCAATGCCAGAAAGGAAAAAGGTTGTTTGCATGTGAGATACTTAAAGGAATGTCAAAAGATAGTGTACAAATGAAAGAGAATACTTGAAGTGCATTAAAGAGGACGTGAATTACCTCATGTTTAGAGAAACTTCCTTTCTGTAATAAGTGGAAGACACAAACAACCCGCTGAAATGTTCTCCACTCAGAGAATTTGGGACTGGAGGAAGAAAACAGGTTAAGGTTGACTGATATTTTGGAGTTACCACCCCATTCATGCTTATAGGAGATGTTTCAGACACCTCAGACTAAGATTGTAGGGCCTTGGCAATGCACAATGGTTGGCTAGATCTTATGAAGGCAGTAGCAAGATAATTCTAAATGAAGGCAGGTAAGCCAGTTAGAAAGTAGACACTGAAATTAATTTAAGCTTCTTCAAGGAGAAAAATCTCTCAATAGCAGAGGAAAAGATACTTGGTCTATATACTTCAGCCCATTATTCCTTTTCATTGGCACCTGGGATTCTGACGTAACAAAGTAAAACTACTCTTAAGTTTTCTTCGTTCGTTTGTATCTCAAAGACTTACGTAGGGACACCATGATCTTTAAAAACCCATATAAAGTAATGATTCTAGACAAACAAAGACTTAATTTCCTAAGAATGGTGAGCAAACAAAAAATTCAAAATATTTTGTAAAATAAATTGGAGGACCAAAATTGTTTCCTTGTTTGTATTGGCAACAAGAAACAATGTGAACATTTTAAAAAAATCCCTTTTTTATTTTCAAAGAAATTTAAGAAGCTAATCATTTATGCAATTTAACTGGAAGGTCATGACAATGGAATGGAAACATTATTTAGGGAAATTACCGTAATTTATTTTTGTTAAATGTGTGAAAGTTTAAACATATTGGATCCTGCCATAGAACAATCCACAAATTAGAAGACAAAACAAAAAAATTCTGCTACACAGAGAAATGAAATAAAAAAGTGAAAATTTATTAATGGCAATAAACTTATAGAAAAGATAAAAAGTAATATATATGTTATACATGTATTAGTCTGTTTTCATACAGCTATAAAGAACTGCCCAAGACTGGGTAATTTATAAAGGAAAGAGGTTTAATTTACTCACAGTTCAGCATGGCTGGGGAGGCCTCAGAAAACTTACAACCATGGCGGAAGGCAAAGACAAAACAAGCCACCTTCCCAAGCCAGCAGTAAGGAGAAGTGCCAAGCAAAGGGAGGAAGAGCCCCTTATAAAGCCATCAGATCACATGAGAACTCACTCATTATTATGAGAACAGCATGGGGGAAACCGCCCCTGTGATTCAATTACCTCCGCCTGGTCTCTCCCTTGATTCAATTACCTCTACCTGATCTCTCCCCGCCCTGTGATTCAATTACCTCCACCTGGTCTCTCCCCGGCCTGTGATTCAATTACCTCCACCTGGTCTCTCCCTTGACCTATGGGGATTATTGGGATTATGGGAATTACAAGTCAAGATGAGATTTGGGTGGGAACACAAAGCCTAACCATGTCAATATGTATCTGGAGAAACCCATAACATAAGCTTGGCATATAAATGTAGTTTTTTTCTTTTATAATTAACTTCAGATTAATTCCTTCTGTCCTTAACTAGAATGTTTACAGGTGATCTGTATCTCTACTTTGAGACTTCTGCTCACAGAATGATATAAAAACATCAGAAGGCTTCAGTTACTTTTGGAGTTATACTTCAAAAGCCCTAAACCCTAATGTGGGAAAGAGATAACTGTGAATTTCAATGTGTTGATTTGCAATATGTTCAATATATTGTTCATTAGCGCTTTGTTGCCATCACTGCCACATGCTGTAGCTTTAAAAAACAATTTCAAAGAGGCTGATGAGCAATTGCTGTAGAAATGTCCTTAAACAGGCACTGTGGGACACTCCACTTATTAAGGTCATACTCATATCATACATTCAGCCAGTTTTTAAGTTTTAAGCTAGGGTCTGTGACAGCATAGCCAAGTCCAGAAACCCTGGCAGGTTTATTTGTACTCTAAGCCAGAAGGTAACCAACTTACTGGCTCTTTTCTTGAGTCTAAATCCTCAGCTTAAACTTCTACTTCCTGCTTTGTGAGTCCTCCTTTGGGGTTCATGAGGACCTTTCCTTTCTATAAACTTTGTTCTGGGCCACTCTGTGCTAATCCAGTGAGGTCCCCTGACTTCAATTGTGGAGACAGAGATTCTGATCTTGGTTTCTGCATTTGTAATATGTCCTAGACAGAGCCAGCTATATAATTTTTGGGCCTCAATGCAAAATGACAATGTGAGGTCTGACAACTGCTCCTTCTTTATCTATGACTTTTTCCTTCAGGCTTATTTTAAATAATACTTAGTGCCAAAACTAGAGTACATATCCCTTTTGTGTGCAAAGTACCTACTCAAATTTTACCTTAAATCATCTCACTTTCTAAGGGCCTGTTTACTTGCCTATGCACACTTTAAGCCTGATGGTCATGAAGAAAGGAAATTTACCTTGGTTACCATTGTATCCCTAAATGTTTGCGCATTGTAAGATACATAGTAGATTCTCAATAAATATCTACTGAGTGAAACGGGAAGTATAACTATTAGAACAATGAAAATATAACCAAGGTACCACCATTCATTAATGAACATTTAATCTATTAAACATCAATGAAAATGGAATTGTGCAGAACCTTGCCTACCTATATACTGGATCGGTTCTATATGGCCTTATTTTTTTGCAAGCTGAAGTGACATTGTACAAATGAAAAATACGGGAACGCTTATGTAAAATTATTAGGTTGGTGCAAAAGTAATTACTCCCAACCTAATAAGTTAGCAAAGGGGACTGCAGAGGTTAATAGTGTCAGTACAGACTCATGATGGAAATGTATGACTCTTTCAGTAAATTAAATTTGCCTATTTCCATTTTTGTCATTCAATATCTTTTACTAGTTCTTTGGACTTTCTTACTGATTTTGAGCTTATCACAAAAAGATGGGCTCATTACAGCCCAGTAAATTTTAAAAATAATAACCATAAATGCCATATATTATACAGAGTAAGAAAAACAACATTTAATGCCTGAGACTAAAATAACCATGGAGAAATTCAAATACTCTGTATCAAAAATAGGCAGAGCTGACTAGCATGAAGGTTGGTGAATGTGGAAGTCCTTAAGTTAAAAGTTAGAAAACAGAAAACTGCCTGTAGGATAAAGAGGATCATATTAGAGGAGGATCAAATGGAGCCTTACAAGAAGCAGGTGAGATTACACTTGCAAACCCATACTTTAAAGGGACAGCAAACATCAAAGGTTCAGTTGAACTGAGCATGTTTTCCCTTTACTGTGCTGGCAACCGTAAATTGTTTCCTAAAGAATTGTTTCTTACTGAAATAACTAAATGCTCATTACGTAATGATAAATAATAACATAAAAAGCAGTTAAGACCAGATGGAGGCAGAACACAGAATGAGGCTATAGTTTGAAGATAAAGGAGATTAAACTTTTAGAATCATTAAACTGCTTGGTTTTGAAAGCCTTTTTTGCCAATATAATTGAAGAAAATAATTAATGCACAACAATAATGAGGACAGCTTTTACACGCTTTCCTTTTGTTTAATTTTTATCATTCTTGATGCGTTGCCAGAATTTTGTTTTTTATATTAATGCGGAGTGCTCCGTATGTTGGATTTCTTTCTCCTTTAAATGTGGGAAGAACTAATTTCTTTAAGAAGCAGAAAATTAACAGCCCTATATTTGTCTTAACCCTAGACTTTTAATAAATAGACATTTTAGATCATGACTGAGGCCATTTAAATATTTAATATCTCTCACTGCTTCTGCATTGAAAAACTGAAAGCTAGAGATTAGTTCTGCTCCTCAATGTTGCCAAGTTCATTTCTACCTAAGAGATAATTGTATTTTGCTCAGTCCTCTGTCTAAAATGCTCATTCATTCACCAGGCCCTTGTGTGGCCCGGTCTTCCTAAATATACAGTTTTTTGTTCAATATCACCACCTTGGAGAAGGCTTCCTCAACCACCCAATTAGCTCACCCTAGTCAACCTCTATCACAGCATTGTGTTTCATTTTTCTTAATGTAATGATTTATGAGTAGATCAATATCCAAAGATCTATATCCATCTATAAACCAATCTATAGGTACTTCTATATCTATATATATAATTTGCATAATTGCTTACTATTTTCTCCTATTAGAAGTTTCATGAGAAGAGATCTTGTTCTGTTTTGTAAACTATGCTGTGTCCATTTCCTAGAAGAGTATCTGACATTACTGGGTGCATAATAAATACTTTCTGATGAAAGAATGTATGCTTACATACATGAATGGAAGGTACTTTGGAATGTTGATAGGAGGAATAAAACAAGATACTGTAAAATTGCATCTTGAACAGCTTCATCTCGATCCTAGCTTAAGTTCGAGAATAAATAAATAATTGAATTATTTGTGAACACTGGAAAAAAAACAGTAATTCTTAGAACTCAGAATCGTGAAAAAGGCATGTGATGTTATGATACAAGTTCATGAAAAATAGAAAAGAATATTTGAAGAGAAAAATAAGTGTAAATTCTTAGATAACCTCATCCTTCGATGAAAATCTCTGCATATTTTAGTCTACACTTGATGACAGCACATGCCCTGATATCTGAGTGCCTCTTTATGTCCTGATTTTACCACCTTAATAGCTTGATGTCCTTGTTATTTAGTCTTTCTGATTCATATTGGGATTTATTTTACTCCTAACACTTTATAGAGTTAGGATCAAGATTGACTAACATGAACAATGTAAAATGCTTCATGCAGTGTCTGGCACATGGGTGCTTATTATTGCTGTTTGTTTTTGTTGTTACCAGAAATTTCTATGCCTATCATTAAGTCATAATAAATGGAATTATTTGTATCTACTTTTTAGTACCAAACGCTTTTTGGATACATCATAACATCTTCACATTAATACATGTAAATTTGCTGCATTATAATTACTACTGTATAATACTGAATTTTATGTACACCTGAAGGTTTTTCTAGTCATACCTATTGTAAGATATTAAAACATTTATTTCTTTCTTTGACAATATTCTATATAGATAAAGCTTAGATATGGAATAACATCAAATGTCTCAAAGTAAAATGATATAGTGCACTTTAATATTATGAAAAAATTAGAAATTGGGCTTAATTGTTCCCAAAGAAATAAAAAACTGACCCAGGAATCACTATTGATTTTCCAAGGGTATAAGCATATATCTAACACACCATAGAGGAAAGGATTTCAGATCTCTGAGGAGGAAAATCTTCCACCAAGGAATCTGGAGTATGAATTTAGTGCCAAAGTCTAAGTAGTGAGGAGAAGCTCTAGATGAAGGCTCATACATGAATATAATCTTCTAAACTTATCACAATCTGTTCACGCTAGCTCTGTGGTTGTAATTTAGGTGAAAAATTGAAAAAGAAGAAACACTTTGAGGCCAATGCCACTTCCACTGAATGTATCACAGAGTAGGAAGGATATGTTTATTTAATTTTGCCAAACTTGACTTCCTGGGGAAACCAGAGGAGATGTGCCCCAGTCCTGGAATTCATGAAGAAATCTCAGTAGTCACTGTGTTCCTCTGAGGCCATGTATCATAAAGTCCCTGTCTAAATAGCTGTAGCATCCACAAGCTCTGTGGGAGTCTCCTGTTCAACAAATCTCTGTATTTACCACCAGAAGCAGTAGCACTTGTAGCACCTCAAGAACATCAGTCATGAGTGATGAACCCAGAATGGATAATCTTAAAAACAAACAAACAAAAAACAAAGGGAAAAAAGGGTACTGAGCCCAAACTGGGGGGGTGGGAGTGGGGGAGGGGTGGCATAAGGATTCTTTGTTAAGTATCAAAAGACCAAAAGAAAGTATTTTTTTCTTTCATTCTTGAAGATAAACATCATGCATCCATATAGCCTCATTTTGTACACAGGTCTAAGGGGTTATGCAGTTGTGATTTGTTATACTTAGTACATAAATAATAGTAATAATAGTAAATGTATATACCCCTCTCTGTACCAGGCATTGTTCTAAGAAGTGTTCACTTATTGATCAATTTAGCCCTCACACAAACTCAAGGAAATGGGTACTTTTATTCATCCAAGTTTCTCAAATAAGAAAATGAGGCACAGAAATGTTAAACAACTCATGCAAAGTTACACAAGTGTTGGACTCAAGATTTTAACCCTAAACTATTAATGTATACTTACATTTGGCATTGACTAATATAAATAAATAAATGCTTTCAAAGTGTTTTATTTTTGCTTGGTTTTAGACATTTAGAATATGAGAACATGTGGCTTTCAAGTCGTCTTTCAGGTCTTTTGTTCTCATAGATGAGCACAAAATCATTTAAGAATCATTTAAGAATTCTGAATGAGGAAAACACTTACAATAGGCTGTGGATAAGAAGTGAGAAGATGGAGAGACACAGAATGTGCTTGTCTTTCTACACCTAACCTGTGCCAGTGGCAAGAGACTGACACAATGTTTCATATTTAAGGGGATGAAGGGAAGTTTTCTGTCAAAAGAGAAAACAAACAAACCTGTAAAAAGATTAACATGCAAGGAGGCAGAAGCTATATATTGCAGGAGATATATATATCAGCAGTAGCTGATATATTGTGATTACATTCATGTCTCTAATTAGTAATTACCAAGACGAGGAAGCCTGGGACAAGAGCAGTGACATATATTTTAGAAATAACGGACCAAAATTGTATACAGTGACCATAACAATCAATCAGCAATTTCAATATACTACAGGGAATATATCTCACAAATGTACCATTTTTATCTTGCAGAATAGGCAAGGTAGGACACATAATATTACAAAAATGGTGCCATTTGAGAAAAAAATATGTATTTGAAAATGACAAGCATATAAAACAGGTAGTTGTTGTGAAATTTGTTTCTAAGCATTAATTATCAAAGTTGCCATGGTGATATTTTTAGTTACGTGTTACTTCTGAAGTATTCTGGGACAGTATCCAATTATTCACTAATATAATATCCCAGTGTCTTGAGTTAAAGAGACAGCAATAGAATATTAAAATATTTAATACTACATCTTATTTAGAAGTAAATCAATAATGGTTATAACTCAATAACATGTCTTAGGCCTGGCAACATTGTGAAATGAGTAATCCTTGTATCTCTTACATTTATTTAATATTATAAATTTTGTAGACAGGCTAGTAGTTTTCAAATCGAAAAAATCAATAATTATGAAATTATAAATCATTATCAAATGAGTTAATAACTGTACTAAATTTTTCTTATAATTACACTTGATAACAAAATATTAAGGAAACTTGACCTTAGACTTCACTGCTAATGGACAAATCCCAACAGAAAACATTTAATTCTAAAAATCATTGCCTTTAGACAAAAAGTAACATCTGTCACCTTATTTTTTCTATTTAAATATATAGAGAAAATAATCTAAAAATAAAAATGGAAATATTTCATATTTGACGCTATGCTTAACATGATTTTATTTTTTAATATAATACATAATGTCAACCAGTAAGAAAATATTCATCACTATAGTATATTATTAAATGGCTTAAATATCTTGTCTTTTTCAATATATTGTAAATTTCCTCAGTACATAGATTATGTTTTATTAATTTTTTATCTCTAGTAACTATAGCTATATTTGATATTAAATATCCAATAAATTTAACTTATTTGTAATTAAATCCCTTGTGTACAAATCTTATTACTTCTATATAACAAGGCAAATAAATGGATAATGTAGAATTCTGGTTTGTAATTAGATATGTAGAATATCAAAACAAAAGTAACAATGTTTTCTATAGAATATTTTTTGGTAATTTTCCTTGTTTTTGACAGCATGCCTCTAGAAATGATCTGAGAACTTGGAAATAATCTGGAAAAACATTATCACACTAGTCTAATCTTTCTCCAAGAGTGAGAATATCAGATTTCAATACTATTTCCTAATGGGAGAAAAAGTAACTTTGTTTTAAATACTCAAAACAGAGCAGTATATACCAGGCAAGCACAGCATTTGCGCACAGTAAAACACAGCTTAGATCCATTAATGAAGAAAAAGCCCAATTGCTTCCTTTTATTCTGCTCATCTGACTGATGTAGGTTAATTTCAACAAGCTAAGCCTAACCAAGAGTAAGGCAGTTGTCTATACTTTCCTTTAAATCTTCTCATCATCTAAGGCAGGCTGGTGGCCACCACAAAGCCAGCCTCCACACTCCACAATGCAAACAGGAACTCAACCAGGAGCTAGAGCCAGGGGATCTTGGTTTGTTTTGTGCCTCAAAGAGGGAAAGAAACTGTAGTGGCCAAATAATAAAAAAGGAAGTCAGCCACTTTAAATGTATCAGACTATGTATTTTCAAATTTGCAAGTATGAATATGACATTTAAATTTTTTTAATACAGAACAAAGTCAAAGCAGAAACTTGACTGAATTCTCTATTCACTCTCATTGTCCGTAATGATGGTTTTGTTTTCTGAAATTATACTATTCTTCTTTAAAAAATAAAAAAATAAATAAATAAATAAATAAATCTTCTCATCATCTACACTCCCTTTGGTTCTAGTAAACCTGACCTCAAACCTGGTAGAACTCTAACCTCTATTTAATGTCTAATTACCTTCCTGTAGTCTTTAAGCATGATTTATGGCTGGCTTAAGGTGCATGAGCATGGCTGTCAGATAAGGAAAGGCAAATTCCTTGTGCATATATACATAACTGAAGACACAGGATCATCAGGGTCTCTTGTGAGCAAAACATCTCAACAAATTTCTCACTAGTAAAAAATTGTTGGCATAACTGCCAGAAAATAGAAGAGGCTCCACAATTACTAGCACAAAAGAAAGGGGCCAGAGTGTGAAAGTTAAAAAGATGTGGTGAAGCTCAAACTAAGGAACATTGGCAAGTCAATTTAAATTAAATCATACATTCTGTCTGTGATGTATGAGGTTTAAATTTTCTGATCCAAGATCTGGATAAATGATAGACAGCTGGTGAACGTGAATATGTAGAGACTGCAGAACTATGTGAGCCAACTAATTCAGCCAGAATAGCAACATAGGGAAGAAAATCATATTATTTTCTATTAAATTTGATCTGTTAGTTTTCATACACATGCATGCTGTATCCATAAAAATCTAACTAGTAATTCCTGGAAGTTATTCAAGTGTTTAATTTTTATTATCCATTTCAGAAATAAGTGTCCTTTCACATTATACATTTATAATGATTGACTATTGTTTTTCATCAGTTCCTGGCATATAATAAGAGTTAAATAAAAGCTAGTTATTACGATTAATATTATAATAGTATTTACTCTATGAAGGGCTGGTGAAATATATAAATATATATAATTTACAGACTTGCCCACAAAGGGACTTGAAATCTAGTTAAGAAAACCAAACATGGAGGCAAAAGATCAATATAGCACAGGTTGTTTAAAGAGAAGGGGGTCACGACTAATTTCTGGAAAGAATTTCCAAGGTATAAAATATTTCAGTAGGACCTGGAGGAATGGCTAAGAGCCAGGAAAGTACAGAAAAATGGACATTTCAATATAGGAAGATTAATATGAGCAAATACTCTGGGACAAGATCATGTAAAGTAACCATTGTTAAATTAGAACTTTACCTAACTTGGTATCCTTCATTCACAGTAAAGTTATTATCCTTGTATTTCTTATCGTATGAATCTGAATATGGAATATTCATTCAAGTTTGCTACTCATTTTCTTCAATATCCCTGTTCTTCTTTTATACTCATTACCTACTTACACTTGAGAAGAGCTATTGTTAATATAATTGCTATTGTCAATGTCATTGCTAATATAATGCAGACTAAGCAAGGCTTCAGAAAGTACATTGCTATTGCTACTATTAAAATTTACCAGAGCTCACTGTTGATGGGGTGCTTGGCAGAAAATTTTTCTAAAAAACTGCTCATGTTTGAAGATATAACTATAAAAATACATTTAAAAGATACAATGTAGAGATTATATTAAATTCTGTTTATAAATAGAAGCACAGGATATACTTTTTTGCCTTCAGAAAAATATCAAAAATCCATATGAATGTATTAAAATAATATGTGAGAATTGAAACCTATATACAACTCCAAGATTTTAACAGATTTAAAGTGTTCACTGAAAATGACATCTATTATAAAAGAGAAATGGACACATTGAAAATTAATTATTAATTTCATAGATATGCACTATTATTCTGAATGAGTTCCCATTTTACACTTTTTCTCTGCTCAAGGGAAATAAATTAAACAATCGTAGATAATTAATAACATGCAATTTTACATCATTTGTTTTTCAATGAAAAATGATAACACATTAAGCATCAAAATGAGAATGATCCATAATGCATCTGTCACACATGAAAAGATGAATATATAAGTTAATATAGTCATAGATTAATAAACTCAACTTCTTTGTCAGTAATATTTCCATTCATAAGTTGAGGATAAGAGCTCAAACTCAAGGCATGAATTACATCTGTGGCAACAATAAATCAAATTGAAATACAATATGTATTATAATAAATTGACAGAAGATGGTGGGGAAAATGGAATAAAGCCAAATGACATTCCCTTTTTAAAAATCAATTTAAGCTATAAAAAGGAATGAAGGGGAAAAGATACCTTTAATTAATTAGAAATAGTGACATCTCAGACCACAGATACTTAGAATTGCTGATGAATATAAGAAAGTTTAGACCACGTAAAGCAAACATAAATTTACAGATGCACAGAGTACAGAAATATGTTAAGCATATGGAATCTAAGGTTTCCTTACTTGGAGAGTAAAGTCTAGTTTGGTTAGTGTGAGAGAACCTTTTTGCAGCATATTCTATATTCGGAGGGAAGTTGTAATAAGACTAAGAAAGATCCACACCAATTTCAAAATTAGATGTCAAACAGCTTTACAACTGCTTATCATAGAAAACTGAACACATATAAATAAATTCTAAATCAACATGTGACTCAGTCTATTGTATAAAATATTTTCATAGCAAACCACAAAGAGATCACCTGCACACCCCGATGGAAGGGGATGGCACAGGACATTAAATGAAGAAATGCCCCTAGGAGAAAGTTCTCAGATGAGATGGGTAAGTGTAATAAAAGGGCATATATGAACACATTTCTTCATAATTTATAATTAAGATATTTCTGAAGTTTATTAACCCTGAAATTATTAATAAAATAATTAAAAAGTTATAAGCATAAATACTCATACTACCCAAAGCAATCTACAGATTCAAAACACAATATAAGCAAAAGAAAAGAAATACCAAAGAGCAGGAATCAATGACATTAAGAAAAGATAGAGAAAATCAATGAATACAAAAGTTGGCACTGTACATTGATAAACCTTTAGTAACATTTATCAAGAAACCAAAAAAAAAAAAGATGCAATTTACCAATATTAGGAAGAAAAACAGATAATAATAACACAGGTCTTTCAGAAACTAAAAATAAAAAAGAATGATGTGGGTAACATTACACAAAAATTTTGACAGTTTAGATTAAATGTACAAATTCTTAGAAATAAATCTACAAAAGGTTACCCAGAAAGAAACAGGCTAGCTGAATACCCCCTTTTCTACTAAATGAATTACATGTGTAATTATACCATTACCATAAAGAAACTCCAGGGCCAGATTACCAAAATGATTTAGAAGGTTTCACTGATAAATTCTTAAAAATGTTCAAGGAAGAAATAAAATGACATCCACAATCTTCTAGAAAAAGCAAGAGACAAAAACATTTTCCATCTCATTCTGTTTACATAGTTATACCTACTACCACACTTAATGGTAAAAGAGCGTATTTCCTGCCTTGACACTGAGAAAACAGGCAAGGAGATTTACCCTAACTTAGTTATCTTCAACATTATATTGAGATCCAAACTATTTCAATAAGGCAGAACAATAAATAAATAAATAAAAAGATTTGAAAGAAAAAAGTAAATCTCTCTTTATTAACAAATCACATTTTTACCTAAGCCAAAAACCCTACAAAATAAGCAAAAAACTTGCTGAAATAAGTAAGCTTAGGCAGGTCACAGGATCCAAAGATCAATACAAGAAAACAATCTGCTTTATTTCTTTGTATTAACAATTAACAATTTTAAATTAAAATTTGAAAATACAACTTACAAAAACAATAAAAAATACTTAGGAATACATTTAACAAAAATATGTAAAATAAGTACAGTGAAAATTGTAAAAAAGTGACAAATGTAATAATACTTTATTACATAGAAATATGTAATCATACATTTGAAGACTCAAAGTTGGTAAGATGGTAATTCTACCCAAATTGGTTTATAACTTCAATGCAATTCTATTCAAAATTACAGCAGATGTTTTCCTGAAATTGACAAGCTGATTCTAATATTTATAAGCAAATCCAAATAATCTAAAGCAGCCAAAGGATCTTGAGCAAGAATAAAGTGGAAGAATTCACACAACATTATTCTGCTACTTACTATAAATCCCCATTAAAATACATAGTATAGTACTGACTTAAGAATTGGCATGAAGACCAATGGAATAGAAAAAAATTCCAGAATAGCCCTATACATTAATGTTTAATTAATTTTCAACAACAGTGTCTAGATAGTTCAATGGTGAAAGGATAGTTCTTTCAATAAATGAAGCTGAAATAATAGAATATTTTTGAGTAAAAAATTGACCCCAACCCTACATAGAATTAAACTGAAATGTAATAGATACATCTATAAGACTTCTTAAAGAGAATATAGGGGTAAATTTTTGTGAACTTGGGTTTTAAGCAAACATTTCACAGATATAGCAAAAGAAGCAGAAAATATAAAATAAAATTTAAAAAATTGTTTTTCTTCAAAATTAAAAAATACCAATAAGAAAATAAGAATCAATTCACAGACTGGGAGAAAACACTTGAAAAACACATGCATCTGATTTAAGACCTGTATCCAGAATATATAAGCACCTTTGCAGTTCAATATGAAGGCAATCCAATAAAAATAGGCAAACACTTTCAATAGACACTTCAACAGAGAAGATACACTAACAGCAATGACAAAAAAGAGTGTAAAAATATGCTCAACATCAATAATCATTAGGAAAATAAAAACTAAAGCAACAATAAGATACCAACTACGCTGGCTTTAATAGTAACAGACTAGCCACTAGGTGAAAATTAAAGTCACTGTAAGATATTGACTGAAAACTCTTTAATAGTAACAGACTAACTAACCACTAAGTGGATTTTATTGACAGATGAACAATAGCAGGTGTTGGTGAGGATGTGAATAACTTGCATGCATTCCTGGCAAAAATGCAGATATAGTACAATACCTTTAAAAACCAAGTTAGCAGTGTTATTCCTAAAGTTAACTGTATATTTATCATAGACCAGCAAATCCTAGCAGTAAAATATCTGGATATTGAGCTAAGAAAGGAAGGTATCTTTAGCTCAGAAAGGAAGGTATCAAAGAAAAAAAGTATACTGTAATGTTTGCAATGTTTATTTATAATAGTCAAAACCTAAAAACAACCTAAAACATCTTTCACATGTTAAATGGATAAACAAATACTGGTACACCCATACAATTCAATACTACTCAGCACTAAAAAGGAACAATCTAATGATATAACAAAGTGAGTGGATTTCAAAAGTATTAGTCACAGTGAGAGAGGTCAGCTATAAAAACTATATACTGTGATTATATTCATGTGAAATAACAGAAAAGGCAAACTATAACAATCAGTGGCTGTGTGAACCTTAGAAGAGGAGGAGTTTTGGAATTGATGGTAAAGGTGTATGTGAAAACTTGCTGGGGCAATGGAAACTCTATATCTTCATTGCAATCGTGGTTGCATGAATGTATACATTTCTCAAAACTCATTGAATTGTATACTTTTGGTGAATTTTTAAAGGAAAATTATGCCACTATAAAGCTTAATTCATTAATTAATAATCGTGGTAGTTTTTCCATGCCTGAATTTCTTAATTGAATTTATCACCACTAAAAATCAGAGAACTACATTTGAATGCAGACTTTTAGAAAAAAACTTCAAGAGCTATTTTTTCCTACTTTGCCCTTAAATTTTTATTACATTCATTTCTAGCATTCTTTCATATCAATCATACTTATTTTTGCCATAACTTTAATGTGAGTTTCACTGACCACACACTTTAATTACAGCCAATTAATCTTTTATCTAGACAGACACAACCACTGTCACTACCAATCTGAATTGTCTGGCCATATAATATACTAGAATCATCTCTTATATCCTAATATCTCACCTTTCTGTGAAAGTGAATATAAAGAAAGTGAATACTGGGTATTTGTGTTCTATTTATTTATATCTTAAATGAAAATATAATATCTAACACGCAAGTGTTTGAAAAATTATTTTCCTATTTCTCCACATCCTCTCCAGCACCTGTTGTTTCCTGACTTTTTAACGATTGCCATTCTAACTGGTGGGAGATGGTATCTCATTGTGCTTTTGATTTGCATTTCTCTGATGGCCAGTGATGGTGAGCATTTTTTCATGTGTGTTTTGGCTGCATAAATGTCTTCTTTTGAGAAGTGTCTGTTCATGTCCTTCACCTACTTTTTGATGGGGTTGTTTGTTTTTTTCTTGTAAATTTGTTTGAGTTCATTGTAGATTCTGGATATTAGTCTTTTGTCAGATGAGTGGGTTGAGAAAATTTTCTCCCATTTTGTAGGTTGCCTGTTCACTCTGATGAGTTTCTTTTGCTGTGCAGGAGCTCTTTAGTTTAATTAGATCCCATTTGTCAATTTTGGCTTTTGTTGCCATTGCTTTTGGTGTTTTAGACAAGAAGTCCTTGCCCATGCCTATGTCCTGAATGGTAATGCCTAGGTTTTCTTCTAGGATTTTTGTGGTTTTAGGTCTAACGTTTAAGTCTTTAATCCATCTTGAATTAATTTTTGTATAAGGTGTAAGGAAGGGATGCCGTTTCAGCTTTCTACATATGGCTAGCCAGTTTTCCCAGCACCATTTATTAAATAGGGAATCCTTTCCCCATTGCTTGTTTTTCTCAGGTTTGTCAAAGATCAGATAGTTGTAGACATGCGGCGTTATTTCTGAGGGCTCTGTTATGTTCCATTGATCTATATCTCTGTTTTGGTACCAGTACCATGCTGCTTTGGTTACTATAGCCTTGTAGTATAGCTTGAAGTCAGGTAGCATGATGCCTCCAGCTTTGTTCTTTTGGCTTAGGATTGACTTGGCGATGTGGGCTCTTTTTTGGTTCCATATGAACTTTAAAGTAGTTTTTTCCAATTCTGTGAAGAAAGTCATTGGTAGCTTGATGGGGATGGCATTGAATCTATAAATTACCTTGGGCAGTGTGGCCATTTTCACTACTGGGTATATACCCAAAGGACTATAAATCATGCACACGTATGTTTATTGAGGCACTATTCACAATAGCAAAGACTTGGAACCAACCCAACTGTCCAACAATGATGGACTAGATTAAGAAAATGTGGCAGATATACACCATGGAATACTATGCAGCCATAAAAAATGATGAGTTCATGTCCTTTGTAGGGACATGGATGAAATTGGAAATCATCATTCTCAGTAAACTATCGCAAGAACAAAAAGCCAAACACCGCATATTCTCACTCATAGGTGGGAATTGAACAATGAGAACACATGGACACAGGAAGGGGAACATCACACTTTGGGGACTGTGGTGGGGTTGGGGGAGGGGGGAGGGATAGCTTTAGGAGATTTACCTAATGCTAAATGACAAGTTAATGGGTGAAGCACACCAGCATGGCACATGTATACATATGTAACTAACCTGCACATTGTGCACATGTACCCTAAAACTTTAAGTATAACAATAATAAAATAAAATAAAATAAAAAAGAAAAATTATTTTCCATCATTTAGTTCCCACTTACATGTGAGAACATGCCTGCAGCTCCATTCACTTACCTGCAAAGATATGATATTCTTTATTATGGCTGCATAGTATTCCATCATGTATAGAACTAAATGATGAGAACACATGGACACACAGAGGGGTACAACACATACTGGGGCCTTCTGAGGGTGGATGGTGGGAGGAGGGAGATGATTAGAAAAAATAACTAATGGATACTAGGCTTAATACCTGGGTGATGAAATAATCTGTATAACAAACCCCCATGATATAAGTTTACCTATGTAAGAAACCTGTACTTCTATCCCTGAACTTAAAACACAAATTGAAAATAATTATTTATTTTCAAATATGTATGAATCTTGATCAATAGTAACCCCTTAACACTTATTTTCTATACTTGTAACATGTATTAATATAAAAACAAAATATATTAACCGTACTTAAAGTGCCAATTTTTCATTAATATTGCCATGGAAAATAGAGAATATATTTTATTTTTATAACTTAATAAGAATAAGATCTAGGAATAACAAATAGTATAATGTAGAAATATGGAGGACACAGACAGATATTATAAAAGAAATAGGGCAGAACTCAGCAAAATGCACTTACCCTTTAGTTCATGACATTCTTGGCTTTGCTTCAAGATTGAAACAAACTGAGAAATGATACAGTGGTTTTGTCCATGAACCTACCTTCAACTACTATAATTAAGCACATTCTGAAACATTTCAGAAGTAACTAACTGAACAAGAAGTTAAGAAAAACATCATGGATGTGAAGTGACTTCTGTTATTTGTATTCCCTTCATACAAAATAGAGAGAAAAAAACCCTAGTGGTCATGCACGCTGAGAATTTCAGTTTTCATATGAATCATCTATTCACATGTCACAGAATTAGCTAGATGAGAAGGATAAAACTGCATTGAACTGGGAATTAAACTCTGAGTCAGGTATCTCAGTTTGCCCTACAAAATATATAAAGGCTATTTAGCTAGCTTGTCTATCATGAGAAAAATAAGCCAAAGGCAAACTCTGTGTGGTGACACATTGAGTTTCAGCTGGCACTGGCCACGTGTGAGTACAGAAACTATAGAGTTTGTAATCATAAGATTATAAAAATTATGACAGGACATATTAAAGAGCAAAATATGCAGATTGTTCAATATGTAGTCCTATTAATCTACTGCAAGAAAATTTCTGTAAATTAGTGCATTGCTACCATTGGAATATGAATAGATAGGATTCTGAGGAGGAACAGGCATAGAATTACATTTAAGATGAAGATGAATATGATAAGGAAGGAGAGCAAGGACACCAAAGCACCATAGATGTAATGTAAGCATGGTTTTAATCAATGCTGTCTGAATTTATCAGTGACATAAAGAAATGCTTGAACAGGTAAAGAAAATAGAGAAATGGACAAGGTCTGAAAATAAGAGAGAATAGAAGAAAGCTAGTTACCAAATAAATAAAAAATATTCTACAGCTGAAGAAAAACTGAAGGTTGTCACCGTGTTTCAGACAAAATCAATAAATTGAATCTCAGATCTAGATATAGATCAAAAAAAGTTTGATGCACAGATAAATAATTTTTACTAGAAGCATGTAAAAATAAAACAAGACACCTACATAAATTAAAATCTTTTAGCATTCTAATTTCTAAACAGGAAAGAGTGATAGTAAGTGAATTGCAATTGAACAATAAGACAATTTTTACATAACAGTGTAATAATTTTTATATCCTATATCAAAAAACTATTAAATGACAATAATAAAAATTAGAAAGCTTAAATACAGCAACAGAAAAAAGGGGCATTCATGAAAAAAAGTTTAAAGAGCTAGTAACTTCTGTTTTAAGTGTTCCAGATGTCAGAAAGAAAAGAAAGAATGAGAATGACAGATAATAAATAATAAATTGATTATTATGTTAGATAGTAGATATGAAGAGAATTATAGGAAAATAGATGTGGATGAAGAATAATGGGAGAGATTAGGGATGGCCTCTGTGAAAAGGTAGAAATTGAGTGAAAAAATAGAGATGTGGACAACAAAGTCACAAAATATCTGGGCAAAAACTACCAAACAGAGAGAATATAAGCCCTCTACCCCAAAATATATAACCTTTCAGAAATATATAAACAAATATTAAACCGGTTACTATGGTTTGGCTGTGTCCCCACCCAAATCTCATCTTGAATTGTAGTTTCCATAATCTCTACATTTTTGGGAAGGACCTGGGGAAAGGTAATTGAATCACGGGGTGGTTTCCCTCATGCTATTCTCATGGTAGTGAGTAAGTTCTCATGAGAGCTGATGGTTTTATAAGGTGCTTCCCCCTTCACTCAGCTTGCATTCTTCTCCTTTCTGCTGCTATGTGAAGGTGGATGTGTTTGATTTCACTTCTGCCATGTTTGTAAGTTTCCTGAGGCCTCCCTATCCATGTGGAACTGTGAGTCAATTAAGCCTCTTTCCTTTAGAAATTACCCAGTCTTGGTTATGTCTTTATTAGCAACGTGAGAATAGACTAATACAATAAATTGTTACTGCAGAGAGTGGAGTTCTGCTACAGGGATACCAGAAAATGTGGAAGCAACTTTGGAACTGGGCAACAGGCAAAGGTTGGAATAGTTTTGAGGACTCAAAAAAAGACATATATGAGAAAGTTTGGAACTTCAGAGAGATGTGGCATGCTCAGAAGATAGGAAGATGTGAAGAAATTTGGAACTTCCTAGAGACTTGTTGAATGGCTTTGACCAAAATGCCGATAGTGATATGGACAATGAAGTCCAGGCTGAGGTAGTCTCATATGGAGATGAGGAACTTGTTGGAAATTGGAATAAAGGTGACTCTTGCTATATTTTAACAAAGAGACTGGTGGCATTTTGCATCTGCCCTAGAGATATGTGGAACTTTGAACTTGAGAGAGATGATTTAGAGTATCTGGTGGAAGAAATTTCCAAGGAGCAAAGCATTAAAGATGTGACTTGGGTGCTGTTAAAAGAATTCAGTTTTATGTATTTAAAAAGATATAGTTTGGAATTGAAACTTATGTTTAAAAGGGAATCAGAGCATTGGAGTTTGGAAAATGTGTGGCCTAACCATACAATAGAAAATAAAAACCCATTTTCCGAGGGGAAATTCAAGCCAGCTGCAGAAATTTGCATAAGTAACAAGGAGCCAAATGTTAATCACCAAGACAATAGGGAAAATGCTCCCAAGGAATGTCAGAGACCTTCATGGCAGCCCCTCTCATCACAGGCCTTGATGTCTATGGGGACAAAATGGTTTAGTGGGCCAGGCCAAGGGCTCCCCTGCTATGTGCAGCCTAGAGATTTGGTGCCCTGTGTTCCAGCTGCTCCAGTCCTGTCTAAAAGAGACCAAAATACAGCTCAGGCCATTGCTTCAGAGAGCGCAAGCCCCAAGCATTGGCAGCTTCCACATGGTGTTGAGCTTGAACATGCAAGAAGTCAAGAATTGAGGTTTAGGAACCTCTGCCTATATTCCAGAGGATGTATGGAACACCTAGATGTCAAGGCAGAAGTCTGCTGCAGGGGCAGAACTCTCATAAAAACAATCTCTGCTAGGGCAGTGCAGAAGGGAAATGTGGGGTTGGGGCCCACACACAAAGTCCCCACTGGGGCACTGCCTAGTGGAGCTATGAGAAGAGGGCCACTACCCGCAATGGTAGATCCACCTACTGCTTGCACCGAGCTCCTGGAAAAGCCACAGACACTCAACACCAGCCCATGAAAAAAGCCAGGAGGGTGGCTGTACCCTGCAAAGCCACAGGGACGGAGCTGCCCAAGGCCATGGGAGCCCACCTCTTGCATCAGCATGACCTGGATGTGAGACATGGCGTCAAAGGATATCATTTTGGATTTTTAAGGTTTAACGATTGCGCTACTGGATTTCAGACTTGTATGGGGCATATAGCCCCTTTGTTTTGGCTACTTCCTCCCATTTGGAATGGGTGTATTTCCCCAATGCCTGTACCTCCACTGTATCTAAAAAGTAACTAACTTGCTTTCAATTTTACAAGTATGTAGGTTGCCTTGTCTCAGATGAGTCTTTGTATCTGGAGTTTGGGTTAATTCTCCAATGAGTTACGACTTTGGGGGACTGTGAGAAAGGCATCATTGTGTTTTGAAATGTGAGGACATGAGATTTGGGAGGGTCCAGGGACAGAATTATATGGTTTAGCTGTGCCCCCACCCAAATATGATCTTGAATTATATTTTCCATAATTTCCACATGTGGTGGGTGGGACCTGATGGAAGGGAATTGAATTATGGGGGTGGTTACCCCATAATTCTCATTATAATGAATAAGTTCTCATGAGATCTGATGGTTTTGTAAGGGGCTTCCACCTTCATTCAGCTTGCATTCTTCTCCTTTCTGCAACCATGTGAAGAAGGATGTGTTTGCTTCCCCTTTCACCGTGATTGTAAGTTTCCTGAGGCCTGCCCAGCCAGGCTGAACTGTGGTCAATTAAACCTCTTTCCTTTTTAAATGACCCTGTCTTTTTAGCAGCATGAGAATGGACTAATACACCAGTCTTCAGTCTAAACTGAATCAAAGTTTACAATGAGAATGCAAATTCTAAGGTAACTAAATATATGAAATAAGACAAAATCAAAGAAATAAACAAGTAGTTATTAAACATATATGCTATGTCAGGCACTGTAATATACAAAACTGGGCTGAGTCCTGTTCTTTTAACCTTTACATTATAGGAAGCTAAAGAGACAGTATAAAATATGAAGATGCTATAGGAACACAAAGAAGGAATACCTAAGAGGCTTAGGGAGTTTTAATGAATGAAATGTTTATGCCCCCAACAATTTATATGTTGAAATCTTTTTTTTTTTTTTTTTTTTTTTTTGAGACAGAGTATCATTCTGTCGCCCAGGCTGGAGTACAATAGTGTGGATCTCGGCTCACTGCAGTCTCTGCCTCTGGGTTCATGTGATTCTCCTGCCTCAGCCTCCTGAGTAGCAGGGACTACAGGTGTGCGACATTGTGCTTGGCTAATTTTTATTTTTTGAGTTAGAGACGGGGTTTCACCATGCTGGCCAGGATGGTCTTGATCTCCTGGCCTCGTGATCTGCCCCCCTTGACCTCATAAAGTGCTGACATTACAGGTATGAGCCACCACACCCAGCCATATGTTGAAATCTTAATTCCCAAAGTTATGGTATTCATAAGTGGGGCCTTTGGGAGATGATTAAATCATTAGCGCACAGCTCTCAAGAATGGGATTAGTCCCCTAATAAAAGATGTTCAATGTAACTCTCTTGTCTATTCTGTCATGTGAGGTTACAATGAGAAGAAGGTCGTCTGAGGAAGCAGACTCTCACCAGACACTGAATTTCCCAGAACCTTGATCTTAGACTTTCCAGCCTTCAGACCCTTGATAAATAAATTTCTTTTGTTCATAAGCTACCAAGTCTATGGCATTTCAGTATGACAACCCAAATGAACTCAAAGAAGAGTCAAAAAAGGTTTTATGGACAAAATGATGTCCACATTGGGGCATGATTGATGTTTAGGAATTAGAAAAACAGAAAGGAGATGCTGTTAAGGGTTTCAACAAAATTGAGTAGCAGCTGCAAAGACAAGAGGAGTATGAAAAAATAAATAAATTGTTCTGAAAAGAATTCAGAATGCCACTAAAGCTGAATGTGAGATTGGAGAGAGGCAGAGACACAGAATCATAGAAAGATATTTAGAGATAATAAAAAGACTTCTAAACCCTCACCTTAAGGCTAATGGGCAGCATATACAAGAAATATGATCAGATTTTTGTTTCTAAATGTTGCTTAGAGCTGTAGTACAAATGTTGGCCTGGCATATAAGGATGGGAGCAGGAAAAAAGAGTTTTATGGAACTGTGGTAATATAAGAGAGAATTAAAGCTTAGAGTTAATTAGAATAGAAATTTAGGAGTACAGAGAAATATAAATATCCCTAAGATGTTTTAAAAGTGGAATAGAAAGGGACTAGCAACTGACTTAATGTGGAAAGAGAGGGTGAACAAGTTGAAGATGACTCCTGTTTCTGACTTGTGAGATTTAAGTGGATTACTGTAGAAATTGCCATGAGGGAATGGAAGAAAAAAGCTGATGTGAATCAAGAAAAGATAAATTCAATAAAAGAAATGTGAAATTGAGATGACTGTGGGAAATCAAAATAGAAATACCAAAAGGTAGTTTGATATAAGTAGTAGGACATTCATCTCAATTTGATCAAGACAGCGATGGTTTATTCTTGCTGTTTTTAAGTGGAGCACTATCTTTCACTCTTACAAATCTTACTTTGAATGATGAATTAAATAGTATAAGGCTCTGAAGCTGTAGAAATCTATCTGTAATAGAGGTATAGATTTTTCAGTTAAAAATAGATAGAGGCTAAATCTGCCTGTATGAATGAGATTAACCACTACCAACATGGAGAATGAGATGGAAGATGAAAGAGAAAATAAATTTGAAAGTCATCAACGTTTTTAGGGCCGGTAAATGACTTGCAGAAAAATGAGTAAGAGTTACTCTGGGATAAGAGTAAAACCAGAAGCTTATGATCAGAGCTTTCGAAGTATGAAGTTTCAGTTAAAGAGATATTCAACTCAATAGGCTAAAAATTGCACAAATAATATTGTTTCACATGGTATTGTTTGAAAATACCACTATTTATCAAATTTATTGTTGATACCTGTTTTGATTGTTTTGAGTGTTTTACTGCTAATAACCTTTAACTTAGTTTACTGCTAAGTTCTACTGCTGCTATAAATTTTCTTGTACAAGTCTCAGTACTCAAGTGCAAGAGCTTACTCAAGGTACATTCTAAGATGTAGAATTGCTGGGTATCAGGATATGCAAATGTCTAACTACACTATATAATGTAAAACTGTTTTCCAAAGAAGTTTAACAAAATTATATTCATATAAACAGCTTCTGGAAAACTCTACTTTTCCTAATCCTCAACAATGGATAGCTTTATCATATTTACTTGAGTAAAATCATGTGAATCTGCTGGGCATTTAATGGCATCTCATTTAGTTTTACTGTCCATTTTCTTAACTACTAATGAAATTATGGATAATTTGATACATTTATTTGCCATTTTGTTATTCTCTTTCCTAAGCTACCTGATTCATCTACTGTTGTTTTTCTCTTAAGATAGTCTTCATTTAGTCTGTATACAAACATTTTCCTCCTATGTATTTCTTATTTTTTCATTCTCTTTAATGTGTCTTTTGATGACACATAATCAGACTTATTTTTTAAGAGGTTGTTATAAAACACATGATAGTTTTCATACATTATACATATATATGTATTTGTGTGTACATTTGTATGTACATTATACATATTTATAAAATAGATATGCATTTGTATTATACATACAAATATGATATACATATAAATATGCACACAAATATGAGTTCCTAAAAACATTTTGAATTACGCATTTTGAAATGGCATGAATCTATTTTATTTTTGAGGTGTTAAAATATAAAATAATTCATCTCTAATCTATTAAACTACATCAAGTTTTCCCAAATATCACTAACATAACAATGCACTTTTGATGCTTGCATAATATAAAATATTTGTAACATTAACTATTTACCATTTAATGAACTGATCAGTAGATATGTTTCTTTGCACACAAATGATATTGAATAATTTATTGTAGAATAAAGAAATGGTGAAAAGGTATCAAAGGTATGTGAAAAATAGAAATTATTTTTGGTCAAAATGAGCCAACAAATCAGTTTATTAACAAACATTTATTATTAAATATTTGCCTAAGGAGAAGTTTCTTTGTAAGGAAGAGGATCCAGCTCATTGCTGTTTAGTTTTAAGTTAAGATGAGCAAGAGAAAACTGATAAAGTAATAAGTAAAACAACACATGCCTGAGAGTTCATTATGTCCAATATAAATACATTGTGGAAAGAATTATCTTTTCACTGAAGACTCCAGAAGAATAAGTAGATCAACCACATTCTCAAAACTATTAGAGATAGACAATCAGAAGGAAAAATAAAAATGAATGCACATACTCAAATACCTAATGTGGGTATATATACATATGATTATTTATTTCCTGATAATGTGAGGCTATGTTGTAAATGACTTTCAAAATATGATGCTTGTGTTTAAGTCATAGTCATGACATTTGTAGTTATCAAATGTGTGCATGACATAATTTTTTTTTGTTTTTTACCAAAGATTCGGTGCCTAGAATGTGTGGTTCTTCTACAACAGAAGCTGCTTTTGCCAAGTATGCAGGCGTTTCCATCTATTATTTCTCTCAAATCATCTAATACCTTCTTTGAAACTTAACTTCCTGAGCAAAACATTTATCTCACCAAGCATCACTTTCAAATGTTCAAATGTCTGGTGTTATTGCTATATCAACATGGTAATACATGAAATTATTCAACAATTGCTATCAATGCATTGCACTTGATGTTTCTCTAATTTTGTAAAAATCATCATACCATGCTAGAAACTCAAGCTTTCAACAGACAACAATGTTATTTTATTTAATTTCTCAGTAACAGAAAAAATATATACTTGAAGGTTATATGCATGGCCAAGCCTACCTCTTACAGGGATTAACTACTCTCTCTTTTTTTAATAATCATTTTAATTTTATTTATTTATTTATTTATTTATATTTTTTATTATACTTTAAGTTCTAGAGTACATGTGCACAACATGCAGGTTTGCTACATATGTATACATGTGCCATGTTGGTGTGCTGCACCCATTAACTCATCATTTACATTAGGTATATCTCCTAATGCTATCCCTTCCCCCTTCCCCCACCCCACAATAGTCCACAGTGTGTGATGTTCCCCTTCCTGTGTCCATGTGTTCTCATTGTTCAATTCCCACCTATGAGTGAGAACATGTGGTGTTTGGTTTTTTGTCCTTGTGATATTTTGCTGAGAATGATGGTTTCCAGCTTCATCCATGTCCCTACAAAGGACATGAACTCATCCTTTTTTAAGGCTGCATAGTATTCCATGGTGTATATGTGCCACATTTTCTTAGGGATTAACTACTCTCAATATGCTTTATCACTTTTAATTTTTTTTCTTCTAATCAGTGGCTTTTATAGGACTTGTAGCCTTTCATGCTTTGTTTACAAACTTTTGTGCTTCTTGGAAACTTTTGTTTTACTTAAAAATATGGAAAGATGATCATGGTAATGCACACATATTAAAATAATCTGAGCATTACTTCCTATTGAGAGAACATCTAAAATACTATAGTAGCTCCTTCTATATCCTTGATATGCATAATGTTTAAATTTTTACATGCAAATCTATTATGGAGGAAGTTCCACTTCTGTGTAGAATATAAATAGTCACAAGGAATATTGCTCCCACTATAGCAAGAGAACGGGGACAAAAATTAACTTTTTCTTTAAAAGGCATCCTGTAGATGATGTCACAAAGCAACCAGGTAAACCAGAGTGACAAACATCTCAGAAGAAAGATGTGACACTCAATCCATTTTATTTTTGACAGAACATGGCAGAAAAAAGTAGTCACCTTGAAAATAAATATGAAAATAGGTATATTTTCAAACACATCTTAAAGAACAATGCTAGCTAATGTGACAGTGTACAATCTCAGGTAACTGTTGACAAAAGGGAGTTTGCACAAAGGAGTTCACTTAAAGAACAATGCTAGCTAGTGTGACAGTGCACAATCTCAGATAACTGTGGACAAAAGGGAGTTTCCACAAGGGAGGAGTTTGCTTAAATAACAATGCTAGCTAGTGTGACAGTGCACAATCTCAGGTAGTGGTGGATACAAGGGAGTTTGCACACATTTGCCAGATCTTTTCCAAGAGCAACTTCCAAGCAATAAAGACTGGGACCAGGGCAGAAGACTTGAGAGAGCCTTGTTCAGTGGTGTAGGTGTGCAGGACCGTTTTAGGTCTGAGGTTGGATTAGTAGATTGCTGAGGATCCCAATCACTTTATAGGCCCCACGTGAGTATAAGATTGTTTTCATCTGCCCCTGGGTACAGGTAAAAGACCTACACTGTAACTTCCCATGACATGAGACAAAACCTGCATACTGCTAAGGAAAAAACAGGAAGTCTCCCACACCAGGACTCTGATCTGAACCCAGGAAGATGTTTACTGCCCCTTGGGTAGGGGTAGGAAATCTGTCTGTGGCCTTGACCTGCATAAGCGGAGATTGGCTGATTCCAGGGAGAGGGTGAAGCTGAGGAGTCCAGGCCCACCTGTCCAACATGCTGCTTGATACTAGGCAAAAGCTATCTGTCACCAGGGACAGGTAAGGAGACCTGCTGGCCACAAGGTTTCTGCACTCATAAATGTAAAATATGCTACAGCATATATACTAGGTACAGTATATATACTAGGCAAAAGCTCTCTGTCACTAGGGACAGGAGAAGAGACCTGCACATGTCCAAAGCCCTCTACCAAAGCAAAGATTAACTTCTGGGGAAGGACAGGAATCCTGCCTGTATTCTAGAACAACAGAGTAGTTGTAAGAGTTTGTGTGTCTATAGGATAGTCAAGATTGCTGAGTCAAATCAAATTTTGGGTCAGGCATACAAGACCTGCCTTATACTTCCTTTGCCAAATGTGGACCATGCACTTAACACCTACAGCAGTCCATCTCTTTGGGGAGGAGGTTGCTTGAAGAGAGACACTGCAAATAGTGAAATATAATTTAAAAATACTACAAAGAAATTTATAAACAGAAACTTTTCAATTACATGTATTGTATCAATTTATTGAAAGATACACATTATAGTAGAAGCTTGTAGAAGATTCTTTAATGTATTAAATAATTTGAACTTGTAGATACAAACTTTTCACAAAAGAAAACCCCAGGAAGTGCTATTTTTAGGAGATATTTCCAGAAAAGATAAAAGATACCAAAATGTAGTTTCAGGAATTAAGATGAGTTCAAATGTTCTTGTTAACCCTTTATCGAAATCCTTTAGCTGTTAGATAAATTAGGTTACGTCATATAGACATGAACATGTACATTATGTTTATACACATATATCCACATATGTATGTGTATATATATGTAAATATGTAAAAAATATTTTGAATAAGTCACTTCTGGCTACGATTCAGCTACAGTTTACTTTTCAGTAGTTAGACAAATGATAAAGGCAAAATATATCAGTGTCTATCTTCTGCAATAACATAAGATGAATATAGATCATAAGACATGTTAGAGAAAAAGATTGCTTATGTATCATCAGATCAGGAGAGAAAAGAGGTCAGGGATACTCTCTTATCAGTAATGGCAAATGTTCTTAAATAAACCAGCCATGTGAAATGAATATTGGCATAGCAGTTCATTAATTTCTGAAATGTATAACAAATGCTTGCTTTGTATGAGACACACACAGAGTTAGTCAGCAGTCTACAATTAGTATAATTTCAAAAAACAAAGACTGCTCAATAACCTCTAAATAAAGATGACAGGAACATTAACTACAGATTTAAATTAAAATCTTAAATTTTAGCTCCACTTATTCTGCAAGCATTAAAGATTCTTCTGTGTTACTCCTCTTTTTCCTTTTCTTATTATTTAATGTATGTTCTCAAAAGCCTGATTTATAGTAATCTCTATCTCCATCCATTTATCACTTGATGGGTATTGGTATATCTCATCAGATAAAACCCACTTTTAAATCCAATAAAGAGTATTATTAAAGCTCTAAGTAAATACTACTAATGACTGTTATGAAAATAAATTATAGATTCTGTGACCTTTCATAAAAATATAATGTCACTGATTGTATATCTAGAAAACCCCATTGTCTCAGCCCAAAATCTCCTTAAGCTGATAAGCAACTTCAGCAAAGTCTCAGGATACAAAATCAATGTACAAAAATCACAAGCATTCTTATACACCAATAACAGACAAACAGAGAGCCAAATCATGAGTGAACTCCCATTCACAATTGCTTCAAAGAGAATAAAATACCTAGGAATCCAACTTACAAGGGATGTGAAGGACCTCTTCAAGGAGAACTACAAACCACTGCTCAATGAAATAAAAGAGGATACAAACAAATGGAAGAACATTCCATGCTCATGGGTAGGAAGGATCAATATCGTGAAAATGGCCATACTGCCCAAGGTAATTTACAGATTCAATGCCATCCCCATCAAGCTACCAATGACTTTCTTCACAGAATTGGAAAAAACTACTTTAAAGTTCATATGGAACCAAAAAAGAGCCGGCATCGCCAAGGCAATCCTAAGCCAAAAGAACAAAGCTGGAGGCATCACACTACCTGACTTCAAACTATACTACAAGGCTACAGTAACCAAAACAGCATGGTACTGGTACCAAAACAGAGATATAGATCAATGGAACATAACAGAGCCCTCAGAAATAACGCCGCATGTCTACAACTATCTGATCTTTGACAAACCTGAGAAAAACAAGCAATGGGCAAAGGATTCCCTATTTAATAAATGGTGCTGGGAAAACTGGCTAGCCATATGTAGAAAGCTGAAACTGGATCCCTTCCTTACACCTTATACAAAAATCAATTCAAGATGGATTAAAGACTTAAACGTTAGACCTAAAACCATAAAAACCCTAGAAGAAAACCTAGGCATTACCATTCAGGACATAGGCATGGGCAAGGACTTCATGTCTAAAACACCAAAAGCAATGGCAACAAAAGACAAAATTGACAAATGGGATCTAATTAAACTAAAGAGCTTCTGCACAGCAAAAGAAACTACCATCAGAGTGAACAGGCAACCTACAAAATGAGAGAAAATTTTCACAACCTACTCATCTGACAAAGGGCTAATATCCAGAATCTACAATGAACTCAAACAAATTTACAAGAAAAAAACAAACAACCCCATCAAAAAGTGGGTGAAGGACATGAACAGACACTTCTCAAAAGAAGACATTTATGCAGCCAAAAGACACATGAAAAAATGCTCACCATCACTGGCCATCAGAGAAATGCAAATCAAAACCACAATGAGATACCATCTCACACCAGTTAGAATGGCAATCATTAAAAAGTCAGGAAGCAACAGGTGCTGGAGAGGATGTGGAGAAATAGGAACACTTTTACACTGTTGGTGGGACTGTAAACTAGTTCAACCACTGTGGAAGTCAGTGTGGCGATTCCTCAGGGATCTAGAACTAGAAATACCATTTGACCCAGCCATCCCATTAGTGGGTATATACCCAAAGGACTATAAATCAAGCTGCTATAAAGACACATGCACACGTATGTTTATTGCGGCACTATTCACAATAGCAAAGACTTGGAACCAAGCCAAATGTCCAACAATGATAGACTGGATTAAGAAAATGTGGCACATATACACCATGGAATACTATGCAGCCATAAAAAATGATGAGTTCATGTCCTTTGTAGGGACATGGATGAAATTGGAAATCATCATTCTCAGTAAACTATCGCAAGAACAAAAAACCAAACACCGCATGTTCTCACTCATAGGTGGGAATTGAACAATGAGATCACATGGACACAGGAAGGGGAATATCACACTCTGGGGACTGTGGTGGGGTGGGGGGAGCGGGGAGGGATAGCATTGGGAGATATACCTAATGCTAGATGACGAGTTAGTGGGTGCAGCACACCAGCATGGCACATGTATACATATGTAACTAACCTGCACAATGTGCACATGTATCCTAAAACTTAAAGTATAATTTAAAAAAAGAAGAAAAAAAAATATATAATGTCACAAAATGTTCTCATATAGGCTGGGCACGGTGGCTCAAGCCTGTAATCCCAGCACTTTGGGAGGCCAAGGCAGGTGGATCACGAGGTCAGGAGATCAAGACCATCCTGGCTAACATGGTGAAACCCCGTCTCTACTAAAAATATAAAAAATTAGCCGGGTGTGGTGGCAGGCGCCTGTAGTTCCAGCTCCTCCTGAGGCTGAGGCAGGAGAATGGCATGAACCCAGGAGGCGGAGCTTGCAGTGAGCCGAGATCGTGTCACTGCACTCCAGCCTGGGGAACAGAGCGAGACCCCCGTCTCAAAAAAAAAAAAAAAGTTCTCATATAATATTATATACAGCACGCCATTTTAATAACATTTTCATTGTAAATAAACACACTTGTTGTGACTGGAACTGTGATATTGAAAAGTCTTACTTTAATTTTACTAAAACTTTACATTCTGTGTTGAGTACGTTTAGATTATTATTTTTCTGTATAGTCAAAAATATTTGAATGCTGCAAAGCAAATACCTCTTTTCCCAGCCTCAAGAAAAAAAATCTTTCCATTAAAAAAAAAAACCTTACAACATTAAAATTAAAATCACCAGAACAATTCAGTCAAATAAAAATATGCACAATTTGAAAGAGTACAAAACAAATAACTACTTAACTGCTCTTGTTATTACAGTAGTCATTTGGATCTTGAAATAAAGAAAATTTCTTAGAAATATAACACACAAATTAGTGTCAATGTCACTTTCACTGGAAAATGCAGATGTTACCTAAGAGTGTCTAATTTATATTTTCAAGATTTACAAATTGTTAATTATTTACCTTATGGACTTCTCTTTCTCTTTCCCCATCCTCCATTTTGTTGAGATTGGAAGTAAAATCCTTCACAAAATTATCACGTGAGTATAGGTAAGTGTTAAATTTTCTAGGTCTAATCTGTTGTAGACTGGCTATGCTCTGGAGTGAGCACCTACATAAGAGACCCAAAAGTCTCCATCATTAACTGTGATTTGTTTCCAGTTTGTTATTTCAAAGAAAGGGATCTTTAATATGCCAGGCTATGGTTTTCCAAGTGGCAGTTCAATCACTAGGCTATTGACAACAGCCCAAGAGATAACAGACATATAACAGTTTCTTACAAGGGAGCATTGGTCATAGTTATCAGAATGACCTTGAGTTCTGCTCAGTGGGAAGGCACGACCACATCTATTTTTGGTTCTTACAGAGCTGATGCAGAGGCTGAAGAGGCATCGTAGTTCAGTAGGTACCATTTTGTTTCTGCTTAGCTGAAACATCAGTGAACCCAGCATAGACATTAGGAGGAATCTTTGCGAATCATGGACCTAGTGAGCCCTAACTTTGTTTAATGCAGTAGAATGAGAAATAATATTCACACCGAGGAACAGCTTCCACTTTACCATGTACAGACGAGATGTTTCTGAGCCAGGCCAATGAGTTTCTTAATATACTACTTCCATTTGTCAAGTGAGGTTCTTCTCTCCTTGTTATCCATCAAGTCTAAGTTGAGCAACCCCAAAATGGGAATATAATAATAGAGAGAAAAAAAGCATCTCTGGGTCAGGTATTTAGTTGTGAAAAGCAAACAGCCAGCTACAATTGCTTTTCCGAAGTTAGACTTTGTGTGCAAGTCAGAGAAGCGAGGAGTAAAAACTCCTAAGGGGAATTCCTAGGTAGAGTCTGCATCTCTTTGCCAGAGAATCCAGTTGGCAAAATCATCAGTCAAAATCATTAACAGATTTGCAGCTCAAAGCTGACATTAGGATTGTGGTACCTAAAGCTAAAAAGTAAGTCATGGCTTCCTGGAGAGTTTCCTATGCAGCTTGTTGGTTTATGCACAACTTAAAGGATACTGATATATGGGTTAGCTGATATAAAGGACCAAGTAAAATGTCCAAGTGAGGCACATACTGTCTCTAGCAAATGGTCCAGTGAGGTGTTGAGCTTTCTTTTTTGACTGTTGAAGCATGAAGAGAGAGCAGTTTTGCCTTGACTGCTAGAGAGTTCAAACTTTGTGAATTCCCCATATGGTCCCAAGAAAGTTTACTTGGAGATCAGGCCCATTTGTTTTCTTAGAGTTATCAGACACCCTGATGGCAGAGATGTAATAACATCACAGTCAGAGAAGTAGAGGCTGAGGCATCTGATATGTCAATTCACAAGACATCAGCCATTTAGGAAAGCTTTGGAAATCACAGGGCAGAACCACTTGTAATAAATTCTTACTCACCCACATGTAGAAAATGACAGGAAAGTTTGTTCCACTAGAACTTGTATACCTGCAGCTCTTTTGAATCCCTCTAAATTCCCTCTGGAACTTATAGCATGGTAAAGTACCAGTTTATAAACATCAATTATTATTTACTCATATATAAAATCAATAAGAGCAGTACACTGAATTAGCCAAAGGACCACACCCACAAGAATGCATTGGCTTCCGTTTCATGCTGTGAACTCTGCCCAAATGCCCTTAAGCTGAAATTGAATGCCACATCCCCAGCTGAATCTGGAACTAAGGATGGTGAATTAACCAAATGTTTCCAAGAAAGCAATAGAAATCTGAAGCCCTCCTCCATCTAATTTTCCCCAGAATACTCAGATGAGCATACATGGTTGTCAGTCCCCTTTAGAGAGAAGAGTGGGAAGATACATATTGTCTGAATTGTTAATGGCCCACTGGTTGATTTTAGCTCAACCAATTTGAAATTCTAATACTTTTTATCCTCTCAAAGCTCTATATTGTCATTGTTGACACCATTTACATAATCACTGGGGACTCCTTAACTAAGAAGCTACCTCCACATGGCAATTCAGCTGGAGCCATGGGACTTGCCACCTCATTATCATAATCATATCTTTTCTTCTTCTCACACAGAGGAGAGTAAAAGCCAAAGCATTATTTGGGTTGCTTGTTTCAACCTTACCACGTGATCAGTCTCTAAATATTTATTAACAGGTAAGACAGTAGAATTCCCTTACCTCCCCTCCTTGTCCACTGCTTAGACAAGAACATTCACTACCAGTCTTCTCACATTCTGTAACCTGACCCAAGGGGGCTCTTGCCCTATCCTTCTACAAAACCACATCTCTCTCAGCATCCAATCCTCATCTCCAAAATCTGTCAGGAACTATGAAGGGTCAGATATTTTACCCTACTTGCAAAATTACAAGAGAACTTGGCTGTAGTTTCATGTGTGCTGGCAGAAGACCTTAGATGCCTGGGTCAGAAAAAGAACTTTCTTACTTATGGTACAACAAGCAGCATAAGCTTTATGTTCACATCAATTACACTTGGCCCCAAATCTCACAGGGGTAATGAGGAGCAGCCCAAGTGGAGGCTGTGAGGGTAGTAAAGTTGCAACAAGCTAAGGAGTCTTGAGTTTAGGAAACTACCAGATGAAATGGGTTTATTATACTGAGCAGAGACAAACTCCTCTCTGCTCTAGAGGCAGACACCATCTCTGTCTTCCAAGGTTGCCCAGTATACAATATCCTTTAAAATTTAACCCAGAGCAAAGATTATCAGTGTCTATCTATGCTCACAAAATGAGGAGAAAAATCATAGAGACTTGGAAAATTCTCTTCCAGTATAATACCTTCAAATATTTGCATGCATTAATATCTTTCCTGTATCCTATAGGACACCAATGATACAAAAGTTGGACTTTTTGACATTGTCTTTGAGTTCCGCGAGGCTCAGTTCATTTTTTTAAATCTTTCTCTCTGTTCTTCAGATTGGATCATTTCTATTGATTTATCTTCAAGTTCACTTTTCTCAGTCTCCTCCATTTTACTCTTGAGCCCATTCAATGACATTTTTTTAAAAATTCAGTTGTTTTTCAGTTGAAATTTTCTAATTTTTTTATAATACCTATTTTTCTTTTGATAAGTCAAAATTTTCATATCATGATTTCCCTTACGTCATGCATTATGTTCAGGATATCTGCTTCAAAATCTGGCAATTCTAACAATATCAGAGTCATCTTAGGTTTGAAATCTGCTGATTGTCTTTTCCCTTTAAAGTTATTGAGATTTTCCTGCTTTACTGTATTACAAATAATTTTGGATTACAACTTGAACATTGTGAATATGATGTTTACAGTTTAGTCCTTTTGAGATCCTATGGAGAATGTTGTTTTTTGTTTTGTCAGGGAATAAACCCAGTTAAGTCCAGTCTTCTGTGGGCTTTGGCTCTAATGATAGTTTAATTTTAAAAGTTTTTGCTGCACTATTCAGGTGTGTCCCATGTATGTGCTACCCAAAATCCATTATTGTTCTGGGTGGGACTCTACCTTTGTTCATAAAGCCGTTAGTAGACTGCTCTGGGCCAGTTTTATGCATGCAAAGCTCAGGGTGAGCCCAGGACTTTCTTCGTAGACTATTCAGCTCCTCCTTCTCCATGATTTCATTCCTGAGTTCAGTCAACTTTTAGTTTATTTCTTCCTATTGGAGAATATGCTCTTCTTGGTTTTAATCATTTTGATAGAAGATATTTTCCATTTTTGTAAGTTCATAGTTGAGAATATTCAATTCAGTTTCAACTGATACGTGTAATGTTATTCAGCTTTGCATTGTTTTTTGGAAAAATAACTTTCATAATCGGAAAGTCTTTTGTTTATATTTTCCGATGGTTTAAAATAGTTTTACATGTATTTTGCTATTTTTAATTCATATACAGGATTCCCAATTTAAGAATGTCCTCTTCTATCAGTTTTCTCCTCTTTTGCTCAGTAACCTTCACAGATGGTTCTGCTTTCTTTCTCTTCACTGCCTTGTCTCCAGGGAGTATCACCCCTTTTCTATACATCTGATTCTTTTTCAGCAATGATTCTTCTTTGAGTCTTGCACTTCTAGTCCTGCAGATTTTCCAGCCTCTTCTTCGTTGCCAGTGCTGTGACTTACAAGTCCTTATCAGTATTCAATAGTCTAACACTTACTGTTTCTCTTTCTCTTTATTCTGGTAATTTTGTAGATGCTTTTTTCAGAGACCTCTGCTACTTTCCATCCTTTTTACAGAGTCTCTCTTTTTTGTTTTATTTTGTAAACCTTTCTTTTTAAATTTTTAAATTCTTAATTTTTGTGGGTACATGGTAGGTGTATGTATTAGTGCTTTTTCATGCTACTGATGAAGACATACCCGATACTGTGTAATTTATTAAAAAAAAAAAAAGAGGTTTAATGAACTCACAGTTCCACATGGCTGGGGAGGCCTTGCACTCATGGCAGAAGGCAAAAGGCATGTCTTACATGCCAGCAGACAAGAGAGAATAACAAAACTTGTGCAGGGAAGTCCCCTTTGTAAAACCATCTGATCTCGTGAGACTTACTATCAGGAGAACAGCAAAGGAAAGACCCGCTCCAATGGTTCAATTACCTCCCACCAAGTCCCTCCCACAACACGTGGGAATTGTTGGAGCAACGATTCAAGATGAGATTTTGGTGGGGACACAGCCAAACCATATCAGTGTATATATTTATGGGGCACATGAGATGCTTTTTATACCCATGCAATGTGAAATAAACACATCATGGAGAATGGGGTATCCCTCTTCTCAAGCATTTATCCTTTGAGTTACAAACAATCCAATTACACTCTTTAAGTTATTTTAAAATGTACAATAATAGCTGGGCACAGTGGCTGATGCCTGTATTCCCAGCACTTTGGGAGGCCAAGGTGGCCAGGTCATTTGAGGTCAGGAGTTCAAGACCAGGCTCGCCAACATGGTGAAACCCCATCTCTACTAAAAATACAAAAGTTAGCTGGGCATGGTGGCATGCCCCTGTAGTCCCAGCTACTCAGGAGGCTAAGGCAGGAGAATCACTTGAACCCAGGAGGCAGAGGTTGCAGTGAGCTGAGATTGCACCACTGCACGCCAGCCTGGGTGACAAAGCAAGACTATGTCTCAAAAAATAAATAAAAATACAATTAAGCTATTATTGACTATAGTCACCCTGTTGTGCTATGAAATAGCAGTTTATATGCATTCTTTCTAACTGTTTTTCTGTACTCCTTTAACCATTCCTGTGTCCCCCACTACCCTTCCCTGCTTCTGATAACCATCCTTCTACTCTCTATGTCTGTGAGTTCAATTGTTGTGAGTTTTAGCTCCCATTCTTCTCCCTCTACATCTGAAAACTTGGACATTATGTGGTGGACATGAAAATTTTGTTGGAATGCTTTTTCTCTACTTACAAGTTATATAAATGTGTGATGTTCTCTATCTCCTAGAAAAATTAGCACACATCAAAATCATTTGGCCACAATTATTGTCCATACTCAGAATACTATAGTTATCTTTATCGTTGATTTCTAGCATTTTTCTATTGTTGTCACAGATATGACTGTATAATTTCACCTTGTGACCATTGTGTGACATGCTGTCTAGCCAAGCACATGATCACATTTGACAAATGTCCGTGTATATGTCAAAACGGGAATTCTGCAGTATTGTGTGTTCTATGTATGACACTTATGTCCATATGTCATTTGTATTGTTTGAATTATTCATCGTCCTCTATAATTTTTGGTCTGCTTTTCTATTATTTACTGAGAAAAATTTGGTAAAATTTTACACTATGGTATTGAATTAGCTAATTTCTCTTTTAGTTATATGTCCATCTTTGCTTTTTTTTTTTTTTTTTTTTTTTTTTTTTTGAGACGGAGTCTCGCTCTGTTGCCCAGGCCGGACTGCGGACTGCAGTGGCGCAATCTCGGCTCACTGCAAGCTCCGCTTCCCGGGTTCACGCCATTCTCCTGCCTCAGCCTCCCGAGTAGCTGGGACTACAGGCGCCCGCCACCGCGCCCGGCTAATTTTTTGTATTTTTAGTAGAGACGGGGTTTCACCTTGTTAGCCAGGATGGTCTCGATCTCCTGACCTCATGATCCACCCGCCTCGGCCTCCCAAAGTGCTGGGATTACAGGCGTGAGCCACCGCGCCCGGCCCCATCTTTGCTTTAAATATTGTCAGGATATGTTATTAGATACATGAAATTTGAATTGTTTTGTTTTCTAGCCAAAGTGTTTGTTATGTGAAATTTGCCTCTCTATCTCTAGCACTGTATCTTGTCTCAAAAATCTATTTTTACTTTATGTTTAAAATGCGTTTTGTGGGCTTCATATAACTTTTAATTTTTGTATTTTTATCCCATGAAAGTCTTTATCTTTTATCTGGAATTGTCTGTTCGGATTTATCATCTTTACTATATTTGGTAGTTTACACTTGATCTTAGCCAAAAGACCGAGAAGAGATATATTTTGTAGTTTAAATCTGCCAACTAGTCATGTTCTATTTATCCAGTTTCTCTATATTTCTGTGTTTCTATTTCTTTTTGCCTCCTTTCAAATTAAGTACTTTTCACTATTACATCTTTTGATATACTTTTATTTTAACTATTTATGTAAGGCATATCCTAAAAATTATAATTTGTATTCATAATTTAATAGATCTAAAATATTTGAAATGTTTTGCAGCTTTGATATGTTAACTCTACTTACCTCCTTATTGCCTGTTTTATTGTTGTTCCTATGCATTTTAATAATACCAAATTTAAGCTAAGATATTAGTATTACTTTGAACAATGTTCAATTAGATTATCCTCCTGTCACTTCTTATTTTTTCTTGCATTTGGATTTTAAAATGGTATCATATTCATTCTGCTTAAAGACTTATTTAGAATTTTCCCAAGTTGGAACATTTATTGATAAATGTTCTCAGATTTTGTCTGAAGTTATCCTTATCTTTATTTTTGGATATCATATTTTGATAGGCATAGAATTCTAAATAGACATTCATTATTTCTTTTGAGAGTTCAGCTGCCATATTTATTTTTACTCATTGTGTGTGGTTGTCAGCTGTTTTATAATAATGTGGTTCTGAGTGATTACTTTGTGTTTATCCTACTTGGGATTCATGACATTTCCTGAATTTATGGGGTGATATATTTCAACAGTTTTGGAATAATCTTAGTTACTGTTCCTTTATTTATTGTGTCTGTCTCATTATCTATGTCATCTCCCTTTAGTATCCCAATTATACACCTACTAAACCCTTTAACTGTGTCATATATATTATTAAAGCTATACTTAACATTATTTGACCTCTGTAATATAGTACAGAAATTTTATACTGGATGATCTTCCAGTACAATCCTTTGTCTTCAGCTTTATTTAATCTTCTGCAAAACTCCTTTTGTATTCTAAATTTTTATTTATTGTGTTTTTATTCAATACTTCTATTTGATAACTTTTATAGGTTATAACCCTCTTTGGAATTCTCTATCTTGTCTTCTATTTTTTATGAGTACATTTAAGTACATTTCTAAAACTTAAAATGAATAGATTTCCTGTGAGTCTGTTTTTATTGTTTCTTTTTTCGCTATTTTTTTTCAGGTACTTACTCTTGAGTTCAAAAATGTCAAGTTTTTATTGAATGTCAGACATTATAAAAATTGTAGGGATCATTTGAAACTCTAGATGATACTGTCTGATTCCAGAGAGGATCATTCTTTTGCTCTTAGCATAAATATAAAGTAGAAGCAGATAGTTTTGATTCAGTCCTGCATTATGTTAATCTGATGCAAAGATTTTGTGTTTGTTAAGCTGGGCTATTATTGGATAATATTAACTCATATGAATAGCCCTTCCTGAATCACAATGGACAGTCTGGGGTGTTTGTCTTGGCTAATCTGCCTTGGATGCTCTTCACTCCTAGGTTCACGAAATTGTCTACAGCTCTACTCAGCCTATCGATGTCTTAGTCACCAATTTTTACTCAGCTTCTCTGCTTCCCTATTCATTTCCTCTGTGCTTCTTCATCTTTTATTTTCTCACATAATTTAAGCTACTTGGCTTCTAGACCGGCTATTTCAGCTTAGAAATCATTTCACTTCAAAGTAAAAATGTACTCAGAATGTTGTACTCAATTCTAAACTTAATATCTTTCCTAGATCTTGGACCCTGTTCTCAGTGCTTTGGTATTTCTCCTATATATTCATGTGCTATTTATAAAATTACATCCAGATTTTTCAGTGGTAGACTATGAAGACTGACACAAACTATGCCTACATATCTGGAAAAAAATGCATGCATTTTAAAATATATTTATTTATTCACCAAGTATCTTTCGAACACTTACAATTTATTTATTCAATATACATTTATTGAGAACTTACTAAATGTCTGGTACTCTTCAAGGTACTAAAGATAACTTAGTTAAATAAGTCCTCATAAAATTTACATTTTAGTATGGGTGCATGAACCAAAACAGCCCAAATATACATATATATATATAATGCTATTTTTATAGGTAGGTAACATCGAGTAATTAAAAGTAAAGAAGGACATGAAAATGGGCAATAAAAAGGAGAGCATTTAGACAGAATGGTTATGAGTTTCTCTTTGTGGAGGTAGTATTAAGAGCAACCTGATCAACTTAACTATTTGAGGAAAGATAATATTATATAGGTAATATTATATAGAGAAAAGAGAAAGTGAAAAAACCTAAAAGGAGTCTGCTGTTTTGTACTGAGATCAGCAAAAATTCCAATGTGCCAGAGCAAAATTATTAAGGGTGATAAAAATAGAGATTTAGGAAATGAGCCTAGATAGATTTAGGGGACAGAGCATGCAGGAACTTTTAGGTCACAGCAATAACATGGCACTTTATTCTAACTATGAGGAGAAGCCATTAGAGGGTGATATAATGTGGCTTGATGTTTCAGAAAATATTTCCTTAGCTGTTTTGTTGATGATAGACTGAAAGAGGCAATATAAGATACAGGAAGAGTTCTTAGGATACTATTCTAATATACTAAGCAAGATCTTATGTTGACTTAGACAAGGATGGTACTAGTGGAGGTGGGTGAAATGGTTAGATTTGGCTTATCCTTACTAGTTAAAGCATCCTAGCTGAAGTTATGAATAGACTGGAAGTGAGCTTAAGAGAAAGGGAGAAGTCGCAGCGAATTTCCAAATATTTATTTAAAATATTCTAAGAATGATGTTGTGGGAAACTAGGGTATATTTATTTTTGGAAGATTGGGGTTTCAGTTTTGGTTTGTAAAGTTTGAAATGATATGAGTTGTTCAAGAGGAGATATTGCATAGGCAATGGGTAACGCTCAAACTCAGCTTTGAGGATGGAGCTAAGGATATACATTTGAGTGCTATCTATATCTATATCTATATCTATATATGTGTATGTATATATACGTGTGTGTGTGCGTATATGTATATCCCTAGCTCCATACCCATATATACACAATAACGTGTGTGTGTATGTATGTGTGTGTGTCTGTGTGTGTGTGTCCCTTTAGAACTTTAAAAGTTATAAATTCCTTAGGTAGTGAACAGATAAAATACATTGGATGAATACTAAATATTAGAGGTTTAAATTTTAGGGGTTTGAGTTTGAAAATTTAGCAAATGAGTCTGAGAAGAAACTCTTGAGACAGGAATTCAGGAGAATGTGATGTCTTGAATTACAAGGTTATTATTTCAAGAAGATAGTGTCAAATAGTACAAAGAATTTGAATAAGGTGAGGACTGGTAATTGACCATTGACTATAGTTTTCCTTATTGATAGATGCATGGTTCACAATGGGAATTATGAAAAGACATGGCATTGGTGTAAAGTTTTCCAAAGTAAGGAGTTTATAGTGTTAAAAGTAGAAAATTTAATCCAGCTATGTAGGTCAGACAAAAATTCATTTCAAAAATGATAGGCTAATAGCCAAAGGATGAATAAGAGTTTAAAAAGAGTTAAATAGGGAAAGAGGAGAGAAGGAAGAATAGAACAGCTATTATAAAGTATCAGTGCCAAGAAAGGGTACTGAAATAATGAAGGATTGATAGACCAGTGTGACTATAAAAGAGGGCATGCAATGTGAGGCTAAAAAGCTCGAGAGAGAACAAACCATGTAGGACTCATTCATTCATATTAAGAAGCTTTGTCTACATTCAAGGTAACATAAATCCCTATAAGGATTCAAAGCAGGAAACAAACAAGACCAAAATTGCTCTTTTAAATCAATCACTGTGACTGAAATGTGCAGGACAGTTTGGAAGAGAGGTTAGCATGGGTAAAGATAGACACTTAGAAAATGATGGCACTGGCACTAGCAAGAGAGCCTGGTACTAAACTAGGACAGTAGGGGTGGTAATGAAGATAGATTGAAATGGGCATAGTTAAAACTATATATTTCATTTTCCATTTTTCTCCTTTCAGGCTTTTGGCAAGGCATGAACTGAATTAGAACCTTATATTTTTATGGATATATCATAAGATGGAAAGTATGGACTGAGATAAAATACTTTCAGAGATTTATTATTATTTTACATTGACTTATTTTCAAAAAAATTTTTGCCTGATAAGAGAAATGACACATAAAACCACTAATATAAATAAAAATATTAGTAACAATTTATTATAGAATAATCAACATAATTTATTCATAAAGGTTAATTTTGAAGATTAGAAACTAGATTCAATACAATGTCAGTAATATGGAAGTGAACACTATAATTTTAATATTTATATTTATTGAGTGTTATAAAGTGTTATTAAGCACCAATTTATTGAGTGTTATTAAGTGCCAATTAATATTGTAAGATATTATTTTTCTTTCTTCTAAATTACCCTATGAGATATGAGCTGTCATTATGCTCTTTATTTTGGCAAGGAAGCTAAGGTGAGAGAGTTTAGGTAACATTCTCAGTATCGCACAGCTACTAAATGAAATCATCAGGATTTTAATCGAGGAAGAAAGAGTGTTCTAAATTATTACATTCTAGTGCTTTCCAATGCAAACTGAAAAAAAAAGAGACAATCTTAATTTTACAAAAGAACTGGATGTTCCCAACAAGTTTTTAAATTTAATTGTCCAAATAACGTAATTTCCTTACTCTCTAATTCATGTTACCTTTGTAAGTACATTTAATAATAAAACAGAAAAACTTAGTTGCTTGAAATAATGGTCCTTCAGAAACATTTATACATCTTAATATTGCTGAAATATATTTTTTCATAAAAACATATTTTTTTTAAATGCACATACTTTTTTTAATTGTAAAAGTTCAGAGGTTGCTTGCTTCACATTTAACATGCCAGGAATTACGCTCTCACCAGACACCAGCTGCCCCTGAGGGGAAGACTGTAGTCTGGCATGCTTGCCTGAGGGCATACATGTTGTAGAAATGAAATGGCTAAGATGCAGCCAAGTCATCAGGGGACAAGGGAGGGTTTTTGCTGAAAAAAGAAAGTTATTCTAGTCTTAGCATTCTGCAACCCTCACCCAGAGGCGGCATCAGTCACAGCTTAGTGGCCATCATTCCAATTAGAAGGTCAGCTTATCTATCCACAAGCACAGGACCAGACCTCTCCTCAGGAATCAGAGAACACCACTTACCCTCTATCACAAAGGTAATATTAGACATCTAATTTACGCATACACAGAAGAAAAATGAACATGAGTAGGTGAAAACCTGTGAAAGAATTCATATGGGTCAGACAATTAGAGCCTAAGTTACCTAAATAATCAAATTAAATTACCAGACTTAACTAAAGTTTAATACAATTTTTTCAATAGACACTGTATTAGTCCATTTTCATGCTGCTGATAAAGACTTGCCCAAGCCTGGGCAATTTACAAAAGAAAGAGGTTTAGTGGACATACAGCTCCACGTGGTTGGGGAGGACTCACAATCATGGCGACGGTAAAAGGCACATCTCACATGACAGCAGACAAGAGAAGAGAACTTATGAAGGGAAACTCCTCTTTATAAAACCATCGGATCTTGTGAGACTTTTTCGCTATCACAAGAACAGCATGGGGAAGACCTGTCCCTATGATTCGATTACCTCCCACCGGATCCCTCCCACAACACGTGGGAACTCAAGATGAGATTTGGTTGGGGATAGAGTCAAACCATATCATTCCACCACTGGCCCCTCCCAAATCTCATGTCCTCACATTTCAAAACCAATCATGCCTTCCTAACAGTCCCCCAAAGTCTTAATGCATTTCAGCATTAACTCAAAAGTCCACAGTTGAAAGTCTCATCTGAGACAAGCCAAGTTCTTTCCACCTATGAGCCTGTAAAATCAAAAGCAACTTGGTTACTTCCTAGGTACAGTGTGAGTACAGGCATTGGGTAAATACAACCATTCCAAATGGGATAAGCTGGCCAGAACAAAGGGGCTACAGGTTCCATGCCAGTCCAAAATCCAGCAGGGCAGTCAAATCTTAAATCTCCAAAATGATTTTCTTTGACTCCATGTCTCACAACCAGGTCATGCTGATGTAACAGGTGGTTTCTCATGTTTTCGAGCAGTTCCACCCCTGTGGCTTTGTGGGGTGTAGTCTCCCTCCTGGTTGCTTTCACGGGCTGGTGTTGATTGTCTGCAGCCTTTCCAGGCGCATGGTGCAAGCTGCTGGTGGATCCACCACACATGGAGGACGGTAGCACTCTTTTCACAGCTCCACTAGGCAGTGCCCCAGTAGGGACTCTGTGTGGAGGCTCCAACCCCACATTTCCCTTACACACTGACATAGCAGGGATTCTTCATGAAGGCCCCGCCCCTGCAGCAAACTTCTGCCTAGGCATCCAGGCATTTCCATACATCCTCTGAAATCTAGGCAGAGGTTCCCAAATGTAAATTCTTGACTTCCATGTATCAGCAGGCTCAACACCACGTGGAAGCTGCCAAGGCCTCTGTAGCCATGGCCCAAGCTGTACCGTGGCTGCTTTTAGTCACAGCTGGAGTGGCTCAGATGCAGGGCACCAAGTCCCTAGACTACACACAGCATGGGAACCTTGGGCTCGGCCCACAAATCCATAATTTCCTTCCAGGCCTCCCGGCTTGTGATGGAAAGGCCCAGAGGCCTCTGACATGTCCTGGAGACATTTGCCCCATTGTCTTGGTGATTAACATTTGGCTGCTCATTGCTTATGCAAATTTATGCAGCTCACTTGAATTTCTCCTCAGAAAATGGGATTTTCTTTTCTTTTTATTATTATTATTATTTTTTAAATTTTATTATTATTATACTTTAAGTTTTAGGGTACATGTGCACAACGTGCAGGTTTGTTACGTATGTATACATGTGCCATGTTGGTGTGCTGCACCCAGTAACTCGTCATTTAGCATTAGGTATATCTCCTAATGCTATCCCTCCCCCCTGCCCCCACCCCACAACAGTCCCCAGAGTGTGATGTTCCCCTTCCTGTGTCCATGTGTTCTCATTGTTCAATTCCCACCTATGAGTGAGAACATGCAGTGTTTGGTTTTTTGTCCTTGCGATAGTTTGCTGAGAATGATGGTTTCCAGCTTCATCCATGTCCCTACAAAAGACATGAACTCATCATTTTTTATGGCTGCATAGTATTCTATGGTGTATATGTGCCACATTTTCTTAATCCAGTCTATCATTGTTGGACATTTAGGTTGGTTCCAAGTCTTTGCTATTGTGAACAGTGCCACAATAAACATATGTGTGCATGTGTCTTTATAGCAGCATGATTTATAATCCTTTGGGTATATACCCAGTAATGGGATGGCTGGGTCAAATGGTATTTCTAGTTCTAGATCCCTGAGGAATCGCCACACTGACTTCCACAATGGTTGAACTAGTTTACAGTCCCACCAACAGTGTGAAAGTGTTCCTATTTCTCCACATCCTCTCCAGTACCTGTTGTTTCCTGAACTTTTTAATGATCACCATTCTAACTGGTGTGAGATGGTATCTCATTGTGCTTTTGATTTGCATTTCTCTGATGGCCAGTGATGATGAGCATGTTTTCACATGTTTTTTGGCTGCATAAATGTCTTCTTTTGAGAAGTGTCTGTTCATATCCTTCACCCACTTGTTGATGGGGTTGTTTGCTTTTTTCTTGTAAATTTGTTTGAGTTCATTGTAGTTGCTGGATATTAGCCCTTTGTCAGATGAGTAGGTTGCAAAAATTTTCTCCCATTCTGTAGGTTGCCTCTTTACTCTGATGGTAGTTTCTTTTGCTGTGCAGAAGCTCTTTAGTTTAATTAGATCCCATTTGTCAATTTTGGCTTTTGTTGCCATTGCTTTTGGTGTTTTAATTATGAAGTCCTTGCCCATGCCTATGTCCTGAATGGTATTGCCTAGGTTTTCTTCTAGGGTTTTTATGGTTTTAGGTCTAACATGTAAGTCTTTAATCCATCCTGAATTAATTTTTGTATAAGGTGTAAGGAAGGGATGCCGTTTCAGCTTTCTACATATGGCTAGCCAGTTTTCCCAGCACCATTTATTAAATAGGGAATCCTTTCCCCATTGCTTGTTTTTGTCAGGTTTGTCAAAGATCAGATAGTTGTAGACATGCAGCATTACTTCTGAGTGCTCTGTTCTGTCCCATTGGTCTACATCTCTCTTTTGGTACCAGGAAGTCAAATTTTCCCTGTTTGCAGATGACATGATTGTATATCTAGAAAACCCCATCATCTCAGCCCAAAATCTCCTTAAGCTGATAAGCAACTTCAGCAAAGTCTCAGGATATAAAATCAATGTGCAAAAATAACAAGCATTCTTATACACCAATAACAGACAAACAGAGAGCCAAATCATGAGTGAACTCACATTCACAATTGCTTCTGAGAGAATAAAATACCTAAGAATCCAACTTACAAGGGATGTGAAGGACCTCTTGAAGGAGAACTACAAACCACTGCTCAGTGAAATAGAAGAGGACACAAACAAATGGAAGAACGTTCCATGTTCATGGATAGGAAGAATCAACACGGTGAAAATGGCCATACTGCCCAAGGTAATTTATAGATTCAATGCCATCTCCATCAAGCTATCAATAACTTCTTCACAGAATTGGAAAAAACTACTTTAAAGTTCATATGGAACCAAAAAAGAGCCCGCATTGCCAAGACAATCCTAACCCAAAAGGATAAAGCTGGAGGCATCTTGCTACCTGACTTCAAACTATACTACAAGGCTACAGTAACAAAAATAGCATGGTACTGGTACCAAGAATTATTTTCTGAAAGTAAAGAAAAAATAAGAGTATATGAGAACATAGAAAAGAGAGGGGTAAGATAGAAGAGATTTTTCCATATAAAATCTAGAAGCTAAAAAGAATCAACTATCAAATTTTAAAGAGTTAAAACCACACATACTTTAGAAAAACTAAATGTATACATGTGCCATGTTGGTGTGATGAACCCATTAACTCGTCATTTAGCACATGTACCCTAAAACTTAAAGTATAATAATAATAAAATAAAATAAAATAAAATAAAATAAAAGAAGAAAAACAAAATGTAATTTGTGACATTTTTGATAAAAATTTATCTTCCTTTGTTGAAAAGAAAAAGCTGATCTCCAGCCAAGATGATGTGCTCTGATCATAAAGAAAACAGGGATTACCTAAATAATTTGGAAAATGTCCCTTTAAAAATTGTGCAGTAATAACCAGTTTTTTAGAAGCTAAATGTTTTATTTAATTACAAATCTTATAGGGGCAGTGGCAGAGGTATTTGAAGAGATTTTATGATAAAACAACCAAGCACTAGTTATAATGTTACACATATGTGTCTCCTAAAGGTAGGCAATACATATTTCCTTTAAAAGTATAAGCAGCAGAGCATCAAAGAAACAATTTAGACAAACTGAAATGCACTTAAATAAATGGATGAGGAAGTATAAGTTTCTTCATTAACCGAAACTTGAAGCAGTACAATGAGGTCTCAAAAACATACGCCCTGGTCTCAGACTGACTAAATAGTCACTATGTCTCCTCCCTTACATGATGTGGAAAACAAGACAAGGTACTCAACTATGTATCTTCAGTTTAATTTTTTTTTTTTTTTTTTTTTTGGTGAAAAGAACATTTAACATTAGATTTACCTTCCTGGAAAATCTTAAGTGTACAATACAGCACTGTTAGCCACAAGTTGTGCAGCAGATCCCTAGAAATTACTCATCTTGTATAACTGAAACATTATACCCTTGGAACAGCAACTTCCCGTTTTCTCCTCTCCCTATCCCCTGGCAGCTACATTCTATTTTTTTTTCTATGAGTTTCTATTTTATATACTTCATGTAAGTGGAATCATGCAGTATTTGTACTTCTGTGACTGGCTTATTCCACTTAGCATAATGTCTTCCAATTTCATCCATGCTGTCATATATGGCAGGATACAAATTGCCAACATGTGTATGAAAAGATACTTAACATTATTAATTATTGGGGAAATGCAAATTAAATCCACAATGAGGTATTACCTCACATTTGTTAAAATGGTTATCTTCAAAAAAGCAAATGTTAGCACAGATGTGGAAAAGTTGGAACCCTTGTGCACTATTGGTGGGAATGTAAAATGGTACAACTGCTATGAAAACATTATAAAATTTTCTCAAAAAAATTAAAAATTGTATTATCATATAATCCAGCAATCCCACCTCTAGGTATATATATCCAAAAGAATGGAAATAAGGATCTAAAAGAGATAGCTGCACTCCCAAATTTAAGGCAATGTTATTTACAATAGCAAAGATATGGAAACAACCTAAATGTCCATAAATAGATGAATGGATAAAGAAAAGGTGTACATACATATAAGAGAATATTTTTTCAGTTTCATACAGGAAGGCATTCCTATCTTTCCCTCTTCTATGGTTTGGATATGACTTGTTTGGCTCAGCCAAGTATCGTGTTGAAATTTGATCCCCAGTTTTGCAGGTCGGGCCTTGTGAGAAGTGTTTGGATTGTGGGGGCAGATCCCTTATGAATGGCTTGATGCCATTCTCACGAGACTGACTTTTAACTCTTAGTTCCCATGTGAACTGGTTGTTGAAAGATCCTGGCATCTCCTCTCCCTGTTGCTTCCCCTCTTGCCACGTGATCTGCACAGGCCAGCTCCCCTTCTCCTTTTGCCATGAGTGGAAGCAGCCTGAGTCTTTTATCAGAAGCATATGCTAGCACCATGCTTCTTGTACAGCCTGCAGGACTTTGCACAAAATAAACCTCTTTCCTTTATAAATTATATAGCCCCAGGTATTTACAGCAACACAAGCAGACTAAGACACCCTCCACTTCTTCACTGGTAAAACAAAGAGTATTATAGTATGTGCCTCCCAGAGTTGTCATGAGCATTTAATAAAAATATACATGTTAATGATTTAACTCAATTTAACCTGCTTCCTATTAAATAGTAAGCAATCAATAACACTTAGACGTGATGATGATTATATGATTTTTAGTTGAAGATAACACTTTTGAAACTCCCCATCCTCTTATTTTCTGGAATATAAATAATATAATTTTAACATTAGAACCCCCTAGCAAAATAGTATTTTTTTCTGTTTACATGTAAACCAGCCTATGCATGTATTTTAAGCAATTTGTGTTTTAAATTCAGACAATTAACATCTAGCATAGTCTCATTTTTTACTGTATGTTAGATACTTTCTATGTAAATAAATAAAAGGCACTTGATAAATATCTGTCTAATGACTGAAGGGAGAAGAAGAGAAAATAAATAAGAAAAGAACAAGTGATTTGACACTAATCCAATGCACTTAACGTATGTTAAAATGCATAGATAAGAGTTACATTAAGATTTTATATGAATTCTAAACAGCCTACATTAGATACTAACCTAAGCTAGGCAGATAACTAACATATGTTATCTTTAACAATTCAATATTGACAGGGCTATATATTAGAAAATATCCTAGCCACATTATATAGCACTTTTCATAGCCCCTGTTGTATACTTAATTCATAATTAGTATTTGCAAGCTATATTATGAATGTAAAAAATGAAATAAGATTCTCATATTTAATGTAAAATTAAGTATATAGTGATATCTACATATTAATATTTAAGCTACACTAATTATTGATAAAACATATTTCCCAAATTAATTATCTAATAACAATGATAACAGTTCCTGCTGCTTGTATTCTAAAACATGAGCAGGTGAGTCATACAATATACATCCTATACTTTAGTTTTCAAACATTTTGGTATTAAGTATTTGGAAGCCTAGTACAACTAGTAGGTAAAAGTTTAACAGCGAGAGTTAAAGTGATTAGGAAGAACAATACCTCAGTTAGGAAAAAAAATTTGGAGCCAACTTTGATATTCATTGTTCTATACAAGATCCCTCATAATTCTCAGAGGAGAATCAACACACAGCTGGAGAAAATGACCAGGTGGGTGCATTAGCAAAGTTACTCTCATAAATAACAACTCCAGAAAATTCTGACAGATGGCTTCACTGCTGAATTTTACTAAATACTTAAAGATGATCTAATAGCAATTCTACTCTATTCCAAAAAGTAGAGGAGGAAATACTTCTAAACTCATTTTACAAAGCTGGTATCATCCTTATGCCAAAATCAGAGACACCTCAAAAATAAAATAAAATAAGATAAAATAAAGAAAACTACAGGTCAATATTCCTCATGAACATTGATGCAAAAGTCTTCAACAAAATACTAGCCAGCAAAACTCAAAAACACGTTAAACAGATCATTTGCCGTGACAAAGTGAGATATATCCCATGGATGCAAAGATGGTTCAACATATGCAAATCAATCAATTTGATACAACATATCAACAGAAAGACAAAAACCATATGATTATTTCAATCGATGCTGAAAAAGCATTTGATAAAATTCAATGTCCCTTCATGATAAAAACCCTCAAAAAAACTAGGTATAGAAGGAACATATCTTGATACAATGAAAGCCATATATGACAGACCTACAGCTAGTATTAAACTGAATGGGGAAAAACTGAAAACCTTTTCTTTAAGATCTGGAACATGACAAGGATACCCACCTTCACCACTATTATTCAACATACTACTGGAAATCCTAGCTAGAACAGTCAGACAAGAGAAATAAATAAAGTGCATCCAAACTGGAAAGGAACAAGACAAATTATCCTTTTTGTGGATAACATGATCTTATATTTGGAAAAACACCTGAAGAATTTTTAGAATTTTTGATGCCATACTCCTACATAGAAAAGTTTTATAACATTGTGTGTGATTATGTGTTTAGATTTGAAGATAGCCAAGTATAGCCAAGTTTATTTTTTTAATGGAGGCATATTATAATTCTAATAGGAGAGACTGAAGAAAATAGAAAAACAAAGAAATAGTTTACAACACATGAATCTTACTAATTTCCTACTGAGGTAAGAATGATTTTTTTTAAAAGTAGACAACAGAGAGGGACACATTTAACAGATGGAACTACAGAAATACCTTGATTTAAAAAAACACAAAAACTTTGACGATCAATTTCAGTTGTGAAAAATATGTGTGGGCTAAAAGCATTCTCAAAATTTTCTCTTTCTCAAAGCTATTTCCTTTGAGGAATCCTGAAAATACTGGAAAGCTTTCCATGAGTTGGTAAAATAGCGTACATAGGGGAAATAGTTATATTTGTGAGCCAAAAGGTCTTATCAATATTTTACCAATCCATTTATTTTTAATCATCTAAAAACATGGCTCAGGAGTTTTTAAAATGTGCGTACTTTTAGCAACTTAACTGTAAGTTTCGCCAGGCAGACTATATCAAAGCAAAAAGAACTGTTAATTGAACACCTCAATACTAATCTTATTAACAACTCAGTGAGATCATTAAGACAATTTTAAACACTTGTTATCTATAATCTCCTTAATATATAAACTTCTCATGTTTCAATGTTGCACTCGGTTCTTGCAAACCTGGACACATATTTTATAGGAAGCTTTTTCTGGTCTGTGTACCATTTTCTGAACACTTTTTAGAAGTATCAATGATTGTTATTCCATAGTTTCTTCAATGCTTATCATGGTTCTGCTGTTCTATTTTATATTGGCAATATTAATTTTAAAGTAAGTTGCAACATATTGTATTTCTCCATAATTATGTAGTGCTTAGGTTATTTGTAAAAATTTGTATTATCTGAGAGCGTCTGACATATTCAAAAAGAAGCTACTAACAATTAGGTAACGAAATACCTTATCTGATATTGACACTGTAGAAAAAAATGTTCTGTAAATTGATGCTTGACAAAAATACTAAAAAAGGTACTGGTAAAAAGATTTGGAGTGTTCCCAGCACAAAGAATGATAAATATTTGCCATATAGATATCCTAATTAATATGATTTTATCATTACATGTTGTGTGCATATATTAAAGCATCACAGGTACCCCAGAAATATGTACAATCATTATATATTTGTAAAAAAAATATATGGCCTTTCATCTTAGTTAGGCCTGATTCTAAAGCATAGAGTATTATAGCAAGTGCCTAAATAGTTTGCCTTATGTAGTTTTAATTTACATTGAATTATTTTAAGAATTGGGAAATTTGGTTTTTCCTTTTTATACAAGTAGAGAAAGGACTCAAAATTGTATTGGATTCACCATCACTAACCATAATCAACAAAGGATGTGCAGAAACGCACTTGCCACAAAATATCTCTAAAATTATTTTCTGATGGGAGTATATTGGTAAATAATTTATTGGATAGTAAATCGCACTGCTAAGTAATTTTTTAAAATCGTGTACAAGACTAATTAGCTTACACTAAACAGGACTATTCTGTCCATTTTAATGAGAAAACAAGTACAGAAAGATATTTATCTTTCTGTAGAAGGTCAAGGTAATTAATGACAAAATCTCCTCCAGTTGGGAAATTAGGAGGTAATTTTAAATATCACATAAAAGGAGCGAATCAAAAACAAATTACTTAGTGAAGCTATACTATTTTAGACTTAGATAGTTTTAGGACAAATTATATAAAATAAGATAAAATGGTATCCAAATGTTCAAGTGCTATAGACTGAATGTTTATGTCCCCTCCCAAATTCATATATTAAACCCTAATCTCCAATAAAATGATATTTAGATATGGTCCTGGGGAGGTGATTAGGTAACAAGTTTTAAGCCCTCATGATAGAATTAGTGCTCTTATAAGAAGAGATAAGACAGGAAAAAGAATGCACTCTCCCTCTTACTCTCCCTCTCTGATACAGCTAGAAGGCAGGTGTCCAAAAGCCGGAAATCAGACTCTCACCAAACACCAGAACTGCCCCTCTTTTTGGAGTCTAGTTTAGGTACATGAATCCAAAGTAATTTTAATTTATACTGAGTTATATATTAAACTTAGTAATTTAATTCGATCATCCTCTAATGAAGAACTGCCTCTGTAAATTACCTCCATCCATATTTCTGCATCCTGTGTTGCATGGATTTGGGGCATTTTCGGAGTTAAAGTTGTTCAAAACAATGCTCAATTTAAATACTATAGTGCTAGTAGAGTTATGTTTAATATTTGCCCTTTTATTGATATATACATATTTACATATTTATGGGGTACCTGTGAGTGTATATTACATGTAAAGAATGAGTAATCATCAAGTCAGGGTATTTAAGGTATTCATCACCTTAGTGTTTAGCATTTTAATGTGTTGGTATCATTTCAAGACCTATTTTCTTGTTACTTTGAAATATGCATAATATTGTTGCTATATAGTGTGTGTGCTATATGTGTATATACTATATATGTGTGCTATAGGCACACATATGTTCATTGCAGCACTATTCACAATAGCAAAGACATGGAATCAACCTAAGTGCCTATCAATGATACACTGGATAAAGAAAATGTGGTACATATACACCATGGAATAATATGCAGCCATTAAAAAAACCTACAAGATTGTGTCCTTTGTAGGGATATAGATGGAGGTGGAGGCCATTATCCTTAGCAAACTAATGCAGGAACAGAAAACCAAATACCACATGTTTTCACTTATAAATGGGAGCTAAATAATGAGAACATGTGGACACATAGAGGGTAACAACACCCACTGGGACCTATCAAAGGATGGAAGCAGGAGGAGGGAGAGGATCAGGAAAAATAACTAATGGTTACCAGACTTAATACCTGGATGATGAAATAATCTGCACAGCAAACCCCCATGTCACACATTTTCCTATGTAATAAACCTACACATGTACTCCTGAACTTAAAATAAAATTAAAAAAATAAAAATAAAGATCAAATACAAAAAAAGAAATTGAATTTGTTTGTTCTACCTAACTGTGTGCATTTGTACCTATAACCAACCTCTCTTCATTTTCTCCCTTCCCACGCTCATCCTTCCCAGTCTCTGGTATTCATCATTTGATTGTCTACATCCATGAGATCAAGCTTTTTAGCTCCCGCATTTAAGTAAGAACACATATTTGTCTTTCTGTGCCTGGAGTATTTCACTTAACATAATGACCTCCAGTGTACACATGTTGCTATAAATGACATGATTTCATTCTTTTTATGGCCCAATAGTATTCTCTTGTGTATATATGCCACATATGTATCCATTCATCTATTGATGGGCACTTAGATTGATTCCATATCTTCACTTCTATGAATAGGGTCATGATACACATGTGAGTTACCCTTCCTGTACATCTTTAAGCATCTGTTATTTTCTATCTTTTTAATAATAACCATTCTAACCACAGTGAGATGATAGCCATTGTGGGTTTGATTGGCATTTCCCTGATTAGTGATGTTAAGCATTTTTTATATAACTGTTGGCCATTTGCATGTCTACTTTTGAAAAATATGTATTCATGTCCTTTGCTCATTTCTCAATGGGATTATTTTGTTATTTTCTTTTGTTTTTACTACTGAGATGTTTGACTTTCTTGTATATTCTGAATATTAGTCCCTGTTAGAGAAATAATTTGCAAATATTTTTTTCTGATTCAACAGGATGTCTCTTCACTTTATTGAGTGTTTCTTTTGCCATGCAGAAATATTTTAGTTTAATATAGTCTGATTATTCTATTTTTTGTTTTGTCTGTTTGTTGTTGTTGTTGTTGTTTCTTTTTCTTTTTCCTTTTTTTTTTTTTTTTTTTTTTTGAGACAGTCTCACTCTGTCGCCCAGGCTAGAGTGCAGTGGCATATGATCTCAGCTCACTGCAACCTCTGCTGCCTGGGTTTAAGTGATTCTCCTGGCTCAGCCTCCTGAGTAGCTGAGATTACAGGCACTTGCCACCGTGCCTGGCTGTTGTTGTTGTTGTTGTTGTTGTTGTTGTTGCATTTTTAGTAGAGACGGGGTTTCACCATTTTGGCCAGGCTGGTCTTGAACTCCTGATCTTATGATCCACCCACCTCGGGCTACCAAAGTGCTGGGATTACAGGCATGGTTGTCTGTACTTTTGAGGTCTTAATATCTTTGCCTAGACCTGTGTCCTGAAGAGTTTTCCTATTTTTCAAGCAGTTTTATGGTTTCTAGTTTACATTTAAGTTTTCAATCCGTCTTGAGTTGACTTTTGTATACGCTGAGAGATATAGGTGCAGTTTCATTTTTTTGCTGGATATAATTATCCAGTTTTCTCAGGACGATTTTAAAAAATTTATTTTTATTTTTAATTGTTGTGTGTACATAGTAGATATATATATTTATGGGGTACACGAGATGTTTTGATACAGGCATGCAATGTGAAATAAGCACATCATGGAAAATTGGGTATAAATCCCCTCAAGCACTTGTCTTTTGAGTTACAAGCAATCTTATTACACTTTTTAAGAAATTTAAAATGTACAATTAAGTTATTATTGACTATAGTCACCCTGTTGTGCTATCAAAGAGTAGGCCTTATTCATTCTTTCTAACTATTTTTTGTGCCCACTAACCATTCCCTATTCCCTCCCGTAGCCCCCCACTACCATTGCCAGACTCTGGTTACCATACTTCTACTCTCTATCTCCATGGGTTCAATTGTTTTAAATTTCAGATACTACACATATGTGAGAACATTCAATGTTCATCTTTCTGTGCCTGGCTTATTTCACTTAACATAATGATCTCCAGTTCCATCCACATTGTTCAAAATGACTGTGTCTCATTCTTTTTGTGACTGAATTGTACTCCATTGCGTATATGTACAACATTTTCTTTATCCATTCATCCATTGACACTTACGTTGCTTCTAAATCTTAGCTATCGTAAACAGTTCTGCAACAGACATGGTACTGCAGACATCTCTTTGATATACTGATTACCTTTCCTTTGGGTACATACCCAGCGGTGGGATTGCTGGATCTTATGGTAGCTCTATTTTTAGTTTTTTGAGAAACCTCCAAACTATTCCCCATAGTGGTTGTAATAATTTGCATTGCCACCAACAATGTATGTTATTGCCTCTCTTTTGGATATAAGCCATTTTACCTGGGGTAAGATGATATCTCATTGTAGTTTTGATTTGCATTTCTCTGATGCTCAGTGATATTGAGCACCATTTCATATTCCTGTTGGCCATTTGTATGTCTTCTTTTGAGAAATGTTTATTCAAATCTTTTTGCCCATTGTTTGACCGGATTATTAGATTGTTTCCTATAAAGTTGTTTGAGCTCCTTATATATTCTGCTGATTAATCCCTTGTCAGATGGGTAGTTTGCAAATATTTTTTCCCATTCTGTGAGTGGTCTCTTCATTTCATTGATGGTATCCTTTGCTGTGCAGAAGCTTTCTAACTTGTGATCTCATTTGTCCATTTTTACTTTGGTTGCCTGTGCTTGTGGGATATTACTCAAGAAATATTTGCCCAGACTGACGTTCTACAGATTTTTCCCAATGTTTTCTTATAGAAGTTTCATGGTTTGAAGTCCTAGATTTAAGTCTTTGATCAATTTTAATTTGATTTTTGTATATGGTGAGAGACAGGGGTCTAGTTTCTTTCTTTGGCAAATGGATATCCACTTCTCCCAGCACCATTTAGTGAACAGACTACCTTCTCCCCAGTGTATGTGCTTGGCACTGTTGTTGAAAATGAGTTAACTGTAGATGTATGGATTTCTTTTGGGGCGCTTTCTTCTGTTCCATTGGTTGTGTCTGTTTTTATGCCAGTACCATGCTGTTTTGGTTACTATAGCTATATAGCATAATTTGAATTCAGGTAATGTGATTCCTCCAGTTTTGTGCTTTTTGCTCAGGATAGCTTTGGCTATTCTGGGTCTTTTGTGGTTCACATAAATTGTAGGATTTCCTTCTATTTCTATGAAGCAAGTCATTGGTATTTTGACAGAGATTGCATTGAATCCGTAAATTGCCTTGGGTAGTATAGACATTTTAAAAATATTGATTCTTCCAATCCATGAACATAAAATATCTTTCCTCTTTTTTGGTGTCCTCTTCAATGTTTTTAATCAGCGTTTTATAGTTTTCATTATAGGGATCTTTCACTTCTTTGGTTTAGTTAATTCCTACATGTTTAATTTTAGATGTGGCTATTGTAAATGGGATTAGTTTTTGAATTTACTTTTCAGAGTGTTCACTTTTGGCATACAGATATTCTACTGATTTTTTTATGGTGGTTTTGTATCCTGCAATGTCTCTAAATTTGTTTATCAGTTCTAATAATTTTCCTATAGAGTCTTTAGGTTTTCCAAATACATAATCAGATTATCTGCAAACAAGGATAATTTGACTTCTTCCCCTCCAATTTGGATGCCTTTTATATATCTTTCTCCTGTCTGTTTGCTCTTCATTGGATTTCTAATACTATGTTGAAAAACAGTCGTGACAACGGGCATCTTTGTCATGTACTAGAACTCAGAAGAAAGGCTTTGAGTTTTGCCCCATTCAGTATACTAGCGTGGTTCTGTCATAAATGACTTTTATTATGTTAAGGTGGTTTATTCTATCCCCAGTTCTTTGAAGAATTTTATCATGAAAGGATGCTGAATTTTATCAAATCCTTTTTCAGAATCAATTGAAATGATCCTATGATTTATCCTTTATTCTGTTGATATGATGTATCACATTAATTGATTTGCATATGTTGAATCATTCCTGAATCTCAGGGATAAATCTCAGTTTGTCATGATGAATGATTTATCTAATGTATTGTTGAATTTGGTTTGCTAATATTATGCTGAGGATTTTTGCATCAATAGTCATCAGATATATTGGTCTGTAGTTTGTGTGTGTGTGTGTCATTTTCTGGGTTTGGTGTCAGGGTAATAATGGCATCATAAAATAAGTATGGAAGTATTCTTTCCTTCTCAATTTTTCAGAATAGTTTCAGTAGGACTGGTATTAGTTCTTCTTAGTAGAATTCAGCAGTGAAGCCAATAGGTCCTCAACTTTTCTTTACTGTGAGACTATTATGGCCGGACGTGGTGGCTCATGCCTCTAATCCCAGCACTTTGGGAAGCTGAGGCAGGTGGATTAACTAAGGTCAGGATTTGTGACCAGCCTGGCCAACGTGGTGAAACCTCATCTTTATTAAAAATGAAAAAAATTAGCCAGGTGTGGTGGTGGGCGCCTGTAATCCCAGCTACCTAGGAGGTTGAGGCAGGAGGATCACTTGAACCCGGGACACTGAGGCAGGAGGATCACTTAAACCTGGGAGGCAGAGGTTGCAGTGAGCCGCGATCACGCCACTGCACTCCAGCCTGGGTGACTAGAGCGAAACTCTGTCTCAAAAAAAAAAAAAAAAGAATGAAACAGCACCAAATAGACAGGTACCAGATTATAATAAGTGCACCACTGGATCTTCAAAGTTCTTTTTTATGTTGTATATATAAGGAGAACAAATACAGTATAGCTTCTATGAGAAATAAAAGCCAGAAGACAGGACTGTATTTCTAAATTCAGAGAAAGATAACTTTGAGTGAAAATTATTAATTGCATACCCATAAAGAATGTTCTAGAAAATTATTTAGTATTTTTGTTAGGTTGCAAAAAGTTAAAGAAATTTACAGAATAGTATTTTATGTTATATAAATAATTTTATGTTCTATATTTGATCATGCATGTGAGAGAATGGTGTTTATAAATATCACTGGGGATAATTTCCATACTATCCATGTAATATAGTTTAGATGTGTGTCCCCTCTAAATGTCATGTTAAGATGTATTCCCTAATGTTGGAAGTGGGGCCTGGTGGGAGGTGATTGTATCATGGGGGCAGATTCTTCATGGTTTGGTACTGTCCTCCCAATAGTGAGTTCTTATGAAATCTGGTTGTTTAAAAGTGTGTGGCACCTCCACACTTGCTTGCTCTTGCCTTTCTCATGTGACCTGTCTGCTCCTGCTTTGCCTTCTTGCCATGAATAAAAGCTCCCTGAGGCTTCCCCAGAAGCCAAGCAACTGCCAGTGCCATGCTTCCTGTACAGCTTGCAGAACTGTGCAAAAATTAAACTTATATTCTTTACAAATTACCCAGTTTCAGGTATTTATTGATAGCAATGCAAGAATAGCCTAGACCACCATGCAAACTAGAACTCCCTGGTTCTCTGTAGAATTATAATGTGTAGACCCATTTTCCTGAGTTTCTACCTATCTGTACATCACCTATAATATTTACCACACTTGGATCATTTGCTTTGTCCCTAATGCATGGCAACTAACTTATCATAAACAATCAATATAGCATCAATATTGATAAAATAGGCCAGATGTGGTGGCTCACACTTGTAATCCCAGCACTTTAAGAGGTTGAGGCAGGTTGATCACTTGAGCCCAGGAATTCTAGGCCAGACTGGGCAATATGGTGAAACCCCATCTCTATAAAAAAAAATACAAAAATAAGCTGGGCACGGTGGCACATACCTATAGGCCCAGCTGCTTGGGAGGCTGAGGTAAGAGGATCACTTGAGCACAAGAAGTTGAGGCTTCAGTGAGTCTTAATCATATCACTGTACTCCGTCCTTGGCAACAGAGTGACACTCCATCTCAAAATATTTATATCTATATAAATACAGATATAGATATTTTATATCTATATATTTTGCATAGATATATAAAGAGAGAGAGAGAAAAGAATCTTCTGTTGCTTCAATGAAAAACTTTCCTTTGAGTGTGCAAACATCAAGAGATTATGATCAATAATCCTAAAATTTATATAGACTTACAAAAGACTCATAATAGCTAAAGCCACCTTCAGCAAAATAACTAAACTGGAGGAATAATGTATCTTGACTTCAAATTATACTACAGAGCAATTGTAACCAAAACAGCATGGTACTGGCATAAAAACAGACACAAAGACCAATGGAACAGAATAGAGAATATAATAATAAATCCATACATTTTCAGTGAACTAATTTTCAACAAATGTGCCAAAAACATGTATTAAGGAAAGAGCAGTCCTTTTCATAAATTGTACTGGGGAAACTAGATATCCATATACAGAAGAATGATACTAGACCCCTATCTCTCACCATATATAAAAATCAAATCAAAATAAATTAAAGACATAAATCTAAGACCTCAAACTATGGAACTGCTAAAAGAAAACTTTGGGACAACTCTCCAAGATACTGGTCTGGGCAGAGATTTTTTTATTAATACCCCAAAAGCAAAAGCAACCAAAGAAAAAATGGACAAATGGGATCACACTAAGGTAAAAAGCTTCTGGACAGCAAATAAGTCAATCAACAAAGTCAAGAAACCACCCACAGGTTGGGAGAAAATATTTGCAAACTACCTATTTTACAAGGGATTAATAACCAGAAAATATAAGGAATTCAAACAGCTTTATAGGAAATAGTCTAATAATCCAGTCAAACAATAGGCAAAACATTTGAATAAACATTTCTCAGAAGACATACAAATGTCACTTAGACATGTTGAAAGGTGCTCAATATTATTGAGCATCAGAGAAATGCAGATTAAAACTACTATCAGGTGTCTCAACCCTGTTAATATTAAAAAACAGGCAACAACAAATGCTGGCAAGGATATGGAGAAAAGGGAACCCTCATGCACCATTGGTGGGAATGCAAATTAGTACAACCATTACGGAGAACAGTTTGGAGGTTCCTCAAAAAACTAAAAGTAAAGCTACCATATGATTTGGCAATCCCATTGCTGAATATATACCCCAAAAAGAGGAAATTAGTATATTCAAGAGATATCTGCACTCCTATGTTTGCTGGAGCACTGTTCACAATAGCTAAGATTTGAAAGCAACCTAAGTGTCTATTAACAGATGAATGGATTAAAAAAATATGGTACATATACACAATAGAGTACTATTCAGCCAGAAAAGAGAACAAGAACCTGTCATTTGCAAAAATATAGATAGAACTGGAAGTCACTATGTTAACTAAAATAAGCCAGGCACAGAAAGACAAATATTGCAAGTTCTAGTTCATTTGTGGGAGGTAAAAATTTAAACAAATGAAGTCATGGACATAGAGAGTAGAATGATGGTTATCAGAGGCTGGGAAGTATAGCGGGGTAGAGGGAAGTGGGAACTGTTAATGGGTACATAAACATAGTTAAAACATATAAGATCTGGTAATTGATAATGCAACAAGGTGATTGCAGTCAATGATGATTTGTTGTAAATTTAGAAATAACTAAAAGAGTGTAATGGATTGTTGTATCACAAATAAATAATAAATGTTTGAAGTGCTGGATACCCCATTTACCCTAGTGTCATTATTATGTCTTGTATGCCTGTATCAAAATATCTCGTGTACCCCATATATATATGTGTGTGTGTGTGTGTGTGTGTATATATACACATATATATACTTGCTATGTACCCATATTTTTTAAAAAAGAGTATGATTAGAACATTTCTCAGAGTTTCAGTCTTTATGTTCCTGATGATAAGAATATCTAAAATAAGATCTGTGTTAGGAATTGCAGGTCAAATTATATTATGCCTCTAGGGTAGAGTGAGTTAGAAAATGGGAAATGTGAAGATACAATGTGCTCCTAGACAGTGAATGTAAAAGTGAACAATTTTGCATTATTGGTTAATGGCAAAGGAAATTCTAGAACTGAACGTAAATTAAAGAATCTGTAAACCTACTACTGAAACCATGTTATAGTAATTTTATTTGAAAATTACATTTTTCTTTTTCTATTTGTATAAATTTAAAGGGTACAAGTGCAGTTTCGTTACATGGATATATTACATAGGAGTTAAGGCTTGTACAAGGTCAGGGTTACAATGTTAGATTAATGCATTTTAAGCAGCAGAAATAAGTGTTAGAGATTTGGATCTTTGGAAGTATCTATCAACCTTGTAGTTATTTTCTTCCTTCTGCCTAAGAGAAAATTGGAGATGGTAAACAATAGAGTTTTGATTGATGCAGTAGTTATCTTTCTTGTTTGACCTCATTTTTTATAAAAAGCTTTTAAACAGAGACAATTTCTACCACCTGTTCAGATTAGATATCTTTTTGAAAAGGAAAATAAATTGCATGATAACCACAGCATACCCCCACAAAAGCAGTTAGTTACTGAACAAGTTGAAGGCAGTTCTCCAATCTGTACATTTCTTAGAAAAATGTTGGCAAACTTCAGCTGTTCCCTCAATTTCATTCTCTAACTTGCATGCTCAATCTTTGTCATCTTCTCTGAAGGGGCCTTTTCTCAATATATAACCAAAAGAAGAACTAAAATGGAAAATATTTTCTCAAAAGAGGCACCATGAATTGGGGGCACTGAGATTGATAACAATTAATCTCAAATGATCCTTCTACATCAAATAAAAGGGATAATGACAAATATAAATGCTCTTCACTGAAGAATAACACTAACTCTTCTTGGATCTATCTTTGTTTTACATTTCATCTCATCCTATGTCAGGTCAAATCTAGAGAAAGAGCAAGCCACAGTGACAGAGAAACCAACTTCTTTCTAGAATCTGGAGTTGTCAGAGTTGTTCTAATTCTTGAGTTCTGATTCTTAGTTTTATTAAATTCAAGCCTTGAGGACAGTATCTTTTTTAATCTTAGATCTAGCAACCAATAACTATAACATCTAGAACACTGACTGAAACACAATTTTTTTTGGCTAAGTTTATGAATCCTTGAAAAGGATGCACAACTGAGCAATTTATTTACTTAGCATTGGCTCCTAATATATTATCCTGTTGTGCTTTACAAATAATCAGCTTGGTTCATCCGAGAGAGTATGCGTGGTTGCAGAAACAGAATATGCTCAAAAGTCTTGCATCCAGAAATTGGTCTCATGAGAATGTGACAGATCTGAATATACTTTCCCCAAATTGAATAGGATGCACCAGAAACTATAGTTTTGTGTTGAATTTTGCTCACATTTTAATGTAGGTAATATTTAAGAAATGCTCTCATTTGGCTCTTGTAGTTCATTAAGAAATCACATTGAAGGGCAGAGCAAGATGGCAGAATAGAAGCCTACACCATTTGTCTCCCAGTAGAAACATGAAATTTTAACAATGATCTGCACACAGAATACCACCATCACAACAACCAAAAATCACATGAGCAATTACAGTACCTGGTTTTAACTTTATATCACTGAAAGAGGCATTGAAGAGGGTAGGGGACAGTCTTGAATCGCCAATGCCACCACTCCACTGTCCTCTAGAAGTGGCTGTATGGTACAGAGAAAGTCTATGCACTCTCAAGGGAGGGAGAGTACAGCGACTAGTAGACTTTACCTCGAAATCAGTGCTGCTCTGTCATAGCAGAGAACAAAGCATTGTTGGGCCCAGCCAGTGTCCATGCACTGAGGGAGCATTTGGACCAGATCCAGCCACATGGTAATCATCCACCCCTGTGGTTGGACCTTGAGTTTCTGCAGGCATCAGTACCAGAGGCCAAACTGCTCTGGGGTCCTAGGTAAACTTGACAGGCAGTCTAGAATGTAAGGATTGCAATTCCTAGTCAACTTCTTGTGCTGGGCCGGGCTTAGAGCCAGTGGACTAGGAAGCACGTGACCTAGAAGGTCACCAGCCAGAGAGGCTAAAGGAGTGCTTGTGCTATTCCTCCCCCAACCTCAGGCAGTGCAGCCTGAAGCAAAAAAAAAAAAAGAAAAGAGAAGAATAAAAGAAAAAAATAGGGACAACTTCCTTCTGCTCTAGGAGAGGATAGCAAAGAGTAAAAACCATTTTGTATTGCACCTTGAATAGCAGCCCAGCCACAATAAGATAGGAAACTGGGCAAAGTCATGAGGCCCCCATTCCAGGCCCAAGGTCACTGACATTTCAAGACACATCCTGGAACGAAAGAGAAACCAGTGCCTTGATGAGAAGGACCAAGTCCTAGCAGGATTCATCACCTACTGACTAAAGAGCCCTTGGACCCCTAATAACCATCAGCGATACCCAGGTATTATGCCATGGGCCTTGGGCTCTGAGATGTGCTGGCTTTAGGGGTGACCTAGCATATGCCCAGCTGTGGTGGCTATGCCGAAAGACTCCTTCTGTTTGAAAGAAGCAAAAGAAAAAGTAAAGGGGACTTTGTCTTGCACCTTAGGTACCAGCCTGAACACAGTGGATAGGGCAACAAGCAGGCCCTTGGGGTCCTTAAGTCCAGGCCTAGGCTCTTGGATAGTATTTCTGGACCTGCGATGGGCCAGAGGAGGGCCAACTGCACTGAATGGGGAGCCCTTGGCTTTAAGTGAACAACAGTGGTGACCTGGTAAAACCCTCTGTGGGACAGTAGTGGCTGTGGCCACAAAGAGAGGCTCCTCTGCCTGCAAAAAGGGGAGGCAAAAGCAGACAGGGCTTTGTATTCTGGTTTGAGTGCCAGCTTAGCTGCAGTAGAATAGAATATCAAGTACATTTCTAAGATTTTTGACGCTAATCCCTGACTCCCAGACAGCATTTCTGGACCTGCCTTGGTCCTGGGGGAACTCACTGCTCTGAAGGGTATGATGTAAACCTGGCTGGCCTCGCTACCTGCTAATTGTAGGGGCCTAGGTAGTAGCCAGATAGTAAACACAGGTGGTAGCAGATAGTGGTTACAGTCTTTTATCCAAAGATACTAGGCCTTGGGTGAGACTTAGCGCTATGCTACAGGTCTTGGGTGAGATTCAGTTTTGTGCTGGCTTCAGGTCTGACCCAGCACAGTCCCAGTGGTGTTGGCCACTGGTGTGCTTATGTCACCCCATTCCCAGCTCTAGGTGGGCTTAGGGGGGAGAGAGAGAGAGAGAGAAAGAGAGAGAGAGAGACTGACTCTTTGGGAGAATATAAGGGGAAATGAACAAGAGTCTGTCCTGGTAATCAATGCAATTCTTCCAGATCTCATCTAAGGCCACCAAGGTAGTATATCTATGAGTCTGCAAAAAACATAGCATTATTGGACTTGGGGGCCAAGTCCCTTTGAATACCTGGAAAACTTTCTCAAAAAGGATGAACACAACCAGCCCAGAATCTGAACACTACAATAAATTCGTAACTATACAATGCTCAGACACCAATGAATATCTACAAACATCAAGATCATTCAGGAAAACATGACTTCATCCAATGAACCAATAAGGCACAAGAGACTAACTGGTGTAACAGAGACATGTAACTTTTTAGACAGATAATTCAAAATAGCTGTTTTGAGGAAACTCAAATAAATTCAAGGTAACACAGAGAAGGAATTCAGAGTTCTATCAGGTAAATTTAACAAAGAGATTGAAATAATTTTTAAAAAAGCAGAAATTCCAGTGGCAAAAAATGCAATTAACATACTGAAGAATTCATTAAATTCTCTTAATAGCAGGATTGATCAAGCAGAAGAAAGAATCAGTGAGCTTGAAGACAGGTTATTTGAAAACACAGAATCAAAGAAGACAAAAAGAGAAAAAAAATGAAACACACATAAAAATCCAGAAAATGGCATCAAAAGGGTAAATCTGAGTGTTATTGGCCTTAAAGGGGGGTAGAGAAAGAGATAAGTGTAGAAAGATTATTCAAATGAATAATATCAGAGCACTTCCAAAACCTAGAGAAAGATATTAACATTCAAGTACAAGAAGGTAATAAAACACCAAGAAGATTTAACCCAAAAGAAATTACCTCAAAGTCTTTAATAATCCAACTTCCAAAGGTTAAGGACAAAGAAAGTATTCTAAAAGCAGCAAGAAAAAAGAAATGAATAGCATACGATGGAGCTTCAATACATCTGGTATCAGCCTTTTCATGGTTATCTTACATAACAGGAGAGAGTGGCATGATATATTTAAATTGCTGAAGGAAAAAAAATACATACATCATCAATAGTACATCAGGCAAAAATATCCTTCAAGCCTGAAGAAGAAATAAAGACCTTCATAAACAAAAAAAATCTGAAGGATTTCCTCACCAGACCTGTCCTACAAAAAAATGCTAAAGGGAGTTCTTCGATGTGAAAGAATAAGATGCTAATGAGCAAGAAGTCATCTGAAGGTACAAAACCCAATGGTAATAGTAAGCATACAGTAAAACACAGAATATTATAAACTGTAATTGTGGCGTGTAAACTACTTTTACCTTAAGTAGAAAATTTAAATGATGAACCAATCAAAAATAATAACTTCAACAACTTTTCAAGACATAGACAGTATAATCTGACCTAATGAGGAAAAAAGTTAAAAAGTGAGGGGGATGAAATTTAAATATAGAATTTTTATGAGTTTTCTATTACATGTTTGTTTCTTTATGCAATCAGTGTTGTCATCAGTTTAGAATAATAGGTTATAAGATAGTATTTGCAAGCCTCATGTTAACCTCAAATCAAAAACATACAAGGGATACATAAAAACACAAAGCGAGGAATCAAATAGTACCACCAGAGAAAAATCACCTTGACAAAAAGGAAGACATAAAGTAAGGAAAAAAGGAAAAGAAGAACATGAAACAACCAGAAAACAAATAACAAAATGGCAGGAATAAATCTTTATAAATAATAACACTGTAAATGGACTAAATTCTCCAATAAAAAGTCATGCAGTGGCTAAATGGATGAAAAAACAAGATACAATGATGTGTTGTCTACAAGAAACACACTTCACTTATAAAGAGACAAACAGACTGAAAATAAAGGGATAGAAAAAGATATCCATGCCAAGGGAAATGAAAAAGAGAGCATGAATGTCTATAATTATATTAAAAAAATAGATTTCAGGACGAAAACTATAAGAAGAGACAAAATAGGTCATCATATAATGATAAAGGTGTCAAGCAATAGGATATAATGATTTTATATATATATATATATATATATATATATATATATATATATATATCCAACACTGGATCACCCAGATATATAAAGCAAATATTGTTAGAGCTATAAAGAGGAATTGATCTCAATACTACAATAACTAGAGACAACACCCCACTTTCAGCATTGAACAGAACTCCCAGACAGAAAATAAACACTGGACTTAGAATGAAGGGACTAATAGATATTTACAGAACATTTCATTCAACAGCTGCAGAATCCACATTCTTCTTAGTACATGGATCCTTCTTAAGGATAGAGCGTATGTTAGGTCACAAAACAAGTCTTAATGCATTCAAAAAAATTGAAGTAATACCAAGCATCTTCTCTCACAACAATGGAATAAAACTAGAAGTCAATAACAAGAGGAATTTTGGAAACTATACAAACATGTGGAAATTAAACAATGTGTTCCTGAATGATCAGTCGGTCAATGAAGAAATTAAGAAGACATTGAAAAATTTCATGAAACAAATGATAAGGAAAATACAGCATACTAAAGCCTATGTGAGGCAGCAAGTGCCTACATCAGAAAAGAAAAGAAATACAATATATTACCTAATGATGCATCTTAAAGAATTAGAAAAGCAAAAGCAAACCAAACCCAAAATTTGTGGAAATCATCATTCTCAGCAAACTAACACGGGATCAGAAAACCAAATACCACATGTTCTCACTCATAAGTGGGAGTTGAACAATGAGAACACATGGACACAGGGAGGGGAACATCCCACACTGGGGCCTGTCAGGGGGTGGGGGGCTAAGGGAGGGATAGCATTAGGAGAAACAGCTAATGTAGATGATGTGTTGATGGGTTGATGTGTGCAGCAAACCACCATGGCACATGTATACCTGTGTAACAAACCTGCATGTTTTGCACATGTATCCCAGAATGTAAAGTATAATAAAAAAAAAGAAAGAAAATAATAAAGAGAGAAGGAATAAATGAATTTCAACTTAAGAAAACAACAAAATATCATTGAAACAAGAAGCTTTTTTTTTTGTAAAGTTAAATAAAATTGACAAAACTTTAGCTAGACTAACAAAGAAAAAAGAGAAAAGACCCAAATAAATAAAACTCAGAGATGGAAAAGGAGACATGACAACTGATACTGCATATATCCAAAGAATCATTAGTGGCTACTATGAGCAACTACAGGCCAATAAATTGAAAAATCTAAAGGAAATGGATAAATTCCTAGACACATACAACCTACCAAGAACCATGAAGAAATCCCAAACTCAAATAGGCCAATAACAAGAAATGAGATAAAAGCTGTAATAAATCTCTCCTAGTAAAGAAAACACTAGGTTGTGATGACTTCACTGTTGAAATCTACCAAACATTTAAAGAAGAACTGATAACAATCCTACTTAAACTATTCAAAAAAACAGAGGTGGAGGGATTACTCCCAAATTCCTTCTATGAGGCCAGTTACCCTGATACCAAAACCAGACAGAGACACATTAAAAAAAGGAAACTACAGGCCAATATCTCCAAGGAATATTGATGCAAAACTTCTCAACAACATATTAGCAAACCCAATTCAACAATGCATTAAAAAGATTATTCATTATGACCAAGTGGGATTTATCCTAGGGATGCAAGGATGGTTCAACATATGCAAATCAATTGATATGGTACATCATATCAACAGAATGAAGGACAAAAACCATATGATCATTTCAATTGATGCCAAAAAAGCATTTGATAAAATTCAACATCCCTTTGTGATAAAAACCTGCAAAACATTGGGTGTATAAGAACCATACCTCGACATAATAAAAGCCATATGTTATAGACTCACAGCTAGTATCATACTAGATGGGGAAAAACTGGAAGCCGTTCCTCCAAGATCTGTAACATAACAAAGATGACCACTTTCACCACTGATATTTGACATAGTAATGGAAATCCTACCTAGAGCAATCAGACAAGAAAAAGATATAAAAGTCATCCAAATTGGAAAGAAAGAAGTAAAATTATCTTTGTTGGCAGATGATATGATCTTATATTCAGAAAAATCTAAAGTCTCCACACAAAAAAAAGACTATTAGAACTGATGAAAAAATTCAGTAAAATTGCAGGTTACAAAATCAACATACAAAAATCAGTTGCATTTTTACATGCCAAAAGTGAACAATCTGGAAAAAAATAGTAATCCCATTTATAATAGCTGCAAACTAAATTAAATGCCTAGGAATTAACCAAAGAAGTGAAAAATCTCTATAATGAAAACTATAAAACAATGATGAAAGAAATTAAACAGGACACCAAAAAATGGAAAGATATTTTATGTTGATGGATCAGAAGAACCAGAATTGTTAAAATGTCCATACTACTCAAAGCAATATACATATTCAATGCCATCTCTATCAAAATACCAATGACTAGCTTCACAGAAATAGAAAAATTAATGCTAAAATTTATATGAACCACAAAAGACCAAGAATAGCCAAACCTATCCTGAGCAAAAAGAACAAAACTGGAGGAATTACATTACCAGACTTTAAAGTATACTACAGAGCTATACTCCACAAACAGCATGGTACTGGCATTAAAACAGACACACAGAGACAATGGAACATAATAGAGAACACAGAAATAAATCCATACATCTCCAGTGAACTCATTTTTGACAAAGTTGCCAAAAACATACATTGGAGAAAAGACAGTCACTTCAGTAAATTTTGCTGGGAAAAATTGTATATCTTATGCAGAAGAATGAAACTAGACCTCTATCTCTCATCATATATAAAAATAAAATCAAAATGGATTAGTGACTTAAATCTAATACCTCAGACTATAAAACTACTACAAGAAAACATTGGGAAAATGCTCCAGGCCTTTGACTTGGAAAAAAAATTTCTTGATTAATGCCCCCAAAGCACAGGCAACCAAAGCAAAATTGGAAAAATGGGATCATATCAAATTAAAAAGCATCTAAGCTTTCTGCACATCAAAGAAAACAATCGATAAAGTCAAGGGACTACCCACAGAATGGGAGAAAATATTTGTAAACTACTCATCTGACAGGGATTAATAATCAGAATACATAAGGAGCTCAAACAACTTTATAGGATAAATTTTAATAATTTAATGATAAATGGGTACAAGATTTGAATAGGTATTTCTCAAAAGTAGAAATACAAATGGCAAGCAGGCCTATGAAAAGGTTTTCAACATTACTGAGCATCAGAGAATTACTAATCAAAACTACAATGAGATATAATCTCACCCTAGTTAAAATGACTTATATCCAAAAGACAGGCAATAACTAATGCTCACGAGAATGTGGAGGAAAGAGAATCCTTGTCCTCTCTTTGTTATAAGGTACAACCACTACGAAGAACAGTTAGGAGTTTCCTCAACAAACTAAAAACAGAGCCACCACTGCTGGATATATGCTCAAAATTAAGAAAATCAGTATTTCAAAGAGATATCTGCACTCCCATGCTTGCTGCAGCACTGTCCACAACAGCTGCGATAATGGAAACAACCTAAGTGTTCATCAATAGATGTATGGATAAAGCAAATGTGGTACTTATATGCAATGGAGTACTATTCAGCCATAAGAAAGAATGAGATCTTGTCATTTGCAGCAACATGGATGGAACTGGAGGACATTATAAGTGAAATAAGCTAGGCACAGAAAGACAAACGTGCATGTTCTCATTTATTTGTGAAATCTAAAAATCAAAACAATTACGCTCATGGTGATAGAGAGCAGACTGATGGTTACCAGAGACTAGGTAGGGTAGTTGTGGGTGGAGATGGGGGGTAATATCTGGGCACAAATATAATAATTAGAAAGCATAAATAAGACAGTATTTGATAGCACAACAGGGTGACTATAGTCAATAATAATTATACATTTTAAAATAAATAAAAGAGTGTAATTGGATTTCTGTAACAAATAATAAATGCTTGAGGGATGGATACTCCATTTACCCTGATGTGATTATTATGCATTGCATGCCTGTATCAAAATATCTCATGTACCTCATAAATATATACACCTGCTATGTACCCACAAAAATAAAAAAATTAAAATTTAAAATAAAAAAATCACATGCAAGAAATGGCAAAGCATAAGGCCTTTAAGTGAGAAGATCACTAAGACTCAATTGATATTGCACTTAAGTTCAAGATTATCCAGTGTGCAGATCAATATCAGGAGTGTTTCCTGTAAGTGGGAGAAAATCACAATTATGATCCTTCTCATAGGAAAAGAACTGCTTAGATCTTGAGGAGAGCTCAGGGCAATTCCTAATTTTATTTTATTCACAAAACATATCTTCATCAGTAAAAGTAAGAAATGAGCTGGTAGATAACTATTATTTCTGTAAAGTTCACTAAGGCTAAAATAAAAGAATACTGTTTTATGATAAGAGCTCAAATAGGTGAGGGAGTGACACTATATTAAGGTATCCAATTGACTATATATGAAAAAATATCTTTATATAGATGATTGTCTAGTATAAGAGATTCTATCTCTAATATAATTTCTTTACTTGACTTCTAGTATTACAAACAGGAATGAAAAAATATTTGGATAAGTTAATAAGACTTATGAAATTAAAAGTAGACTAGAAGAAAGACTGATAATAAGAGCTATATCTGGAAATTATTCTGTCATGAGAAGTTAATAGCATACATTTTACACTAAGGCTGAATAATATGTCACACAAATTAAAGTAATACAAAGGACAACAAGAAGGCCCCTTTCATCCAACTAAAATCAGTTATCTACTAGATTCCTCCAATGCATAAAACGTCAATGTGGTATGTATATCCTTTTCTTCTCTGATAATGTCTTCCCCATAGTTTTTATTGCAAATATCTAACAAAACTCTTATGTGATTTTTGTTATGACAACCATCAAATTGTTTTATGCCCACCTTAGAACATGGATATATTAGCAAAGAGAAAATGAACGAGGCTGGGTAGGGACTAGTAACTTAATTACACAATATGTTCACAACAGCAGGTTGGGGAAAGTTAAGGTTGTGTTTCCAGGGAAGCTGACTTGCTGCTGAGATTTCCATTTAAGTTTATCAGAGTGTGCTTTCAGGAGCCACATCCATGGAAGAGAGAAGAAAGATTCTGGACTGTGCAGATGAAGCAATGAAGTCCCAGCAAGGTCTCTGTCAACTCTGAAGTGACCTCTGATGCTACAATGACCCCTCAGAGTTGTCATGATTCGAGTTTGAGGCCTGGGCCTTTAGGCTCCTGTATCAAAAAGTCATTGTATGCAGGCTGTCTCTGAAAAGGGTCTTGATTTTGGGCTAGATGTCTCACTTCAGCTAAGTCAAGCTCTCTGAAGAGCTGAAAACTGAAAACTGTCAGTCAAGAGCAGCAGCTGGGATACACAATCTCAGCCCCAGTGTGGGTCTCGGGTTGCATAGACAGCATGCACAACAAACATGGACTACTTTTTTCAAATTTAGCCAACTTTCTCATTATTATTCTCTGATAAAAATTTTCACGTTCACTCTTTTACAGTCTCTTTTCAATACAAACTACAGATATACAGGACTTTTCTACCATTTTCCCATTTCTTTTCTCCTTAATGAGTCCATCTTAAAACATTTTGATTATGTCTATTCAATGTCACATTGTATGCCAAATATTAAAGTAAACCAGGTAAAATTATATAGAGACAATGAAATTTTTCCACTCTGTTTTTTAAAGAGAAATTATGACTGGTATGTATTTTCTATTTTTATGGTTTCTAGGTTGTACTTTCTTTGTTCTAAATACTACCATACTCATGAGTCACTGCACCCTTTGTGTGTATATCTTAACTGCTATTCTCACTTACATGCAGAAATGCATGCCATCATTCTTCCTCAATATATTAGTTGAATTGTAAATATTAAAAGTAGCTATGTTTTTATGACAGAACTAGCCTACTTCATTATGATAAAATAAATGCTGCCAATTCAGTAGGCAACAATAAACAGGACTGCTGAGCTTTCTTTCCACATACTCATGTCTTACATTGTCTGAGAAAATACAATATTCAGAATGTAACACAACTATTCACCTTCTATGGTATATTCATTGATATCCTAATAAAAAGAGAAGGTTTTAGAATTGGGAGTCTTAAACCAGTAAATCCAAAAAACAGAAACATCAATTGAATTTTCATTTTATGTATGGTATTTGAGAATTTTAGAGATGTCTGAATAATTAAACAGTCAATTCAAAAATTTCTCACAGATTAGTTGATTATGACTCTCTCTGATAAAATTGTTATGAAAATTGAAACAATGTATTTCAAAAATGAATTTTGCCTGGCAGAATAATGATTTTGATGGTTTTTATTTTTTATTTTTTTTGAGATGGAGTCTCGCTCTGTGGACCAGGATGGAGTGCAGTGGCGCGATCTCGGCTCACTACAAGCTCTGCCTCCCATGTTCATGCCATTCTCCTGCCTCAGCCTCCCCAGTAGCTGGGACTACAGGCATCCGCCACCGCGCCCAGCTAATTTTTTGTATTTTTAGTAGAGACGGGGTTTCACCGTGTTAGCCAGGATGGTCTCGATCTCCTGACCTCGTGATCCGCCCGCCTCGGCCTCCCAAAGTGCTGGGATTACAGGCGTGGCCACCGCGCCTGGCCTGACCTGTTCTTCATAAGTATTCCCTAAACACTCTTTCCACCTTCCCCCAACACTACCAGTTTTATTAGAGTAACTGAACCTCATGATCTGGGGTCAGTCTTACATTAAATAACCAGTCTCAGTTCTAAACTGTTTCATCATTAACATTCCATTATATTGCAATTTAGATCCTTAAATATCCCACAAAACATGTACCTAAGTTGAATATTAATATAAAGTATTTATTGGTATATTTATTTATTGTCAATCTTGTACACAGAGCTGCAAGCTACATGGAGAACTATGCGTGGTGCTCACCACTGTATCCTCAGGGTCAAGAACAGAGCCTCAAACATAAAAGGCAATTAACAAGTAGCCACAGAATTTAAATATGAGTATGTCAACTCCTTAATTCATGATCTATCAAATCCATATGAATAGAAATTTTGAAAATAAACTGTAAGTCTTGTTCTAAAAGAAACTGATAATACTTATGCAATCTCTGTGCTTTAATTTATATTTGATACATGCCTTCATGTAACAACAACTTATTTCATAATTAATATTTGCTAGGCTGTGCGTATACAATGGGAAGCAAAAAGGTTCCTGTTCCGGCTCTCAATATATTACATCCTATGAGGAAAGTCAATATTGATCAAGTACTTACACAAATATCCACATTCAGAGCATATGAGCACCATAGAAACACACCAACAAAAAGTGTAGGGATCTAGGAAAGTGTGTAAATACCAACTGAGATTAACTAAGGAAACTAAGAAAGCCTTTTCTCAAAAAATCAGCATTGGAGTTGAGATCCGAACAGTGAATGTGAATTAATAAGTTGTGAGCGTGGGTATTCTCATGCACTCATGCAGCGTATTATACAAAGGTCCTGGGGCAAAACCAGTGTTAACACCTGTGCCGATGGAGCAAGTCAGAAGGATCCAGTGATGCACAGTCACCTATTCTCTCTGAACCTTGAATGGCAAAATGGTATGCAGTGTTGTGGAGCTGGGTTTTATCAGAAGGATCTTGCTCCTTCACTGTGCTTCCATGATATGGGGTTAACAAGAGTCAACTACAGGTGCTCAGGTTAACTACAGGTATTAACAAGAGTTAACCCCATATCTGTGCTTCCATGATATGGGGTTAACTACAGGTGTTCAGGTTAACTACAGGTATTAACAAGAGTTAACCCCATATCTGTGCTTCCATGATATGGGGTTAACTACAGGTGCTCACCACCATGCCGGAATAATTATAACTGCAGGAGAAGTAGACTGCTGGAACACCAAGCAGTCTAAGCTTAAGTAGGCTATACAGGGGAATGCTGAAAATGCTATCTGCCCAACACCTTGGGGCCCAGCTCTGTGGAAAACTGAATTCAGGTACAATCACTTGAAAGAAGGAGTGCCTTCTTTCCAAGGTAGCTTTTTGCCAGGAAACCCCAATACATCTCCGGGGTCAATCCCGCTTTTCTCCAGGTAGAAGTAGGGAAGTAGCAAAGACTGTAAGTTAAGAAAAAGAAGAGGATACCTACAGACATGAAAGAAGGCTGCTGAAGCTGGAGTAAAGATCATGGGAGATTTCTACTTCATTATATTTTATGCTTAGGGTTATGTTCATTTTTAATCACAGTGTATTCATATGTTAGTGATTTTGTTATAAATATTCTTCATGTGGCCACGTGCCATGGCTCAAGCCTGTAATCCCATCACTTTGGGAGGCCGAGGTGGGCAGATCACCTGAGGTCAGGAGTTCCAGAGCAGCTTTGCCAACATGGTGAAATCCAGCCTCTACTAAATATACAACAATTAGTCAGGTGTGGTGGTGGTCGCCTGTAATCCCAGCTACTTGGGAGGCTGAGGCAGGATAATCACTTGAACCCGGGAGGCAGAGGTTGCAGTGAACCGAGATTGTGCCACTGCACTCCAGCCTGGGTGGCAGTGCGAGACTCTGCCTCAAAAAAAAAAAAAAGATATATATATATATATCTTCTCCATGCACTTCAAGATTTGGCTCAGCATGAAATGAACATTTGAAATAGGATAGAAGTTTTTTTGTTGTTTTTAGTTTAAGCACTCGGCCATAAATAAGCACACTGTCAGAGGAAATTTTACGGAAGTTCAGTATTTGATGCAGTCCATTCTCTTACAAAACCAAAAATCAAATAAAGCAACAATGACAACAAAAATCATTTTCCAAAAACAGGACTAGTGTTTGATATAGCCCATGCCACCCAAGTCTCATAAGAGCCCTGTGTCTTTACCTGGCTGAATCAAACTTTCCTGTGGAAAAGTCACCAGATTCTTAGATTTAGGTGGGGTTTGTTTGTTTTGTTTTTGAGGTAGGGTCTTACTCTTCCCCCCAGGCTGGAGTAGAGTAGCACAATCATGGCTCACTGCAGCCTCGACCTCTGAGCTCAAGCAATCCTCCCATCTCAGCCTCCCAAGTAGCTGGAACTACAGGTGCACACCAACATGACTGAATACTTTTTGTATTTTTGGTAGAGACAGGGTTTTGCCATGTTGCCCGGCTGGTCTCAAACTCCTGGGCCCAAGTGATCCTCCTGCCTCAGCCTCCCAAAGTACTGAGATTAAAGGTGTAAGCCATTGCACTCAACCTTGTATTTAGGTTTTGAAGTAGACTAATATGGCACAAATACCATTTTAAAAAGGTTCAAATTACTAAGAACACAGCAAACAAACAATAAAACCCAGAATCCTTATATAAAATACAGATGAAATTAGCAGTTATGATGTTTTACCTAGAGGGAGTGCTTGTGAAACATACGCCACCACCCTACAAGGCACATGTTAATAAATAGTGGGCTAATGGTAAATGTATTTTAATATACAGCTGTATACATATAAAACTTATCTGTTAGAATTGCAGAAAACATTTTCAGCCATGTTTGAACCATCAGAGATGTAAGCCAGGAATTTTGGATCACCTTTGCTGAGCACATGTTATTTTCGTTATTGGATTGTTGATGAAAGGCTGATATAGTATACTAAAAATAGTCACCACCACATAACGGAAAATACTTCCCAAATACTCCAAACTAAAGTGTTTCTATTTCTTTTGACTTAAGTGTAATTTTTACTGTGACTGTGCCACTGACTCACTACTTCTCTCCAACTCTAGGCATATCCTCAGGCTTTCTTCTCCAGCATTTTGTTGAATCTCTAATGCTCAGTGTCCCCACTGGGAACACTGCTCCTGGTTGACATTATTGTAGAATTATGGATGACAAATACATTTCATTTTGAGTGCTGACCTTTATAGATTAGTAAGGGCTTTCAGAAGCACTGTGTTAAAGTGCTCTTTATCTGTGTTGCAAACTGCAATTGAGATTGGTAGAAAAATGCATTGGTGTTAATTATTATGTCAGCCATAAACATTGGACAGGGTGGAGGAAGAGTAAGCATTTGTCTTCAGTGAATTCCATCATATGTAAGGAGAAATACGTAGGTTTTGGCATTAGAAAGACATAAAATTCTGTTTGGGGAAATGATGGGTGGGAAAATTCTTACAAACTCTTTGAAGCAACCTAAAAACACCAGATTATATATAAAATAAAACATCATAAAAACATCATCTAACTAACAAGATAGTGAAAAGATATTTGAGAAGAAAAAAGTCCAGAGAGATGAATGAATAAGGTGTTTTGCACCACTTTTGCACAGTGGGAATTAGCTGATGCAGCAGAGGTGGTCTAGAAACCCTGCATCGCTTTGGACAGTGTCTCAGACACAGGAGGAGATCATTTGGAGTTCATGTCCTACCAAGGGTGAGGACTAGATTGTCAAATCCCAGACAAGTACACGTTTGAGATTTTACACAGTATCAAGGTATACTAAGGTATACTTCCCATATTTTAAGAATATGGGAAGACATAGGTCTCAGTAACAGCAGGAAGTACTTGAGATCCTCAACACACAATACCAGGTCTTTTCTTAATATACTCTCCGGGCCAGATTAATTAATATCTGAGGTCTCCAAGTTATGTATGTGATCACATCATTCACACAAAAGGAAGCCATCTGAAGCAAAGCATATCACTGTTTTGAATCCTGATAGTAAAAATTACGTTTGTTATATGATCCAGAAATATACAAACTCCAAGCTTCTTTACCTTATTCTAGATAGACGAGTTATACACTGCTAAATTCTTACTATACATAAGGACTGTATCACAGAAATATCATTAGTTTATTTGCTAGGAGGCATTTCATTGGGATATTTTCAAGATTTATCTGGTTCACTTCCCTTCTTTATTTCTTGGGGGCAATGTCCTGGTAAAGGAAGAGACTAGATTCCAAGTCAATTGCTAACCATTTTCTTCTTATTTTCTTATATTTCTTATAGCTTAGGTGACATAAATAGGAAGATGTTTGTTACTCTAGCATAATAAAATAAATTACATTATTATTTGTTTGCATTTAAATATTAGTTCCTTCTGGATATTGTTTTATATAAGAGATATGGATCTAAATGTGCTATACAATTATCCCAGTATTATTTATTCATTGCATACTAATTTGCAGTTAAAATTCATTAATATTTTTACCTTATGAAAATACATAACATATACTATATATGTATAGTATTACATTATTCTTTTCCTTCAATAAAAACTTGCATTTCTGAGTTCATTAAATTCTTAATTTGCTTTAGCAAATTATAAAATGTTTTTATTTTGATGATATATTGTGGGTTCTATGGTTTCTAATAATTGTCTTTATGGAAAGAGTACAGAATCCTTCCATCCGGAATTTATGTGGCAGTGGGAAGGAAGGTGCAGGGAATCGTAAGAAACACAAAGAATCTTTCCATTTGTTTTTCTTTTTTAATTACAGAACTTTTAAAACAAACAGAATATAAGGAATAGTAAAATGAAAAGTTATATAAACATTACCTTGACTTGAGAATTGTTCATTTGTTTGTTTGTTTGTTTGTTTGTTTTGAGATGGAGTCTCAATCTGTCTCCCAGGCTGGAGTGTAGTGGCGAGATCTCGGCTCATTGCAACCTCCGCCTCCCAGGTTTAAGCGATTCTCCTGCCTCAGCCTCCTGAGTAGCTGGGATTACAGGCACGCACCATCACATCTGGCTAATTTTTGTATTTTTTAATAGAGACAGGGTTTCACCATGTTGCATAGGCTGGTCTTGAACTCCTGACCTCAGGGTGATCCACACACCTCAGCCTCCCAAAGTGCTGAGATTACAGGCATGAGTCCCTGTGCCCGGCTGAGAATTGTTAACAGAAGTATTTGCTTCAAAGAGTCTTTATGTTAAAAAGTAATTTAAAGTAAATTATAGGCATCATTGCATCTCAATAATAAATACTTCACTATAAATCTCTAAAGAATAGAAACTCTTTTTATAACCATTATATATCACACTAACAAAAGGGTCAATAATTCCCTAATTGTTTTTAATACCCAATCTATATTTATATTTCTCCATTTTCTCAGTATCATTTACTGGTTGAATGGATAATCATCCTTTCGAAAGAAAGCATATATCTTGCTTTTGGCTGCCACAGCTCTTAAGCCTCTTTAAATCTAGAAGAGTCTTTCCTTTGACATGGCAATGCTTTGTTGAAAAGGGATGCCATTTGTTCTGTGGATTTTTCCTACCCTCTGCATTAATCTGACTGTTTTCTCAAGGTGGCATTTGACTTTTCAATCACCTTTTGTTACCTGCAAAAATGGACTTTACAAAAAGGCTCAATTGGATCATGCTAAAATAATTTTGTCAAGATTACTTCAGACATGATGCTGTATAGATTGCATCACATCAGGAGATTTGCCGTGCTTTGTTGTACCACCATTAGTGATGCCAAGATTTATCTCTGACTTAAAGTATCGACAGTCATAACTCCCAACACAGGAAGTAAGCTGATGATGAGACTGTACTTAGGCACTAAGAGTTTGACATCAACATTTTACCTAATGATTTTAACATACATTAAAGATCCTTCCCAAATCAATATTTTAGATGTTAAAAAATAGAAAATTTGAAAAATTTCTTCTCTATGTACTTTTATTCACTGCTATTCTTCAGTAAAGAAGAGCTTTTCCTAATCAACTGCATGGTTTGTAACCTTGAAAATAATTCCTACAGGCAAGGCAGTATTAGTGTGTAATTATTTCCCTTTACCAACTTTCAGAGAGGAAGACTCATTTCTAATGACGGCAAATAGGTATTTCTTGTCATTGTTGGCTTGTTTTTATTTTCTCTTTTTTAATATTATTATAAACTCCTGAATTTGTATATATTTATTGTGTTCCAAGGAACTACAGGAGTCCTCTCTTTGATGCTCAAGTAATTCTACAATTGGCCAATAAAGAGGGGTTCAAGCTGGCTTTTGTGTTTTTTCGCACCCTCACATTTATGTTTGCTGGCTTTTTGCTTTTCTCACAGTGAGGTATTCCAGGCCTTTTTCATATACTCCCTATCCAGAACTAGAGTGTGCCAAATCTCCAAGAAGCTCTGGTTATTCTCAATAAAGAGTGGGATTTAATGGTTCTTAAAGATTATAGTGTTCATTGTCAATGGGTATTATTGCTTCTAGACACTTTTGGCAGTCAGACTGAAAACTATAATATAACTTAATTCTATTACCTGGTTTTAATTATTTTAATATGTTTATTTTATTTCACCTAGAAATTTAATTTCTAAAAACATCAATATAATTATTTGCTTTTAATACTACATAAATAAAATAGTTTCAAAATGACCATAAAATATTATCATTAACAGCAATACTGGGGAAAGAAACTTAAGATATTTTCACATTTCTTTTTGTCCTTAGGCACCATGTTGACTTACATTATCTTCTGTTTATTGAAAAAAATTAGATCTCCACATGCATTTTCAAAGCCTATATCACTCACAAGTGTGCTTATATAAAAGAGAAATTACACATAAAATAATTTAGTTAAGCTACTTTTAAATCCTTCTATATTCCTAGTCTTGTTATTCTGAATCATTTTTAAACTTAGTCATCAAAGGCTATATTGTTCCTGTTCTGTTCTATGCTGTCCTTTCTGTTATGTGGGGAAAACAACGTTTCTTTCTTTCTTTCTTTCTTTCTTTCTTTTTTTTTTTGAAATGGAGTCTTACTCCATCGCCAGGCTGAAGTGCAGTGGTGCAATCTCAGCTTACTGCAACCTTCGCCTCCCAGGTTCAAGCAATTCTCCTGCCTCAGCCTCCTGAGTAGCTGGGATTACAGGTGTATACCACCACGCCTGGCTAATTTTTGTATTTTTAGTAGACATGGGGTTTCACCACGTGGGCCCAGCTGGTCTCAAACTCCTGATTTCACATGATCCACCCGCCTCAGCATCCCCAAAGTACTGGGATTACAGGCATGAGCCACCGCACCCGGCTGCAGTATTTCTTTAAATGATGCGAGTATCTCCGGGTTTTTCTTCCAAGTTATTGGCACCTGTTCAAGTGCATTATTCCTTATTCTTAAAATTTCTACATCAGGAAGCTTTTGACAAATTGATGTGCACAGTTTTAAAGATAGTTCTTATGTATGTGTGAATAAGTCAGTCACTGCAGCCAATCATTGCTTTAAATGTCTTCTACTGATAAATTTGGCAAATGTTTTGGTTTCAGTAGCATCGGATGGTATGCAACACCAACATGTACAATACCAACTGTGCAAGCAACTTCATTTAGGTGAAGAAAAACAAACCTATTAATAGGTTGACATGTATAGGCAGTGATAATTAGAACATGACCAACCCATTACCCAAGAAAAAGATGAAATCATACACAACATACAACTTGATTTTAGAGCTGCGAGAAAACATGTTTGCTCATAAACAAGATTTTGCCAAATCCCCTCCATTTGGGATAAATGAAAGGATCTCTTTCATTGTAAGTTTGTTGTCAAACTTTCTGATCTTTATCAACTTGAGAGGTGAGAAAACATATTCAGTATTGTTTTAATTTGATTTTCTATTATCCAGGGTAAATCTGAACATTGTTTTCACAGCTTTAAATGTTATTAGTATTTCTTTGTGATTTTTTTTCATGTCATTTACCATATTTATATCTGGAGTTTTGGCTGTTAAAACACTGATTTCAAAGAGGCTGTAATGAGTTCATCAGATTAGCCTTTACCTGTTGTGTAAGTAGAAATTATTTTCCTATATTTTTATTTTTAACTTTGCTTATGTTTCTGCTTTTCTATAAAAACTGGTTAATTTTATAACCAAAATAGTTTCCTGTATTTCTTCTAGAATTTGAATCATAACTAAATTTTTTTCCACTCAAGTTTATAAAAAATTAAACAAATGTTTTTCTAAAAATTGTATGGTTTAAGTTTATATTTAATCTGTGACCCATGTGGAAATGATCCTATCATAGATACAATGTGAGGTAACATTTTACAAATATTTGTTCAGTTGCCTCGACATAATTTATTTAAAAGTCCACCCTGTTCCCACTGATTTGAAATGCCACTTCTATTGCATAACATTTTTTCTTACATACTGAGTTCTCTATATGGATTTTATATTCCATTCCATTCATCTATACCTGTACCTGTGCCATATACAGTGATTTTATTATTGAGGTTTCATCTTTGTTTCAGTATCTAGTAGTTTTTTCAGAGGCGTTACCCAGTTATTCTAGCATTGCTAGAACCTACTGTTTTTCTCAGCTGCTTACCACTTTCTTCATGTAAGTTTGACATGTTTCTTATTGTTGTATTTCATATTTTTTAATATAGAAAATCAGGTCTTCTTTTCCATTATGTCTTCTAATTGATAGTGTTTGTATACCTAAAGATAGAGTAGAAAATAGTTAACAAATTTCTTTAAGTTAATTTTATATCTTGCTCCCTTACTAATTTTTTTATGATCGTAGCATATTTTCAATGGATTCTTTCAGCTTTACAGCTATATATTTTTTATCTCTTCCTCTACAATATTTATGCATCTATTTGCTTTCTTTTTTCTAATTTCATTGACCAATATCTTCAGTACAGGTTTAATTCTTTATATTTTAAGTCTAACGTGTGCTCAGAAATCCACATTAAGCAAGCATACAGATCAATACATTATTATTAAGTGGCTGCCTTTGTACTTCCACCACATAAAAGAATATTGTCAGACCTTGCCTTTAAAAAATCACTCTGACCTCTGTAACAATTATTACTATTTCTTATTTTATGGAATCACTTCTTTTCTTCATAGTTTCATAAACTAAGGTGTATCATTAAAATTAGAATTTAATTTTCTGTTTGTAAGTTTCTCACAATTTGTTTTTCTCCCTATTTATTATTGAAGAAACTGAATTTTGCTGACTACATTCTCGTACTTGGCATGTTCCTCTGTACTCTGAATTTCAATATATGAATTTTTAATTGGATCTATAGGCCTAATTGAATCCAGTTTGATTTTTTTTTCAAGATGTATTTGTTTCTTAGGGCTTCCATAACAAATTACAATAAACTGGATGACAAAAAAAAATAGCAGAAATTTACTCTCTCACCGTTCAGGAGGCCAGAGATCCAAATCCAGTTGTTGGCAGTCTTGATTTCCTGTAAGAGCTCTAGAGAAAAACCTTTTCTTGCTTTTTTTTTTTTGAGACAGAGTCGTGCACTATTGCCCGGGCTGTAGTGCAGTGGCACGATCTCGGCTCACTGCAACCTCCACCTCCCAGGTTCAAGCAATTCTCCCGCCTCAGCCTCCCGAGTAGCTGGGATTACAGGCACTTGCCACCATGCCCGGCTAATTTTTTGTATTTTTAGTAGAGATGCGGTTTCACTATGTTGGCCAGGCTGGTCTCGAATGCCTGACCTTGTGATCCACCTGCCTGGGTCACCCAGAGTGCTGGGATTACAGGCATGAGCCACCACGCCCGGCCTTCTTGCTGTTTTTAACTTTTGGTGGTTGCTGGCAAGTGTCAGTGTTCCATGGCTTATCAATCACTCCAAGTTCTGTCTCCATCATTCCATGGCCTTCTCTCATGCACGTCACCTCTGATCTCTGTGTGTCTGTCTCCTTATATAAGAACAGTGATTGGATTCAGAGCCCATGAGGTCATATTGATATTGAGCATCAGTTACTCTCAATAGCCCATCCTAATCCTAATCCAATATGACCTCATGTTCCTCTGTAAAAACACCTATTAAAAAAAAAAAAAAGTCACATTCACAGATAGGAGGGGTTAGGACTTGAACACATCTTTTCCAGAGACATAATTCAACCTATTACAAAAGACTACTTCATAGGTGCTCTTGTTCATCATCACTAAGTACATTGTATCTCGTTGCCTCTCTTCGTAATAGTAGCAGTAATTGATGATCGATATCTGGATTCTTAATTCAATGTAAGTTGCAAAATTGTGATATACCAATTTTATCATTTTGTATATGTATGTATGTGTGTTTCAAATATTTCTTATAATAAATAATGCTTTATACTATTCATTGCCCAGTAGAAGATATTTGTGATGAAGTAAATGAATGCTTGACTCTTTCTATTTATTTACCAGTGTCATTTACATTGGAATCATGGATTATTGTTGGTGCTGTATATGTGCTTGGAAAGGTTGTCTATTTTCCATCTTTGGCATAATATTCTATACATGTCTATTAGATTAATCTGACTTAATAATATTTTTCAAATCATGCATGTCCTAATGAAATTTTGTCTATTTGTTCTATCAATTACTCAGAGAGTATTGTGAAAATCTCCAAAGTTGTGAATTTATTTATTTGATTCTATCAGGTTTTACTTAAATATGTTAAAGATTTATAATTATTTGCAAAAACTTTAAGGATTGCATGCTTCCTTGATATATTCATCAGTTACTCTCAATAGCCCATCCTAATCCTAATCCAATATGACCTCATGTGCCTCTGCAAAAACACCCTATTTCAAAAAAAAAAAAAAATCACATTCACAGATAGGAGGGGATAGGACTTGAATACATCTTTTCCAGAGACATAATTCAACCCATTATAAAAGACTACTTCATAGGTGCTTTTTTTCACATTAAATGGCCTTCTGCATTTTTGGTCATATAACTTGATTTAAAGACAAACGCTGGTTGATATCAATATAGCCACACAAGATTTCTGACTAATGTTTGCATGGTATTTCTCACCATGATATTTTAACATCTGTTTATTTAAACACAGGTTTTTAAATATACCTCTTTGTCTTACCACAGTACGTCTCTAAATCAAACTTAAATATTATGTAAAAAATCATACTCCGTATTTTCATTTTCTCCTCATTCTATTATATACATTTTATTTTTACATATGTCAAAAATTACACAAAAATATACAAAAACTGTGCAGTGAAATCACTTAAACTCATTTTAAACAATCATTGTTTAAATGGTTTTATAAATAAAAGAAGTAATATATATGTTGAATAATAGAAATATTGAATAATTCCAGAAATGGCAAATATGTGGGAGCTCTCACATGTCCCCGATTAGACCCTCAGAGACTTGTACAATAATAACTAGCTCTCTAGCATGTATGTCATTGGAGACTCAAAATGGAGAGTGAAAACAGGGGAAAGAATATTTGAAGGATAGTATTCCATGGTGTATATGTGCCACATTTTCTTAATCCAGTCTATCATTGTTGGATATTTGGGTTGGTTCCAAGTCGTTGGTATTGTGAATAGTGCCACAATAAACATACGTGTGCATGTGTCTTTATAGCAGCATGATTTATAATCCTTTGGTTATATACCCAGTAATGAGACGGCTGGGTCAAATGGTATTTCTAGTTCTAGATCCTTGAGGAATCGCCACACTGTCTTCCACAATGGTTGAACTAGTTCACAGTCCCACCAACAGGGTAAAAGTGTTCCTATTTCTCCACATCCCCTCCAGCACCTGTTGTTTCCGGAATTTTTAATGATCGCCATTCTAACTGGTGTGAGATGGTATCTCGTGGTTTTGATTTGCATTTCTCTGATGGCCAGTGATGATGAGCATTTTTTTCATGTGTCTGTTGGCTGCATAAATGTCTTCTTTTGAGAAGTTTCTGTTCATATGCTTTGCCCACTTTTTCATGGGGTTGTTTGTTTTTTTCTTGTAAATTCGTTTGAGTTCTTTGTAGATTCTGGATATTAGCCCTTTGTCAGATGAGTAGATTGCAAAAATTTTCTCCCATCCTGTAGGTTGCCTGTTCACTCTGATGGTAGTTTCTTTTGCTGTGCAGAAGCTCTTTAGTTTAACTAGATCCCATTTGTCTATTTTGGCTTTTGTTGCCGTTGCTTTTGGTGTTTTAGACATGAAGTCCTTGCCCATGCCTATGTCCTGAATGGTATTGCCTAGGTTTTCTTCTAGGGTTTTTATGGTTTTAGGTCTAACATTTAAGTCTTTAATCCGTCTTGAATTAATTTTTGAATAAGGTGTAAGGAAGGGATCCAGTTTCAGCTTTCTACATATGGCTAGCCAGTTTTCCCAGCACCATTTATTAAATAGGGAATCCTTTCCCAATTTCTTGTTTTTGTCAGGTTTGTCAAAGATCAGATGGTTGTAGATGTGTGGTATTATTTCTGAGGGCTCTGTTCTGTTCCATTGGTCTATATCTCTGTTTTGGTACCAGTACCATGCTGTCTTGGTTACTGTAGCCTTGTAGTATAGTTTGAAGTCAGGTAGCATGATGCCTCCAGCTTTGTTCTTTCAGCTTAGGATTGACTTGGCAATGCAGGCTCATTTTTGGTTCCATGTGAACTTTAAAGTAGTTTTTTCCAATTCTGTGAAGAAAGTCGTTGGTAGCTTGATGGGGATGGAATACTATGCAGCCATAAAAAATGTTCTTTGTAGGGACACGGATGAAGCTGGAAACCATCATTCTCAGCAAACTATTGCAAGGACAAAAAACCAAACACCGCATGTTCTCACTCATAGGTGGGAATTGAACAATGAGAACACTTGGACACAGGAAGGGGAACATCACACACTGGGGCCTGTTGTGGGGTGGGGGTATGGGGGAGGGGTGGCATTAGGAGATATACCTAATATAAATGACGAGTTAATGGATGAAGCACACCAACATGGCACTTGTATACATATGTAACAAACCTGCACGTTGTGCACATGTACCCTAGAACTTAAAGTATAATAAAAAAAGAAAAACTAGAAAAAAAAGAAGAAAAGCACATGAACACACAATTTCGTATAAGAGCTGTTAAAGCTGGATGCTAAAGAGACATACTTTCACTTGTATAGTTCACTTAAGTATTAAATGATTTCCTATGACTGAATCAAATATACCAAACATTACCTCAAAGAAATAGAATTCAATCATTCTTTATTTGATATAATTGTTTTCCTCTCATTGGCTTTGCCCATGGAATCCTTCCAGCTATAAATGTAAAATATTTGAAAATATATATTCAAGGATTAAAAATGCTACAAAAATACCAATGTACTTAGGAATTACTGAGTAAACCCGAGCAATATATGGCATAAAATAACATTGACATTAAATCACATAATATTCAGACTTGTAAAAACTAACAGGCATATTATGCATGGTCTTTTAGTAATTATATATTTCTAAGCACAACTACAACTACAAACCTTCAAATCCAAGAGATAAACACTTATTTATAGTACAATTTTTTGCTTTTCTTTTCTCTCGCCATCACCCCAGCAGTACAGACAAACCCATCATGTAATTTATTGAATATTAAATTCTCATTACTTTATTTCTGTTGCCACACTTATGGGAAGCCTGGTCAAATAAGCAACAGAATAGGGAAGTAGCCTTTTAAAATGAATAACACACTAGAAAATGTTAGGTTTAATTACAGGTAATAGTTTTAAAGCAATATTTCTCTTATAAACATCTGTGGCATTATAATACAAAATTGACTTGATATTTAGATTTTTGTTGATTTTGAAAAGTTCATCCTAGATAAAAATGCAACTTTTATACAACTAAATGAGGTTTCTCTTTAAGCAAAATGCATCAGATAGAAATAATTTCCAATTACATATTTAGAGTACTCATGAAAGACAATTTATTTTCTTTTTGTTTACTCTGATTTCATTTTACTAGAAGGTCATCAGAAGAAAAGCCACAATATGTTGTTACAAAAAATTTGATGCTGACAAGAATGAAAAATTATCTTTAAAATGTATTTTCATGGATCATAAATCCTCTTCAATTTTAGCTGCAAACTATAGAATAATATGAAGTGAATATGTCTAATTTGTTAAGGAATCTTGGTAATAAATAGGACTATGATAGAGTAATATGAGTTAGCACTGAAGAACGAAAAAAGTTAGGTTGTATAAAAGCTCAGTATTCGGGATAAATATTTTAACTCAATAATACTAAAAATAAATTTTAATGCAAAATAATTACATGATGATCAAAATATCGAATTTTAAATGAAGGATCTGATCCTGTGCTTGCATAAATCTGTTGCACTCGAATTCTTGTCTTGCTAATTGAAATACACATTTGCTGATTTTTTTAAGCAAACATTCAAATAAAAGAAAGAATATTTGAAGGAATATCGGCTGAATGTTTTCCATATTTGATGAAAAGTATAAACTCAGAGATTAAAGACAAACTCACCCCAAAGTGTCTCCATCATTCCATGGCCTTCTCTCATGCCCGTCACCTCTGTATCTTTGTGTGTCCGTCTCCTTATATAAGAACAATGATTGGATTCAGAGTCCATGTAGATCTAAGTCCTTTAAGGGATCATTTTGTTTCTACTTAAAGAACATTCTTTAAACTTCTTTTAAATTTCAGGTCTGTTGATAACCAATTCCCTTTACTTTGATCTGCCGAAAGTATTTTTTTATTGACATTGAAAGATATTTTTGCTAGAATAAAATATGGCTTGGCAGTTGCTCTTTCCACTTTAAACATGTAATTTCATTTTCTTCTGGCTTTTATAATTTCAGGTGAAAGGTCTATTAATTCTTATCTATGTTCCTCTGTCTCATGTGGTTTGTTTTTCCCCTCTACAGGTGTTGTAAATATTTTTTCTTGTCATTCATATTAAGATATTTTATTAATATTAGGCTTAGTGTATTTGTGTTATCTTATTCGGAATTTTTTGATTGTCTTTAATCTCTGGGTTTATATTTTTCATCAAATATGGAAAACATCCAGCCAGTATTTCTTCAGACATTCCTTCCCTTGTTCTCACTCTCCATTTTGAGTCTCCAATGACATACATGCTAGAGAGCTAGTTATTATTGTACAAGTCCCCAAGGGTCTAACCTTTTTCTTTATGTTTTTAAAATCTGTTTTTCCTCTGTGTTTTAGTTAGTATAGTTTCTATACTTATATGCTTAAATTCACTGACATTCTCTTCTACCACACTTACCTGCTGTTATTGTCATCCACTAAGATATTCATTTTGAACGTTGTATATTTCCTGTCTAGAGTTTGTATTTGATTATTTTCTTTATATTTCCTACATCTTACCTCATTATATTCATGTTTTTCTTTTGATATTCGAGCATTTTAAACATATATAAAATTACTATATTAGTTCACGTCTGCAAATTCTAACATCTCTGTCATTGCTGCTTCTGTTTTTGATTGACTTGACTTTTATGGGTCAAATTTCCTTATGTCTTGATAGGTCTAGTAAATTTTTATTGGCTGCTGGACTCAGTAATATTACATTGTTTAGTGCCTGGATTTTCTTACTTTAAATGTGGGATTTGGTCTGGCAGAAGTTATTTACAAATTAGCTTGATACTTTCAAGATTCATTTTCAGGTTTTTTTTGAAGGAATAGTCCAGAACAGCCTTACTCAGTATTTTATTTTATTTTATTTTATTTTATTTTATTTTATTTTATTTTATTTTTTTATTTTTTATTTTTTATTTTATTATTATTATACTTTTAAGTTTTAGGGTACATGTGCACAATGTGCATGTTAGTTACATATGTATACATGTGCCATGCTGGTGTGCTTCACCCATTAACTTGTCATTTAGCATTAGGTATATCTCCTAAAGCTATCCCTCCCCTCTCCCCCAACCCCACAACAGTCCCCAGAGTGTGATGTTCCCCTTCCTGTGTCCATGTGTTCTCATTGTTCAATTCACACCTATGAGAGAGAATATGCGGTGTTTGGTTTAGTTTGCCCTCATTACTAAGTTGTGATCCTTCTGGGGTCATTACTGAATATGCTGTGTTCAACAAGGTCACTCTGACAGGTGGAAACTCAAAAAATTGCAATCCCTGTGAGAACTCTGGTAATTATTTTACTTAAAGTTCGCCCAATTTTTTCTTTAACTAGAAGTTATTCTTTGCCTGGACTTCTGGAGTTTTACCATATGATTTTGCGTATTGGTATTCAGAGACTGAAGTGAACTTTTATACAGATTTCTGGAACTCTTTTTCTGCATAACTTTTCTCACTCAAACCTGACCCTTATTTCTAGCCACCTTAGGCTCATCCAACTCAAATCTGTTGGTCTTTGTTTTGGTTCCCTCTCTTGTTTACAGCTCAGAAACTGCTGTAAGCAAAAACAATTGTAGGGCTGACCTCACCTTTTCCCACTTCCACAGGATAACAATTTTGTGCTGTCTCATGTCCAATACTTCAAAAATATTATTTTATATATTTTTGTGCACTTTTAAGTCATTTATGGTTGAATGGTAATTCTAGATGTGCTTTTATTTCTTAGCAGCACATACCTTTTTATTGTCTATTGCACTGTACTGTTTAAAATCCAGTAACACAACCTAGGATAAAAACCTGATTGATAGAAAAGCTAATTGACTGCTCCAAGATTTTGTTTTCCTCTGAATCTTTCTCCATTTTTGGGTCTGTGTCTTTATCTATATATATAAAATATAAACTATATTTATAATATATATTATAGATTGGTTAATATTATAAATATACAATATACTATATTATAAACTATAGTATATTATAAAATATATAAGATTTAGTATTATATATTTATATATTATAAATATTAATGAAATATATAAAATGTATATTTCATTTGCATTGTTGATATTGAAATATATTTTTTCTAAACAACCTGTTAGGAAGAGTGTTGTAGAGGAGGGGGCGTTTTACATGTCTCTCCATGTTTCCTTAAAGAACTGCCACGCATCTTCCTTTCATTTCATCCATATTGCAACATTTCTAAGCTCTGCTTTCTCAGAGACACGCTCAGTAGTTCCCTTTCTAAATGAGGCCTTCTTCTGAGAATGAACATTTGCTGTACCTATCTGGGTTCTTCCATAACTAAGCTGTTATGCACTAAATGTTTATGTCACCCCACAATTTATATGTTGAAATCCTAATCCCCCAGGAGCTGATATTAGATTGCTGTCGATGAAGCCAGAAGCAGTTCTCACCAAACGCGGAATCTGCTAGCATCTTGATTTTGAACTTCTCTGTCTCCAGAACCGTTAGAAATAAATTTATGTGGTTGGGCGTGGTGGCTGACACCTATAATCCCAGAACTTTCAGAGGCCAAGGCTGGTGGATGACAAGGTCAAGAGATCGAGACCATGCTGGCTAACATGGTGAAACCCCGTCTGTATTAAAAATACGAAAATTAGCTGGGTGTGGTGGTGCGCACCTGTCGTCCTAGCTACTCGGGAGGCTGAGGGAGGAGAATTGCTTGAACCTGGGAGGTAGAGGTTGCAGTGAGCTTAGATTGCGCCACTGTGCTCCAGCCTGGTGACAGAGTGAGACTCTGTCTCAAAATAATTAATTAATTAATTAATTAATTGTTATTTACAAGCTATCCATTCTATGGTATTTTTTCTATCACAGCCTCACAGGACTGACATAAAGCTTTGCTGCACTCTCTATTCTTCTGTGCATATATGATCAGACTCACAGCACTTCCATGTAAATTGACCCTGAATCTGATGGTCCCTAAACCATGTTAAGCTTTATAGCTTTCTCTGTCATCTAGTTTCTCTGTAGAAGTAGGTTATGTTTATCCTTGTTTCATAGTATACATTTTGGAAGAGGTACGGGGATAATTTGATCTTAGACAAATGTCATTATTCCAGAGCAAACCATAAGACCCATCTTGTAAAATCTAATGTGGTCACAGAGAGTAAATTTCATTAAGGTTTGCCAGATATCAAAAGACTCAACAAAGTATGTAGATATGGCCCATGTTTGAATCTGTCTGTGTGAGTGGGGTAGAGAAGAAAGCTGGTCATGGAAAAACCACCCATTGTAATGCAATAATGTAGAATATTTTATATAGCTCCGTTATATGCTTGAGCTATATGTGTCTTTAAAATCGGTATCTAAGCAGTGCTTACAAATTTGAGAAGCATACATAGCCCTTTGGAAAGGGAACTGAGAGTGGACAGGTTGAATGTCAATACTTCTTCACTGGGATCTGGTATTAGGTATAAGACAGAAGTCTTAGAAGGAAATTGCACTGAGTTCCTTGGAAGAACAGGGCGTAACGATTAATGAAGAAGCTTAGTTCTGTGCAATAAATCATTACAGAAAATTAAATAAATGGAATATATAAGAAATACTTATTAAATATTTTCTGCATGTTTGGTAATAAACCAAAAAAATGTGATAGAATATACTTCTAAACGGTTCCATGGTACTCTGGATCCTAGTTTTGCTTAACAAAGCATCTTAATTCTGGCAACATTAGGCAATGGTGCTGAAGATCCATACACTTCCTGCCGGTACCTCTAAAAGTTGGGCATTCCTAATCTGCAGAAAAGAAATACTACTATTGCTATTAATGTGGAGCTATTAATTGTTAGGTGTTTACATCTCTGTGATGTTCTAGTTGTACTAACATATACTTATTTATATATGAAAAAGTATTAGAAATGTAACGGAATTTACACAATATTAGACCACTGGTAAATACCCAAGTCTGCGTCACTCCAAATCTAATGCACTTAATTTGTACATTTGACTGCCTTCAGGCAGACCATAGCAGTTGTAAAATAGTTCTAATAATCAGTAGTGTAGAATTATCAAGATAAAATAACTTCTCTAATAGTGGCAAGGCATCTTCCTTTCAAAGAGGTTTTTCTTAAATTTAATGGCAGCATTGTACATTTCTTTCTGCCAGTATAGAAATAATTATGGAGAATGGTTAGTAAAAGTCTAAAGAAAGATATGCTGACCCAGTTAAAAACAGAGTTAGGGGAGATAAGATGATAAAGAAAGAGGAAAAAGAAAGAAATCTAAATTGGATAGTTAATCTGTAAGTGTGTCCTTCCTTTAAAATAGAGATAAATGCAGTAGCAATATATCCCAGTGTTGTAAATCGATATGTCCTTACAACCTCCATCTTTATAGCCAAATAGTTTATATCTTTCAATGTGCTGAAAAATTAAACACAGCCTTTCTGCTTCCAACTATTTTTGAAGTTCACTGTCTGGCTTCATAGATAATAGTCTCATTGTAGTGCACATAATCTTTTCATAAGGTATATTATTTGCTACCAAAAATTAAATAATCTCATTTTAGTCTAAAGATAGGTACTGATAGCTAATACAGAATTTTAAAATATTCACATTTTCCCTTCAATTCTAATTCAGCTAAGCTAAGGGAAGTTAGAACAGTGATCACATTAAATTTAAGCATGAAAAATGAATAAATTATAGATATAACTGTATATACTGCTATCAATAAAGAGCTACTAATTTCTGAATGTTTACAGGTACTTTTCTTTATAAAAACTTTTTAGTACTCTACAACAAAATTTAGTACATCTTGTGATTAATATGCTTTATAAAAACTACGGAAAGATAGTTATGGTTAATATGACAAAAATAAATACATGTAAATAAGGCAATTTTATCTTTTCTGAACTGATAATCTCAAATATCAATTGTACGACATAATAGGGTCTCTTAGTTAATAGCAGTATAATGCAGGTTTAATGGATGCCATTTTTCAGACATTTGGATTTTTAATTGCTTTCTTTTCAGCTTCATTAACACAATGGCAACTCTTCAGTCATTCCAATTTTAAGCCAAAAAAAAGAAAAAAAACCCACTCCCATAACTCTTTTGTTGTTTCAAGAAAATGTGCTATTAAATGATGGCATCACAAACATCTAAAGATTTATACTTAATACTATATTTCAGAGTGGCTAAAATAGGCACCTATTGCTTTGCATTCCCAGTGATTCTTTGCCTGTAACATAATAAAATGCACTTTTTTTTTCCTCTGCCTACCTCTACTACCGGTATGGTTGAGAAGAGTCCTGAGATCCAGAGAAAAAAAAAAAAAAAAAAATCAAAGAAGCCCACTTTGTTGGCCTTGAGTTATAAGAATCATGTATGTATAAACTAGTTGATAACCCTTTTCTCTAGCCATATGTAAGCTCTCTCTACACAGAAGAATGCAGAGGCAGGAGGGATTTTTTGAAATAGACCAATCACATATTGTTTGGTTCCTTAACTCTTTCACTCATTAAGCCAGGTTAACCTCTGGCCTTCCCAGTTATGTGAGTCATTATATTCCTGATTTCACTTAAACTAGCACAAATTAGTTTTCAGACACAGTGATACAAAAGCATCTTCACTAATACAATAATTTCAGCAAAGTGTCTCAGCTTCAAAAGTCATAGTGAACAGCAATAGCATCACCAGCTAATAGCCTCAAAATGCCAAGGTTGGATAGAATGGCTCCTGCAGCTGAGTACACACCACAAACTCCTCAGGAAGTGACAAAATGATAGCAATTTGGTAAACCATATATTTTAATTTTTCTGCAATTCCCTGATTATAAGGCATTGATAGATTGATACTACTAAATCAAGTTTACTAATTCACTGACAAATACTTCATTTAAAAGATTATATTCAACAAAAATACAAAATAATTATTTAACTATATTTTCTACTGCATTCATCCCTAATCAATAAATAATTTTAGGGTCCCAGAGGCCATGACAAATGTTAAAAAAATAACTCTCTAGGGGCCATAAAAGATTGCTTTATAAGTTGTTGCTATACCTTTCAATTTAGAAAAATGTAGTCCTAAAAAGGAGAAAATGACATTTCAGAATAACTGTTTCATTATACAGGGTAGGATTGAACAAAATTGGCATAAGTCTGTGGAAGAAAACCAGAGAGAAAAGGAAGAACAAACCTTAAATACAGAAGATATAAATTTACTGAGTGTTACAGAAAATAGAAAATAAGTCAACACAAGAGCCACTAAAAATATTTGAGACAATGTGGCTATGGTAAATATGACATAAATAAATAAAAATAAAGCTATTTTATCTTTACCAATCTGATATTCCTACATCTATTTTACTAAATAAAAGGATCTTATTTATAGTAGGTAGAAAGGAAATGTTAACAAATGTTTAACATTTATGTATATAAATTAACTTATTGTAATGATTATTAATTAAAATCTTTTTGCAGTGCTCCAAATAAAAGTATAATAAATGCAGCAAGTTTTTAGAAAGTGAGCTATTATATAGGTATGTTGCCCTGTATTTATTTTGTCCTTTATAATTGTTTTCTAGCTTTTTAATTTCTCCATATGATAGTTTATTTTTACAATAATGAATTTAGTTGTGTAATTCAAATATAAATAGAGACATGGAAAAGTTCTAATAATGTATGGCAGCATATCTATAGTTTTCCTTACATTTTCCAAATATAACAGAGCCTACATCTTTTGTTCTACTGGGTGTCCCTTTTGGGGCCCTGTGTTAGTCTGCTCAAGCTCTTGTAACAAATACCAGAGACTGGATGTCTTAAACACAGTTTTTTTTCTTTTTTTCACAGCCCTGGAAGCTGGAAAGTCCAAAATGAATGTGCCAGTTAATTCAGCTTCTGGTGAAGGCTCTCTTCCTGGCTTGCAGATGGTGGCCTTCTTGCTGTGGTCTTACATGGCAAGGAAAGAGAAAGAGCACGATCTCTCTTGCCACCTGTTTTTATAAGGTCACTAATACTATTATATCAGGGGACCATCTTTGTGACCTCATTTAACATTAATTGCTTTCTTATAGGACCTGTCTATAAATACAGTCACATTGGGAGTTAGGATTTCAACGTATTAATTTCAGAGGGATAAAAATCCGTCCATTGCAGGCCGCCACCAAGTATTTAGGCAGCAATCAAGAGGAGATAAAAAGCTTTTTCAAGAGCCTCAATATATTTTACTTTTCTCTCTGTTAGTCTCTATACAACTTTCTCTCAGTCTCACTCCCTGCCTTTCTGTTTCTCTCATTCTTAGTCTTTCTCCTGTCTGTTGTCCTTTCCTTCCTTCTTCCTCTTGTATAATCTCAGGTACATTAGCTACCTTTCATAGAATGAAAAAGTGTCACATAAGCAAGAGGAACTGAGAGAGGAATTTTGAGGGCCTTGCTCAAGATAATAAAACCCACAAATGGCAAGGACCAGAGCAACTTCAGGTGACTTTCATACCAAATTAAATGCAAATTTAGGATGAAAAGTGCTCTAAAACTTGAAAAAAATATATAGAGAACTCTTCAGTGGCTATAATGCCATTAAGTTGCCATCTTATAAATAACCTAGATTCCTTTGAAAACAGGTTCTCTAACAGTACTTCATTTCCTGAGACACAGTCTTATAACACATTAAAAGTGAATTACTAACACTAATAAAAACTTAAATAAGCAACAGTTTTTCACCAGCAATGAGCTTCTCTTCTTCAGTAATATTTTTGATAACTCCATTTCTACCAAAATGTCTCATGAAGTGGAATGAAATGGAATGATACTGTCTAAATTCTATAAGAAGACTAACTAATCTCAGCAATGGAAAAAGGTCACAAATAAGAAAATGATTTGTGCAATTCAGGACTCTATACAAATTCTAGATACAGATATCTTTATGTTTCCTTGCCATTCTCCACAGGTAAATGCATTTAGGTATACATAGTCAGTTATTCCCACAACTATAAATAGTAAGTTTATACCTATCTTTATTGATGTATTAAATTTAGTCTGAATCAAGTAATCCATCATTGAAATATCAGAAACACATTTCCCATGAATGACCTACCCATATTTATATCCTGACTCATGTTAATACTACTTTTTAGATATTCTAGGAAGTATCAGATTGTTTTCTTCCAGACAAAATTCTTTATCTTTTGTACATACACGTAAGTCCTATAAAGACAAACAAAAATTAAAAATAAAAGGCTGAATTCTGCTTGTTCAAAATAAGGAAAGAAACTTCTCCCCTTTCATTAGGAGGATTTACCTTAGAAAATAGGCCTTTTGTCGACTTTATGACCCAGGAATGTCTTTCTCCAGAGCCCGGCAGCCATCTCTTTGAAATGTAAACATCAAGAAATAGCACCTTTTACCCAGTTTTTGCTGGAGAGCAGGAATCTGACTTTGGTGGGCAACATGTTTAAAGTTCTAAAATTACCTTCTGTTATAAACATATGACAAGCTTATTTCTCCTCTAATAAAGCCAATAAGCTAATACAGATGGTCACTCCAATTGCTATGTAAGGTTAGGATGAACTATGTGTAGCAAATTCAACCTTCAAGTCCTCCTACTTAAGGACTAGTTACTGTTTAGCTTAAAAACTTGTATGTAATTAGTTGTTTCTGCCTAGATAAAAGATTCAGATTTCTTTCTGTCTTTGCATCTCTGGGCAGATGGCCAGTGATGCACATAACACTTTGGTTTAATGCTTATTCAGTAACATGACTGATTTCTGTCTCTAATAACTTTATGGAGAGATTTTCTGGGTTGGGAGATGATTTTGTTTTTTAATTATATTTCCTTTAGGTTGTGCACACATGCACATGCACATATATACATATACACACATTTTGCATTTAATATGTTTCCAAATTTTTCTTACATTTCTCTTTATTATTTACAGCCTTGATATTGGCAACTCTGTTCATTTCTTCCATTTGCTCTGATATAGTGTGGGGAGATTCTTCTTGACACCTTCCCATTTAAGATCCTTATGTCATCTCCATTCAGGCTGTACATGGGAGCCAGGCATTATGCAGCCTTCCAAGAGCACAGTGTTTGTATCACATACTGGCTCAATATGCCATCAGCCTTTCTATCAGTGGATGGGTTTAGTAAGTCTTTCATATTCTTCTCATTTCATTTATTTTCCTCACCTCTATATTTCTTTGCCAATGCATGACAGTATTATCTATTATTTCACAACCCTCCTTGGATGTTTACTTTTTAAGGTTGTATACTTAACTTGTTTGTCTTGTAACTAGTAAGTTCATTGACTACTTTTAATATTTTCACTAATTCGGTAAGGTGATGAGAGAGATATTTCAGTAAAATGACCTTAGTCTCCTGTCATTATTGTAGCAGCTTTTTATAATTTACTGTTTTGTAAATTTTCTGTACAAAGATTGGAGGAAGACACTTTCCTGTCCTGGATAGCACTTCTTGTTTTCTTATAGCTTTTTTACCTTTGGCATGACTAAGTTAGATCAACAGAACAACAATGCTCTCTAGCTGATAAAAGATACTAAGCAAATGACCCTTCCCTAACTTCTGGTCATTTCTCCTTTTAAATGAGAAATTTCTCCAGCAAAGATAATATCCATTAGAATATCCAGAATGCCTTCCTAATTCTCCCATAAATATATATAATACCATGTCATACTGGAGCACTTACTATAGCCTCCAGTCTTACCTATATCATCAAATCTGTGCAACACAGAGATCTGGTGAAAATGTGGGCACTAACTGTAAGCAGGCACTTTACATGACAAAGACAAACCACTTTTATTAAAAAACAAAAATATTATACACTTAAAAAATTCTACCCTCACTAGATTGCAGTGAGACAAGATCACACCAGTGCACTCTAGCCTGGGCAACAGAGCAAGACTCCGTCTCAAAAACAAAACAAAACAAACAGACAAAAGTTCTACCCTCGCTATGTTTAAGAGATTATCCTAAAACTAATTGTAAAGCTTCATAGGGTATCGTTAAAATAGAAAATAGCTACAATCAAATGGATAATAGATAATAAAATAGATAATAGCTGCCACTGAATTTCTATAAATCAGAAATAATAGACAGAATTTTAGGAACAAAATACTATGTAAGGTTAGCAGAATCATCTCAAAATTTTTGAGCTTTGCTTTCTTCAAAGATATTCTGCATTGTCGATCCCTTATTCTGGCTTGGTTTGTGTTTTTCAGCCAAAGAACAAATTTAAAAGAATTTGTCCTCTGGAGAAAGTGAAGATTAAGTCATCTATCAAGAGGTACAGTTGTCCCTTAGTATCTGTGGAGGATTGGTTCCAGGATCCCAACAGATACAAAAATCTGCAGATGCTCAAGTCCCTTATATAAAATGGCATAGGATTTGCATATAACCTATGCATATCCTCTTGTATACTTTAAATCATCCCTAGATTGCTTGTGAATCCCTAATACAATGTAAATGCTATGTAAATACTTGTTATAGGCCAGGCACTGTGGCTCATTCCTATAATCCCAGTGTTTTAGGACGCTGAGGCAGGAGGATTGCTGGAGGCCTGGAGTTTGAGACCAACCTGGAAAACATACTAAGACCCCTGTCTCTACAAAAATTTTAAAAGAACATAAGTAGGCATGGTGGTTCATACCTGTGGTCCCAGCTACTTGGGAGACTGAGGAGGGAGGATCCCTCAAGACCAGGAGTTTGAGGCTGCAGTGATTTATCATTGCACCACTGCACTACAGCCTTGGCAACAGAGTAAGAGCCTGTCTCTAAAAACAAAAATAAACAAAGTAGTTGTTATATTTTATTTTTTGTTTATTTTTATGTTATTGTATTGTTATTTTATTTTCTGAATACTTTTTTTAGCTGTTAGTTGAATCTGTGCAGGTAGAGTGCATAGATATGGTGGACCAACTGTATTTTTCTTCACATTTCACAGATGTATATGCCTCAGGCAATTCATGATAAGGTAGAATGATCAAGCATTGGTTAAGAAGTGTGTTTGGAAGCAGATATTCATTTAGACCTACAATTATATGTCACTGGTTTTTGTAATGAACTTAAAATATCAGTCAAATAATTAACTTGGAAAAATGTAAATGCAAATACCTTATGGCCATTTAAAGTTAGGTTTAATTCATCAATTTCACAAGCAGAGATAGATATGAGATGACAATCTGGTCTTGTCCAAGTCAGGCCACCCTTCCCCCACATCTATCACTCAAACTCGCCTCAACTTTATCACAGGGTTGAAGTGGTAGTATTGGGTTTATGTATCTCTAATTCCCATGAAATATTTTTTACTTAACAGACCCCACTAAATATATTCTCATTCACCCACTCAACAAATACTGATTAACTACTTATTTAATCAGGTCACCACTGACTATATGAAGGTGAACTCAGGAAACACAGCTTACAGTTTAATAGGATAGACAAATCTAAGATATAGTAAAACAAATACAATATATATTTTTAAATTTTTAAAATACTTTTTAAAAGAAAATTTACAAAAATGCAGTCTGAGAGAAGTGTGAGGGACACAAATTTAGATTGTGGGCCAGGAATAGTCTTTCTTCAGAGGACATTATGAGGCTCAAAGAAAGAGTAGAGAGTGCCCCATATGAAGAGTGGTAGGGATACCAACACGTATGAAGCAATAGACTATAAAGGGTTTGGAACATCAGAGGAACAGAACCAAAAATCACCAGTCTAGATGAAGTAAGGAAAAGAGAGAGGACTAAGATTCAGTTGGAAAAGTAGGCCAGAGTCAGACAATGCAAGGCCGTATGTGCCATATATTGATTTAGAATGTTTAATACAATTTAGCTTTTAGAAGAAGTTAAATATTTGTGGGCAGACAAATTATTCTCCTGTCCCTCCTGTTTTCATTTAAACACTCTGCACTGACCTCATTATCTTTGGAAGCTTAAGATTCCTAAGCATCTTTCCTAAAAGCCTATTTGCCCAGGCCCTTCTGGTTCCCTCATTCAATCTCAAATTAGACCTGTTCTACTTCTCCCTTAAATTCTTATGAAGAGTTAATTTAATGAATTCATAAGTGCTAAAATGTCATTATGCTGTTTAATATAATAAATCATTATGTTGTTCCATCAATTAATATGTCTATTTACTGATGCTTTTTAAAGCACTAACATAAAAATTGAAAAATGTGAGATTTTCAACAAATTGCCATGGGAAATGAAGGTGATATTGAAGCTGAGAAAAGTTGGCCTTATCAGATTACATCTGTGGCCAACTTTTATCCCTGAATGTAAGTGTGTGACCAGTGACATTTCCAGCAAAGCACATTTTAAGCAAAATATACTGCCTAAATAACACTTCTTCCAGAAGCAGTAATCAAATAAATGTTTTAAGTCTAGGGATTAGGAACAAAAGCCTTTTAGTTTTATTTCCTCTCCAAGGCAATCATTTTAAAGTGTGTAAAAAGTAAAAAAGTAAAGTATTTAAAGTATTTTAAATTGTTCAGAGCATAAGATGAAGGCAAAAAACAAACAAACAAAAAATAACTAACAGCAGTACAGGCAATATGATTATTCCCAATTTAATGGTGAGAAAACAGGACATAGAAATCAAAGAGTTAGTTAGATCAAACTTGAGTTTCATATTTACAAGTCCAAATTACAAGCCCTGTCTGTTTTCCATTTTGCAACTTGAAAAACAATTTTCTTAATATTTGGCTAATATGTATATTATGATACAGGACCTGCAGATAGTTTAGATAGATGCATTTAAATTGGATCACTTTTCCTAATCCTTCTTTCTCTTTCTGTAAGTTATTAAACACTCGCCCTGTAACTTTGCAGTGCTTCCCCACTGTGGGTGGAGCATTTTTCTCACAACGCTGATAGTGGATAGGGCTTTCTGATTTGGATTGGTCAATGAAATATTAGTAGATGTGACAATTAGCACAGGCTTTCAAATTCTACATAGTTCAATTTGCCCTCTTGCATTGCTGAGATCCACCATAAGTAGAGCCTGGCCTGGGTAGACATGCTCCACTGTTCTACACATATTTAAAAGAAACCATATTTACCCAAAAATATTCTAACAGAGGTATTAAAATTAAGAGTTATCATTTATTGTGTGCTACTATTATGTACCAGGCTTTTTTTTAAGTGTTTTATAATCTAAGCCATACATCCTACTTGCCATTTTAGAGTTTAAAACTGGCATTCAGAGAATTCATATAATTTGCTAATAAAAAATAGAATTTAGAATTGAACCACGACCGGTTTGACTTTAATTCCATGATCTTTCCCAGTAATGTTACCTACTGGTATCTAAAATTTACCAAATTTTTCGCTAATATATGAATACCATACTTAGTTTTCAACCCCCATAAGATTCCCAGAGACATTAATAGGCATTGATAGCATTATCAATATTTTACTAAAAAATGGAAATTGAATGACTTGCCTTGTGATTTATTCAGGTAATAAAGCTATCAGTGAAGAATTCCCTCATTATTCCAAAATTATATTTAGTTCTCTGCCAAAAATATTTTTCCCTCTTGGACATGAATTCCAGTTTTCTTACCTTTTCAAATATTTTTTTCTTTCAGTTATCGCTTTACACTTTCATATTATTAATTTCTCACTTTATATGGCCAACTCAGTCCTACATATCTCTTTCCAGCAGATTTCTCCAATTCTTCCTCTCATAAAATCTGCAATCCAATCTAACTAGTCTTCACCATTCCCCTGAAACCTGCCCTCATTCAGCAGCATAAATTTATATCTGCCTGTATGCTAATCCCAGACTCACATATCCAACTGCTTACCTGGGATCTACAAGTCAGTGATAAATAAGTACCTCCAGGTTAAGATGTTTAAAAGAATCCTTTTGAAATGAAACACTTTCAATTTATTGTGTGCTTAAGAGGGGGATAAAAGGGAACAGAGCTAGAACTGAAATTTCAAGAATCTCTGTAGGCAATAACAATGGACAACAAAATTTACAAGCACTGAATTATATTTTGATGCATAATTTCATTTCCATTGTAATATTATACTCAACTAAATCATATATTTAAAATTAATTGTAAAATGACAACTAAAATACATCAAAAGCTCTAATTTATATTTTCATAATTTTGAAAGATTTAAGATTCATTTTATTTAAAAGTAAGATGAAGCTATTTCTGCATCTGTGTGTATACATGTGCATATACATGAATGTTTTGTAGGACATATTTCAACTTACATTAGCTACATAGGTAATTATTCTGTTGATGTTTTGGCACAAAATTTAGAACGCTTCCTATTTGATCATATGACCCAGATATTCTTCCAGCTGTAATAAATAATATCTATTTGTGCTATTTACTCCCTCACATGGTATTATATATATATATAATTATATTTTGCATTTGATCTATATTGATAACATTTAAATTTTGTTCCATATACAGCACATGAAGATAATTGGCATTGTAAGATAATATGCTCTTTGTATATTTGATGGCATTTAAATTTAGTTCTCTACACAGAAGATAAAAATAATTAGCATTATAAAATCACATACCCTTTTTGAAGAACAGAATATACGATACTAGTGTATTTACCATGATGATTAGTTGAACAGGTGCATTAATATTGGTCATGAAAATGTTGGCTATAAATCAGAGGAGAAATCATTTTAAATACATAAAATATTTGATTAATTCAATTGATACGCATGCTCAGAATTATTTCTGTATGAATAATTATATACACATACAGAGGCAAACAGTCATATTTACAAAAGTCAATACCACACTATAGGTGGGAGGCATAATTTTAACATAACCCCCAAAGAGTCACGTTGTTGTACAGTTCCCTCCCTTATCACTTGCTTCTCACCAATAAAATATGGCAAAGGTGACGGGATAGTAACTCCCTTAATGAGTTATGTTATACGGCAAAGGTGAAGGAAAGTCATTACCATGACTGTGTTGTTATATGAGACTCCGTCTTGGCAGACTGCATGGGAGATTCTCTGGCTGGCTTTGAAGTAAGCTGACATATTGTAACAAGGCCTGTGAGTGGGCCGTATGACAAGTTACAGGGGCTGCTAGTTGGTGAGTGGGCTCTGGCTGACCATTAGCATGAAATGGGGACCTCAGTCCTACAACTAAATGAAACTAATTTCTGAAACAACCATCTGAGCCCGAAAGAGGACCCTGAGCTCTAAAGAACACAGCTGAGCCAACACTGTGATTGCAGCCTTGTGAGATTCAGAGAACAGAACCGAGTTTAGCTGGACCCAAACTGAGATGAGAAATGTAAATTCCTTGGCTCTTAATAAAATGTCAGAAAAATAACAGATGCTGGCAAGGTTGCAAAGAAAAAGCAAAGCTTATACACTGTTACTGGGAATGTAAATTAATTCAACCATTGTGGAAAACAGTGTGGTAATTCCTCAATGACCTGAAAAAAAAAAAAAAGATACCATTCAACCCAGCAATCCCATTATTGATATAGCTATATATCCAAAGGAATATATACCCAAAAGAATGTACATCTTTCTAACATAAAGACATATGCATGTGTACATTTATTACAGCACTATTCACAATAGCAAAGACATGGAATCAACCTAAATGCCCATCAATGATATACTGTGTAATAAAAAGGTGGCACATATACACCATAGAATACTATGCAGCCATGAAAAGGAATGAGTTCATGTCCTTTGCAGGAACATGGATGGAGCTGGAAGCCATTATCCTTAGCAAACTAACGCTGGAACAAAAAACTAAATATCATATGTTCTCACTTATAAGTGGGAGCTAAATGATGAGAACACATGGACACGTAAAGGGGAACAACACACACTGGGGCCTCAGAGAGGAGAGAGTGGGAGGAGGGAGAGGATCAGGAAAATTAACTAATGGGTACTAGGCTTAGTACCTGCGTGATGAAATAATTTCTATACCAAATCTCCATGACACAAATTTACCTATATATTAAACCTGCGCATGTATCCCTGAACCTAAAATAAAAGGGAAATTAAAAAAAAAAGAAATGTAAATTTTTTTAAGCTGCTAAGTTTTAGTAATTTATAACCAGCAATAGTAAATGAATGTACTACATGTAAAATTTATACTCTAGTCATTCAATACATTGTTTCCTTTGTAAAATTTCTACTCTAGTTATTGAATACATCGTTTCCTTCTCTATGTCACTATGTTTTTAAACAAGTTCTTACATTGTTATAAAATACATAAAATGTATAAAATACATCCTATAAACACATAGAGATGTCATGTATTATTTTACCACCTTATTGTCATTAAACATACACGTTGTTTTAATCTTAATTTTTTTTTGCAAATAATGTCTCAGTGAACATCTGCAGGTATAAATTGTTTTGTATGCCATGTTAGGTTTGTAAGAGATTCCAAGCAGTGGAAATACTGTGTTCAATGGCAGGATGGTAGGAACATGTTATGGATATTGACTCACGGTCTCAAATTGCAATCTAGAAGAATTTCACAAACTTATATGCCTTCTAATAGTATACCAAAGTTTACACAGTACAACCACACTCGCATTAGAAAAATGCATATATGCATATATGTGCATATATATATGCATATATAATTATATTAATATCATTAGCAATTTTATGGACATGCATGACAGGACAACATTGAGATGCATTTCTTGGATTGCTAGTGATTTTGAACATATATTTGGTATGCTGTCTGGATATTTTTTCTTTTACATTGTATTTATTTTTAGATCATGTTTTGATTACTATAGATTATATATTTAGGACATTAATCTTTGATCATCTTGTATTTTGGGGGTTTTTGTTTCATTTGTTTTTAATTCTTTTTTTTTTCTTTTTATAAAAGCTGTTTGACTTTAATGTGTAATGTGTAACAAATATTTCACCCTTTTTTTTATGGTTTCACGCTTTTGTATTCAGAACATCACTGCTCAACTTTAATTAAGCACCAAATATATTTTAAACCTTAATAACATTTATATGAACATTAGGTTTTAGTGCTTTCAGTTTTTTCATCAAAGGCTTCTGGACTTTTTTGGAATATTGTAGAAGTGTTTTCCCTTTGAAATTTTTTGAATTGAATTTTTTATTATTTTGATTTCTTATCTTTTACATATTAAATATATATATATATATGTTCTGTCCAGAAGTTTTAATAATTTGTTGGTTAATTGTAGCATTAGGGTCACTCTCTTTCATTGTATTTTCTTTCATTAAATGTTTTAAGATCTAATTGGCAAGTCCCCACAAACTTTTATAACAAAATATTATTCTTCATTGTTTTATCCCTTCAGAAAAAGTTCAGAATTATTTCATCAAAACCAAATGAAAATGAAATTGAGATTATGTTTGAGGTTATATTATTTATCCAGTATGTATCGTACTTGATTTTATCTAAACTAGATATATTTTACTTTTAAGGAATATAATTTGATTTCAAATTGTCTAAAATATGTTTTATGGAGCATTGCTTTAAATGACATTTTGAACATCTGCTGAGATTATTTCATAGAATTCTTAACAGACCATTCAAAGTAATGTTGTTTATAAAATAAACCAAATTGATCTTTTTTATTTATCTTTAATAGTCTTTTCAAACTAGGACCTGGCCAGCCTTTGAGAATACTGGAGGGGCCTCAGGGGCTCCTGTGTGAGCAAAGAGAAGGCAGAAGAGAGAGATTTAGCTGATGTTTGCTCCAGACTCCTGCTTAAAACAAAACATTTCTTCTTTAATCTTAATTAGGCCCCTGAGATTTTTTAATGTTTCCAGGATTTGCACATTTTATTTTTTGTTTGTTGCAAGCATGGATTACACTTACAATTCATTTGGTTATTTGAGCTTGCAAACTTCTAAAATGAATTTTGTAACTTTTAATGTTATTATCAATGTTGGAACAGTAAATATGAAATGAGAACTTCCAATTGTCCTAAAGTTTGTAGGTACAAATTTATTATTTGACCTCTGCCAAAAAAAAAAAAAAAAGTATGTTAAAAAACTCAAGGTATTATTCCAGTGTAATGAATCGGCTCAAACATTTGTTAATATTATTATAATTTTGATAGTTTATATTGTCCTTCAAATTACCCATTTGTAGATTGTCAACTTATTAATATAAAGTTAATAAATCAACCACTATATCTGCTCATTAAAATCTTGCTTTTATTTCTAATATAATAATGTTATTAATTTTTCCTAGAACATATTTACTAAAGACTTTACCATTTTACTGAGGGCTTATTTTTGAAGAATTTAGTACTAAGATTCCAAATTTTTCCAAATTATCCAATATGTTTACTGTTAGGTTTAATATATATGTCCCTAATTTTATAACAAATAAAAAATGAAACCACTTAGTTTCACAAATATAGTCTTAAAGCCATGTACATTTGTACCATAGTTTATCATTTTGTATATATGTCACTTTAATAATTTTTAAATATTCTTACAGTTTTGATTTATATAATTCAATAATTTATTCAGTAGACAATTTCTATTCAGATTTGGTGGATTTTCTGGTATCAATTATTATAATTTCTAGTTTTTTTGTACTGTGATCAGAAAATGAGGTTTATGCTGTGTGTGTTTTAAGAACTTGAGATTTTCTCTGTAGCATGCTTTAACCATTTTTTAGGTATTGTATACATATTTAAATACTGTATATATATTTAAAAGATGTCCATGCTCTGTAGATTAAAATATTTAATCTATAATTGAGACTATATTATCCATATTTTCTATAATTTTTGTATAATTATTTGACAAATTTAGTATTGATAATATTTCTGCAACTTTCAACTTTATTTTTAAATTTACATCTGCATGAAATCATTACAGGCTGAAAGTTTTATTATTACAATATCTTCTCTGGATTTTAATTACTGCTATTTTAATTAGTATCATAATTAAACTTTTTATGTCATATTGCTGTATTTCTTAATTTTGCCCTGGGTTATTCTTTGTTTAGTACACCTAAGGCTACATCTGTTTAAACTTTGTAGTTTTCTGATACATCTTTCTTCATTTTCATATTTTTCACATCTTTCTTTTTTAGTGGGTGTACTACTAACATAATATAATTAGATTTTCTTGAATAAAGTTGGAGAGTATGTTAATAAAAGGGATTAATATGTTTACATAAAACAGATACATTTTGCCTCATGTTTCTCACCAGCTTCCATGCAATTTTTAAACAGGACTCCTGGATCTTATTTTGTGCTATTTTATTCTTCCTTGCATTTAAAAATAAATGTGTACAATTTCATTGATTCATTTGTGCTGGTTTTTAAGAATGCATTATTTGAGTAGTTCTAGAAATACAGATTATATTCACACTGCACTTCTGATCAATTAGAATATCCTGCTGGCTCTATGTTCAAAATATATCCACTGCCCCCTCTGCCACTACCCTGTTCTTAGCAGCCTCCAACCTGGATTATACTACTAGCCTCCTAAACAATCATCCTGATTTTACCTTTTCCAGCAGCCAGAATTATCCTTTTAAAACAAAAGTCCAGTCAAGTCACTTCTCTTTTAAAAATTCTCCAACACTTATCTTTTCTTTCAAAGTCAGTGTCTAAGATCTTATAGTGTGAAAACTGAAGTCTTACATGTTACAGCTGCACAGTTATCTCTCTGATTCATCTCTCATGCTTGCCACATCACTTCCTCCATTCTAGCCTCCTTGACATCCTTGCTGTACCTTGGATATGCCAGTCAAATCTCTTCCTTGGATATGCCACTCAAATCTCTACCTCAGGTCTTCCAATTGACTGCTCCTGTTGTCTAGAACACCTTTTTTTCCAGGGAGATAACTCCTTCACTTCCTTCATCTTAAGCTGCAAACATTTAGAGGGACCTCCGCTAGAGGAAGGGCAGATAGAGGAGAAAGCCCTAACCCTGAGACCTGGGCACCTAAGAATCTGTCTGTGCTCCCCATCCCCGTGGCCCCCTCCTCCCACCAGGCCAGTAAGCCCTAAGTAACAAGCAAGACCACTGATGAAAGAAGTGAGCATGAAGGGAGAATTCTGAGGTGAAGGTGGACAGCAAAACCCTAACACATCAGGGATGGAGCAGACACACCAAGAAAACATTTCTGGCAAGACAACTCCCACTAAAATCACAAGAAACTCTACAGGAACTGTCTCAAGGATAGACTTCTTTTTCCTTTCCCCTGTCACTAGTAGGTTTTCACCCGTGCCCTGAGAAAGACAAGGGCTACCTTAAGGCTTTTGCCTGTAAGGAAAGGGTCTAAGCATGGTTTCAGCATTTCCTTCACTGGCAGCTGACATCCTCCTGTAGGTCTGCCCACCGAGGAAAATTTTCTCCAGTGCCCAGCCCTGCCCTCAATCTCAGGAAGCACCTTCCTCAACACCCAGGAAAGTCCATAGCCTTGTAATTGAGTGCAAATTCCCCTTTATCTGCTCTACTTTGTCTTGAGTAAGCCCACATTTGGCCTTTAGTATTTAGTTAAAAATTTTATCTGAATTGCTTTTTACCCACTTGTATTCCAGCCACAATTTCCCCTTTGCTCTGCCAAGGGTAAGCCCGTGTGTGCATCCTGGTTCTTTTTGAAGACATCTGTCATTTCTCCAGTTTCAGATTAGTTGTGTGCTCTGGAGCCTAATCTCTCTGAAGGATTTGAGAAAAATATGACCTTCCAGATTACCTGCATCTTTCTTATTGCCTAGGTGAGAACATTGCTCTTTCCAGCTCTCTGTAAACTGGGTGGAAACCGGAATTTCCCGACTTTTTATGTAGACAAATTGTTCCATGGGACAATTCTTGACTGCTTTCTGTAAGATGAAAATACCACATTCCTTCAAAGTTAAGTGGGTCTGAATTTCTTCATTTTTATGCAAAGTTTATGAAAAAACGTAATATACATTCAGCTTGACGGGTCAACTTTTCCTATTTAACCAATATTACTTCTTATTTGTGTGTATGATAGCGCCCTTCTGTATGAATTTTTCTATTTTTCTTCTAATTTTCTGGTTAGGCATTAAAATAAATTGTCAAGAAATTATTCATTTGGGCCTACCATGTCTTAATTTGTATTCTATTTTATTCTATTTAATTTTTTTTCTTTTCCAGGAAGCATTTTTGTTCTCTAGCTTTGTTTTACAAGCAGTCTGAGTTCTCTTTATGCTAAAACAGAGGCTGATCTTGATCTTGAGGCATATTAACATTACTTCAGAGAATAACAAAACTCAGCCTCCTATCTTCTGTTTTAAAAATAAAAACACTTTACTGAGGTATAATTGACAAAAAAAAAGCTGTAGATATTTGGTATATGTAAGCTGATGTGTTTAGAGATCATTATACATCCATAAAACCATGAAACTATCATCACTATTAATGCCATAAACTTATCCATTACTGCCAAAATTTTCCTCCCATGCCTTTAGTTCAGTTTAGTTTTCCTTTTGTGGTAAGAACACTTAATATAAGAGCAACCCTATTAGCAAATTTGTAAGTATACAATTGTTAATAATAGGTCCGTGTATATGGTAGATGTCCATATCTTATTATTGTATATAACTGAAACTCTGCCATGTTTCTTCCTCCCTTACAACTCCTGGCAAATTAACCTTTCACTTTCTGCTTCTGTGTGTAAAGATTTTAGATTCTACATATAAATAAGATCATGCAGTATTTGCCTTTCTATAGCTGGCTTATTTCACTCAGTATAATGTCCTCTAGGTCCGTCAATGTTGTCACAAATGGCAAGAGTCCCTTCTTTTAAGGCTGAATAATATTCTATTGTATGTATGTATGTACCATATTTTCTTTATCTGTTCATCTGTCAATGGACATTTAGGCTGTTTTCATATCTTGGCTATTGTGAATAATGCTGCAATTACCATGGAAGTGCAGATATCTTTTCAAGATCCAGATTTCAATTTACTTGGATATACAGGAGGCGCTCCTTATTTATGGTTTCATTTTCTGCAGTTTTAGTTTTCTGTGCTAACTGCAGTCTGAAAATGTTAGATGAAAAATTTCAGAAATAAGTTATAAGTTTTAAATTGTGCATCACCATTCTGAGTAGTGTGATGAAATCTTGCACCATCCTGCTCTCTCCCACCCAAGATGTGAATCCCTCCTTTGTCCGCTATATCCATACTGTCTATACTACCTACTCATTAGTCATTAAGTAGCTGTCTAGGGTATCAGATCAACTACCTTGGTATGGCAGTTGTGTTCAAGTAATCCTTATCTGACTTACTAATGGCCCCAAAGCCCATGAGTAGTGATGCTGGCAATTTGGAAGCAAAGAGAAGTAATAAAGTTCTTCCTTTAAGTGAAAAGGTGACTTTGGCCTTCCTTAGCCATAGTTTGGCACATCTGTAATTTCAGGCATTCACTAGGGCCCTTGGAATGCATCCCCTGTTGATAAGTGGGGACTACTATATATCCAAAAGTGGGATTGCTGGATCAAATGGAAATTCTGTTTTTAATTTTTTTGAAAACCACCAAAGGTGTTAAACGGCTGTTAAAGCCATTAAGTTTTTCAATTCAGTTATTTTATTATTCAGTTTCAAAATGTCTGCTTTATTTTTATTTAATTTATTTATTTATTTATTTTTTTGAGACAAAGTTTCACTCTTGTCACCTAGGCTGGAGTGCAATGGCACGATCTCGGCTCACTGCAACCTCCACCTTCCAGGTTCAAGCCATTCTCTTGCCTCAGCCTCCTGAGTAGCTGGGATTACAGGCATGCAACACCACACCCAGCTAATTTTTGTATTGTTAGTAGAGACGGGGTTTCACCATGTTGGCCAGGCTGGTCTCGAACTCCTGACCTCAGGTGATCCACCCACCTCATCCTCCCAAAGTGCTGGGATTACAGGCGTGAGCCACCGCGCCTGGCCTCATTCTTTTTTATGATATGTATTTCTTTTTGGAATACTTTTGTTCATGTATTATTTACCTAATTTTGTTTAGTTGTCAATCTCTGCAGTCTTGGCAGCTAATTGAACTTTTTAGGATGATTATTTTAAATTTTTGTCAAGCAGTTCATAGATTTCTATTTCTTTAGAATCAGTTACTACAGTTTTATTAGATTCCTTTGGTGCTGTCACATTTGCCTGATACCTTGTGATCCTTGCAGCCTTGCATTGATGTCTGAGAATGTGGAGACGAAGTCATCTCTTCCAGTTTTTTTTGTTGTTGTTGTTTTGTTTTGTTTTGTTTTGAGACAGAGTCTTGCTCACTGCAACCTCTGCCTTCCAGTTTCGTCTCACTCACTGCAACCTCTGCCTCCCAGGTTCAAGCAATCCTTGTGCCTCAGCCTCCCCAGTAGCTAGGATTGCAGGTGTGCACCACCACAACCGGCTAATTTTTGTATTTTTAGTAGAGAAGGAGTTTCACCATGTTGGCCAGGCTGGTCTTGAACTTCTGACCTCAGGTGATCCGCCCACCTTGGCCTTCCAAAGTGCTGAGATTACAGGCATGAGCCACCATGCCCAGCCTCCTCTTCCAGTTTTTAACAACTGCTCTCTGCAGGTAAAGACCTTCTGCTGTAATCCTGGATGAATGGGATTTCCTCTAGGATTGTGTCAGGCTTCTCTATTTCTTCAATTGCAAACTAGAGGAGCAGCTATATAGTTTCAAATTTGTTTTAATCTTTATCACTCATGGTTAATTATTCTTCAGTAAACCATTTCAACCACCTCAAAGTTTGCATGAGATGTAATAGTTATCATTTATTATAATTTTATGATTTTAAAATGTCAAATAAGAAAGAACAAAGAAAAATAGATCACTTTTTTAACAAAAACTAGCCTTCATTCACCCAAGTTAAAGTCTGAAAATAGCCTGTTTTAGGAAGTCATGTTTTCCTTTCAGTGTACTTACTCTTCTCATGCATAGTTTTTGTTGGTTGGTTTGTTTCAGTTGGAATGGTACTTAAAGGTTTATAAGAGTAAGTATTACCTACATACTATTAGTTTTAGCATCATATAACTATCACTCTAGTGAATTAGTGAGAGTTACAGGAGGTTGTCAATATACATTTATGCATTTACTTTAACTTTGCTGAGGTTTAAAGGTAATTTCTGCATATTTTACATAAGACGCAATCCAAATCAATGTCTTATTCTCTGAACTGTTAGATGTATACTAAATTCACACATCTTTTTGGAAACAAATGAATACAAATTAAGGCCTGGGGGCACTTCTAGCTCCCATGTTATATAAAGAAAGCATTTCTATGTTAATTCTAGTTTTTCCTATGCTGTCCTAGGCTATTTAACCCAGAAAGGATCAGAGTATCCCATTCCACAAAGTTTCCTCAATCAAGATACATGAGCCCCTGAAATAGCTGATTATTTAATCCTATTTTGCAAATATTATGGAAGATTACTTATAAAGCACATTTATCTTAGAAATAAAAACCTAGGTAGATCTGGCAATATTTTAGTAGGCAATGGATGTGTGAATACAATGCTTTTTACCCCCATTTTTGAAGTAGGAAATAAGATGTATAGAGTTGTTATGGCTTATTTTCCTGAAGACTGTGTTTTTGCATTCTTGAAATTTTGTTCAAGATCGTAGTACAAGATACCGCACTTTACTGGTATCTAACTTTATGCCCATACTTTCTATAAAAACATAAACTGTTAAAATGCCTTTTTATTCTGAGCCTTCTAATAATCTTCTCTTTCTGCTCTTTTCATAACGTTTACAGTGATTAGAAGAGGTGGAAACTGTCAGATTTTCAAACCTGATCAGGGCAAATTCCAAGTTGCAAGGGACTAATATAGTCCTATATGTTTTTCTACTTTAAGTATTTTTCTAAAAGCAACTGTCCTTATCTACACATGTCACATAAATGACACAAATAATTTTTGTACTAAAATAAGAAGAAAAAATACATAGTTCACAATATAAGAATTGTACATATTCAATGAAAAAATCATTTAAGCAAATATCCACCTTGGTGAAAAGCTGTGAAAATCTGTGTTGGAATATTGTTCTTTGCAGTGATGCCTGAAAACTGATAATGCATTAATGTCCGAAGAAATAATGCTTTATAAGAATATACAACCTTGCACCATGTTCATATGTCTAGTGTGCCATTTTAAGCTTGCTTGTATTAAGCTACAGGTACAGAGGTGCTGTAAAATGAAAAGGGGGCAGCTGCTTTACTGCCAAGGTGTCACAGTGTGAGGCAGTGTCTCTATCAGTGCTCTATCAGCACAGAAAACAGTGCTGCAATGAAATAAGCTCAAATGGGCAAAACCTGAACATCTGGCAAACTCAGCTTCATCAGTTGTTTTCACATAGCCGATCTTACTTTATCTTCTCACTTATGAATCCCTGACCAGATTTTCAATTTTATTTACTTATTTCTTCACTTTTAACATTCTGGATATCCACTTTGAGGTATCTTACCTATCTAAATGCTATTGTTAATTGCTACATAGCAAAATTTGAAGACAACATAGAAAGAACCTAATGTAATATTATACCAGAACGCGAAATAAACTTTGTTTCAAGTAGCATAAGTGAGTGTATATATAAGTATATGCACTTATATGTATATTACAACATATGTAAAAAATATATATGATATATATCACATTATATATAATAGAGCATAAACATTATGTATTTCACTACATATAATATGTAGTTTATTATATAAATAGTTTAATCTATGTATATATATATATATATATATTTTTTTTTTTTTTTTTGAGACGGAGTCTTGCTCTGTCACCCAGGCTGTGATCTCGGCTCACTGCAAGCTCTGCCTCCTAGGTTCATGCCATTCTGCTGCCTCTGCCTCCTGAGTAGCTGGGACCACAGGAGGCCGCCAGCACACCCGGCTAATTTTTTTGTATTTTTAGTAGAGACGGGGTTTCACCGTATTAGCCAGGATGGTCTCGATCTCCTGACCTCGTGATCCGCCCACCTCGGCCTCCCAAAGTACTGGAATTACAGGCGTGAGCCACCGCACCCAGCCTGTATTTCACTATATATAATATGTAGTTTATTATATAAATAGTTAAATCTATGTATACATAATATAGTACTATCGACTATCAAGGATGTTCTATCAAACCAATTTTGCAAACCATTTTGTACCAAACATCTCTCTGAATACATGGTATTGTCTTCATGTGGTACCCTTAGAGATGACTTTTATTACCTTTTCAATTGGGTTTATTCGAAACCATCTTGCTATGTTAATATATTTTAAATAATGTAGGGAATAGCAAGTGATCTAACCAAAATGACGACTGACTTCCAGAAGGACAATTTTCCCATTACGACATGGTAGAAAATGTCTAACCTTAGAATACCTCTAAAATATCAGAATCACTACACACACACACACACACACACACACACACACACACAGAGAGAGAGAGAGAGAGAGAGAGAGAGAGAGAGAATATGCCATATAATTTTAGAAACAGTATCAAGATTGTGAGGAGAACAAAAGCAAGGCTCTAAATGCACGTAAACACTTATTACTTATCATTTTAAAAGCCTGTATTTATGTTCTACATTTCAGAAATCACTGTGTTCGCTTCAAAAAATACAACGAATAATGTTTTGTTCTTGCACTCAAATAACACTTATTCTGGTGGGAAAAAGTTAACATTAAAAATACAATTCAATTTCAAAAGCAATGTAGAAAAGGAGCAGAGAGAATGAGTTTACTAACTCTAACGGAGTCAAGGAAAATTTTACAGAAGGGTTAAACTTGTGCTGAGAGGGTGAAAGAGGATTTGAAGGTCACCATTAAGAAAAAAACAGAAAAGGTAATCCCAGATAAGCACATGAAGGTTTGAAAGAGCAAGGCTTGAATAGTTAAACCCTGGTAGCTTACATGACTAATCCAGATAATAGATGGGGGAAGTTAGAGAAGATTGTTAAAGCCTCCAGTAGCTATGAATCACAGTAGTGCTGCTGGGCATCTTTGTTAATAACTCTAAAGTTTATATATGAAAACTTTGGCTTTATATTGTTTTATTCTGTATTCTTTAACATGGCTTTCAGTTAGATACCCTTTAGTAAGTAAAGAAATACTCCTTTATTCTTATATTGTCTACTTTTATTTAGAAATTACATCTAATCCTTCTTGGGCATCTATCATGATGATATTAAATTTCTCCTCTCTACTCTTATTGAAAATTACATTAATAGAGATGTAAAGATTGTTTAGATAATTATTACTTTCTTGAAATAAATACATTAATTCACTATTTATGATTTCAAAATGTGTATTACACATGCAACTATTTATTATTTATGACTTTTCATCAATGTTCATAAAGTAAAGCTGACATAAGCTTTTTATTTTTCTACCTAATTTTGTCTAATCTTGGAAAACAAGGGGAGAAGCCAACTTGGAAGTGGATCCTCCATCCCCAAGTTATCGAGCAGGTACCATGTGGATCAGGAAAGAAGCTCCCATACAAATCCTTTCCAACTTCCTGACTTACAAAAACATAGATAAAATAAAATGGTTATTTAAACCCATTACATCTTGGGATGGCTTGTTATATAACAATAAGTAACTGAACACCAATTCACTTATATAAAGCTTTATGTTCCTAACAAATAAAACAGAGACTTATCTAAGCTATGCATGGTCCCTTAGTACCGATTTGTAACCCATACTGCAATGCTGCTGCCATGTAAAATCATCTGGTTCTATTGTTGCTTGGGAGTAAGAGAATTTTACAAGCTTTTAAATTTGTTCTATTATTAGTAGTATATTCTCTTTCCAACTGTATTCAAAGGCAACATTACTGAAATATAAACTCATCATTTTCAGTTGGATTTTCAAATTAATTGATGGAAAATGTTATATTGAGAAAACAAATTGAAGTACAAAGTACTTACAACTTGTTCTCTCTTTTCCTTAACTTTTATCCCCAAATAAGAATTTTCTTTGTTTTTGCTGCTGGGTCACAAGACATTTGTTCGTTTCATTTTTGTTGCATGAGGTAAAGGGAACTTATGTAGTTCTGAGGAAGCAAAAATAAATGAATAGATAAAATAATATATGGCATACTATCTGTCTATCATCTATCTATCTCTAGATGTGTACAGATACACATTTGTCAAAAATGGCTAGGTATATCACAAAGTAAATAACTGATATAAACATTATAAAACCTTAAAAATGCATATTTCACTATAAGTACACACGTAAATATATGTAAAAGAGGAATATCATTAAAGATAAAAAGAGTAACATATACACAAACAAAAAATTCATCAAGACAAAGCAATCACAAACATATATTTCCAATAATATCTCAAAATTGTAAAGTAAAAACAGACCAAAAATAGAGGAAAAAATGTGTCGGACTTTAACCTATCTCTCTAAGAAATGGGTATAGAAAGCGGAAATTCTGGACATTAGCTCTTTGTCAGATGGATAGATTGCAAAAAATTTTCTCCCATTCTGGAGGTTGCCTGTTCACTCTGATGATAGTTTCTTTTGCTGTGCAGACCATCATTCTCAGCAAACTATCACAAGATCAAAAAGCCAAACACCACATGTTCTCACTCATAAGTGGGAGTTGAACAATGAAAACACATGGACACAGGGAGGAGAACATCTCATACCAGGGCCTGTCAGGGCAGGGTTGCGGGGGGTAGGGGGGGGCTAGGGGAGGGATATCTTTAGGAGAAATACCTAATGTAGGTGACAGGTTGATGGGTGCAGCAAACCACCATGGCACATGTATACCTATGTAACAAAATTGCATGTTCTGCACATGTAACCCAGAACATAAAATATAATTAAAAAAAAGAAAGTGGAAATTGTATGGGTATAAAATATTTGATAAAAAGGTAATGGATATTTATTGAATCATAGCTCTGATAAATAATATATATGCAAACACACACATATATTTCTCAACTTGGGAGATTTGTCTCCAGGGATATTTGGCAATGGCTGGAGATGGACATTTGGACATTTGGCGACGCTGCTAACGTCCAACAATGCGTAGGACAACAAAGAATTATCTAGATCAAAATGTTCATAGTGCCTCTCTAGAGAACCTTTGATAGTTATTATATGTAAATGTATATACACACATAAATGTATATTTCTATAGCTCTATATACATATTAGTATCTATATATACTATTCATATATCAATTAAAGAGACAATGTGACATTTGTTTCAGGTCTAGTATTAAAACAGATTTAACAAATTAAGTCTCCTTGTTCCTTGCTCTGCTAGGCAAATAGATCACAATATTTTTTCAAAAACCCTCTAAGTTGCTGTTATATATACATAAATTCAATATAATATTTGAGAGGGAAATTCCATATTTTACTGCATGGTATTTTTTTATTATGTAAGTTACCGTATTCCTTCAATCATTTTGTTTTTAGATTAAGTAGATATTTTGTATATTGTGACTATGGTGAATACATAATATTTTCTGCCCCAAAATACACAACTTTGAATGAATTGGTTTCCAACTTAACCCAAGATAGGTCGGTTTCTCTTTGGAGGTAAAATTAAAAGATTCCAGAGCATTTGGAAGCCACGTGTCCTAGGTCATAAAGGTGTCAGATGCCATCTTGGGCCCTGTCCTATTTTGCACTGCTAGCGTGAGCGATTATTACTAAATATAATACATCCTTCCAGTATTTTGAAAAAGAGAAAAGGTTAATACACACAGGATTATATAGTTTAAATGCTTATTAATGGGTGTTGGACACTATATATTAACTTACTCAAAACAAGCCAAAAAAAAATTCATTAGTTCTCAGAATCAAAACACACACACAAAAGCAGGGCGGAGTTCCTCCAGGGATTGGAAAGCTGTCAGGACTCTAGGCCTCTCACCCTTACTCACATCTGCATGTATGTTATTTTTATTTTCTTTCACTGCAGATGCCTTTCTTTCTCTGGCAGAGAACAGCTTCTCTGGAAACTCTGCATTTGCATTTGTAAAGTGTCATCATCACTAGGGGGAAGAAAATTCGCACACTCCCCCATTCAGTGCCAACTAAAAATGCAGGAGGAATGATTCTCCTAGATCAGGGAGAAAATACATCACAATTGATGGAGTATGAATCACAGTCAATGGAGCATACAATTTGTGATTCTGGTCAGAAACACACAAGTGGAGTGTGGAAGCCACCTCTGAAAAAGACTCTGTATCATTGTTATGGGCTCCTCATATGTTGAAATCTTAACTCTGAGTACCTCAGAATGTGACTGTGTTTGGAGATAAGGTCTTTAAAGAGGTAAGTATGTTAAAATGAGGTTCTTAGGGTGGGCCTTAATCAAATATGAATGGTCTTTTTATAGGAGGCAGAAATTAGGGCACAGCTGTGTGCACATACAAAGGGACAATCATGTGAAGACACAGGGAGAAGATGGCCATCTACAAGCCAGAGAGCGAGATCTCAGAAGGAACTAACAAGCTAACGCCCTAATCTCAGACTTTCCTCCAAAACCATGAGAAATAATTTCTGTTGTATAGTATTTTGTTATGGCAGCTATAGCTACTAAGAGTTACTCAAAGAAGGGAATTAGTTTCTACTGAAATCAACCCATCTTCTTTTCCCATAAAAAAAATCAATAGTAAACCCAATAGATACCCATCATGAGACTATGCAACCAATACACATCTGGATGAAAGAAGAGATGATTATAAGGGCTTTTTCTTTGCTCTTATCTCTCTCTGTCAGGAATCATAGCACTGATCCCACTAAACGTTACATGATTCAGTCCACTTTCTCTATCGTTCCTATATTTCCAAGCTACTTATTTTTCTTTCATTTTTACTATTAAAATTCTTAATGGGTTCAGTAAGGTAGCTTAATACTAATAATTTAGTATAGAAAATGGCATGTCACAGTTATCATAACTCAGAATATGTTTAATGACTCAATCTGGCTCTAAGGCATGTTCTCAGCACTTTCTTCTCATAGCCTTTCACCATTCTCACCTACTTTGCTCAAGAAAACAATCTGCTGTCACATTCAATGTCTGTTTTTTTCCTATTCTAATAAAAACATTTATATGTATAAATTACACACTATTTGAGAATAAATACAAAGGTGTATTTTAAAGTTAAGACTCCTCTTTATTTAGCCAAGCCCAAAGTACCATATAATTGGGGTAGAAAACCTTTGAATTTTATTACAGTAAAAGAAAATTGCAATATACATTTTACTTAGTGTTTTTAGAAAGATGTAGCATGCAATAAAAATTCATTTCAAAGCTACACAAACGGAAAGCATTTTCTCTTTCTCTGCTTTTACTGTCAATCAACTTGCATTATTATTAAAAATACCGCAGGAAATATTGCTACATCATTTTTTTCCTTGATGAAGATTCAGATGGGCTGAATCTTGTATGGAAAATAATGCCAAATTCTATATGTAAGTATAGAAAATAAGGTTTTTCCCATATAAACCTTAAAAATTTCCAAAACCCCTATATACCAAAACTGTAAAAAACAGCAAATTTCAAATGTCACCTATAGCAACAAATGTTTCTTTCAAAATATTTTTAAGAATTTCAGTGAAAATAATTTCTACTCAACATACTCCTACTCATGAAAAAGTTACGCTGAATTTAACTTTGCTCTGTTACATTGAGAAATTATAATTTGGGGGAAATTGAGTATAATAAAGATGTCCTATAGGGTATAGGAACATAAAAATTACCTTTCCTGTTGAAAGTTTTCATATGTGTCAATAGATCTGTGTATACTTGCTGCTATAATTATATGCAAATAGGTTTCCAGAAGTAATCATTGATAGTTAAAATCATGTTTTTCTGCATTAAGGCACACATAGCATGCATAAAATTATTTACCATACATAGTTGACAAACAAAACTCAATTCATAAGAGGTCAAACTCTAATCATTTTTAATACTTATTTTACTTTAAAAGGCAATATAAATTTAGTGAAAGAATCTGAAATGTTCTATCCAATTTGTATATAATATTGACACTGATGCAATTTTAAATAATGAAGATGCTTGCACTGCTTATCAGATGGGGTGATAGGATATTCAGTGGGAAAAAAAAAACCTTTTTTCAGATATACTAAGCATCGGGGCAACAAGTGGTAGTAGCATTTTATCTGAGCAAAATTTTTTTCTCCTTTTTTATGTAAAAAAAAAAATTAGGCATACACATGGCACCAAACCAGACTGAAGAATTTTTGTTTTGAAAGCCAGAAAGTACCTAAAGGAAAATTATTGATCATACCTTGGAGATGAAGTAGAAAAGAGAAGCTTTATACTATCCTTTTTATAGGCCATTGAATAGTGGAGGGTCCACATAAGTCTGTCTCTAGACAGGCAAGGCAGGACAAATTAAATCAGAATTTTTTGCTCCAATTTGATCTAATCTGTTTGTGTAGATAAAAACCTCAAAGTTCCATCATGCCAAATATATCATCTTAAGCAATTGGTTTCCTTATCCTCTTTCCTTTGACATTTTATTCTGTGACAGACCAAGAAACAACACCAATTTCCTTTGGAGAGTTTAATTCACATCTGGAATATTTTAGAAAGCTTTCCTGATAGGAATAGCAATCTTAATATGAAAGCATTCACTTTTAATTACATCTTTAAATATCACATGATTTACTTGCATACAAATTGAAGTTCTGGAAAGAATGTCAAAGCAGCTTCAATATTGATATAGTTGAATTCTTTCCCAAGGCCTGAAGAGAAATCTAGCAACCTGAGACACATTCTGAACTTTATAGCTAGCACATGGACAAGCATCTGACTACCCCAGGGAAATGTACACACTACAATAGTTTATTCAAAATTTTTCACAAGGGACTATTTAAGCAGTAAGGACTTACTGGAGGAAACTCCCCTGAGGATATTTAGGAAGACTGGACCCAGGGAGGAAAAGCTAGCTTATTTCCTGCATTTCCCTATTTCTTCTATAAAATATCTTCATGGTAGCAGAAAATGTAATCCTTTTATCTTATTTTTGTAGTCATGGCAAATGTTCAAGTTTATTGAGCAGGTAGTAGGATCTAGTCTCTCTGTTCACATATTCTGCTACGCTCCAGGATACCTGCATTTTAGGCATTCCTGAGAACTCCTTTACAAAGTGTCACTCTGTGCTCACCACACTAGAGGGTCATGCAGATCTGAAACTTGGCCAGCTGCCAACAGAGTTTAAAGGGCCAGACTCGTCAGGATTTATAGGAGATTTTATTAAGAGTTTATTTCATTTGGCTTGGGTTGAGGAGGAAACACCCACTACCTTTCCTTATTTGAGTGAATAGCAAAACCACAATACTCAAGGTGTGGTTGGAGACTCATGGCATAATTTCCTTTAGAAAGTGGAGTCCTCTGACTTATTTAATTTCTGGTTAATTTATTGTTAATAGCACGCACTGCTCTTTTCAAACTATTTTTCTAGGAATTATAAAAAAATCGCACATGCCTCTTTTGCTTTTGTACATAGTATATTTTCACACTAAAAAGTGAAATCATAGTCAGAAAATTTAGTCATGAATGAACACATTCTGTGGTACCATAAGTTCCCTGATTGTTTTTGTACCTCAGTATACAATTTACATTATGTAATGTAATCTGTATACTGAAGTACAGAAAAATTAATTATAAATTAATTCATTGAATTTAAATTAATTGAATTACATTTAATTCATTTAATTGCATTAATTAATAAATTAATCTCTATACCTCAGTATACAGATTACATTGTGCTGTATGACATTTGCTTTGGAATTATAGTTTTCTTTCAGCTGAGAGAAGGGGAACAGATTGATGAGCAATTAACCAGTTTCTGCCATACTCTCCATCATTTAATTAAACATAAATATATATTTAAATATATATATTTAATTACATATCTTATTGAATAAAACAAGCTCCTATTTTGTTCATTGTCAATTTTATTGAGGAATAATTCATATATATCTTTAAATTGTACAGTTTAATGAGTTTTGCAAGTTAGAGATACCACTGACGCACAATCAAAATACAGAATATTTTCATCACCTCACAAGATATTCAGAGCACTTTTGCATTCTATTTCTCTTCAACCCTGACTGCAAGCAAACATTGATTTGGTTTTTGTCATTGTAGTTTATTTTGCATTGACATAATTGAAATTATACTTAATGTTCTCTCATATCTCTGGGTTTTTTTCCATAACATAATGATTTTAAGATTAATCCATATTGCTGCATATATCAGTAGTTTATTCCTTTCATTGCTGAGTATTAGAGCTCCATTAGACAAAATATTAAATACTGTTTATCTATTCACTGAAGGTGGAAACAGTTTTCCTAGTTTCGAACTTTTGTAAATACAATTGCTATAAATATTTATGCACAAGTCTTTGGACAGACATATGATATCAATTATCTTGGGTAAATACATAGGCATAGAAAGATGGGGTTGTATGTTGTGTATGCAGCTTTTTATGAAACTGCCAAGTGATTTTCCAAAATGTTTATAGATTTGTAGCCCCATAATCAGTGAATGACACTTCCAGTTGGTTCACATTCTGGCCAATACTTGGTATTACCAAAGTTTTTCATTTTAGCCATTCTAATGGTGTATACTAGTATCTCATTGTAATTTTGATTTGTATATCTCAGATGGGTAATGATTGTGAATGTCATCTTCTATATGCATTAAGCATTTATTTGTATGTCTTCTACGGTGAAGTCTCTATTCAAACATTTTGTCCATCTTTTATTTTGATAAGATATGTTTTATTATTTTACTTCTTCTTTTTATGATTTTTAATGTTCTAGCCAAGAATAAATGTTGCTAACACCAATGAGAAAATAACTTTTCTATGTTTTTCATTTAGGACTTTTATTATTTTAGCTTTTATTTTTTGGTCTGTGATACATTTCAAGTTAACTTTATGTGCAGAGTAAGGTAAGGATTGATTTCTTCCCATGCATTTACCCACTTGTTTGAGCAAAAATTATTAAAAACCACTATGGAAAACCGTATGGAGACTCCTTAAAGAACAAAAAGTAGATCTACTATTTAATCCAGCAATTTCACTACTGGGTGTCTACCCAGAAGAAAAGAAGTCATTATATGAAAAAGACACTCGCACACAAATGTTTAGAGCAGCACAATTTGCAATTGCAAAAATATGGAACCAGCCTAAATGCCCATCAATCAACAAGTGAAGAAAGAAAACATGGTGTATATATATAACATGGAATACTACTTAGCCATAAAAAGGAACAAAATAATGGCACTGATGGCAACCCAGATGAAGCTGGAGACGATTATTCTAAATGAAGTCACTCAGGCATGGAAAACCAAACACAGTATGTTCTCACTTATAACCAGGAGTTAAGCTATGAGGTTGCAAAGGCATAAGAGTGATACAGTGGACTTTGGGGCCTTGGGGGAAAAGGTGGGAGGGAGGGGTGGTGAGGGATAAAAGACTACACATTGGGTACAGTGTACACTGTTCCGGTGGTGGGTGCACCAAAATCTCAGAAATCACCACTAAAGAACTTATCCATGTAACAAAATACCACCTGTTCCCTAAGATCTATTGAAATAAAAAAATTACTTTCCCAATTGAATTGCCTTGGTAACTCTGTTAAAAATTAACTGGACACACACACACACACACACACACACACACACACAAGCACACATATATATATAGTATGATAAAGTGCGATATATAAAAATATCTATATTGCTATAGTACAGATATCTAGATAGATCATATTGATATATAGATCCTTAGATATCTATATTGATAGATATCAATCTATAGATCTATCTAGATATAATGTGATATATAAATCCATATATCAATATGGATCTACTGATATACAGATATCTATATTCTACTATATATAGATAGATATAGATATAGATATAGATATATAGATTCTACATACATATTTGTTTCTGGACTTTATCCCACTATGTTTAATCTACATATCTATCCTGCTACCAAAACCTCATGTCCTTGATTAATGTCACTTTAAATAAGTCTTGAAATCAGGTAGTGTAGGTCTTCTGATTTGGTTCTTCTTTTTAATATTACTTTAACTATAGTAGTTTGTTTTTATTCCCATATATGTTTTAAAATCAACTTATGAAAATTTCAGAAAAAGACTGAGTATATTTATTTTAATTGCAATGAATATGTATCAATTTTTGAAGATCTGGAATATTAAGTTTTCTAATCCATGATCACAATAACTCTCCAATTATGTAGGTTTTCAATATTTAAAAATATGCTACAGTCTTTATCTTAGAGGTTTGCATATTTTTTGTTTAAAATATTCCTAGATATTTTGTAATTTTTACACATTAAATTTTTTAAATATTGAAATTTAGAATTTAGAAAAACACAATTCATCTTTATATTAGCATTGTATCCTAAAAACCTCTAAACTTAATTTGTATCTGGTAGATTTTTTTTGTTGCTGTTCATTCCTTTAGATTTCCTAGGTAAACAATCAACAATCATGTCAACTGCAAGTAGTGTCAGTTTTATTTAGTCATTCCTAAACCGTATAACTTTTTTTTTGCCATACTGCAAAAGGTAGAACCTTCATACAATATTGAATAAAAGTGATAAAAGAAGATTTCTGTCCTTGTTCACTATTTTAGGAGAAATGCATTCAACAGTTCAACAGCAAAATGAAATAAATTGTGTGTTATAATTGTTTGATTGACTAGTGACAAACTACATATTTATAATATAAAACTGATGTTTTGATATATGTATACATTATGGAATGATTAAATACAACTAATTAACATATTGATCACATAATATACTTAATATTTTTGTGATGAGAACATTTAAAGTCTACTTTCTGAGCAATTTTAAAATATGCTATGCATTATTATTTTGTTGTTGTTTTCAAGACAGGGTTTCGCTCTGTCACTCAGTCTGGAGTGCAGTGGTGTAAACTCTGCCACTGGGGTTCAAATGATTGTCCTGGCTCAGCCTCCCAAGTAGCTGGGACTACAGGCACACACCACCACTCTCGGCTGATTTTTGTATTTTTAGTAGAGATGGGGTTTCACCATGCTGGCCAGGCTGGTCTGGAACTTGTGACCTTAAGTGACCCACCCACCTTGGCCTCCCAAAGTGCTGGGATTACAGGTGTGAGCCACCCTGCCCAGCCCATTATTATTAATTACAGTCACCCTGCCGACAATAGATCTCCAGAACTATTCCCTATGTCTAACTGAAATGTTTAACTGTTTACCCAACATCTTTGCCCTCCCAAGCAGCCCGTTAACCACCATTCCACTTCCTGTTTCTATGAGCTAGATTATTAAATTCCACATATAAAGGAGATCATGAACAATTCGGCTTTCTGTGACTGGGTAGTTCACTAGATATAATGTCCTCCAGATTTATTCATATTTTTGCAAATGACAAAATTTCTTTTTCTTTTTTAAGCTGAATAATACCATTGTGCATATGTACCACAATTACTTTATCCATTCATCCGTTGATGAACCCTTTGGTTAATTCCATATCTTGACTATTGTGAATAATGCTGCAATGAACATCAGAGTGAAGATACCTTTTTGACATACTACTTTTATTTCCTTTAGATACATATTCAAAAGAGGAATTGGTGGGTTATATGGTAGTTCTATTTTTAAGTTTTTTGAGGAACCCCCATACATTTTTCAATATAACTGTAATATTTTACATTTCTACCAACAGTGTACCAGGGTTCCCTTTTCTCTAAGTCCTCACCACATATAATATATATAATCCATTCTTACAGGTGTGTAGTGATATCACATTGTTTAAATTTTCATTTCCCTGATGATTAGTGATGTTGAGCACCTTTCATATAGCTGTTGGTCTTTGTATATCTTCTTTTGAGAACACTCTAGTCAGGTTTTTACGTAGATAATCTTTATCAGTTTATAATGGTTCTCTTCAATTCCTAGTTTATTTATTTTTTAAATAAAAGAGGATTGACTTTTTAGAAATGACTTTTCTAATTCTGTTAAAAGGATCATATGATTTTCTTCTTCATTCTGTGATGTATATTGACTGATTTTCAAGTGTTAAACTTTGCATTCTAGGGATAAACACACTTACTCATAATCTGTATCCTTTTTACACATTGCTAAATTTCCCAGTTGCATCCATGTATATCATTTTTATCGTAACGCTTTTACCCGATTTTATCAGAGAATAATGCACATCTCATAATATTAGCTGCAAATGTTTCCTCCTCTACCAATTTCTCTGAAAAGTTTGTGCAGAATTGGCAATATTTCTTCCTTATTTTATGTAATTTACTAATTAAGCCACCAGGTCATTTAGTTGCCTTTGTAGGAAGTATTTAGTATTAGTTTACTAAGGCTGCCATAACAAAATACCACAGACTGGGTGGCTGCAACAACAGTAATTTCTTTTTGTCTCAGTTCTGAAGGCTAGAAGTCCAATATAAATGTATCTGCAGATTTGATTTCTCTGGATGCCTCTTTCCTTGCCTTGCAGGAACTGCCTTCTGGCTGTATCTCACATTTCTTTTTATCTATGTTTGTGTGCATATCCCTGGTATCTATCTGTGTATCCAAATTTCTTCTTTTTGTCAGTCAGATGGTTAGGGCCCACCTTAATGGCTTCATTTTGAATTAGTTATTTTTTTGAAGATCTTATGTACAAATACAGTCACATTTTAAGATACTAGGGGTTAGCACTTCAACATATCAATTTGAAAGGCACAGAATTAAGCCAATAACTTTGCTAAAATAGAAATTCAATTTCTTTAATAGATACAGAGCTGTTCAGGTTGTTTGTTTCTCCCTGAGTGTGTTTTGTGCTCTATTTTTTGTATGTATGAACAGTTTAGCTAAGTGTTTGTCAACTTTATTGATCTTTTTTTGAGAACCAGCTTTTAGCTTTGTTAATTTTCTCTATTTTCTGCTTTTTCTTTCGTTGTTTCTACTCATTATTTCAGTTTTTATATATGTTGGCTTTACTGTAATATTCCTAACTTCTTGAAAGAATGTTTGATTTTAAATCTTTATTCCTTACTAATATAATCATTTAATGCTGTAAATGTCTCCTCTAAATAATGCTCTAGCTACATAGTTCATGTGTTGGTATCATGTATTTTTATTATCATTCAGTTTAATTTTTTTCTGATTTTCTTCTTCTTTTTTGCTGTGTTATATGAAGCAGTTTATTTAACTTTTTAATATTTGATGTTTTCCTAGATATCTTATTATAACTAGTTACTAATTTAATTCTGCTTTTGTCAGAGAACATCCATGATGTGGTTTCATCTGATATATATTTATCAAGATTTGTTTTATAGTTAGCCCTGCATGTGCTCCAATTTTACTATTTTCTAGTTTGGTTTGTTGTATTGTTTTAATAAGGACAGTTTTTGTTAACTAGGCCTTTTGGTACATATGCATGTTTTCCATTAAAAAGTGAATGAGCTTAATATGCAGCTTCAAGGTTTGGACCAAAAGACATGCAATACATGCATTAAGACAGGAGTTTCATATACCCAAAAAGTACTGTTCAAAATCTTTTTAAATTAGTAATATTTCAATTTTTCCAATCATTTCTGAGCATTTTGAGCTAAATAAGATGCCTGTAAGTGGATGAGTATTAAGTATCCTAAATAATTATTTGATAAATCCTAATTTACTTCTTATCAGTATAGTACTAATCACATCAAGAAAAATAGTCAATTAATTTTATTTAATTCAATAAAATTAAAGAACTACTCGAATTGTCACTGATAAGTCATTTAGCAAATAATTCTGTTGATAGACCTCTAGGTGTATTGTTGTATTTTTGTTTTTGTTTTTTCTTTTTTGGTTGAGACAAGGTTTTGCCATGTTGAAAGGCTGATACTAAACTCTCGGGCTCAAATGATTCACCTGTCTTGCCCTCTCAACGTATTAGGATTACAGGCATGAGCCACTACACCCAGCCGAGATAAGATTCTTGATGTGACAATATTCCTAGCATATACATAGGAATGAATTTAAATAAATATCATTTTAATAATACATTTTTATGAACATATATTAACATTAAAAATAAGTGGCAGTGGAGATTGAAAAGATGTGTGTTTTAATTCTCTATTGCTATTTCCTGATGTGCTGGTTATTGTTGTACTAGTTTTAAAGATTATAAAACACTAACTAGAGAGACATATACTATTGGTATGACCCGTTTCTGGACTAGATTCGCAAAGTTGGCTAGTGCTTACAAGTCCAGCTGTGCTAGAATATACTAGGTAGAGAAAAATGGGATAGCTGGCAATGAACTCTAGATACTGGAGTCACATCTCAGCAGAGGAGAGAAAGGTGGAGCAGAAAGTACTAGCTCTGCTTTCCCTGCAAGAGTATCCATTATTTGAAACCTATAAAATTCAAAAGCAGAGTAAAGGCAAAATTTTATAAAAAAGTATTGAGCAAGTACAAAGGCCTGACTGAACCCCATGGCAACAGAGGCTACAAAAATTTCATTAGTGACAACTTCCGTCCACTAATCTGCTGAGGGTGTTTCACCATCTTGTCACATAAATTAATGATAAGAATATATAAATGTTATTCTATAAAAGATAAGTTATTTATCTTTTATAATTTTAGTTCTATTGATATTCAAGGTAAAGTGTTCCAACCTCAGCTCATATAGTACCATAAAGCCATTTTTTTAGCTAAATTTTGTACCTCACCACTTACCCATACATTCAAATCGTTAGGTTAGTGATGACTTTCAAATCATTGGACAATAAAGTTTTTCTTATTTCTAATAAAAATGTCTCATATACTCCACACATAGACTCCCACTTGACAAACAAGTCATTCATTTAGCTCTCATCACAGTTTCATGACTTTTTATTTTATTATTTTATGATTTTTCCTTTTTGTTTTAAATTCCAGGGTACATGTGCAGGATGTGCAGGCTTGTTACATAGGTAAACGTGTGCCATCATGGGTTGCTGCACCCATCAACCCATCACCTAGGTATTAAGCCCAGCATGCATTAGCTATTTTTCCTAATGCTCTCCCTCCCCTCATGACTTTTTAATTAGTTTTGAAATACTAAAATACTTTCAATGCACTTCCTACAACCTAGTCCAGTTTATTTTAAAATTTCAATCTAAAGTGTCTATAAAGCTTTCCTTATATCTACCTCTTACCACAGAGGATTGTTTTCTTTTTTTTTTTTGACATGGTAGAAAGGCATTGTTTGCAGATAAAGAGGGAAAATATAGATATCTCCTTATGTGACTAATAGTGATCACATTCTGCTCTCATCCCTTAATACCAATCTGTGTTTGGTTGGGCTGTTTCAATTGTTCATGAGCTATGGGATTCATGGAGATGTCATGACACACGTCTCTAATGAATAGATGATTTACAAGTGTAGCCAGCATTTAGGGTCATTCTTCATTGAGAGACATTACACAATATTCTGCTGATACACATTCTTGCATCGCATTTTATGGCCAGATCCTCAAGACTGCTGTCTCAATCTTGAGGCCACCATGCATGTCTATATGTTTTGGATATATCCTCTTTAATTTGGGGAAACTGGTTCCTCTTTGCCTGTTTTCCAGTAGCACAGGCACTTAACTAGTGTATGAAAGACCAATACTCTCACCTTTTATAGGGGCCCAGGTCTTTAAAAGTTATTCTTTTAGAGCTCAACTCCCTTAGATTTAGAGAGAGGAAATACCTCCTCTTCTCTCTTATGGGAAAAACTATTTGCTTTCTTTTTCCATGGGAACATTTTTCACATGGCCCACTGTTCTTTACATTATCATTTATATCAACTATGGATAAATGAGTGTTGGCAGAGCTGGGCTCACATATTTCTCACTGAATTTTGTGGAGTAGAAGCTGGCTATAATTGCTGGCAGGTTTCTGAACTTAGGCTGAAGGTTCTTGGTGCCTTTTAAACACAGGGAGAACACATGTCTTCTTATATGACCACACACAACTTCCCAACACACACATACACAAACACACACAATTGAGTCTTTCAGCAGGTCTGCCATATTCCCGAGTACTTCACCAGGTACAATTAAAGATGCAACAGCAACAACGTCAGAGTGCTCTGATTTCCATCCAAGAAGATAAGAGACTGCTTATCTACTGTATCTGAGGATATAGGATAGATCTAAGCATAAGAAAAAATTTTATTTGCCACAGTTATTATAGGAGTGATAGGATATGTTAAAGGCAAACATTAAAAACTTAATGATTTTGCCTGCAATCTCATATTTTTTTTTTCTACATAAATAGAATCCATTTCTGAGAAACACTTCATGTCTTACTGGGCTCTGGAGGCAAGGATTGTGACTATGATCCTGCCAACTCAGTGGAATGTGCTTTAAAACACATTGTTTCCTATACCCAATATCAAGAGGCTTGTCTGAAATTTTGTTTCCAAGGAAGAATTAAAAAATATAAATCTAAATATAAAAAATATAAATCTAAGCAGAATAAAAGTAAATATGAGATTTTTGGTTCTCATATTTTTAGCTGCATATGAAACATTCCTACCCAATTTCTTGTCTGTTTTTTATTATCAACCATGCCTCTCTACACTTCAAGCACATTTTTATCTCCAAAAAACAATGCTGATTCTAAACCACTTTCATTTCACCTCACATGATCCTCTATCCTTTACTTCATCTTGCCCTAGCTCTACTCTGCCAAAGATCCATAGAACAGGAAATGTTCTTTTCAGTGACTTTCTATTTCTCTGATGAGAACAAAGCACATTCCATAAACAGACCTCAGAAATATATCAGAAATTAATGTTACATGAAGAAGCTTATCTTGGCTGGGTGTAGTGGCTCATGCCTGTAATCCTAATACGTTGGGAGGTCAAGACAGGTGGATAATTTAAGCCCGAGAGTTCAGTATCAGCCTTTCAATGTGGCAAAACCTTGTCTCGACCAAAAAAAAAAAAATATATATATATATATACACACACACACACACACACACAAATACAAAAATTAGCCTGGCATGGTGGTGCATGCCTGTAGTCCCAGCTACTCGGGACACTGAGATGGGAGGATCATTTGAGTCCAGGAGGTCGTTGAGGCTACAATGAGTCATTATTGCGCCACTGCACTTCACCCTGGGCAACAGAGCAAGACACTGTCTCAAAAAAAAAATATTATCTTTTGCTTTTTTCTTCTTTTGTATCTAGTAGCATTGAATATTAGCCTATTTCATGCTGGGCCTATTTATTCAGAAAAGCAGCCTAGGTCATACTATTTGCAAACATATGTTTCTTACTTCTAGACTAAGAAAAGGTGTATTAGTTAGCATATATTTTTCTTCCTCTGAAAGGCTTTCGTTACTAGAAAGTACATGGGTCCCAATAATCAATGCTCCCACTTAGATCAATTCAGGAATGTATGCCTACTGGGTGATACATAGTCCTAAGGATCATGGGCTATATAGTAGTCTCATGTATCATAATACACTATTTCATAATTCTTCTGGTTGTTTCTCCTATGTATAATGCTTTCCCATCTTGGAAATTATATGAAATTGACTAAATAAATAATGGAATCTGGCTCATTATAGATTCTTTCATAATTCTAACTATTCTAGTATCTATAAGAATATCTTGGAAAGAGTATCAAAATCAATATTAAGTATGTTCATTTTGTATTTTTAATTATCCTTTGTTTATTAATTTCTCAGGAATAAGTATTAGCACCAAATTCAATGGCCCTTCTTCTAATAAAACCTGTAATGCCAGCATTAGAAGACATATCATGGGAAATGATTAGATAACAAAAATAAACTGTATCTTCTCATTAGTTTGGTCTATACCTTCCTATAAGTTGACCTATATTTGGGCAATTTTTCTGACTTTGTCTTCATATCATGGCATAAAACTTCTGTCCTGCTCTAGTTCTCAAACTGGCTATATTAAGATAGAAGTGGTAAAACAAGAAATGGGGTAGGCCATGGTGAACTCCCAGAATTTTATGGGATGTTCCATAATCAGAATCTAAGAGAATAATATAAATTAGTGTTAAGGAACAATAACCAGCATTTAAGGATAAATAAAAAATCAGAGTTCAGAGAGGGCAATGAGGGGCTGACTAAATTCTTACGAACATTTGTAGCCAGTATCTCAGGTGATTTTAAATGTGTAAAATATATAAAGCACAGTTTTCTCTTCCCTAAAAGTAGATCAACAATGTCCACATTAGGACAGTTTTTTAGAAATTTTTAAATCTATTTTTAATTGAAAAATAATCATGTATATTTATAAGGTATAATGTGATATTTTCATCTAAGTATACATTGTAGAAAGATTCAGTCAAGCTCATTAATATATCCATCACCTCACCAACTTACCTTTTTGTCTGGTGAGTATGTTAAAAATCTATTCTTTTAACACTTTTGAAATATACAATACATTATTAGCTGTGGTCACATAAAGTACAATTGATTGCTAAAACTTATTCCTTCAGTCTGAGACTTTTCACCCTTTGATCAACATCTTCCCCTTTCCTGTGGTTTCTCCTCCTCTCCAGCCTCAAGTAATTACGTTTCTACTCTCCATTTCTATCAGATCAACTTTTTTAGATTCCACATCTAAGTGAGATCATACAGTATTTGTATTTCTGTGCCTGCCTTATTTCACTTAGCATAACGTTGTCCAATTTCATTGATGTTGTTACAAATGATAGAATTTCCTTCTTTTTAAAGGCTGAATACTATTCTATTGTGTATATATGCCACGTTTTCTTGATCCATTCATCTGTTGATGGACACTTAGGTTGATTTCATATCTTAGCTATCATGAATAATATTAAAATGAACATGGGAGTGTAGATATCTCTTTAACAAATCAATGTCAATAACTTTGGATACATCTTTAGAAATTACATTATTGAATCATATGGTAATTCAATTTTAATTTTTTGAGGAACCTCCATACTATTTTCAAAAATGGCAGTAATATTTTACATTTCTCCACACAGTGTGCCAGGGTTCACTTTTCTCCATATCTTCATCAATACTTGTTATCATTTATTTTTGTTGAAAACAGTCATTCTAAAAGGTATGAAGTGATACCTCACTGTGATTTTAATTTGCTGGATAGTTTGAGGAAGAAAAGAGGTGTCATTAATAATATTCTGTAACACAGACTTAAGTAGTACTGTCCTAGGAACACCAGGAATATTGTTCCCAACCTTAAGCTCACCTAGTCATTTCTTGCATTATAGATTACTTTAATGTTACTCCCCAGATTCAGAGCCAGAGAAATTCCCCTCTTTTTTTTTCCTAGCCATAAAGCTTAATATGTCTCTTTAACTTTGCTGTGTGAACTACCCTGCTCAAATCAAGTCTTCTGAAATATATCCATCCACAAGAAGTCTTCTCTACCCTACTTCTACCCCAGCCCATCTACAGGACCAGTTGCTATGTGCCTTTGGCATTCGTTTGCCTTTGCCTTTGGCATTCTTTTACCTAACAGTTCAAGAATGAGTTACGATGACTTCCTCCGCCATCAGATACAGATAAATCCTCCATCCCCTGGACTTAACACAAAGTTCAGCACATATTAGATGCTCAAAATGGTTGAATTGAACACAGTAGAACTATTATACAAGTGCCATAATGTCAAACTGGAAGGCCGGACAATCATATAGTTTGAAAACCATATAGAAGAAAATTAAGAGAAATATATATGAGGGTTACAGATTTTTAAATTCTATCAGAATTTGTAAAAATTGCAACCATAATTTTTCAGGTTGAATATTGGCTGGAACCACCACGACTAATGAAATCATTAACTGTATAATGTGTAATGAGTCATAGTAAACTACTCATTTAGGCCATTTACATTGGCCTCATCTCTATATATGTTTAAGCTTTCTCTTTAGGTAATAATTATATCTTAGAGTAACACAGTAACCAGATTAATAGTGAGTATAAACTATATGTTTCACAATTATCTGTCAATTCCCTTAATTTTTGCCAATGTAAATGTTTAATACAGATAGAAAATTCAGTCTAAATCTAGGTATTAATAGAAATCAGTCCTCATTAATTCCACAGCTGAATTTAACTAAAATATAAACACATCTTGCAAAAGGCCACTTAATAAAATTTAGAATTATAGAGCATTTATAAATCTATACAAATTAATGAAACATATTACCAAATATGAATGAAAATTAGGCCTTGAGAGTGTTGGCATTAGGAATTGGAAAGACAGAAAGAGCAAGAAAGATAGTGTCCGTTTTGACTAAAACAAGTATATTCTATTTCCCAAAATATGAAGTAATGTATAATGTTCTGGTGTGGTAACTGCAGTTGGTAAACAGAAAAAAAAAAACAAGAACATAACAAAATGTTTTTGAAGATTTGTTTTCCACAATGGGTGTAGAAGAAATTAATGTCTCTTGAAGATTTTCCAGCTCTTAACATATTAATTATAATCATTCATTACTAAATGACAATATACTGAAAACATTTTTAGTGGAAAAAAAATAAGTTCAGGTCTGTAAAAGAAATATAAAATGCAAATATCTTGGTCAACTCCTTTTTAATATCTCTACCCTGTGCCAGACATCATGTTCTGCACAGGAAATACAAAAATGAGGAAGACTCACAATTAATTCTCAAGTGTCTTTCCTGTTAATATTGCTGACATTTTATTTTTTTCCAATATTCACACTATTCTTGTTTCCTTAAATCTTCCTTCATATTATACTGTGAATTATTTTTTGAAAAACAAAATATTCTTCTCTAATAACTTCTAGATACACTGAAACTTTACATTCTCATGCTATGAATGACAAGTATCACTAGTATTTTAGAGATTAGGCAGAGTTAATCCCAGAGAAATCTTCACAGCAATTTAAAATAATAGAGGGTGTTGTTTACGGAAACAAAGCAATGTTGTCCTACCTGTCCAGGAAAACAGGAATAAAGCAAACAATTAGCTGGGAGACAAAATGTCATCTAATCCTATTCTAAGACAGGTCACATTGTACACAATCAGATGTTTCTTCTCTGTAGGTATAGTCAGACATTGTACCTCTCTCCTCCCCTGTAATGAATAACCTGAACCATTAGGCAAAACTTAAGTCTGTTTTCCACCACTACAGTTATATTAATTTCTCTTTTCTGTTGCACAATAGCTGCCTTACTTTCCCTGATTTTGTTGTTGTTGTTGTTATTGCTGTACAACATTCAATAAATCACTTAAAAGACCGACTTTATACATTTTACCTACTATTATTGTGAGATAACATATCTGTATATTTTGAGAAAACATCTTCATGCTATCTTCTTTGTATGATCCCCTAGCCATGTTTTTATACTTTTAATGTCACTTGTGTAAGAAACAGAAACACTGTGTGTGAAAGCATGCAAAGGTTTTGTCCTTTTTTGCTCTGTGTGCTGAAGGTTAGTAATAAATTAGAACACATTTAGAGCCTTTCTTCCTCCCAATCAAAAGGGACAGGGTGAAAAATTATGCATTTCTTCATGAATAACATAACTTGGTATAATAAAGTCAATATTCATTGCTCTTGAAACATCGCTTGAGGTATTCACGGATTTGTAGAACATAAGTGCAAACTAGTGAGGGCTCCTCACTGTGAAAACTCTCAGGCTCTGTGCTTCATGCAACAGTGACTACGTCGTTTCTTGGTAATCACACTGAAGCCCGGTAAGAATCATAACTTGCCATATATGCAACAGGCAAATAATAACAACAACATTTAAAAGTTTAATACAATGTTTGTTTCTAAGCCTTTGCAGCTAACAAGTTTCTAAGATTAAAACATAAATTTAATTCCAAAGCGTAATATCTTTTTGATATTCCACTTTGTTCCCTGCAGTGTTCCTCTCCCAGGGAAAGGAATGACCTGAGATAAGGGGAGCAGGTTTGGAGTGAATCTGAAGACAATATGCCCAAATTTCATAGGTACCTATATCTGTATAACAATTCACCTTTTTCAAAGCATATTTACGTTTTATACTCAAATAACTCTCACAACCCAGAAAGACTGACAATGTAGTTATTGTCACTTCCAAGTTGTTACTGAGGAAATGGAAGCTTAATAATATCCCTTAAAATAGTTTTAATAGTTAATATCTGTTGAGCTGTTTGTCTATTTTTCCAGAAACAGAAAGCAGAGAAAGCACTTATGTGTAGTACCTTATTGTAAGAAACTGTTTGTCAGAAACAGGAGAAGTGCAAATACAGAGCTCAATAAATATTAGTTATTTAAATTATTTAAAGAAATATTGCTAAACACCTATAAATCAATAAAAAGAATATATTATTCCAAAACTAGTAAAATAAATATGAGGTAGTGGCACATGTCTTCATTATTAAGAAATAAAGGCAAAAATGAAAGAAGTAAAGTACTCAAATCTGCAAAATACGTTAGAAAAAAAAACAATAGCAACAACTCCTCTTGCTCAGGCCTAGAAAATTGAAGATGAGAAAAACTCAAATTAACAAAATAGTACCAAAAATAGTAAAAGTATTAAATTACTTTAATGCTATTTTAAGTGGTTCTTTGAAGAGAACAGTAAAATAATAAATCCTTTACAAACCAATTCTTTTAAAAATGAGAAAGTCTACAAAATAAACAAGATTAGCAATGAGTAAATATAAATAATTATGAAATTTTAAAAAGCCATTATAAGAACATTATTATAGCTGTAACTATGGAAGCAACTGTTAGGAAATTTATAATTTTCTAGAAAAATATAAATTATATAAAATTAACCCAAAAAGAAATAAAAAACTGAATTACCAGAAGGAATATTGGGAAAGCGATAAAATATCTAGGATAGAAAAGCACTAGAATAAATGGGTTCGCTGCTGAATTTTACTTACTGCTTATTGCAGTAATAATGTCAATTATATTTAAATTATTTTATACCAGAGAAATACAACTCCTAAATTTGTTTTAGGAAGTCAACATAACATTTATATCCAGAAGATAATAGAAAAATAAAACAAAATATTACTTTTAAATACAATGATAAAAATTCTGAATAAACTTTTTCCATGAAAGAAATACAAATTCAGTGTTTAAAAATTACTTGTCATGATCCATTTTACAAACTTATTAAGATCTGTAGATATTAAAAATACACATAATAAATATAATCAAAAGTTCAAATAAATACTGCAGTGATACTTAGGATATAATACAACCAAACTATTGAAACTTAATTTTTAAGAAACTATAAAAAAAAAATACATTATCCTACATACAAAATGACTAAAATAATTTCCATTTAAAGAGAAGGAAATAATTCATAATCTCCATTGTTATTACTGTCAATATTGTCTTGGAGATTTTAGAATATGAAATATTTAAAAAGTAAAATATCTCATAGGTTCTTTAATAGAGATAGAACTTCCTCTTTTGTCTTGGTATGATTGTTTACCTACATAACTCAAGAGCCTCTAGTAAAAAGTTTTAGACTTAAAGAGAACATTTGGTAACAAATTAGTTAGAATTAACATAAGCATTCAAATTCAATAACCCTTTTCTTGTTTAGGGATGAGCAAAATAAATCCAAATTTAAAAAATACTGTGTTACCTAATAGTGCCAAAGCTCAAATAAATTGAGGAATGAACTTCACAGTATTATATTGCTCCTATCAAGACAGAATAAAAATACAATGATTACTAATTTACATTGAGCTCTTATATCGTAGGTAGTAATTTAAGCATATTATATGTGTTTTATCTTTAATTCTCAAAATAAACCATTGACTTGGTATAAGATAGTCATGGATTAGAATTTTAGCTTTCCCAAATACTAGCTAACTAATAAAGAATAATTTTTTCCAACTCTCTGAACCACAAAAAGTTTTTTGGAGGATTGAATACAATAGCATACATTTTTTAATGTTTATCACATTAAAAAATCTTGAATCAATGGTAGCTGCTATTTTCAATAACCCTCTGATCAATCTATAATATAGCAATTAGCTACCTTAAGTGTTTTTGCAAACAAGGATGGCTATAAGAAATAGAGTATTGTAACTATCATTAATTTTCTCAAAAGAGTTTTGGTCAATTATAAAAGCTCTGAGTTAGGAAAAACAGAATTATCCTTATTTTATTTATAATAATTCTAATGGCCAAAGAGTTTAAATTACTTAACTATGATAACAAAGCCAATGCATCAAGTTCTGTTTATTACACACCCTTTTTACTTTAAGGTTAACGTTTTAAAATTTTGAGTATGATATTTCAAACATCTATGAGGCTAGAAGTAAAATTATGCATTTTTGGTAAATGCACCCAATAATAAATTCTAGTAATGTAAATAATCTTCAATTACTAACTTAGGAAAAATATATTAAAGAATTTATCAAATTTTAGTAAAGTAATGGGCATTAGCAACGATAACATTTGCCCAAATTTTGCACTCTACTTATGCTCTTCGAATACAATTTAAAAGAGTGTTTTTTAGAAAAGCAAATTCTGAAGGGGTTTATTTTACCAAACTGCCAATATGTACAGGTAGATAATTTTCCAAGACAAACTATGAGACCTCATATATATACTATGGGTGAAATATCAGCAATGGAGAGTTAGCAAGGAATGGTTCTGTTTCTATCCACATTTAAGAAGAGGGTAAGAAACAATTCAGTTTCCTTTGCATGTCATTCTTTATTTGCAGGTTATCTCTCATTTGATATAATTTACAAAGTATTATGAATAGTGGCATCCCTAAGTTCTAATTATGTTCTACAAATTAGAATTAGGTCAAGTGTTATGCCAGATACAAACAGTATAACAAATGAGCTTAGAAATCTTAAAAATGAAAATAAATTTTATTAATTATAACATCTGTTTCAAAAGAGAAAGTCTACTCTTTTACAGTCAGATATACTCAAGAGAAATATAATTACAAAAGACAGAAAATTTTGAATTTAATTGAAAACTAATGCAATATAGAAGTAAATAAATAAATAAAATTTCAGAGTACACTTTAATTGGAAGTATGGGATCTCTGTAGCTACTTCTTAGCAAATATCTTTAATTATGCTCATTTTCCTCCTTTCTTGACACAGTAAAATGATCTCTCATCATCTCTAAGCCCACTGCTCAAGCCATTTATTTCGTGACTCCAGACAGCTGAGTAGGAAACTAAACTAATATAATCAAATCGATCACTTTAAACAGTGTAAATCTGGTCACTTTTGGTTAGTTATTAGATTCTTTTTCAATTACTGCCTAGGGGAAAAGGGAATATATTTTACTTCTTGAAATAGATAATCGTGCATAGAATAAAAAGACATCAAAATCGTGAAATGACATAACATATTTCTGCTTATGCGAACAGATGGAAATCTATACATTCTAACATATACAGTCTCTAAAAAACTTACTTTAAAGCATAGGCCACCTAATTAGTGTGGGTAGGGGAAGGTGTCAAGTTTGAAAGTTTTAAATTTTAGACTCACATGTGTTTATATACATTTATTTACCATGGTATTACTTTACAATTATACTTTCTTTTAACTCAAAACACTATAATTTATTTACATCTAATTATTGAAGTCAGCAATTAGGGCTGGTTTTCAGCTTGACTCACTCAGGTATCTTTAGTCAGAAGCAAGGTGACAAGAGACAACAGCATATTAGATTTCTTGAGGCCTAGGCTCAGACTGGCACACGATCATTTCTCCTGCATTCTACAGATCAAAGAAAACCCTAGAGCAGCATAGATTCAAGGAGTAGAGAAATCAACTATAGCTCTTCATAAGAATATCTATAAATTAAGAGGAAAAGGAACATGAATACAAGGAGAGGAATAATCGGGGCCATTTTCTGCAAACAGCATACCACAAATAGCTAATAAATATTAAAATAATACATGCCATAGTAAAAATTTCAAACAATACAGAACAACATTTCTCAAACTAGCACTCTTAATATTTTACATCCATAGATTTGTTTTCAACTAGCATGTCACAAAAACTTTGAGAACCAAATCAATAAATAGAAAATTACTCAAGTTCCAGAATGATCACTTGGGTGGTACATCTCAGGGACAGATCCAAAGAGCAGGGCATAAATTTGAAAAATAAGGTAACAATGGAACCAAAGCCCACATAAGGTGTGTTCAAAACTTTGGCTGATAACTTAACCAGATGGATTGCCTGCTTAACATTATGCAATGTTATGCACAGGACTTAGACAAGGCCCAGAGTATTAAAATGTAATGCTGAAAATAACCAGTTTACAACATACAATCACTTGGCATACAAAGAAACACACAAAAATGAACTAACGCCAAAATATCACACGGATAAGTTATCCAATAAAGACTTTAAAATGAGTATTAAAATGCTCAAACCAATTATTGTGAACATTCTTTTTTAAATGCAAAACAATTAAACGGTTCAGTGTATTAGCCCATTTTCAAAATTCTATGAAGAAAAACCTGAGACTGGGTAATTTTTAAAGAAAAAGAGGTTTAATGGACTCACAGTTCCACATGGCTGGGGAGGCCTTACAATCATGGTGGAAGGCAAAGGAGTAGCAAAGGAACATCTTACATGGCGGTAGGCAAGCAAACATGTACAGGGGAACTGCCCTTTATAAAACCATCAGCTCTTGTGAGACTTATTCATTATCATGAGAACAGCGTGAAAAAAACCCCACATTAATTACCACAAGAACAGCATGAGAAAAACCCCCATGATTCTATTACTTCCCAGTGGGTCTCTTCCACAACACATGGGGATTATGGGAGCTACAATTCAAGATAAGATTTGGGTGAGAACACAGCCAAACCATATCACTCAGCAAAGAAATGGATTAGAGAAGAAGCAAATATAAATTTTAGGACTAAAATATTCAATAACTGAAGTGAACTTCTTATTGTATGGTTTCAATAGAAGAATGGAGATGGCCATGGAAAGAGGCAATAGACACTTGACATAGAGCAATGGAAAGCATTCAAACTAATTGGGAGAAAAATGATTGAAAAATGATAATTAAAGCAGAATTAAGTAACATGGAGACTAAAAATAACAATAAAATATCAGTGAAACAGAGCTAGATCTTGGAATGATAAAATCAACAAAGCTTTAGCTTAGACTAACTTAGAAAAAAGACAGATGACCCAAATCAATAAAATTAGAAATGAAACAGTGGACATTAAAACTGATAGTACAGATGTATAAAGGATCAAAAGAGACTGATGTGAGAAATTATATAACATTAGATAACCTAGAAGAAATGGATGAATTCCTAGAAATATATAACCTACCAAAACTGAATCACGAAGAAATAGGACATCTGAACAGAATACTGAGTAAGAAGATTTAATTAATAATAAAAAGTATCCTATCAAATAAAAGCCCAGGGCCTGATGGTTTCACTGCTGAATTCTGCCAAATATTTATAGATCTAATACCAATCCATCTCAAACTCTTTCAAAAAATTGAAGAGGAGAGAACACTTCCAAATTAATTTACAAGGCCAGAATTACCCTCACACCAAAAACTGACAAGGATATTACAAAAAAGCAAAATTAGAAGCCAATGTCCCTGATGAAAATAGATGTAAAAATCTCCAACAAAATCCTAGCAAACTGAATTCAAAAGCATATTAAAAGTATCATTGACCATTCCACCCTCATCTAGTAAGATTTATCCCAGAGATGCAAGAATGATCCAATAATGCAAATCTATAAATATAATACACCACATTAACAGAATGAAGGCCCAAAATTATATGACCATCTTAGCAGATACAGAAAAAGCATCTGACATAATTCTACAACCTTTCATAATGAAAACTCTAAAAAAAAAATAGGTATAGAAGGAATGTACCTCAACATAATAAAGGCCACATATTAAAAACCCACAGCTAACGTCATACTCTAAGGTGAAAGTTGAAAGCTTTTCTTCTAAAATCCAGAAGAAAAGGATGCTCACCTTCACTGCTTCTATTTAACATGGTACTGAAAACCTAGCTAGGGCAACTGGCAAGAGGGAGAAATTAAAACATCCAAAATAGAAAGAAGGAAATTACATTGTTCCTACTTACAAACATATTATATAAGGAAAACTCAACTCCAATAAAACCTGTTAGAATTGATAAACAAATTCAGTAAAGTTTCAAGATACAAAAACCAACACACAAAAACCAGTAGTGTTTCTGTATATACTAACAACACACTATCTGTAAAAAAAAAATTAATAAAATAATATCATTTACATAGCTACCAAAAAATTACTTGGGAATAACTTTAACCACACATGTGAAAGACCTGTACACTGAAATCTATAAAACATTACTGAAGGAAATACAAGTAAGCACAAATGAATGGAAAGATAACTTTTTCTCATAGATTGGAAGAATTAATACTATTAAAATCTCCTAACTACCCAAAGTGATCTACAGATTTAATATAATCCTTATATCAAACTTCCAAAGACATTTTCACAGAAATAAAGAAATCCTAAAATCTGTGTTGAATCACAAAAGGCCCCAAATAGCAAAAGCAATCTTGAGCAAAAAGAACAAAACTGGAGGATCCACAAATTCTAAACTCAAAATATATTATAAAGGTATAGTAAATAAAACAGCATGATACTGGCATAAAAACAGACACACAGACTAAAGAAACAGAACAGAGAGCCAAGAAATAAATCTACACATTTATGACCAATTTATCTTCAATAAAGAAGCAAAAAGCACACATTTGGGAAAAGACAGTCTCTTCAATAATTTGTGTTGGGACTATTTAATATCCACATGCAGAAGAATGAAATTAGACTCATGTCTCATATGACATACAAAAATCAACTGAAAATATATTAAAGACTTTAATGTAAGCCTGAAACTATAAAACTACTTGAAGAAACCATGGTGGAAATGTTCCATGACACTGGTTTGGGCAATTATTTTTTTTCGATATAAACTAAAAAGCACAGAAACTAAAAGCAAAAATGGACAAATGGAATTACATCAAACTATAAAATTTCTGCTCAGTCAAGGAAAGAATCAATAGAGTGAAAAGACAGCCTACAGCATGGGACAAAATATTTCATAACCATAAATTTGATAAGGAGTTAATATCCAAAATATATAAGGAACTCAAATAACTCAATAGTAAGAAAACAACTGATTTAAAAATAGACATAAAATTTAGATAGATATTTCTCAAAAGAAGATATACAAATCGTCAATTACATAAAAACAATACTGAGCAACATTAATCATCAGAGAAATACAAACTAAAACCACTATGAGATAGCATCTCATACCAATTAAAATGGATATTATAAAAAAGATGAAAGATAAATGTTGGTGAGGATGTGGGGAAATAGAATATTGCACACTGGTGGCGTCATTGTAAACTAGTACAACTGTCCTGGAAAATGGTATCGAATTTCCTCAAAAAAAATTAAATTGCCATATGATTCAGCAATTCTACTACTGGGCATATATCCAAAGAAAATAAAATGAGTGTAATCCCAGCACTTTGGGAGGCCAAGGCAGGCAGATCACTTGAGTTTAGGAGTTCAAGACTACCCTGGGCAACAAGGAAAAACACCATTTCTACAAAAAATAAAATAAAATACAAAAATTAGCTGGGCGTGGTGGTGCTTGCCTATACTCCCAGCCACTCAGGAGGCTGAGGCAGGAGGATTGACTGAGCCTAAGAGGTCAAGGCTGCAGTGAGCAGTGATTGTGCCACTGCACTCCAGCCTGCGAGACAGAACGAGAGCCTGACTCAAATAAAAATAAAATAAAATAAAATAATATAGTTGAAGAGATATCTTTACTCCCCTGTTCATTGCAGCATTACTCACAATAGCCAAGATATGGAATCTACTTAAGTGTACATCAGTGGATGAATGGATAAAGGAAATATGGCATATATTCAAAATGGCATATATTCCAGTTCAGCTCTAAAAAGGAAGGAAATATTGTCATTTGCAACAAAATGAATAAACCTGGAAGACATTATATTAGGTGACATAAACCAGGCCCAAAAACACAAATATCACACGGGAGGCTGAGGCAGGAGAATTGCTTGAACCCGGGAGGCGGATGTTGCAGTGAGCCGGGATCATGCCACTGCACTCCAGCCTGGGCAAAAAGAGAGAAACTCAGTCTCAAAAAATATATATATATATTACATGATTGCACTTATATGTTACACCTAAAAAAGTTTAACTGAAGAAGTAGAGTAGAATAATGGTTACCTGAGGATAGGGGTGGCATGGAGTTGGGAAGATATTGGTCAAAGTATTCAAAAATTCAGTCATATAGGAGGAATAATGTCCAGAGATACAATTCACAACATAGTGACTATTGACAATAACAATATATTACATTCCTGAAAATTGCTAAAGGCAGACTTTGAGGGTTTTCACCAAAAAAGGATTTAATGTCATGCATATGCTAATTAGCTTGATGTAGCCATTCTTCAATGAATACATATTTCAAAAGAGTATGTTGTACATGATAATTTTTATTTGGCAATTTAAGATAAAGTAGTATAAAATAAATAAATATAAAGAAAGCTGAATTGACAATATGGTCATTCATTTTTGCTACATTGACAATAATGAATGACCTTCTTAGACACACAAAAAATTGGAGGGCAGAAAGATCTGGAATATTTTGAAAGTGGTAAATAAAAATGTCTATTAACTCAGGATTCTGCATTCATTGAAAATTTTCTTAAGGAGTAAAGGTAAATTAACAACTTTCTCAGATGAAAGAAAAAGAAAAATTATAGCCAACGGACCTGATCTAAAAGAATTTGTAAAGAATATCCTTAATATAGAAGGAAATGATACTGGAAAGAAATGTGGAAAATTAAGAATGAATGGAAATGAGGCAAACAGTAAATAAACTATGTAAATACAATAGATTATTGGTCTCCTCTTGAAATCTTCAATACATGTTTGACATTTGAAACAAAAGTTGAAACATTGTCTGATGGTGTTTTTAAAATATGTGCATGCAATATATAAGACATGTATAGCATTAGGGGATAAGGTAAATACATGCCTATGATGGTAACATTTTTATATTCTAACTTAAGTATAAAAAGATTGATTTTTAAATAGGCTATGGAGAGTTTTTGCACATTTTAAAAACCCTAGAGTAACAATTAAAAACTATACAAAGAAATATATTCAAAATCACAATATACAAACTAAAGTAGAAGAAAAAAGAATGAACAAAAAATGAACAATAAAATTATAATCTATAGCCACACCATAATTATTTCAGGTGTAAATATTCTGAAAACATCAATTAAAAACAGAACTTGTCAAAATGGATTAAAAAGCAACACCTGACACAACTCTATACTACCAACAAGAAACTCATTATAACCATAGTAACACAGGTAGGCAAAAAGCATAAGATATACCATAGTAACACTATTCAGTAGTAAGCAGGAGTGTCTATATTAATATAAGACAAAGTAAACTTCAGAGCAAAAAATTAAATAAAAATTACCAGACAAAAAAGGAATATTTTTATTTCTTAATTCACTAACAGTAATGACAATATGTCACAGAATCTACTATTTAATTTATATCTTAGCAAATATTTTACTGGTTATTGTTAAATATTTATTTTTTATATTTATTTTTTCTTTCTTTGTCAACTAGTTATCTGTAAGAACTTTAGACAAGAATACTACTAATTAACTACCAAAAATTAATGTATCAGTCTTCAACACAATTACCAAAAAAAGCTGAATTACTCTTCTATCATAGAGTAGCATAAAATGATAGAAATAATTAGACAAACACAAAACATTAATAAAACCATTAATCAGTTCCAGTAGACTTTTGGTGGAGCTTTCTAAGTACAGAATCATATTTTCAGTGAAGAGAGTTTGACTTATTTTGCTATGTGGATACATGTATTTCTTTTTCTTGCCTGATTGCTCTGGCTAGCATGTTCAGTATCATGTTGAGTAGGAGTGGTTAAGAGTGGGCATCCTTGTATTGTTCCAGCTCTCAAGGTGAATGATTCCAGCTTTTGCCCATTCACTATGATGTTGACTGTGAGTTTTTCATAGATGGCTTTTATTATTTTGAGGTATGTACCCTTGATGCCTAGTCTGTTGAGGGATTTTATCATGAAGGGATGTTGAATTTTGTTGAAAGCTTTTTCTGAGTCTACTGAGATGATCACTGTTTTGTGTGTTTTTAATTTTATGTAGTGAATCACATTTGTTGATTTGCACATGTTGAATCAACCTTGCATCCCAGAAATAAAGCCTGCTTGATCAAGGTGAATTAACTTTTAGATGTGCTGCTGGATGCAGTTTGCTAGAATTTTGTTGAGAATTTTTCATGTATAATCATCAAGGATATTAGCCTGAAGTTTTTTTGTTTCTTTATTTGTTTTTTGTCATATCTCTGCCAGATTTTGGTATTAGGCAATGCTGGCTTCTTAGAATTTATAAGGAAGGAGTCCCTCCTCTTTGAATATCTGAACTAGTCTCAGTAGGTTCAGAACCAGTTCTTTTTATGTATGATAGAATTAGACTGTGAATCCATCTGGTCCAGGCTTTTACAGGTTGGTGGGTTTCTTAATACTAATTCAATTTCAGACTTTAAAATTGGCCTATTAAAGGGTTTCAATCTCTTTCTGAGTCTATCTTGAGTGATTGTGCGTTTCCAAGAATTTATTCATTTTAGATTTTTTCTTTTCTTTTTTTTTCTTTTTTTTTTTTTTTTTTGAGACAGAGTCTCACTCTGTTGCATAGGCTGGAGGGCAGTGGTGCAATCTTGGCTCACTGCAATCTCCGCCTCCCGGATTCAAGTGATTCTCCTGCTTCAGCATCCTGAGTAGCTGGGAATACAGGCATCCACCACCACGCTCAGCTAATTTTTGTATATTTAGTGGAGACAGGGTTTTGCCATGTTGGCCAGGCTGGTCTCAAACTCCTGACCTCAGGTGATCTGCTCACCTTGCCCTCCCAAAGTGCTTGAATTACAGGTGTGAGCCACTGCGCCTGGCCTTCTCTAGATTTTCTAACTTGTGTGCACAGAGTTGTTCATAGTATTCTCTGAGGTCTTTCGTATTTCTGTGGATCAGCTGTAATATCATCTTTGTCATTTCTGATTGTGTTTATTTGGCCCTTTCCGTTTTTACTTTGTTAATCTAGCTAGCGGTCTATTACACTTATTTATTATTTTGAAAGACAAACATTTGGTTTCGTTAAACTTTTTTATTGATTTTTGCATCCCAATTTCATGATATAAAATCAATGTACAAAAATCAGTAGCATTTTTTATATACCAATAGCATCCAGGCTGACAGTCAAACTAAGAACCCAAGCCCATTTACAACAGTCTCAAAGAAAATGAAATACCTAAGAATACAGCTAAGCATGGAGGTAAAAAATATCCACAGAAGAACTAAAAAACCCTTCAGAAAGAGGCCGGGCGGGGTTGTTCATGCCTGTAATCCCAGCAATTTGGGGGGCCGAGGTGGGCGGACTACCTGAGGTCAGTAGTTCAAGACCATCCTGGCCAACATGGTGAAACCCCGTCTCTACTAAATATACAAAAATTAGCCAGGCGTGGTGGCATATGCCTGTAATCCCAGCTACTCAGGAAGCTGAGGCAGGAGAACTGCTTGAGTCTGGGAGACAGAGGTTGCAGTGATCCAAGATCGTGCCACTGCACTCTAGCCTGGTCAACAGAGCAAGACACTTTCTCAAAAAAAAAAAAAAAATCAAAATATGCACAGTCTCACATAAAGGTTGAATATTCACGGATATACAACAGGTAAGACATACTCCTATATTGCTTTAATACAAGATGAAAAAATGATGCAGTTTAAGTTTCATCATTTTAAGTTTTCTAACTTTTAAAAGCTTTAATAGATTTTAAAAGCTTTAATCAATAAAACAAAAAATATGATTTTATTATTCAACAAGACTCAGTAAGAAAGTAATTTAATATGCAAAAGAGAGAACCTTATTCAAGGTTGGCCTTATCTTTTGATCCACAAACATTGCTAGTGCCTTCAACTGGCATACTTTTGCATAAATAAACTGCAATTCAGAACTGATTAGTATTGCAATTAGGAAGGCAAATTACTGTAAATTGTTCTTTGAATATACTATAAACAGATGGCATACGTGTTACACACAACGTTTTTGTAAAAAGAGATACCTAATTAGTCTCTTCATTATAAATATTCTTTCATTAGGTATCTAATGAGTAAAAGTAATGTAAATGTACATAATGCTGCAAAGATTCCCATAGTACAAAATAGAGAAGGTGGGTGTTCAAGCTATATGTAATCATATATAAACCATACAAAATGCATATGGTTTGTCATACAAGCCAGGATAAAAAACAAGTGCTTGCAATACAGATATTAATAAAAACAGACCTATTAATATTTCAGAACTAGAAAAAATAGTATTACCTCGGATATTGAACTGCTCAGGACAGCAGATATTCAATTGGTTTATTTAATTCCATGTGTTTCTGAAAATCATGCAAATTTCGTAAAAACTATTTCTAGTCAAAAACTTCCATTTTAATTAAAAAGACATAGTTGTGGCCAAGTGCGGTGGCTCACACCTGTAATCCTAGCACTTTGGGAGGCCAAGGTGGGTGGATCACGAGGTCAGGAGTTCAAGACCAGCCCAGCCAAGATGGTGAAACAGTATCTCTACTAAAAATACAAAAATTAGCTGGGTGTGGTGGCGGGCACCTGTATTCCCAGACACTCAGGAGGTTAATACAAAGAACTGCTTGAATCCAGGAGGCAGAGTTTGCAGTGAGCCAAGATCGCGCCACTGCACTCCAGCCTGGGCAACAGAACGAGACTCCATCTCAAAAAAAAAAAAAAAAAAAGAGAGACACTTGTATTTCTTTTCATAATTATAAAGTAAACCTATGATGAAGACAGAAGGCTTTTAAAAATTAGAATTTTTCTTCATTTAAAAAAGAACATAGGGCCAGGCATGGTGACTCATGCCTGTAATCCCAGCACTTTGGGAGGCCAAGGCAGGTGGATCACAAGGTCAGGAGTTTGAGACCAGCCTGACCAACATGGAGAAACCCCATCTCTACTAAAAATACAAAAAAAATTAGCCGGGCGTGGTGATGCGCACCTGTAATCCTGGCTACTCAGGAAGCTAAGGCAGGAGAATTGCTTGAACCCAGGAGGCGGAGGTTGCAGTGAGCCGAGATTGAGCTACTGCACTCCAGCCTGGGCGACAAAAGTGAAACTCCATCTCAAAAAAAAAAAAAAAAAAAGAACATAAAATTGTATAATTCAATTATTTCTTATAAACATTAGTTATTATATTTCGTCAGACTCAAGCAGTGAATATATTTTTCCTGCATATCTGAGTCAGTAGGTGATATAGATTGTTTTTGGTTTTCTAATCCACCAAACCTGGGTGTTTTTTTAATGAAATATAGAAAAGATCTTTTTGACCAACTAATTTGTAATGTGAGAAATATAAAAATGTGTGATAAAATGTCTTTTCAATGTATGTCTAATACTAATTAAAATGCAACTGAATACAACTTTAAACAATGTTTTAATTGTGAGTTATGAAGTATTTTTAAAACAAAGGCAAAATAAACCCAAATACAAAAAATAACACATTTGTATATTTACTTCAGAATATTTTTAAGAAATAAAATATCACAAATGATTTAAAGTTTTCCTAATCATTTCATTTTTCCACCTCCCCTTCCTCTGCCACAGTTAATACATCTTCTTCCAATAAATGGTTGTAAGAAATCTGCAGCATATATACAGATCTATAGGCAATGCAGTAGTGTTTTTTTTCCCCAATAATAAGTTGTGTAACATTTAAATTCTTCTAATTTTCTTTCTTTTTCATCAGCATACTGCTGTTAAGATTTATCTGTATTAACAAACATACCTGATTTATCCATTTTGACTGTATTATAGAAATAAATTATGGTAAAATGGTAATGTTTCTTTATACATTTCATTATATTTGGATATTTGTTTCAAAGTGGGTCCCATTAAACATATATTGAAATAAAAATGCATCTATATATGTATTTGTACACAAATTCAGGGTTATCCCTTTGGGGTATATACCTTTGACTGCTGCTTTATAGAATATGTTCATCTTTACCTTCACAAAGTCATGCCAAAAAATTTTCCAGAGAAATCCAATTATCTTATACATGTGTTAAATAATGTGGTAAGATTTTCTTTCAATAGACTTGTTAACAATTGGTACTATATGATTATCTAATTTGTGCAAAATTGAAGTGTGTGAAATAGTATCTCATTGAGAATAGGCTTTTTTTTTTGAGACGGTGTCTTGCTCAGCCGCCCAGACTGGAGTGCAGTGGTGTGATCTCAGCCCACTACAAACACCGTCTCCCGGGATCAAGCAATTCTCCAGTCTCAGACTCTTGAGTAGCTGGGATTACAGGCATGTGCCATCATGCCTGGCTAATTTTTGTATTTTGGTAGAGACGGGGTTTCACCATGTTGGCCAGACTGGTCTTAAACTCCTGACCTCAGGTGATCCACCCGCCTCGGCCTCCCAAAGTGTTGGGATTACAGGTGTGAGCCACTGCGCCTGGGAGAATAGGCCAATTTTTATATTTTTATTTTATATATTGCTTTGTCTTTTTTAATATTTATATTTTTAGATTGTTACATATATGAGATATGTAGCTTATTTATTTATTTTTATTTATTTACTTTTTTTTTTTTTTAAGACGGAGTCTTGCTCTGTCGCCCAGGCTGGAGAGCAGTGGCCCAATCTCGGCTCACTGCAAGCTCTGCCTCCTGGGTTCACGCCATTCTCCTGCCTCAGCCTCCCAAGTAGCTGGGACTATAGGCACCCGCCACCACGCCTGGCTAATTTTTTGTATTTTTAGTAGAGACGGGATTTCACCATGTTAGCCAGGATGGTCTCAATCTCCTGACCTGGTGATCCGCCTGTGTCGGCCTCCCAAAGTGCTGGGATTACAGGCGTGAGCCACCACGCTAGGCCGAATGCAGCTTACTTATTTCTTGTTCTCATAGTGTCTGATGCTATAGAATTTGAAATTTCTAATTTAATCTTTCAATAGATAGATAATTGTTTTTTATAATAATGGTTTTCAAACTGGCATAAGCCTTTAGGAAAATAATGACTTAAGGTACTTTTAATCAAAGTGCGCTTTCAGTCAGTTTTACATAATTTTATTCTGCAAAATAAGTAGATACCTTACCCTTTGGTGCTTAATTTGATCATATTATCAAAAGAAAGGTAAAGCAGAATATTTAATCTAAATCTAAATACTTAGGTCTGGTTTGTCCCAAGGACAACTTTTTAATTCATGTCTTATCTGTAGCCACTTCCCTTATATAACGCAAGGGAACGAATCACATAATGCAGCTTAATTCCTAGCTTACTTCATCTCTTCTCTAATCTTCCTGCCTAAAAATAGAGCTCAAAGAAGCACAAGATGCATGTGTGGCAGAAAATGATTAAAGAATCATGTGAGGCCCTGCTGACACTGGCATTAGAATCAGTGTACTTCCCCTTCAAGTGAATGACTTTGATATTTCTGCATTGCAATATTACTTAATACTCAAAGAAGAAACCTCAAAATTTCCATAGCACTGATTCCCTTTGAAATATAGCGATAAGAGCTTCAAATATTAAGTACAAATTATTCCAGAATGATTCTATCAGAGAGGTATAAAATGATCCTCTTATTGCTACTACAGGCTGCTAGATTAATTTTATGCATATATGAATTGGTCAGAGTTCTCCAGAGAAACAGGACTAACAGGATACACATACACAAACACATATGAACACAACTCACACACAGAGAGAAGGGGGGGGATTATTTTAAGGAATTGGCTTATATGATTATGGGGATGGCAAGTCTGAAAACTGCCAGGTAGGTCAGCAGGCTGGAGACACAGGGAAGAGCTGATATTGCAGTCTCTAGTACAAGTGGCGACTGGACTTTGAGGAGGGAGCCAAGATGGCCAACTACACACCGCCAGTAAGAGTTTCTCCTACTAAGAGAGACCATACTATCAAGTAGACTGGCACACTCCAAACAGGTATTTGGAAAGAAGGCACTGAGAATTAGTGGAGGGAAAATGCAGACCCTAGGCTGAAAGCAGAGGAACCCAGGAATCCTGCATGGGGTTAGTGAGCACCAGGACTCATTCCTGCCTTGAAGAGCTCTTGAGAAAGGGGTGGGTCAAATAGGCATGGAGTGGCCCAGTCTTGTCACTGACCTCTGGAATCCTTGCTGCAGGAAAACACATGACTCCCACAGATATTTGAACTAGCAGGGAGATCTGCTCAGCAAGTTGCCAGAGACAGAACTCCAGGCTGCATGGAGTCCAGAGGGTTTCGCCCGGGAGTGGCTATAGTGGAGAACAGTCATAGACGCTGATTTCTCAATGCTTGCCATGTTCCTCTAAGGACGCTTAGCCCTTTGTTGCCTGTCAGATCTGGGCAGGGCAAGGTTATCTTGCCCATGGGAAGAGGCCAGTCTGATCTGAGCACCACCTTTTCTGCCAGCCTATCCAAGAGTCACTGCCTGGCCATGCCTGCTTGCAGTGTGGCCTCAGCTGCCCAGCAGAGGAGCTTGCCATGGTCACAGCTCTTTTGCCAACAGACCCTACCTAAGAGTCAGAGAGCTTCTGCAGGCAGTCCCCTGCAGGTGGAAAACCACCCACAGCCTTCCCCTGTCAGCACACAATTGCCCAGAGTCTCACCCTGCTGCTTCACCAGTGCACACTCACTTGCAGCCTCTCTCTGCTCCTTCACTGCATTTGCACATGGAGACTCCCACTACCCACTGGACCCCCACTGAAGTGCTTTTGCTGGCATCCCTCATTGGAGTGTTGTGGTCAGTGGATTGTGAACACCTTGGCCCCTTCAGTACAGTCAGTGCTTAACCTTGAGGGACCAGAGAAAAAATTTGCAAGCCTAGTCCCAGTCACCAAGGGTGAGAGCATGACACCCAGGGAGGGCTGAGCTGAGCCTTTGCCTCCTGAAATCATACGGAAACAAAGCCAATTGACTAAACCCAACTTATATACAGTTAACCCCCAAAGGTATCAAAGAATATAAATCAAAATGCCCTACCCAAAGGACAGCAACTTCAAAGATTAAAGGAACATCGGCTCACATTGGTGAGGAAGAATCCGTGCAAGAACTCTGGCAACTCTAAAAGCCAGAATGTCCTCTAACCTCCAAACAACTGTACTAGCTTTCCAGCAATGGTTATTAATCACACAGAAATGGCTGAAATGACAGAAATAGAATTCATAATGTAGATGGAAATGAATCTAGAAATTCAAGGGAAAGTTGAAACCCAATCCAAGGAATCTAAGGAATCCAATAAAGTGATAAATTTTCAGAAAGAAATAGAAAGAAATTATCAGAAATAGAAATGTCTATTTTCAGATATACATTTCCATAAAGAACCAAAGTGATCTAAAGCTGAAAAAACTCACAACCAGAATTTCATAATACAATTGGAAGTGATAACAGCAGAATTGACCAATCTGAGGAAAGAATCTCAGAGCTCAAAGACTAGTTATTTGAATTGAGACAAAAATTTTTAAAAATTAATGAATAAAACCTCTGAGAACTATGAGATTATGTAAAGAGACAAACCTATGCCTCATTGGTATCCCAGAAAGAGAGGGAGAGAGAACAAGAAACTTGGAAAACATATTTAAGAATATTTTCCACAAAAATTTCCCCAAACTCGCCAAAAAGGTCAACATACAAATTCAGGAAATTCAGAGAACTTCAGCAAGATCATATACAAGACAACCATCCCCAAAACAAATAGTTATCAGATTCTTCAATGTCAATGTTAAAGAAAAAATTTAAAGGCAGCTAGAGAAAAGGCACATGTCATGTATAAAAGGAACCAGATCAGGCTAAGAGGGGACAGTTCAGCAGAAATCTTACAAGACAGAAGATTCTGGGGGCCTATATTTAGCAACATTAAAGGAAAGAAATTTCAACCAAGAATATCCTATTCAGCTAAATTAAGTTTTATAAGCAAAGAGAAATAAAATCCTATTTAGACAGGCAAATGCTAAACGAATTTTTTTCTACCAGACCTGCCTTATAAGAGGTCCTTAAGAGAGTGCTAAACATGGAAACAAAAGACTCTTACCTGAAACTGCAAAAACACACTTAAGTACATAGCCCACTGACGCTATAAAACAACTCTACAGTGTACGTCACAACCAGCTAACAACATGATGACGGGATTACAAACTCACATAATACTGACATTGCACATAAACAAGATAAATGCCCCAAGTAAAAAGGCACAGAGTGGCAAGCTGACTAAAGAACTAATACCCAACTGTATGCTGTCTTCAAGAGATTCATCTCACATGCAATGACAACCATAGGCTCAAAGTAAAGGGATGGAGAAAGATCTATCAAGCAAAAGGAAAATAAAAGAGAACAGAGGTTGCTATTCTTTTTTCAGGAAAAAAAAAGTTTAAACCAATAATGATCAAAAAGGACAAAGAAAAGCATTAGAAGAGCATTATAAAATGATAAACTGTTCAATTCAACGAGATGACTTAACTATCCTAAATGTAAATCCACTAAATACTGGAACACCCAAACTCATAAAATAGTTCTTAGAGATCTATTAAGAGACATAGATAACCACACAATTATAGTGGGAGACTTCAACACCCCTAGACAGATCATCAAGGCAGAATACTAACAAAGATACTAGGGACCTAAATTTGACACTTGACCAAATAAACCTAACATACATCTATAGAACACTCCACCCAACAACAACAGAAAATACATTCACCTAACTGCACACAGCACATACTCTAAGATTGAATGCATGCTCAGCCATAAAGGAATTCCTTATAAATTCCAAAAAAAAAAATGGAAATCACAACTACACTCTCAGACCACAGTGCAATAAAAATAGAAATCAATACCAATAAGATCTCTCAAAACCATGTAATTATATGGAAATTAAACAACCCACTCATGAATGACTGCTGGGTAACAAATGAAATTAAGGCAGGAATCAAGAAATTCTTTGAAACTAATGAAAACAAAGTTACAACATAACAGAACCTCTGGGATGCAGCTAAAGCAGTGTTAAGAAGAAAGTCTATAGTATTAAATGCCAACCTACATTGAAAAAAGGTCAAAAAGGTCTCAAAATTAACAACCTAACCTAAACCAATACCAAAGCTAGCTGAAAAAACAACCAAAATCAGAACTCAACTGAATGAAACTGAGATGTAAAGATCTATATAAAAGCTCAACAAAATTAAAAGTTGTTTCTTCAAAAGAGTAAATAAGATTGATAGATGTCTAGCTAGACTAATTAGAGAAGATTCAAATAAACACAATTAGAAATGAGAAAGGGAATCTTACCATCTACCCCACAGAAATACAAAAACCCTTAGAGACTATTATGAGCACTTCTATGCAGACAAACTAGAAATCCTAGAAGAAATGGACAAATTTCTGGAAACAGACATCCTCCCAAGATTAAACCAGGAAGAAATTCAGTACTTCAGCTGACCAAGATTAAGTTCCAAAATTGAATCTGTAATAAAAACCCTACAAACCCGAAAAAGCCCTGGACATAATGGATTCACAGCCAAATTCTAACAGATACACAAAGAAGAGCAAGTAGCAGTCCCATTGCAACGATTCCAAAAACATCAAGGAGGCAGGACATCTCCCTAACTCATTCTGTGAAGCCAGCAAAATTTTGATAGCAAAACCTAGCAGAGACACAACAAGAAAAAAGAAAACTTCAGGCCAATATCCCTGATGAATAGAGATGTAAAAATCCTCAACGAAGTACTTGCAAATCTAATCCAGCAACACATCAAAAAGCTATTCCTCCATGATCAAGTAGGCTTTATTCTTGGATGCAAGGTTGTTTCATCATACACAAATCAATAAATATGATTCATCACATAAAGAGAAGTAAAAACAAAAACTACACAGTCATTGTAATAGATGCTGAAAAGGCTGTTGATAAAATTCAACATTCCTTCATATTAAAAACCCTCAACAAAGAGTTGAAGGAAAATACCTCAAAATAATAAGAGCCATCTATCGCACACTGCCAATATTGTACTAATCAGAGGAAGAAATAAAAAGTATCCAACAGGAAAAGAGGCAGTAAAACTATGTCTCTTCACATACGATATGATTCTCTACCTAGAAAACCCCAAGCCCCTGCACAAAGGTTCCTATAACTGATCAACAACTTCCATAAAATTTTAGCATACAAAAATCAGTGTACAAAAGTCAGTAGCACTTCTATATACCAAGAATGTCCAAGCTGAGAGCCAAATCAAAGGATGCAATTCCATTCCCAATAGCCGCAAAATGAATAAAATATTGAGCAATACAGCTAACCAGGGAAGTGAAAGATGTCTACAATGAGAATTCTGAAACACTGCCGAAAGAATTCAGAGACAACACAAATAGAAAACATTCCATGCTCTTGGTTAGGAAGAATCAATATTGTGAAAATGGCCATACTACCCAAAGCAACTTACAGATTGAATGCTGTTCCTATAAAACTACCAATGTCATTCTTCACAGAATAAAAAAAAAAACTATTCTAAAATTCATATGCAGCCATAAAAGTTCATGAATAGCCAAACAATCCAAACAAAAACAACAAAGCTGGAGGCATCACACTGCCAGTCTTCAAACAATACAATATGGCTATAGTAACCAAAACAGCATGGTACTGGTACAAAAACAAATACATAGACCAATGAAACAGCTCAGTCAACCCAGAAATAAAACCACAAAACTACAGCCATTTGATCTTTGACAAAGTTGACAACAACAAGCAATAGAGAAAGGACACCCTATTCAATAAAAGATGCTGGTATAGCTGGCTAGCCATATGCAGAAGATTGAAACTGGACCCCTTTCTTACCTCATATACAAAAATCAACTCAAGATTGATTAAAGACTTAAACATAAAACCTAAAGCTATAAAGAACCCTAGAATGAAACCTAGGAAATACCATTCTAGACATGAGCTTTAGCAAAAATTTAATGATGAAGACTCTAAAAGCAATCTATAACAAAAACAAAAATTGACAAGTGGAGCTTAATTAAATTAAAGAGTTTCTGTACAGCAAAAGAAACTATTAACGGAGTAAATACACAACATATAGAATGGGGAAAATATTTGCAAACTATGCTTCTGACAAAGATCTAATATCTGGAATCTATACGAAACGTAAGCAAATTTACAGGCAAAAAAATCAACCCCATTAAAAAGTGGGACAAAGGACAAAAACAGACACTTTTAGAAAGAAGACATATATGTGGCCAACATATATACAAAAAAATGCTCGACATCACTAATCATTAGAGAAATGCAGATCAAAACCACAATGAGATACCATCTCACACCAGTCAAAATGGCTATTATTTAAAAATCAAAAAATAACAGATGCTAGTGAGGTTGCAGAGAAAAGAGAACACATACACTGCCAGTGAGAATGTTAATAAGTTCAGTAACTGTGGAAAACATCTTGGAGATTTCTTAAAGAACTTAAAACAGAATTACAATTCAACCCAGCAATCCCATTACTGGGTGTATACCCAAGGGAATATAAATAATTCTATTATACCACAAAGACACATGGACATGTATGTTCATCACAGCACTCTTTACAACAGCAAAGACATGGAATCAACTTAAATCCCCATCAACAGTAGACTGAATTTTTTAAAAATGTGGTACATATAAACCATGGAATACTATGCAGCTATAAAAAAGAATGAGATCATGTCCTTTGCAGCAACAGAAATGGAGCTGCAGGCCATTATCCTAAGTTAATTAATGCAGAAACAGAAAACAAAATATCACATATTCTTACCACCACAAAAACAAATTAGTAGGTGCTATACATTGAATACACATGGGCACAAAATGGGGAAAAATAGTGTCTGGTACTCACTTGTGGGTGGAGGGCAAGAGGTTGGTGAGACTTTAAAAACTACCTATTGGGTACTGTGCTCACTACCTAGGTGACATATACCATACCTCAGTGACATGTAATTTACACATGTAACAACCCTGCATGTATACTCCCTGAATCTAAAATAAAAGTTGGAAGAAAACAATGCTATTTGAAGGAAGAATTCCTTCTTTTTTGGGAAAGTCAGTCTTTTCTCTTAAGGCCTTTGACTGATTAGACAAGGCCCACCAACATTAGGGAGGGAAATCTGCATTAATCAAATCTACTCATTTAAATATTATCCACAGTGAAAAAAAAACTTGATAGATATATCAAGAATGATGTTTTACCAAAAATTTAATAATGTGGCCTACCCAAATTGACATACCATTAATCATCACAGTGATTTCCAATAAAATTCCACAGAAGAAATAGTATATGATATTTTCACTCTAATATTTGTAAAACTCTATTTACAAAAACAACTGAAGAATCTGATAAATTTGAGTCCTCACAGACCTTGTTTGGGAGATTTCTTTGTACTAATCCTAGGTTGTTCAAGAATTGTCTAATTTTGTGGAATGGGGTGTCGTGAGATGCTGGAGAGCCTCAGGAAGGTGTCAAAAGAATACACCTAATGGAGTTAAATAACCAAGATTTTATTCCAGATTATTGCAATAGGAGACAGAGATTAAACTCAATTCTGCTGAAACAAAAGTCAGGAGAGTTTTAAGCACTGCAGTTAACTAACCAAGTACTGAAAAAGTACTGGAAGACATTAAGGTTAGAGTGATGGTTGAGTGGGGAAGTTGATCAATGTGATTAAGCCATCAGTATTTGCTAACTGATGCTAATTGGCTAATTGAGGTTAGGCTGCTACCCTTACAAAGACACTAATAGATACAGGCACTTTGTTTCTTTCTTTTCTTTTTTTTTTTCTTGTTTCTTTCTTTCTTTTTCACTCTCTCTTTTTCTTTCCTTCCTTCATTCCTTTTTTTTTTTTTAATCAACATTTAAGTTCCGGGTTACATGTGCAGGATGTGCAAGATTGTTACATATGTAAATATGTGAGGCACTCTCTTTATTATGATAACATTTCATAGGGATGACTCCAAATCCTTGAGAAAGACATTCCTAGGTTGTAAAACTTGCAGAAGATATCTTAAAGAGGCAGAGAAAAAAATTATAATGCCAATTTTTCTAAAATAAATGCTTTAAGAAAAGGAAGATCGGGGGGTATCGGAAGGTACCAGTCTAAAGTTTAATCAAGCTGACAAGAAGCTTAAGACTGCCACAGTTAGGGGATATGTCAGAGTGGCACAGGAGAGTGAGAAGACAGGAAGACTGCCAGTTTATTTCTATTGTGTGCATATCATTCAGCATTGTGCTACTTTTGGGAAATAACTCCATTTTAACAGTCTTATAGTACATATACTTCAGCTACGTAGTCCCCAAAATTGCTGGCTGATACCAATATGTAAAACGGGATTGATCAATGTAAGATTTTTTTTTTGAAACTAAATATTTCTTTTGAACATGTAAGTTTCTGGATTAATCAGATGATTGAATATACCTAAGATCTAAATTTCAAAGGTAAAGATAAGGCCTGGTAACAAATTTATTAAGAAAATTAAATAAAAATTTCAAAATCAACCCTGAAATTGAATTCTCTATATGCCCAATGTAAATGGCCAGTAAGTCTCCAAAAAGGTTTTTAAATGATCCTAACTTGGGCATGACCCTTTTCATATTATTATTGGTGCTTTATTTACCTAATGTAACAAAAGTAAAATTGTGCCAGATGTATCTAAACAAGAATGTACTTGCTGTTTTTTAGGGAATTTACTCATAGGATATTTTTCATGAAAAGATAAATAAGCTATTGTTTATGAAAGTATTGTAGCAAAATAAAATACATAATAACTGGAAATAAGTAAATACTTTTTCCTCATTATAAATATTAATTTCATGGAACATTATGTAGATATTAGAAATTACAAATATGAAAACTAGATATATAATTTAGAAGTTGTATTTGTGAATGAAGCTGTTAAGATTGAGGGTGATTGTCATATTTTGTGCAAAATTTTGAAATATTGTAAGGATTTGTTTTTAGTATCACAGTCATTAGTATCACTGCAGAATATTTTTGCATAAACTCTACATTTTGTTATTTAGCTTTTCATTTAAGAAAAAAATTGAAAAACAGTTGCATGGCATTCCTTTCAGAGGTGGGAGATATTTAACTATTAGGATAGAGGCAATTTGTCAAGAAATTCTTAAGGCCTTTTACTTTCTAGGCGTATAAGAACTGAAAAAGGTCTTTAATTCAATAAAAATGTTTTATATTTATCAAGTACTGTGAGGGTTAATATTAAATGTCAACTTGATGGGATTGAAGGATGCAAAGTATTGTTCCTGGGTGTGTCTGTGAGGGTACTGCCAAAGGAGATTAACATTTGAGTCCATGGACTGGGGAAAGGCAGACCTACCCTCAATCTGGGGGAGTATCATCTAGTCATCAGCCAGCAAGGCCAGAATAAAAGCAGGCAGAAGAACGTGGAGAGATCAGACTAGCTTACCTTCTGAGCCTACATCTTTCTTCCGTGCTGGATGCTTCCTGCCCTTGAATGTCAGTCTCCAGGTTTTTCAGCTTTGGGGATCATACGTGCTTCCTTGCTCCTCAGCTTGCAGCCTAATGGGGGCCTCACCTTGTGATCATGTGAGTTAATACTCCTTAATAAACTATCTTTTATATATACATCCATCCTATTAGTTTTGTCCCTCTAGAGAACTCTAATACAGATTTTGGTACCAGGAGTGGTTGTAGAGGAACAGAAATATTAAGGATGGAGTTCTTTAGTTGGTTTTGGGTTTCTGGAGTTGGCTGCTTATATGATTAGACCCAAAAATGCTAAGGGCTCTACTTCTAATAGTATGGAGAACACTGATAGTCCTTGGCGTGAACTATTTAAAGAGTTATGCAAAATAAATGCATTTGGTAATCCTGATTCACAGCTCATGAGAGGCAAGGACTTTAGTGATTCTATACATAAAACCTTTGATCATCTGTGGAGAACCAAGGAACATAATAAAGCTGATTGATTGCTCCTAAGTTCACTGGACAAAGTGATGAAAGAAAATGAGGAACTCAGGGATTCTAACTCCCCACTTCAGAAGCAGATACTGAGCCTCAAATCTGCTAAGACTGCCCTAAGTGACAGTCTTATCTCCTATAGAAAAAGAGCTAAAATTGTGGAAAATCAGACACGAACTCTTATCATGAGAGTGGCTGACCTGCAATGAAAGGTGCATGCACAGCCTCATCAGGTGTCTACTGTTAAAGTGAGGGCATTGATTGGAAAAGAATGTGACCTTGCAACTTGGAATGGAGACATGTGGAAAGAACCTGATGAAGCTCGGGACACTGAGCTTGTAAACTCTGATGAACTTTTTTTGCAGAAGAAACAGCTTCCCCTATCCCCTCCCTAAACCAGGTACCATCAACCTTTTCCCCTTTGTCTGAGAACATAAACCCTGCACTGCCTGAGGCAACAGTGATTGCCTCCCCCAAGGCAGTTGCCATGCAGGACAATGTTGATTCTCCTCAGAACCTACCCTCAACACCCCTGTTTGCTTCTAGACCTATAACTAAAGTCCCAGCAGGGCCCTAGATGTGAGGTTGAGAGTGTGACCCATGAGGAGGTGAGCTATACTCCAAAAGAACTGCTTGAGTTTTCTAATTTATATAAGCAGAAATCTGGAGAACAGGCATGGGAATGGATATTAAGGGTGTGGGATAATGGTGGAAGGAACATAGAGTTGGATCAGTCTGAATTTATTGATTTGGGCCCCCTAAGTAAGGAAGGATTCTGCATGTAATGTTGTAGCTCTGGGAGTTAAAAAGAACAAGTCCCGAGTTCTTCAGCTGTGGGACTTGGACTGGCTGCCTTGCTCCTCAGCTTGCAGACAGCCTCTTGTGTGACCTCACCTTGTTATCGTGTGAGTTAATACTCCTTAATAAACTCCTCTTTGTATATACATCTATCCTATTAATTCTGTCCCTCTAGAGAACCCTGACTAATACAGGTACCCACTACTTTGAACAAAGCATCTTGGTGGGCATATAACAATACTAGAAAACAAAAAATGAGACAGGTACTCAGCATTGTATGTGATAAGTAAATAATGCTTAGGTTACACCAAAGCTGCAGTTTTTGTAGGTCAATATTCTTGATTAATGCTGCAGCATGAATCCTTCAAATGTAGTTTCAAAAATATAAATCGTGTTTTTCATAATTAATATAGAAAATATGAGGCATAAACATGTCTTTCTTTAGAATGTAAAAATGGGAAAATAATGAAACCTAGATTTCTGTAATAAGTTAGTAAAAATAAAGAATAAGCATATATGGGTAAAATGTCAAGATAAAAATAAGGATTATTTTAAGCTTCCAAGCAAATTGATTAGATTAATCCAAAGCAAAGTATAAATTGTGGTGTATAATATAGGACAGTATTGAAAAGCCTACGTAGGATTCAGCAAAGTACCTATTGATTAAAAGCATTAGCTAGGCTTAGAAAATATATCCAAAATTATTTTTCTGTCAATTAAAAGAATATAAAAAGAAATTTAACATCTCCAAGAAAAACAAAATTATCAACAAATATGAGTTTCTTTGTAGAAAAGAAGGCAGAACAATATTCTATTCTGATTTTGTAAACATCTGTATTCAAAGCCTCATAAAAATTGGAAAACATTTTTATTATCAATATTTTTATTGATGAATCATAATTGTGTACATATATAGTATGTGATGTGATATTTTAATATATGGAATGATTATATTAAGCTCATTAACATATCCATCACCTCAGTTATCTTTTTTTATAATTAGACATTTGAAATTAACTCTCTTGTTTTGAAATACACATTATTATTGACTGTAGTCATATTTTTGTGCAATAGATTTCAAAACCTACTCCTTCTATCAGCAACTTGTACTTTTTGATAAATAATCCCTATTGCATCCCTTCCCACCTCCAGCCCCATCTTCTGGCAACCATCATTTTACTCTTTACTTCTATGAGTTCAACTTGTTTAGATTCCACATGTAAGTGAGATCACGTAGCATTTGTCTTTCTGTGCCTGGCTTATTTCACTTAGCATAATGTTCTTCAGACTCATCCATGTTGATGCATATGACAGGATTTCTTTTTTGTAAAGACTCAATAGTATACATTGTGTATAAATGCCATATTTTTAAATCTACTCATGTGTTGATGAACACTTAGTTTGATTCCATATCTTGGCTATTGTGAATAATGCTGCAACGAACATAAAGTGCAGATATCCCTCTGACATATGACTTTTAGGTCCTCTGAATATCCCAGAAGTGGGATTACTGAATCATATGATACTTCTATTTTTAGTGTTTTGAGAAACCTCCATACCATTTTTCATAATGGCTGTATTAATTTACATTCTCACCAACAATAGTTAATTGTTTAATTCAGCAGGACATATATTTTGGAGAAAACAAAATTTTTTTAAATTTAATGACACTTTGAAGGAAAAACTTGAATGAGATACTTCAGATATTATTACTTCATACTGTATTGTTTAACAAACTTATTAAATATTTTATTTTTATTTATTCATTTATTTTTGAGATGGAGTCTCGCTCTGTCGCCAGGGTGGAGTGCAGTGTTGCGATCTCAGGTCACTGAAACCTCCGCCTCCCAGGTTTAAGCGATTCCCTTGCCTCAGCCTCCTGAGTAGCTGGGACTACAGGCCTGAGCCACCATGCCTAGGTTTTTTTTTTTTTTTTTAGCAGAGACGGGGTTTCACCATATTGGCCAGGATGGTCTTGATCTCCTGATCTCACGATCTGCCCACCTCGGCTTCCCAAAGTGCTGGGATTACAGGCCTGAGTCACCACGTCCGGCCTTGTTATTTTATTAAAGCTAACAATTGGTAAAATAACCACTTTCTTGAAGAAGATAAATCAAAATTTCTAGCAATTAGAATAAATTTAGAGGTTCAAACAGAAAAAAGTTTAATAAGCAAAAGTCTCTGGCATTCTTTTTATATTTTCCCCTTTGCTATTTTGTTCATCACTACATTCTGAGTTATTCAAGTTTCTGGGTATATGTTTATTTTATATTGCGTGTAAAAATTACAACCTTCAGTGTAGTCATCAGGAAATAAAGCATATCAACTGTTCTATTTTGTAAGAACATTCTGGTCTTAACACGCAGTGAAGCGTATTGATTAATTATCTCTTCAATATCCCTTCTTTTGTGGAAGGGATTATAAACAATTTTCACTTTTCCATTTTTGGGTTTAGAGCTTGGCCAAAAGATTTGCTTGAGCCAGTGAAATGGACAAGGAATAACAATGTGTCAGCTCCAATCTTAGACCTTCAGAGAGGTAGGAGAGATCCTCTTGCCTCTGTCACTGCTGTGAGAATAGTGTACCACAGCTAGCCCACTGGGTCAAGAAGAATGAGAAGCACCTAGAACAGGGCAGCCCGCTCACAGACCAGCAGTGAGAAGCAGATCCATACCAGCTGCTGCAGCCTCAAGCATAGTTGTCCAGCTGAGTTGAACCTATATTACCTGAACCTCAGAGGACTCACAGATAATGAGAATAAAAAATTACTAATTTCGGCCACCAAATTCTGAGTAGCTTGTTAATTTTTTTTTAATGTGTGAGATTAGCTAACTGAAACAGAGCAAAACAGAATATAGTAAAAAGATAACTAATCTTGTGTTCAAAAAAATGCGAAGTGGAATGTCAGGTATGCTATTCACTCATTGTATTTATTAAGGTAAATGATTAAACTTTGATATAGACTCCATATTTCAATGGGAACAATGACACCTATAATACTGGTTTACAAGTCACTTCTAGTTATCTAGAACCCTTTTTTATGATAACCTGGCCCTGACTAGTAAATTTCAAACCCCATGAAGACCCAAGCTCAATCTGGTATCTAGTGTTAACTCTCATTGCCTAACTTAGTGACTGTATACTCCTGCTAACAGAATTCCTTTCTGAAGTGTGCAGTAATTGACACCAATCTTTTAGTCCCTCTCAGGGACAAGGCTTATGTGTTCATTTTCTTCTTCCTGTTGCAGAGTTGTCCCCAATTTGAGCTCTATTATGGCGGGTGTGACAAATTGCAAGTTCTGATTTCTCCTTGTTGTAATGCCAATGAACCTTTTAAGATATATTTTCTTTCAAAGAAAAGTCTATCCATTGGGATTTGCAAGTTGAAAGATTTGGTATTGTTTACAAACAGTCATATCCATAACATGTGGAGCTGGTTATATTCTACTAGGAAGAATGCATTTAATCCTGACTACCACAATTCAAGTGCAAAATACAAAAATGGAACTCACTGAGGGTACAATAATGACAGTAGTAAGGAAAGTCAAAACAGGCTTTACTATGAATTACTAGGAGTATAACACAGTCATTTTCAATTACATGAAGGAAGTTTGAAAGAAAGAGTAGCTTTACTCCTAGTTGGGCCTAGAAATAATAGACTGTTTATACAAGTTATAGGATAATTTTAGGCTCAATATCATAAATGATTTTTTGAAAATTATAATTGGTTCAAAGATGGCTCAATCCACCTTAAGGAGAAGAGAGCTATCTACCCAACAGATGGAGTGTTGCACTGGATATTTTGTTAGGCTGTTTAAGTATCTATGCAGAATTTTACAAGGCACTATAAGTAAGCAATTGTATATTTAGACTCAGTAAAAGTAGCTTAGCACATTTTTTTCTACATCTAGTCCAGATAAAGCATTTATGTTAACTGAATGTACCTTGCAAGCATTTCAATTAGATTTGAGGGTGGGGAAAATCATGTGCAAAAATGTACAACAATGTTGTGCAACTATTGCTATGTTTTTTCTTTGTTGGTGTTATTGTTATTTTTGTAATGATTCCATCTGGAGTTCCTAATCCATAAGATTAAAAAATAACTTGCCCGCCAGGCACAATGTCTCATTCCTGTAATCCCAGCACTTTGGGAGGCCGAGGCGGTGGATCACCTGAGGTCAGGAGTTTGAAACCAGCCTGGCCAACATGGTGAAACCCCGTCTCTACTAAAAATGTAAAAATTAGCCAACCGAAGTGGTGCATGCATGTAATCCCAGCTACTCGGGAGGCTGAGGCAGGAGAATCACTTGAACCTGGGAAGCAGAGATTACGGTGAGCCAAGATCACACCACTGCACTCCAGCCTGGGCGACAGAGCAAACCTCCATCTCAAGAAAACAAAACAAAACAAATAAAATAAAATAAAATAAAAATAAAATAACAAAAATAAAAAATAACTTGCCATTTAAAGTTATATTAGTATTATCTTAAATTGGGTTTCTCTAAGCCCTGTTCAGATAAAGATTTATTAAATTTTAAGGTAAAGTCTACATACCTAAGAATTGACTTTCTTGTCACAAATGTTTGCCTTTGCAATTTTTCTTCTTCAAGTTGGAGTTGGGATATAAAGAAACAACGTGGGAAAATGTGCCCAAACTGAGTAATCCCTTTGCTATTCGTCTGATTTTTCACTGGCCTGAGAGGAAATTTTTCCACACAGACTGATTGTCATCTTAGATTTTACTCCTCAAGTAATGGCAGAACCTAGAATGTAATCTCTCATCATAGCAGGGGTCAAATGCACCTTCTTTCCTCCACTAATTCAGCTCTAACTCAATGCTAGCTCACTGTGCAGGTTCTTTGAGTCTCATCCACATCCTCTGCCTTGCCCCTGGATTAGGTGTGAAAACTTGACTTCTGCAAGAGCATTACTTTATCTTTTTCCCCTTGTTGCTGCTATTCCATTCCAGGATCACTGACTGCCAACTCTTAGTTGCCCTTCCAACTGGGAGGTGAAAGAAATTTCTAAACCTTTAGTATAATACAGTGGAGCTACTTCTAGCTCTCTCTATATTTACTTTGCAGCTACTGCTATTGGTATGAGACTTTTTGTAAACTGCCTTTAATCAGAGTCCTGAAGAAGAAAATAAGGCACAAGTCCCCACTGTTTGGGATTTTCCTTCCATTTTGAGTTGAGTTAGAGAGAAACAAGAACACTTCCAAAACACCACTTATCTCACTTCTATCCCAGCCCTCCAAAGGATCTTCTACTTCCTCTTGCTGTTAAGACCTTCTTATGAAATCTTATAAGAAATACCTTCCTCAGTTCTTTCTACCAATAATTTATAATTAGGCATTAATACCCAAGACTTCAAAACACCTATCATGTTCTAATATGGAAAGGGAGTTATACTAATTTAGAAAAGAAATCAACAACTTTTATGTGTACAAAACAATGACTAGATGTTGATTTTGTTTTCTATAATTGGCACAATAAATCAACCAAAGCTTGTCAATGGATTTGCTCTTATGGGACTAAACTCCTTTTATTTACTTCTGACAATAAGCCTTATAATGGCTGTAAGACTTAAAGGCAGGAAATTTTCAGAAAAATGTCATTTATGGGAAAAAACACACACACATATAAAATATACATATTTAATACTTTCAAAATATTGTTCACTATTTCTGTTTCTAGGGAGATGGAGATGTACTTTTCTCTATTCCTTCTCATAAATTATGTATAAAACAAACAAAAATTCTAAAAGGTAAAGAGAAAATAACAGATTGGCTAGGGACTTCAGGTTCTAAGAAACATCACTGATGTGAGTTCACTGAGTGTTCTTTTTGCCTCATACATGCCACATTTGGAACTGAATAAGTCATCAACCCAGAAATACCTATAGGCATAGACAAATAAAAAGCCAGAAGAAAAGACTGCCCTCCTTAGCAGGAGTCAAGAAAAACAGAAATATGGTAATATTGAAAATTTTAAATAATAACCACTCTATTCCACAGAACAACATAGGAAAAAAAAAAAAAAGTGGCTGCTATGCATCTCTGCCATCAAATACTGAGCAGGGAGCCTAGATTTCCATCCTTGTCAGATTGTAATATGGTACCTCAACTGCCACTGGGGTGGTGTCAGTGAAGGGTTAGTAGGGAGGTGAGCTTTTCTTTCCTGCCATGGAGTAATTACACCCCCCTTCTGCCCAAGGAATCAGTGGAGACCACAAGGGAAGCCGGCACTACAAGGACCAAGCAGTAATGAGGCATCCTCCCTCTCCCCAATCCCCTAGCATGGTATAAGAGGAAAACTAATGGAGAACCAGACTTTTTTAACCACCTAGTGTGAATAAGGCCACCACACTTTCTCAGTGGGTCTCAACAGAGGCCACATGGGGAGCAATAATGGCATATTTCTATGCTTCTCAGCAGAGAGGTATGAATGGAGGCCCAGTGGGTAGCTGAAACTTTCACAGTCACCCAGCAGTAACTAGGAGTTTTCCCCATTAAATGTCAGTGGAGATCAAGTGAGGAACCTGGATTTCTAACCCACTTACCAGTAATGAGTTAGTCCCTCCAGATCCCCTGCCAGACTCATATCATAGGAAGCCAACTAATAGAGAAGGCTTAAATAAGATCCAGAGTCCTATATCATAAAAATAAAAATATCCACATTTCAATAGAAAATTATTTGTCACACCAAGAACCAGGAAGATGTCAAACTGGATGATAAAGATAATAAATGACAATACCAAATGACAGAGATGTTAGAATTATCTGACAAATATGTCAAAGCAACCATCAGATAAAATACTTCAGCAATAATGAACACACTTGACACAGATGAAAAAAAATAGTCTCCACAAAGAAACAAATTGTCTGCAAATAAATAGAAGATATAATTAAGTAACAGAAGAAAAATTTAAAAGTGGAAAATAAAATAATTGAAATAATAGTCTCAATGAAGGCAAACAACATTAAAATGGAGAAGACAGAGAAAAGAATCAGTGAACTTGAAGACAGAACAAGAGAAATTACCAAATATGAGCAACAAAGAGAAAATAAACTAGAAAAAAAGATTTGAGCTTCAGCAATTTATGGGATGAAAACAAAAACCTATATTTATGTCATCCATATACTGAAAGGAAAAGAGAAAAGGGCAAGGCTAAAAAAAGTATATGAAGATGTAATAACCAAAATGTCTCAGATTTGTCAAGAGACACAAACACAAAATTCAATTATTTGGGCAAATCTTAAACATGATAATTCCAAAGAAATCCATAAGAAGATATAACATAACTAAACTTATGAAATGTAAAGATAAAGAAAAATCTTGAGTGCACTTTACCTTTAGGGAAAAAAACAATTAAAGTAAAATAAGATTTCTCATAAAAAACCATGAAGGCCCAAGGGTAGTGGCACAATATTTTTTCAAACGCTAGATAAACAACAATCATCTCAGAATCTTATACCTGATATATTTCAGGGAAAAGGGGGTGATTAGGACATTCTCAGACGAAGAAAAATTAAAATTTATTGCCATCAGATCTACCCTGAGGGAATAACTAAAGCAATTTATATAAAAAGAAAAAGAATGAAACAAGAAAGCTTCGAACATCAGGGATAAAGAACATGGCCAGCAAAAAATATGGGTATACAGAGTAGGCTTTTCTCTTCCTTTTGAGTTTTTCAAGTTGTGTTTTATGGTTGAAGCAACAATAATAATGCTGATTAATGTGGTACTAAATGTACCCAGACAAATATTTAAGATAATTATAAATGGGGGATATTAAAGGGACATAAAAGGAAGTAAGTTTTCTTCACTTCACTCAAACCGATAAAATGACATCCCCAGGAGACAATGATAAGCTATATATACATAACAAATACTTATAACAACCATTAATAAAAATATACAAAGTGATACAATCAAGAGACCTATAGATACATCAAAAAGAAATTGTAAAAAGTGTTTAAGTAACCCAAGGAATGACAGAAAAAATAAAACAGAGAAGTAAAAAACATAATAAACGGGAAACAAAAGAAAACAAAAAGGTGGACTTAATCATGAATATATCAATAACTAGAGTATATGTAAATGGTCTAAAGACACAAATTAACAGACAGCAATTAGCAGAGAAAACTATATAACATAACCCACTATATGATGTCTATAAAAAATTCTCATCAAATATAACAATGTAGACACACTTAAAGTAAAAGGATGCAAAAAGATGTATTATACATAATCCAATAATATTAGAAGTTGCTATATTAATATCAGATAATGAAGAAAGAAAAAAGTTATTAGATACAGAATGGGGCATTATGTAATTTTTGAAGGTTATTCAACAAGAAAACATAGCTATCCTGTGTGTATACCAAACAACAGAGCTACAAAACAGGTGAACAGAACACTGAGATAACTGAGAGGGAAAATACACAAATACAGACTTAAATATCCCTCTGCCAAAAATTTTTATATTTAAAAAGAAAATCAGCAGAACATAGGAGAAATCAACAATATCCAACAATAGCACAATATGAATTTTTTTCAAGTTTCCTGTATTGTATACTAAGATAGACCATATCCTGAGTCATAAAACAAACCTAAAACAAATTTAAAAGACTTGAAATCATAGAATTTATCCTCTAACTACAATGAAAATAAATAGCAGAAAGACAACAGACGTCTCCCAACACATAGAAACTAAACCATGTGGCCGGGTGAGGTGGCTCACGCCTGTAATCCCAGCACCTTCGGAGGCTGAGGCAGGGGGATCAAGAGGTCAAGAGATCAAGACCATCCTGTCTAATGTGGTGAAACCTTGTCTCTACTAAAAATACAAAAATTAGCTGGGCATGAGCACCTGTAATCCCAGCTACTCAGGAGGCCTAGGGAGGAGAATTCCTTGAACCCAGGAGGCAGAGGTTGCAGTGAGCCGAGATCACGCCGCTGTACTCCAGACTGGCAACAGAGCGAGATTCTGAGAAAAGAGAAAGAAAGAAAAGAAAGAAAAGAATGAAGGAAGGAAGGAAGGGAGGGAGGGAAGCAGGGAGGGAGGGAGGGAAAGGGAAAGAAAGGAACTAAACCATGTACTTCTAAGTATTCCACGGTTCAAAGAGAAAGCCTCAAGGGAAATTTTAATAATTACATTGAACTGAATTAATAAAATTAAGCCATATCCAAATTTGTAAAACATAGCTAAAGCAGGACTGAAAAGGAAATTTATAGCACTAAATGCATACATTAGAAAGGAGAAAAAACTCTCAAATTAATACTCCAAGCTCTCATCCCAAGAACCTAGTTTAATGAGTTATGGGATATTCTACCAACTCAACCTTAGGACTATGAAACTTATTTGGAAAGTTTCAGATGAGTGAATAATGGGGCTTAGGACATACTGCTCCAAAATATGACTGTAGAAAACAAGAATATGTTACTGCCAAATATGTCTCTTGGCATAAATATTATTTGAGCTAATTATTTTGAAAAATTTCAGACAGAGGAAGAGCTCTAAAAACAAGAGTAGAAATTTAGTTTTTAAAAGAGAAATTCATATTTATAAAAGATAGACTTGGATTTGTAAGGGTATCTCCCACTTTTTGTACCCAGAAAAATAGGTTACTCTAAATCATTAGAAACTTTGATCAGGGAAAATATACCAACTTAAATCTGACAACAAACCTTACTCTTGTTTACCTTCAGTTCTTGGCAAACTCCCCATTACTGGACTTTGTCTACCTTCTTTTTGTTTCAGTTGAAGATGGTATTTAAGCCTGAACTCAAAGCTGAGTCTTAGAGATTAACGTAATTTTCTCTGTATTTCTTCCAACATAGATGAGGTATGCATGTTATTAACCTGTTTTTTCCTTGTTATATAAAAAGAAAACAGAAGCAAGGAAATAATAAAAAATAATAGCGGAAATGAATGACATTAAAACCAGCAAAACTCGTTTTTAGAGAAAACCTAATGAAACAAATATCATGTTTTTTTAAAGATCAATACAATTTACAAACTCTAGTAAGACTGACAAAAAAAGAGAAAAGATGCAAACTACAAATACCTGGAATTATAGGCTGCCAATACAGACCCTACAGGCATCAAAAGAATAAGGGACTACTATGAACAACTCTGCACGCATAAATTTGGCAGCTTAGAAACAATGAACAAATTCCTCAAAAAATACAAACTACAAGACATCCAATATGAAATAGATAAAATTAGTATCTCTATTAAGAAAATTGATTTTATGATTAAAACTTACAGAAATACATTTTCTGGCTAAAATTATGTTACTGGGAAATTCTTTTATTATTATTATTATTAAACTTTAAGTTCTAGGGTACATGTGCACAACATGCAGGTTTGTTACATATGTATACATGTGCCATGTTGGTGAGCTACACCCAGTAACTCGTCATTTACATTAGGTATATCTCCTAATGCTATCCCTCACCCCTCCCCCAACCCCACAACAGTCCCCGGTGTGTGATGTTCCCCTTCCTGTGTCCATGTGTTCTCATTATTCAATTCCCACCTATGAGTGAGAACATGCGGTGTTTGGTTTTCTGTCCTTGCGATAGTTTGCTGAGAATAATGGTTTCCAGCTTCATCCATGTCCCTACAAACGACATGAACTCATCATTTTTTATGGCTGCATAGTATTCCATGGTGTATATGTGCCACATTTTCTTAATCCAGTCTATCATTGTTGGACATTTGGGTTGGTTCCAAGTCTTTGCTATTGTGAATAGTGCCACAATAAACATACGTGTGCATGTGTCTTTATAGCAGCATGATTTATAATCCTTTGGGTATATACCCAGTAATGGGATGGCTGGGGTCAAACGGTATTTCTAGTTCTAGATCCCTGAGGAATCACCACACTGTCTTCCACAATGGTTGAACTAGTTCACAGTCCCACCAACAGTGTAAAAATGTTCCCACTTCTCCACATCCTCTCCAGCACCTGTTGTTTCCTGACTTTTTAATGATTGCCATTCTAACTTGTGTGAGATGGTATCTCATTGTGGTTTTGATTTGCATTTCTCTGATGGCCAGTGATGATGAGCATTTTTTCATGTATCTGTTGGCTGCATAAATGTCTTCTTTTGAGAAGTGTGTGTTCATATCCTTTGCCCACTTGTTGATGGGGTTGTTTTTTTCTTCTAAATTTGTTTGAGTTCTTTGTAGATTCTGGATATTAGCCCTTTGTCAGATGAATAGATTGCAAAAATTTTCTCCCATTCTGTAGGTTGCCTGTTCACTCTGATGGTTGTTTCTTTTGCTGTGCAGAAGCTCTTTAGTTTAATTAGATCCCATTTGTTGATTTTGGCTTTTCTTGCCATTGCTTTTGGTGTTTTAGACATGAAGTCCTTGCCCATGCCTATGTCCTGAATGGTATTGCCTAGGTTTTCTTCTAGGGTTTTTATGGTTTTAGGTCTAACATTTAAGTCTTTAATCCATCTTGAATTAATTTTTGTATAAGGTGTAAGGAAGGGGTCCAGTTTCAGCTTTCCACATATGGCTAGCCAGTTTTCCCAAAACCATTTATTAAATAGGGAATCCTTTCCCAATTTCTTGTTTTTGTCAGGTTTGTCAAAGATCAGATGGTTGTAGATGTGTGGAATTATTTCTGAGGGCTCTGTTCTGCTCCATTGGTCTATATCTCTGTTTTGGTACCAGTGCCATGCTGTTTTGGTTACTGTAGCCTTGTAGTATAGTTTGAAGTCAGGTAGCATGATGCCTCTAGCTGTGTTCTTTTGGGTTAGGATTGACTTGGCAGTGCGGGCTCCTTTTTGGTTCCGTATGAACTTTAAAGTATTTTTTCCAATTCTGTGAAGAAAGTCATTGGTAGCTTGATGGGGATGGCATTGAATCTACAAATTACCTTGGGCAGTATGGCCATTTTCATATTGATTCTTCCTATCCATGAGCATGGAATGTTCTTCCATTTGTTTGTGTCCTCTTTCATTTTGTTGAGCAGTGGTTTGTAGTTATCCCTGAAGAGGTCCTTCACATCCCTTGTAAGTTAGATTCCTAGGTATTTTATTCTCTTTGAAGCAATTATGAATGGGAGTTCACTCATGATTTGACTCTCTGTTTGTCTGTTATTGGTGTATAAGAATGCTTGTGATTTTTGCACATTGATTTTGTATCCTAAGACTGCTGAAGTTGCTTATCAGCTTAAGGAGATTTGGGGCTGAGACAATGGGGTTTTCTAGATATACAATCATGTCATCTGCAAACAGGGACAATTTGACTTCCTCTTTTCCTAATGGAATACCCTTTATTTCTTTCTCCTGCCTGATTGCCCTGGCCAGAACTTCCAACACTACGTTGAATAGGAGTGGTGAGAGAGGGCATCCCTGTCTTGTGCCAGTTGTCAAAGGGAATGCTTCCAGTTTTTGCCCATTCAGTATGATATTGGCTGTGGGTTTGTCATAAATAGCTCTAATTATTTTGAGATACGTTCCATCAATACCTAGTTTATTGAGAGTTTTTAGCATGAAGGGCTGTTGAATTTTATCAAAGGCCTTTTCTGCATCTATTGAGATAATCATGTGGTTTTTGTCTTTGGTTCTGTTTATATGCTGGATTACAGCTAACGTCATAATGACAGGATCAAATTCACGCATAACAATATTAACCTTAAATGTAAATGGGCTAAATGCTCCAATTAAAAGACACAGACTGGAAAATTGGATAAAGAGTCAAGACCCATCAGTGTGCTGTGTTCAGGAAACCCATCTCACGTGCAGAGACATACATAGGCTCAAAATAAAGGGATGGAGGAAGATCTACCAAGCAAAGGGAAAATAAAAAAAGGCAGGGGTTGCAATCCTAGTTTCTGTTAAAACAGACTTTAAACCAACAAAGATCAGAAGAGACAAGGAAGGTCATTACATACTGGTAAAGGGTACAGTTCAACAAGAAGAGATAACTATCCTAAATATATATGCACCCAACACAGGAGCACCCAGATTCATAAAGCAAGTCCTTAGAGACCTACAAAGAGACTTAGACTCCCACACAATAATAATGGGAGACTTTAACACCCCACTGTCAACATTAGACAGATCAATGAGACAGAAAGTTAACAAGGATATCCAGGAATTGTACTCAGCTCTGTACCAAGCAGACCTAATAGACATCTACAGAACTCTCCACCCCAAATCAACAGAATATACATTCTTCTCAGCACCACATGGTACTTATTCCAAAATTGACCACATGTAAATTGTGGAAGTAAAGCACTCCTCAGCAAATGTAAAACAACAATAATTATAACAAACTGTCTCTCGGACCACAGTGCAATCAAATTAGAACTCAGGATTAAGATACTCACTCAAAACTGCTCAGCTACATGGAAACTGAACAACCTGCTCCTGAGTGACTACTGGGTACATAACAAAATGAAGGCAGAAATAAAGATGTTCTTTGAAACCAACAAGAACAAAGACACAACATAACAGAATCTCTGGGACACATTCAAAGCAGTGTGTAGAGGGAAATTTATAGCACTAAATGCCCACAAGAGAAAGCAGGAAAGATCTAAAATTGACACCCTAACATCACAATTAAAAGAACTAGAGAAGCAAGAGCAAATACATTCAAAAGCTAGAAGAAGGCAAGAAATAAGTAAGATCAGAGCAGAACTGAAGGAGATAGAGACACAAAAAAACCCTTCAAAAAATCAATGAATCCAGGAGCTGTTTTTTTGAAAGGATCAACAAAATTGATAGACCCCTACCAAGGCTAATAAAGAAGAAAAGAGAGAAGAATCAAATAGACGCAATAAAAAATGATAAAGGGGATATCACCACCGATCCCACAGAAATACAAACTACCATCAGAGAATACTATAAACACCTCTATGCAAATAAACTAGAAAATCTAGAAGAAATGGATAAATTCCTCGACACATACACCCTCCCAAGACTAAACCAGGAAGAAGTTGAATCTCTGAATAGACCAATAACAGGCTCTGAAATTGAGGCAATAATTAACAGCTTACCAACCAAAAAAAGTCCAGGACCAGATGGATTCACAGCCGAATTCTACCAGAGGTACAAAGAGGAGCTGGTACCATTCCTTCTGAAACTATTCCAATCAGTAGAAAAAGAGGGAGTCCTCCCTAACTCATTTTATGAGGCCAGCATCATCCTGATACCAAAGCCTGGCAGAGACACAACAAAAAAATATCATTTTAGACCAATATCCCTGATGAACATCGATGCAAAAACCTCAATAAAATACTGGCAAACCGAATCCAGCAGCACATCAAAAAGCTTATCCACCATGATCAAGTGGGCTTCATCCCTGGGATGCAAGCCTGGTTCAACATACGCAAATCAATAAACATAATCCAGCATATAAACAGAACCAAAGTAACTGGGAAATTCTACCAAATATTTAAAGAAACACTGAGACCAGAAACTGTACAATCTCTTCTACAATAAAAAAGAGGAGAGAATCTTCCCAGTATGTTGTTTGAAGGTATGTATAAACTGATAGCCAAGTAGAAAAATACAGCCTATAAAAGAAAGAAAAGTACAAACTAATATTTCCCGTGTAGATTCAAAAACCTTTAACAAAATATTAGCAAACAGATTGAGCATTATATAAAAATAATTACACATTATGACCAAATAAGTTTCATTCTGGGGATGCAAATCTGGTTCAGTGTTCAAAAATCAAACAAAGTAATTCGTTATATTAATAAGGGAAGGGAAAAAGTCCCATGATCATACCAGTCAATGCAGAAGTCTTTGAAAAAAGCCATCACTCATTTATGATAAAAACTCCACCAAAATAGGAACAGAGATCTTCCTCAAGTTGATAAAGAGCATCTACCAAAAAACCCTACAGCTAACATAGTACATACTGTTGAAGAACTGCATGCTTTCCCCTTAAGATCAGGAACAAGGCAAAGATATTCACCCTCACCAACTGTATTCACCACACTGAAGAAAATTGTAGCCAATGCAATAGAAATATATGGTATAGGGATGAAAAATGAAGATATAAAACAGTCCTTTTGTGCAAGTGATATGAATGTATACTTAGAAAGTCCCATAAAATCTATCATAAGAAAAAAAAACAGCCTAGAATAAGTAAATTAACCAAAATAAAAAAACCCCATAAATCTATAATTTCATCAATGTCCTAGCAATAAACAATACCAAGTGATATAATTTTATAGTAGCTCAAAATAATGTAATACATAGGTAAATCTAATATAATAGACAGGATTTTTATACTGAAAACTGTATGATTGTGATAAAAAATTTTGAGTATCTCAATAAATGAAGAAACATAACATGCTCATGGATTGTAAAACTCAACATAGTAAAGATGTAAGTTTTCTTCAAATTTACATATAGATTTAATGCAACTGTTATTAGAATCTTGAGACTATTGGAGATATAGACAAGATTATTCTAAAATTAAATGAAAAGGCAAAGAACTGGAAGAGCAAAAACAATTTTGAGAGATAACAAAGTGGAAGGAATCAGTCCACTAATCAGTCTTTCTTTCTTCTTTCTCTCTCTCTCTCTCTTCTTTTTTTCTTCCTTCCTTCCTACCACAAATTGCACTGCTAAGCATTTATTCCAGAAAACAAATTAAAAAATTATGTTCACAAAAACCTATACACAAATGTTTATAGCAGTTTTATTTGTAATAGCCAAAAACTGGAAACAACTAGATGTTTTTCAACAGCTGAACTGCTAAAGAAACTATGGTATAACTACAAAATGGAATGCTATTCAATAATTTCATAGAATGATCTGTTGATACACGAAACAACGTGAGTGAATCTCCAGAGAATTATTCTGAGTGATGAAAGAAACGCGTGGAACAGAAGTGAGATGGATGCATCTATAAAAGGGCAATAGAAGAAGTCTTTATGCTAGCGAAAACATTCTACATGCTAACTATATTAATGACAATAGTCTGGTTGTGATGTCAGACTATAGTTTTTGCAATATATTGCCATTAGGAAAAAATTGGGTAAAGGAAATACAATTTGTCTCTATTATTTCTTAAAACTGCAGATGAATATACAATTATTTCAAAATAAAATTTTTAAATAAAAAAGATAAATCCATATTTAAATGTAAATACAATATGTTATACTCAGAATAAATTGAGGGTGATATTATAGAGAAAAAACTATAACCAGATATTTTACTATATCAGATAAATGTTGAAGTAACATGCCAAACAAATTATCGGCTTTAAGTGTTGCATAGAAGATTTAATCCTTTTCCTCTTTGCAGGAGCTCCATATTATCATGAGTTTCATTAGAATGCCATGTGCCGTTAGAGATTTGAACCTTTTCAGTGTAAGTTGCTAGAAGCTCAACATTGGGAATATATTATGCTCCTATGTCTAATCTCCTTGTTACTAGATACATTTAGTTAAAATAACCTAACAATCCATTTAATAACTAATTTGATTATTCATTATATTAAATGATAAAGAAAACATTAACAGCAAACATTCTTCATGCACCATTTTAATTTTATATGAAACACAATTTGCTTATTCTTGCTAATTTAAAAATTTTAATTTTCTTTTCAAAAATAACAAAGATGAAGAGTTTCAAGTGCTCATCCCACCATCGAAACATCAATTTCAACAACTATTTATATACAAAACACCTTCACAGAGCTAAAGAAACCCAGTGAGAGATTCAAGAACCTGGGTATAGCACAAAAAGAAGAAAAAAAATGCATTAATGAGCATAGGAAAGATAGTTTTATATTACCTTCTTTTCCCTTTGCTCAACCCCAGGCAGCACAACCTGGAGAGAGATATCTTTGCTTAGGAGAAGGAGAAGGAAGTGAGCACTGTACTTTGCCTTGGACCCCAGAGAAAGTCCACCCCAGTTAAATCCAGTCTTACACAGGATTTAATGGACCCCATGGACCCAGACTCCACACTGGTACTTACAACTGAGCCTCCATGCTCACTCCATTGCCAGACTTGATTCTACAACCCCAGGTTCTAGGCCCACAAGTCGTGGCAGACTTAATCTCTAGGCCACCCAACAGCCAGACTGACCCCGGTGGCTTCAGGTTCCAGACAAGACCCAGCACAGACCTCCACACCCTGTAGTCCTAGTCCTCAGGCTGACACCTGAGGACTTAGCCAACAGTTTGGGCCCTGTGGATACAGACTCCAGGGTGTGCAGCCCCAAGCTCCAGACTAGTGTCCAAATACTGAGCCTTCAAGCCCACCTTGGTGCCAGGCATAATTTCATACCCTCAGGATCTAGTGTGCACAATGGAATCCTAAGGACTCAGGATCCAGGCCTTTCCCAGTGGTCTTAGGTACCAGGCCTACCCCCATGGACTTAGGCACCAGGCCTATCCCTTTGAACCCAGGCTCTATCTGAGCCACCCAACATCTGACCAGCCCATGTAGACTTAGGCTCAAGGCCACCCCACTGCCAAGTCAACCCCTGTGAACCCAGGATTTATGACAGCACCTACAAGACAGGCTCCAAGCTTACCCTAATAGATACAGGCTAAAGGCCCATTCCTTCAGACCTAATGAATAGGTTCACCCCAGAGGATCCAGGCTTCGGGCTCAGCCCTGCAAACCCAGGTGCCAGGCCAACCCGCCCAAGGAATCCAGCAAACTATAACTCCCTCAAACTACACTAGATGGCATACTGAGAATTTTTATATGGGCTGACTGATCCTGGACTTTCCGAGGCAAAGCCAGGCTGCAAAGACTGGAATAAGTCCCTACTTTTTCAAAGCGGCAGACATCAATGTAAGGCAACAAGAAACATAAAAATCCTAGGAGACATAATAGTCTTAGTCCATTAGTGCTACTATAACAGAATAACTGACTGAGTAGTTTAGAATGAACAGGAATTTATTGGTTCAAAGTTCTGGAGGCTTAGAAGTTCAACATTAAGATGTTGGCAGCTTCAGTGATTCTGATTTCGAGATGGTACCTTGAATATCACATTTTCCCTCAGGGTGGAATTCTTTGTCTTCACATGGTGGAGGACAGAAGAGTAAAGATGAAAAAAAAAAAAAAAAGCCAAATTTGTCCTTTATAACAACACTGATCCCACCAATAAGAGCAGAGCCCTAATGGCCTTTTTACCTCCTAAATTCTCAGTTTCTAACACCACCACGACAGTGACCAAATTTTAACATGAGTTTTGGAGGGGACAAATATTCAAACCAGAGCAAACACCAAAACACTACAATAATCTCCCAATAGGCAGCCACACCCCACCCCCCAAAAATGAAGATATATAAATAGGCTGACAAAAAAAATTCAAAATAATTGTTTTAAAGAAGATAACAAACTTCAAGAAAATAAAAAGAAAGGATTCAATAATATTAGAAAAATAGTAAATGAAAAAATAAAAAACCAAAGATGGTAATTAAAACAAAATGAAACCATGGAGATGAAAAAAATATGATGATTCAAGTAAAAAATGCAATAGAGATTATCAAGAGCAGAATTATCAAGCAGAAGAAAAACTCTCTGAACTCAAAACTAGGTTATTTTAAAATATACAGTTAGAGAAAAAATGAAAGAATGCAAAGGAATGAAGAAAGCTTATGGGACAGAACTATAGGGCAAATTTTTTGAGTTATAAGAGTTAATGACAGAAAATAGAAGATCAAAGGGGAGGAAAGATTATTTAAATGAATAATTTAAATATTGTGGGAAAGATAAATAATCAAGTACAGAATAGTAAAAGGTCTCCAATTAGATTCAATGCAAATAAGAATACAGCAAGGCATATTATAATCAAAATATCAAAAGTCAAAAAACAATGAGAAAATCATGAAAGCTGCAATAGAAAAGAAGAAAAATGATATATAAGGGAGTTCTAATAAGGCGAACACCTTATATCTCAGCAGACACATCACAGCCAGGAAAGAATGGGATGATATATTCAAAATGCTGAAGAAAAAAAACAAAAAAAAACTTCCAACCAAGAAAACTAAACTCAATAAATCTGTTCTTCATAAATGAAGGAAAGATAAACTTTCCCAGATGAACGAACGTTAAGAATGTTCATCACCATTAAACATATCTTACAAGAAATGCTAAAGAAAATGCTACAAACTGAAATCAAAGAATTCTAATTAGTAACACAAAATAATACGAAAGTATAAAGTTCACTGTTATAAGTAAATATATCATCAAATTCAGAATACTCTGAAACTGTAATAGTGATGCATATATCACTTATATCTTAAGTATGAAGGTTAGAAGATAAAACTATAAAAAATAATAGCAAAAAATCCGTTCAGGGAAATACCATATAAAAATATGTAAATTGTGACATTAAAAATGTAAAGTTTTTGGAAGGAGTAAAACTATTTTGTAGGCAAATTTGTTAATTTGTTTAAGGTAGGCTGTAAGATTTTTTTGTAAGCCTTATGTTGACCACAAAGCAAAAGCCAATGGTAGAGACAAAAAGATAAACAGCAAGAAATAAAAGTATATTACCAGAAAAAATCACTTAATTACAAAAAAAGACAGCAAGGAATAAAGGATTTACAAATAAAGCAACAAAATGGTAGTAGTAAGTTCTTACTTAACAATATTTACCTTAACTATAAATGGATTAAATACATCAATCAAAAGACATAGAGTGACTCAATAGATTAAAAAAAGAATCAACTACAAAAGACTCACTTCACCCATAAAGATGCATATACCCTGAAAGTGAGGAAGTACTAAAAGATTATTTCATACAATTGGACAACAAAAGGAAGGAAGAGTAGCTATACTTGTATCAGATAAAATAGACTTTATGTCAAAAACTGTAAGCAGAATAAAATAGATCATTGACATGGTTTGACTCTGTGTCCCTACCCAAATCTCATCTCAAATTATAATCCACATGTGTCAAGGGAAGTAAGTTATTGAATCACGGGGGCAGTTTCCCCTACTCTGTTCTCCTGATAGTGAGTGAATGCTCATCAGATCTGATGGTTTTATAAACGGTAGTTTTTCCTGAACTATTGCTTTCTGTCTTTCCTGCCACCTTGTGAAGAAGGTGCCTGCTTCCCCTTTTCCTTCAGCCATGATTGTAAGTTTCCTGAGGCCTCCCTAGCTTTATGAAACTGTGAGTCAATTAAACCTCTTTCCTTTATATATTACCCAGTCTTGGGTAGTATCTTTATACCAGTGCAAGAACAGACTAATACAATTATTATTTTATAATGAAGGAGTTAATTCAACAAGAAAATATAATGATTATAAATATATTTGTACTAAACATTGAGTAACCTAAATAAATACAGGAAATATTAATAAACCTGAAGAGAGAGAGAGATTGCAAAACAATAATAGTAGCATACATGGAACATTCTCTAGGATAGATTAAAAACCCTGGATGCAAGAGGAGAGGGAGATGAGCACTGTATTTTGCCTTGGACCTCAAAACTAAGCCTGCCCCAGTAAAACTCAGCATTGAAGTCTCTTGTAGCCCCAGATTAAAATCTGGTATGCACAAATAGATCATCCAGGCTTTTTCTAATGCCAGAGTAGATGCCACAACATTAGGCTGCACTCCAGCATGGGCAACAAAAGTGAAACTCCATCTCAAAATAAAAAAAGGGCGGGAAGAGAGAAAATAATAAAGATCTAAATGAAAATACATAAAATAGAGACTAGAAAAGTAAGAGAAAACATTAATAAAATTAAGAGTTGGCTTTTTGAAAGTATACACAGTATCAGCAGACATTTAGCTGGACCAAGAAAAATACAGAAGATTCAAATAAATAAAATTAGAAATATAAGAGGAGACATTACAACTAACAGCATGGAAGTACAAAGGATTACAGGAGAGCACTATGGAGAATTATACACTCCTCAAAATGTATAACCAGAGGAAATGTATTCATTTCTAGACCATACAACCTACTAAGACTGAATCATGAAGAAATAGAAATTCTAAACAGACAAGTAACAAGTTAGGAGATTGAATCAATAATAAAATATCTCCCATCAAAGAAAAGCCCAGAACCTGATGGCTTCACTGATGAATTCTACCAAACATTTGAAGAACTAAACCAAGCTAACTCAAACTGTTTCAAAAAATTGAAGAGAAAGAAGTACTTCCAAATTCATTTCACTAAGTATCATTATCCTAATATTAAAGCCAGACAAGAATACTATAATAAAAGTTACAAGGCTATATGCTTGATAAACACATGTATAAAAATCCTCAGCAAAAACATAGCAAGCAAAATTCAATACCACATTAAAAGGATTGTTGACAATTCACCATCACCAAGTAAGATTTATCCCAGGAATACAAGAATGGTTCAACAAAGCCAAATCTATAAATGCAATATAGCACATTAACAGAATGATGTACAGAAATTACATAATCATCTCAATAAGGCAGGAAAAGCATTTGACATAATTCAACATCCTTTCATAATAAGACTCTCAACAAATTGGTATAGAAGAAATGTACTTCAACACAATAAAAGGGCATATATAACAAACATACAGCTAGTATCATATTCTAAGGTGAAATTTGAAAGCTTTTCCTCTAACATCAGGAATACAAGGATACTCACTTTCGCTGCTTCTATTCAACATAGTACTGAATGTCCTAGCTAGAGCAATTACACAAAAGAGAGAGAGGCAAGAGACATTAGAAATGGAAAGAAAAAAACTACATTTTTCCTATTTTGAGATAATATAATCTTTTATGTAGAAAACCCTAAAGATGCCACACTAAAAAAAATCTCTAAGAACTGATAAATTCAGTACACAAAAAATAAAAAAAAATAGAAAATAAACAAAAAACAGCACAAAACATTGCAGCATTTCTACACACTAACACGAAACTATCCAAAAAATAAATCAAGAAAACAATTCCATTTATAACAGCTACCAAAAAATACATAGGAATAAATTTAACCAAGCAGGTGAAAGCCTTGTACACTCCAAATTATAAAACAATAATGAAAGAAAATGAAGAAAACTCAAGTATATAGTAGGAAATCCCATGTTTACAAATAGGAAGAATTAATATTGTTAAAATGTCCCTACTTCCCAAAAGAATTTGAAGATTCAATGCAATTCCATCACAATTTCAATGACATTCTTCACAGAAACAGAAAAAAATCTAGAATGTGTATGAAACCACAAAATACTGAATAGACAAAGCAATCTTGAGCAAAAAGAACCAAGCTGGAGGTATCACACTACCTACTTTACAAAGCTATACTAACCAAAACATCATGGAACTGGCACAAAAACAGACACATAGGCCAATGCAACAGAATAGAGATGCCAGAAATAAATCCACATGTGTGGTCAATTCATTTTTACAAAGTTGCTAATAACACACAATTGGGAAAGAAAGCCCTCTTCAATAAATGGACACATGGATTATCTACATGCAGAAGGATGAAATTAGGCCAACATCTCACACCATATAAAAAAATCAACTCAAAATATAGTAAAGACTTAAATATAATTCTTCAACTGTAAAACTAGTAGGAAAAAATAGGAGAAAAGCTCCTACACACTGGTTTCAGCAATGATTTTTGAGATATGAACCCAAAAGCACAGGCAACAAAAGCAAAATTAGACAAATAGGATTACATCAAATCAAACTGCTTCTTCTCTGCTAAGGAAACAATCAACAGAGTAAAGAGACAACCTACATAGTAGGAGAAAGTATTTGCAAATATACATCTGATAAAGTACTAATATTCTAAATATATAAAGAATCTAAACAATTCAATAGTAAGAAACCAAATGACACAATTAAAAAAAATGAACATAAGATCTAAATAGGCATTTCTCAAAAATATATACATACAGATGGCCAATGAGTATATGAAAAAATGTTCAACATCACTAATTATCACAGAAAAGTAAATTAAAACCACAATGAGATATCACCTAAAACCTGTTAGAACACATATTAACAAAAAGGTGAAAGACACTCGTTGATAAGGATGTGGAGAAGAGGGTACCTTTGCACATTATTTGTGAGAATATAAATTAGTGCAACCATCAAAGAAAACAGTATAGAAGTTCATCAAAAATTAAAAATAGAAGTACCAGATCATCCAACAATTCTGATTCTGAATATATATCTAAAGAAAATGAAATCACTATGCAGAAGGAATGTCTTCACTTCCATGCTCATTGCAGTATTAGTCACACTGGCCCTGATATGGATTCAACCTAAGTGTTCATCAACAGATAATGGATTTTAAAATGTGGCATATATACACGATGGAATACTATTCAGCCTTAAAAAGAAAGAAATCCTGTCATTTGTAACAACATAAATTAACCTTAAGGATATTATATTAAACAAAACAAGCCAGGGACAAAAAGACAAATACTGTGTGATCCCACTTATATGTTGAATCTAAAAAAGCTGAATTCATACTAGTAGGGAGTAGAGTGGCGGTTACCAGGGACTGTGGTGTGGGGTAAATGTGGGGAGACATTAATCAAAAGATACAAAATTTCACTTATATGGGAGGTGTAAATTCAAAAGATCTATGGTACAAAATGATTATTATAGTTAATATCAATGAATTTTATTTTTGAAAATTGGAAAAAGGGTAGTTTTTAAGTATTTGCATCACAAAAAAATCAGTGTTAGGTAATATATATGTTAATTAGCTCGTTAGCGATTTTATAATGTACACATATTTTAAAACCACATGTGCATGATAAATATATACAATTTGTATTTGTCAATTTAAACATTTAAAAAATCAATTAAATGTGAAAAAAGGCAAATGGATTCCTAAGGAATAATTTTTAACTACACTGCAGCTGTAGAAAAGTATAATTGAATATGATCTTTTTAAGTCAAGTAATTATTAGACCAAAATTTCTTACTAAAATGACAGCTTGGTAATATAACAGATTTTCAAGGCATTAAAGCCTCAGAGCTCATTAATATGTTACCTAGAAGTAAGCTACTGTAAATTTATAAATAACCTGCTACACAGAGGAATTAACAAAAAGCTTCAAAATCACTGTTTAATTTTAAATTTGCTAACAGTTTATCAGCTGAGATGATTAAATGGCAAATTATAACTTAAACTCTATTATACTGATGTAATGTAATTAGTGGTGTCATAAGGCACACCTACAAGCTTCAGAAGTATTGAAATTTACTCACAAGGCTGACACTTAATGCCTTTGGAAATATTAAAATTCCTCTCAGTACTCTTAATACATCTTTTTTAATATAGTAAAAAATGTGCTTTCTAAATTGAAAGTACCCTGGTTTGAGAGAAGTTTAGCTATTACAATCATTCTTCCAGGATTTTCTTTTAGAAATCCAATTTAAATGAATGTTTCAGATGACTAATTTCTTAAGCTTGTTATCTCCAATATTTGAACTAATTGGCAGTTATTAACCATATAACACATAACATTTTCCCACCTAACATCACTAACAAAATATTATTGAAATATGGCCCAGTATGTCACTTGCACCTGTAATCCCAACACTTTGGGAGGCTGAAGCAGGCAGATCACCTGAGGTCAGGACTTCGAGGCCAGGCTGGCCAACATGGTGAAACTCCATCTCTATTAAAAAAAAAAAAATACAAAAATTAGCCGGGCATGATGGTGCACAGCTTTAGTCCCAAATACTAGGGAGGCTGAGGCAGGAAAATTGCTTGAACCTGGGAGGCAGAGGTTGCAATGAGCCAAGATTGTGCCACTGCACTCCAGGCTGGATAACAGAGTGAGACCCTGTCTCAAATTTAAAAATATGTATATATTGAAACAAGACAAAATTTTATTAAAATAGATTTTCTCCCTTTTTGGGGAGTGGTGGAGATTGATTTTCATATCAGAATTTCTTAGAGACCTGAAAATATAAGTTATCTATTTTCATAATGTCCTTTTTTATAGCTTTATTTCATTTTTTAAAAATGCATACATATTTACAAGGTACATGAAATATTATGTTATATGCATATAATGTGCAGTAATAAAGTCAGGGTATTCAGTGTGTCCATCACCCACGTACAAGACATTTTTAAATATAGTCATCCTACCAAACATTGTATTTATTCCTGATATGGTATGGCTGTGTCCCCACCCAGATCTCATTTTGAATTCACACGTGTTGTGGGAGGGACCCAGTGGGAGGTAAGTGAATCATGGAGGCAGGTCTTTCCTGTGCTGTTCTTGTGATAGTGAATAAGTCTCAGGAGATCCGATAAGGGGTGTTTCCCTGCCTTTTGCCATGATTGTGAGGCCTCCCCAGCCACATGGAACTGTAAGTCCATTAAACATCTCTTTCTTTTGTAAATTGCCCAGTCTCAGGTATTTCTTTATCAGCACCATGAGAATGGACAAATACAATTCCATCTATATTACTGTATGTTTGTATGCATTAGCCTATTTCTCTTTATCCTCCCCCCACCCTTCCCAATCTATACTTTCTATTTTTCACTCTCTACCTCCATGTGTTCAAAAGTTTTAGCTCCCACATATAAATGAGAACATGCAATATTTGTCTTTTTGTGACTGGTTTATTTCACTTAAAAGAATGGCCTCCAGTTCCATCCATGTTGCTGCAAAGGACATGATTCCACTTTTGTATGGCTGAATAGTATTCTATCGTGTGTATATACCACATTTTCTTTATCCATTAATCTGTTGATGGATGCTTAAGTTGATTCCATAGCTTTTCTAATGTGAATAGTGCCATAATAAATGTGTGAGGTGAGTGCAAGTATCTCTTTGATATATTAATTTATTTTTCTTTCAGTAGATACTCAGTAGTGAGATTGCTGGATGGAATGGTAATTCTATTTTCAGATTTTTGGAAATGCTGTTTTCTCTATTCTTAAAAATCTTTCCCAATCCCTAAATCACCCTTAAATCTTCTATGATTGCGCCTCTTAGTCTCCATGTACCTTCATAAATGTTGTTAGATGCCCTTCCAATGTGCTTGTATAGAACTATGCATTTACATGTGTCATTGCACATTTTATTACTTCTTCCTCTCACGATGATGTAAATTCTTTGAGAACTAAAACTGTACCTTATTTACTGTTACATACCAAAGATCTCACATACTTCCCATAAATATTGTGTGCAACATTTGTGCTGTGGAATTAATAAATATTTGTATGTAGTCTATTGAACTTCAAAGTATTTTGCCTACTTCCAGCATTCTTGTATTTGATAAATAGGTGATGGTTATACAAATATTTTATACACTTACAGACTTTTACAGTTTTTCTTAGTCTTTGAATTTTCAAGTGCTTTTCATTTTTTCTTTTTCATCATATGGTATGATGGTTTAACTTATTACTTTAGGGTTTTTTGCAAAATCCATTATGTTTTCCCATAAATAATTCTCCAGAAATGCATACAGAATTCCAACTATGTTTTTATTGCTTTCATTATTATATTAGTCCAGTTTCATGCTGCTGATGAAGACATACCCAAGCCTGGGTAATTTATAAAGAGAAAGATTCAATGGACTCACAGTTCCATGTGGCTGGGCAGGCCTCACGATCATGGCAGAAGGCAAAGGGCACATCGTACATGGAGGCAGACGAGAGAATGAGAGCCAAGTGAAAGAGGTTTCCCCTTATGAAACCATCAGATCTCATGAAACTTATTCACTACCACGAGAACAGCATGGGGGAAACTGCCGCCGTGATTCAACTATCTCCCACCAGGTTCCTCCCACAACACGTGGGAATTATGGGAGCTACAATTAACGATAAGATTTGTGGAAGACACACACAGCCAAACCATATCAATTACACAAAGTGCATCAACTCACCAAATGAGAAAATTAATCTGAAGCCCCACCAAATAAGAGTTACCAAATAAGAGTTAAGAAGAACAACATTAACAGATAATGTTAGTCTAATATAGTAATTTTCCAGATTTCTAAATTGTCAATTAATCAAGTATTATTTGACTCATGCTTTTGCTTGATAGATTCTTTCAGTAACCATGTATAGTTCAATAGTCATGTTCAATTAAGGTAGCAATGGGAAAAATATTCTTGAGATTAGCTTACATTTTAAAGATCTTCTTGATTTGTTTCCATTATTCTTCACTATACTATTTGGCACATTTTAAGTCATTCTTCTTTGTGTATGCCTCTGATTAGTGTTTGAAAGTAGTTATCTTATTCCTCATTTCATCCTTTGACAGTGTACATATTGAACACTTTTTATCTTGCCACATAAATAATTTCTCAAGGTTCTTTAATCATTTCACTCAAAATATTCACTCAACTTTCCCCAGTCTGCTCATAAATTTTTGATTACACAGTGTTCAAATTTAAATGCAAAAATGAAAACATGGTCCTACAGGAGTACTGCAGACTACAATTTCTTGCTATGATTATGTTCAATGGGATAGGAGCATCTTCAATTACTCCCAATATAGGAAGACTTCAGAGAGGCAATTTAAAGGCAAAAATTCAAACAAATAGTCTATAACTGCTCTTTTATTGGTACAAAAACTCATTTTTATATCTTATCTAGCTAACTATGGTTTTAATTTTTTCTAATATCTTGTTTTGCAATAACAAAGTGAACTTAGTTTATTGGAATCTACTGCTGATTTCTAACTTTTCTAACTTCATTAATAGAAAAAATTAATGTCACTGTATTTCAAATTAATATATACTTTATATTATTCAAAGAAATTATGTCATTGTAGATGATAATTCTCAAATTATCTGTTTTTTTTTTTAACAATTTTCTTCTCTTTTCTATTCCTTTGAAGACTGGTTTGCATGGATGAATAATGAGATGCCTGTGGTTTCTGACTTCTGATTAGTTTGGCCAAAGGAGAACACAGGAAGGAGTTCAAATAAAATAAGGTCAGGGTATTCATTCTCTTGATTCCTTTCCTATAGAGTTAATACTAAAAAGCAGTGTCTCTTGACGGAAAGTCACTGCTATTACTACAAGAAGTCTCCATAGAGAGATAAACTTCCAAAATGGTGGAGTGAGGATCTCAGTGAACTTGTTCTCCCTCTAAAACCATTAAAATGTGGGCAAATCAACTAAAATCAACCATTTTAGTACTCTGACAATTAACACAACTACATAAAGGTAGGAAAATAATCTATCTGAAAGATACTACTGAACCTTGGTAAAAGAGCAGGTTCTGTGATGTTTCCCCATTCCCCTTCCTTTTCCAGTTCAGTGGTACAGTAGACAAAAGCCAGCAGTACAGCAAAAGAGAAAGACAGACAGAGAGAGAAACAGATTGAGAGAGAAAGATCCCTAAACACTCTTAGACCTCTGTTAAAAGCACCATCCCCAGAGGGCTATCAACATTTTGTCTACATTTGAAGTTCACTGGAAAATATATATTCTTAGAGTACAGTAGCTATTTGATTTGATTTAGAACTCCTCTCAAAAGAGGGAGGAGAGTCTAACACTAGGATATTACCCATAAAATAGCAAACTACTGGTCATATCTCACTTACATAAAGTTGTGATTTTAGTTGGGCCATATGAGAGCCTGCACACATCTTTAAAAGGAAATCCTGGGGAAGTAGATGACCATAGGATACTTTGAAAAGTGTCCAGTTATTCCTAGGAATCTAAAAGATTGTATGCTTGTGCAAGCCAGTGCACATGCCGGAGAAGACCTGAGACAGAAGACGGCACCAGTGGATCACCGTTGATTGACCCTGAAGCTTTGCAGAAGAAAGTGCAAGCTAAGTTTGTCTTGTAAACTGTCTAAAGTTTGAAGGCATGCCTTATCACTCAGGTCATCTTTTCACAGAGTGAAATATACAAAGACAATGAAATAAAAAAATCTCCCAAGCAATCATCAGCTCACATTAAATTACACTGAATAAAGCATGACACCTAAGAAGTCAAGATTAAAATTAAAAATAATAATAATAATAATAAAGCCAACAGAGAACTCAGGGGTAACACACTGGAAAGAATACAGAAACTACAAATTTGTTTCAAGAATTATGCTAAATAATGAGTAAAAAATTAAAAAAATATATCCCAGCAACAAATAACACAAATGAAAACAAAAAGTGTAATACAGACCTTGATGGGGGTGGGGCACGATGTGGAAGAATGTGATCCCCACTTGTTACAATACAGTATATAAAATGTCCAGTTTTCAACAAAAAAATGAAGTCCAATGGGACAACAAAGTATGAGTCAGGGGCTTAGATCTTTGGTTCATTAATGGTCCCATCACCCACTGCCACTCCGCATCCCTGCGATGGTTCTCAGCTGCCTTCTCCTCTAGTCCTACTCAGTGTTCCTGTAAGGATCTACATTTACTGTCCACACTGTGGTGTAACATCATATAGTAAAATAATAACACTCTTAAAGATCAACAGAGATCATGGCAGAAAGGAAAAAGGGTTCTTTTTCTAGCTTTTGAAAGAGAGACCCTACATTTGAATTTTGTACTGAGCCTTTTAAATTATGTAGTTGGCCCTGCTCCAAATGAATACATTTCACAATGTCAACAAATCAAGAGCCTCATGCTTCTGCAGTTGACATTAATGTACTCACACTTATGAAAGTTTGCCAATCCCTGATCTCTGTTTAATACATTCTCACAAATCTCTATAAAAGTCAGTAGTTTGTTCTTCTAGAAGTGACTGTGTCTGGTCAATATAATGTTCTCTTACTTTAGTTTGCAATAAATTCAGCTGAGTGGGATTTGGTGGTTATTGTGGTTTGTTTCAGATATTTTGTGATAGTCTCATTACTTGAGAGAACCAACATTTGGGTATATAAGGATGAGAGATCTCATTATGTTTTCCAGTGCCCTTAACGTTAAAAACAATTTGTTCAAAGAGAGGGTGGTTATTTGGAATTGATAAGAAATACTAAGAAATAGCATTGGTGCTCTATTCTCAAAAATTTTTCCCCACATATTCCAGGAAAGAGCTTCATTGCTAATTAAAAACTATGTTTTCATAATATAATCATTCTAGGTTCAGGAAAATAAGAAAGTTATCATTCATTTATAATTTATTGAAAACTTTTTCAAACCAGTGGTACCTAAGTGACTACCAAATCGTATATGCTCAAAAATATTACATTAATGAAGTTATTAAACAACACATTAATCATCATTGAATTTTTCCTCTCAACTGTGAGCTGAACCCACATTGAAAAAGTGAACAAACGCATGCAAAGACTAGGAGAAGCAAATTTTTAAATGATAAAATGCAAATAAATCATAAAGTAAAATATGTAGTAAAGACTAGTCAAATTAGTGGTATCATAAAAGTGGATGTATGCAAAAAAAGATAGGCAATGGTACTTATCAGAAATATAAGATAAAGTCAAGAAGAAATATGACTATGTCTTAAACATAATTTCTACCTTAGTTTAATTTTCTTGAGCTTGCTGCTTCAGATGACCTAAAAGTATCCAGAAATGCCTTTGACATGCATGCTATATATTGGCAATGGTTTATATACACTAATTTGGAAGGAAATAATAAAACAATAGATCAAACATTTAGATGATTTTATATAGAAAATAAACTGATGTTTACCTATTAACTGTTTATATACTATGAGGGCAAGTAAATTGGTAATGTATGTTAAAATTTGTTTTGTCCCACAATTAATATAAAAAAAGAAGTTGAGGTATTATATCCAAAATATTCTAGAATTCACTACTCTTCATTTTTATCATTAGAAAACAAATCCTCACTTTGATTTTAGATTTAAGAGCCTTTCTCTAATAAAACCTGTCAGAATGGCATTAATATTCTTGTGGTATTTTTATTGGTATATCTCATTTAACATGTCCAGTAATGAATCTTTTTTATTATAAGACATATCTATTTTTATAAATGCATTCTCTTGGTATAACAGGTTTGTAGTCACTCTTACTTTTCCTAGTAGAAGGAGTGTTTTAGTACATCATAAAAAATATATAAGTAAATGAAACTGTAGACACGAATTATAGATTCCTCTTTTGTTTTGTACCTCTTTTCTTTGCTCTACTTAGAATTTTTTATAGTTTGGTGAAATAAAAGAGAAGATTGACAAGGGGAATTGTCACATACAATAGTTACCAGGTAGGACGTGTTCACCTAGTACTGGCTATGGTCAAGTGGTGAATTGTGTGGTTGGTCTAGCATTTTATTACTTTCCTCATCGTGTTTGGATATCTAGAGGGCGGGACTTTATATCACTGCATATTAGAATAATTTTATCCTAACATGTACATGAATAGAAGTTCTATTTTTAGGAGTATATTTTAATCTACTCTTTAAAAATTCATACTTAAAAGAAATTTATAGGCTACTTCTACCTGCAAGGCTTTCAAAGGATGTTACTGTTTGGCATTTTTTCAATAGAAGATAACTATTTCTTTTTTTTCTGGTGAAATGATATATACATATATAATTAGCCAGTTGGACTCAGTTTACATGAACCCAATTTTGTTGGCAACATCCAAAGCATCGTAATCAGGAGCCAGTTGAACATATGCCTTCTCTCCCTCAGGCCTAATCAGGGTGTTGACCTTGGCTACATCGATGTCATAGAGCTTCTTCACAGCCTGTTTGATCTGGTGCTTGTTGGCTTTAACATCCACAATGAATACAAGCATGTTGTTGTCTTCTATATTCTTCATGGCAGACTCAGTGGTCAACAGAAACTTGATGACAGCATAGTAGTCAAGATTGTTTCTCCTGGCGGCACTCTTCTGAGGATATCTGGGCTACCTCCAGAGTTTCAGTGTCTTGGACCGCCGGGAGGTGGGTGACATATGGATCTTATTTTTTTTGTAACTCTTGACACCCTTCAACATTGCCTACTTGACTTTGACCTTCAAAGCCTTGCTTTGGCTCCTGCTTTAGGAGGGGTAGGAGCTTCCTTCTTCTCCTTCGATGCCATCTTGTGAAAAGGGTCTCTGAGGCCCATTACAATGGGCTTATAGCGCTCAAAGATAAATATTTCAATTGAGGTAATGTAAGTCTAATAAGTACATGGAAGAAAAGGGTGCAAAAAGAGAAAAATGATTGAAAAGTGATAGTAGAAAGATCTATGCAAAAGTAAAAATAATACAAATGTATATGAAACAAAAGTTTTGCCAGAGAAAATCAAAATAATTATTGAAATAATTGAATATTATTCATTGAATATTCAATTGAATACTGAAATAAATAATTGAAATAATTATTCATTAATTTTTCAATAATAAATGTATATTACTTAAAACAGTACCATATATCCACTAACAGTTTCTTTTATTCTAAAATATAATGCTGATTTTTCTGAAATAAACATGGAACATTCTTGTTTCCTCCTCCATGAAATCATACAAAATATGCAACTTAGCACAGTTGTGCCTGGTGAAGGAGAGCACTTTCCAAGATGTTTGTCACTACTGAGAATGGTGAAGATGTAGAAATTGTGGACTTCATAACAATTAAATTTTCTCTATATGAATTTTATAAATCTTAATCTACTTGTGAATGGAAAGAAGTGTAAGAAAACGGGCCTTTTTTAAAATTTCCATGTGGTTAAGATGGGCATGGTGGTCAGCACCTGTAATCCCAGCTACTCAGGAGGCTGAGGCAGGAGAACTGCTTGAACCAGGGAGATGCAGGCTGCAGTGGGCTGAGATGGCACCACTGCACTCCAGCCTGGGTGACAGAGCAAGACTCTTGTCTCAAAAAAGAAAAAACAAGAATAAGAAATGCATTTACTAATAAACCAAGGGTCAAAGAAAATATCACAATACAAAGCATAAAATAATTTGAACTCAAGGAAAAATCTTGAATATGGAAATATGAGGGATGAAATTAAAGTTGTATTTAAAAGGAAAACACTTATTAGAAAAGTAATCGCTGGCATCGAGGTCCTCTTAGAAACTAGGAGAAAATATCAGGCAAGTAGCAAGTACTTCTGAGTTTACCGAATGTAATAGCTCAGTATTGGTTAAAAATTAAAATTCCTGTATGGAAAAAAATTTGTAGTAACGAGGGGATAAGGTCTTAACACATCTCTTATTAATTCAGTTAAACACAATAGCAGTTGAAGAGGTATTTAGCAATTTTTAAATTTTCTAATACCTTTATATCAATTATAAAGTATTTTCTCCCTATGTCATCTCCAGAGTTTTATTTAAAAATAAACATATGAAATGATTTTAAAGGTACAAGGTACTGTGGCCAGCGCAGTAGCTCACGCCTGTAACCCCAGCACTTTGGGAGGCCGAGGCGGGCAGATCGCAAGGTCAGGAGATCGAGGCCATCAGGGCTTACACGGTGAAACCCCGTCTCTACTAAAAATACAAAAAAAAAAAAAAAAAAAATTAGCTGGGCGTGGTGGCGGGCTCCTGTAGTCCCAGCTACTTGGGAGGCCGAGGCAGGAGAATGGCGTGAACCCGGGAGGCGGAGCTTGCAGTGAGCCGTGATCGCGCCACTGGCTCCAGCCTGGGTGACAGAGCGAGACTCCGTCTCAAAAAAAAAAAAAAAAAAAAAGGTACTGTTTATGAACTGATAATGTTTTCAGAAACTAGTTAAAATGGTTTTCTTGTTTATTAGTTATATTTAGGACACTGAGAAATAACCAGGAATAACAGTTACATAAAATAAAAGGAGCTGTTAAAATAATTAAGAAAACAAATGAGTTTTTCCTACTGGGATGATATTCAGATTTATACAACAGTACTTTTCTCCCTAGCTATGGTTACCAAATACTTGATACCGATCAAATAAGACTTCAAAATAATTCTGGAGAAAAAATAATTTAAAAACCAAGTATGACACTTTAAAAACATAAAAACACTTTGGGAGTCCCAGGCGGGTGGATCACTTGAGGCCAGGAGTTCGAGACCAGCCTGGCCAACATAACAAAACCCTAACTCTACTAAAAATACAAAAATTAGCCAGGCATGGTGGCGGATGCCTATAATCCCAGCTACTTGATGACTGAGGCATGAGAATTGCTTGAACCCAGGAGGTGGAGGTTGCAGTGAGCTGAGAAAGGACCACTGCACTCCAGCCTAGGCAACAGAGTGAGACTTTGTCTGAAAATATATTTAATATAATTTAATTTAAAAAATAAAAATAGTAAAGATTTTATTAAAAAATAAAAATCACTAAAGAAAAAATTATTTGGTATCTTTTTTAACACCTTACTGGGGTGTTACTCTTAATTAAAAATGAAGTTTTTGTAAACAACACTACAATCTCATCTTACTTGCCAATGAGAAATATTACAGGTTTGTAGGCCCCCGGCCTGTTTTCTTAAAGGAAAAAAAAAGCTTCTCATCCCATATATTTGAGTGGCTGTAGAAAATCACCTAGCCAATAAAATTGGTAAAGACAAATTCTGGAACTGTATGGACTTCCCTCAGTTTTCTATCCTGCCTTGATAAGCTGCCTACTAAGCTATGAATCAACTTTAAAAGGATAAATGGGCCAGTGTAACAATCACAGGCCTAAGAACAAATGCCTGGGGCCAGCGACAAATGCTGAGGGAGGATGAGCTAATTCTAGTAAACCAAACTGCCTATGCCATGGGTGACAGCCTGTGAGAGAGCGTGGAATTTCACCACAAGAGAATAACGTGTGTGAGGGCCAGGGCAGGGTGGCATGTTGATGAGCATGGAAGTACTTCATGTTAGCAATGCATTTCTGTGCTCTTCTGACCAAGAGGGAGTGCCAGAGGCTGTCATAGGGGAGGCCTTTGCAACTATCTTAAGTAATACCCTTGAAATTTAAACAAATTCAAATGAAATTTATGTTAGTTATCTAAACTTAAAAAAAAATAACAGAGCATATACAGAATTCTCAGAAGGAGGTGAAAAAAGATCCAGGGAGAAACAAAACAAATCAAAATGAAGAAAAAAAGAAGATGCAAATATAATGGGGTATCTTAGTGACCAGCAGAGAAGGGAAGAATAACTGCCAAGAAATAAGGTGCTGATTGTCTTTCTATTTACCTTTCAATCTTTATGTTCTGGTACTTACTTTAAAACTTTACTACATTTTCTTCTCTGTGTTTCTTGATGCTACTCATCAATTTCCCCTTGCTGTTTTCCAAGTCCCTTGTTTTATTTTTCCGCAAAGAGATTGGGGAAGTTGGAGGACTACCCAAGTTTCCTCAGCAGGGGCACGCAGGCTTGTATGTTCCTTCTACAGTAAACTACAAGAAGGGAGGATGCTTTATCATCCACCACTTGTGAGGTGTTAGGACTCCTCCAATGACTAGACCTGATCTGCTATACCCAATGACCCATTTAGGGAGACCTAAAAATTAGAGAAAGGGAGATCACTGAAAAAAACAAACAAAAAAATGAAAGAACAAAAACAGCAAACCCACAGTGAGTAAAACAGAGTGCTAGAGGAAACACATAGCAGTGTACAATTTTAAAAGAAATACAGTAAGAGCAAAATATACAAGACTTTCTAGATTAAAAATTAGTTATTATTTTTTAGTTAGCAGTATAATACATGGAATAAAGAAATGTCTGGCCTCTGTGGAAAACTCATTTAATGGTCTAAAAAACCATTATTCCAAAATCGAACTAAAAATATAAAGAAATGGAAATTATGAAGCAAATGATTAAGATGGAGAATATTGATCCATGAAAACCAACATGAACATATTAGAAGGAGCCATAATGGGTAACATCCCAAGCTGATGATGAGGACATCCACATGGAAGGGCTTCCCAGTGTGGGATGTCAGAGCTTAAATGGAGTGAGGAAGACATTCCTGTGGTAAGGGGATAGCCTGGCACATAGGGCCAGAAACTGAGCAGAATGAGAAGGGAATCTCCATGGGGGTGTGGCCCAGCACAGGGCATTTAGTCTAACAGGTAAGGAGGGAATCCATCCAGTGTGGTGTGTTGGAGCCAGACCAGGGTGAGAAAAGCTTTCCCTGGAGGGCACCCAGTGTGGGGTGTTGGAGACAGAGGGATGAAGAGGATATTCTTGTACATGAGGTACATGGTCCTACATGGAGTATCTGAGCCTGAGTTAGAAAATAGGGTGTCTAAGCAGAACAAAAGCTTCATGCACGGTTTTGAAGACTGAGTCAGGTATGAAGGTCATCTACGTAAAGAAAAGAGAGTGGGATGAGCAGTCTGCACTTGTTGTTGAAGCTGTCCTGGAGAGCGAGGGGCAGGGTTTCAGAGTGGGGTGATGAGGATTTGCCAGAAGGTGCATCGGTGGTGATAGGAGATTGACACATTGTGGTTTTAATGAAATAAATAAGTACATTAAATATAAGGGAAGCCATGTTTCTCAGTATAGAAGAAGGCAGTCAAAAATATGGAGCAAGCAAAATGAACAATGGTGGCTTTACATTGGAAGTATTGGTATATACCCACTGCCTTCAAAAGGAATAGATAAATGTGTAAATAATTTTAGACATGATGTGTTTATGTGTGTATATACACAACACATATTTATATGTATACATAACTTTTTAAGTTCTGTCCATTGAGAAGGTTTGGAAGCAGAACATTTTAAAAAAGGACTACATCCAGCACCCAGATATTGGCTTCCGAATGCCATTTTCTAGAAAAATAACCAGGGCAAATTCTAGGGATTGAATAGATGACATATGCTACCTTCCTCCACTTTTGACTCCAATTCTACATAATAAATTATAAGACAAGTATAAGAAAATTCAGAAAAGTTCTATTTTTTCCTAATGTGACTATATTTCTTCTTTTCTTAAACTGTGAAAAAAAACTAAGTTATTTTAAAAGAAAAATGTGCCTTATATTGTTGATCTATTAAGGACATAGTTGGTCTGAGCATTGGATAATTCATCTCATAAATATGGATTAACTGGTTGTCTCATTCTTCACCTTGTATGACTCGTTTATTTTCCTGAGCTGATCTGTTTTGCTATGCATTTGTCCTGTCAGCCTGCACTAGGAAGGGAAGCTGTAGTACGTTTACATTTGTGACCATAAGAGTAAGATGAGATAGGAACAAAGCTGCCATTTATCCAAGGGCAGGACAAAGCCAAGCAAAGACTACAATTTAGAGACACAACTTCTGGTGACTCTTTTATGGGGATCCTCCTCATGATAATAATATAATGATAAAATAAGTCACATATAAATGATGATATTAATTAGGTATAGAGTGATGTATAGCAGAAGGAGGAGTTTTGACTGTGGATAATGGATGAAATCACAGCTCTTTGGCCACAGGTGATGTAAAAAATGTACTGAAGTTTCAACATAGAGAACTTCACAGAACTTCACTCTGTGGATCTGTCTCACTCTGCAACATGAACATAGTTAGTGGATATGTCCTGGGTATAAATACCTCAATGTGGCTTCCATTGTGCTATCTAGACCCATTGCTATATGGGCAGAAGCCCAAAGCCTGGATGACAGGAAAGTACATTCTCTAGGTGACTGTGATGAATTGACGTGAACTGTTAACGACAGTAGCTGCTTACTCCACTGACTGATTTTTCTCTTCTCTCCTACCACAGAGAAGGACTGAGTGTCCTCAAAGGTATAAAGATTTGGAAAGGCCTCATGAGAATAATGAGGATGATAGTAACAATAACTACAACTAAAATTAAGTTGTTAGTAGCAGTATTGAGCACTTCATATAGACTGTTTCACATAGTCCTCAAAACAATTACATGATATCTATACCATCATTATAACCTTTGGAAAAGATAGATAAACTAAGGCTCAGAAATGTTAAGACCATGCCTATAATAGCAGGGTTAGTAATAAGTGGAGGTTTAATAGTAACCTTGATCAACATTTGTGAATGTTAAACATTTAATTAGTAGTAACATATGGGCTTTGTAGTTTGTAATGGGAGGCAAAAGGACATTTTCCTCCTATCCCTCAAAACAAGTCTGCATACAGCTGTCTTTTCTAAATATCTTGCTGATTTTGACTAAACCTACACTGAAGCCATTGTAGTATGCGAAGGTAAGTAAAAATAAATAAATAAAATTTAAAAAAAACAGGTTTTCTCCATAGGTAGCAGAAAATAATACACCTGGATTTCTTGTAAATAATCCACTATGTCTGAATCAAAAGCTTAGAATTGCCTCATATAACTATACAGCAAACTATGCCTTGACAACACAGATATGGCCTTTGGCTTTCAAGAGCTGCCCAGGGTTCAAAAATCCTTGATCTATACCAGAGTGTGTCTATTCTTGTTTTAGTGAATGTATATAAAAAAAAACAAATACTACCCCATCTGTTTGGTTTATCATTTACTATTTACAGCAAATCTTCAGTTTGGAAGTCCGATCAATATAACCTTAGAATCATGCAGAGTCATCTGGCCCAGCTTGAGCTTTACCCTCAGAACAACAACAACAACAAAAATCAGTAAGGGGAAAAATGAGAATTTGATTTATAAACACTAGTACATTTAGGGGCTTTGATCAGTGGGCAAAGGAAGTAAACTATCACCACAGGAAAATCCAGCATTTTCAAAAGAATGCTTCTTAGAATTTGTCTGAATTCATCAATACTCACATTTATTGTATTGGATAATCTCACAGTTAGAGCTTATTATTTTAAGAATACTTCTGGCAGTATTCTGGGATGTCAGTTACACACAGATTAAACCAAACCACAAAGCAAGACGTTCTGATTGCTCTTACAATTTCTGTTTTTGTTTTTTTTCTTCTCAGTTTTCAGCTATAGCATTTAGAGGATATCCTCAGAGTAGTTGAATTTGAAGATGAAAACGGGTGGGAAAATAGCTCAGAATTTATTTACGTATAGACTTCCCCTGCTATTATTTTCTCCCTTCAGAAAACTGACTCCTTCAAAACAAGGTATAAGAATCTTAGCTTGCTTCCACACTCTGGAAGACAGGGAAGGTTTTGCTTTTTTATGACAAATATGAAAATATTGTTGTCTCAATGACATGAAAAGAGTGCATTTGCTCACAAGAAATTGTTTACATAAAAATTTCTGTGGAAATTAGAGTAGAAATTAATGTTTCCAACATAATTATGTCCCCATTTAGATCATCGACTCTAAGTCTGAGAAACTCTAATGTAGTCTCATAGAATCCTGTTTTACAGAGTAGTTGACCAAAGAAGAGCCTTAGGGAATAAATGAAGTAGTTCAAAAGGAAGTAGATTTTAATAAAAACCTAAATGAGTAGCATCAGAAAACTGACCTTACTATACATTACAAATAATTAAAATTTCTTCTCCAGAGAGAGCTATCTTTTACTCACTCAGTAACGTGTGACCAGCCTCAAATGTCAAAAAAGCCAAGCAAGAAAATTAATAAAAGGTGAAAAGGAAATGAAGCAGAATAACAACAGCATTTGGAACACAAAAGCATAGGCAGCAAAACTTCGTTATTAGTATACGAGAGAGATTTAAGAAGTCATGCTGCTATAAATGCCTAGCAGCATTATTGTCAGCAGAATGAATCTCAACACAGGAAGACGAGGACTACATGAGGAGGAAAGAGTGATTTAAAAAGTCAGATGTGGACATGTTGGATGCATTGCAATCAATTTTCGATGTGTTTTAGTTAGCCATGAAATATATATTAGGCCATTACTATGGTTCTTTTTCTCAGATTATTTGTTTCAAAATTAAAAGTTAAAGAAATTCATACCACTGTTGCTTAAGTAAAAACACCAGGACCTACTATCTCATCATGGTCATGTGGTCCAGGTAGAAAATATGTTAATTTTCTTTAGTAGGCCATGAATTTAAAAGTCTCTTAGGAATTATTCCTGGTTTGGGTCCACTTATAGGCTACTTGTGTGTATGTGTGTGTGTGTATGTGTGTGTGTGTGTGTGTGTCTACCATATAACAACTTTTTGGTCAATGAAAGACTACATATGCAACAGTGGTCCCATAAGATTATAATGGAGCTGAAAAATTCCTATCACCTAGCAGCCATGGGAGCATTTTTTCTATACTTTAAAATGTACAGATACACAAATATCATTGTGTTACAGTAGTTTCAGTACAGTAACATGCTCTACAGATTTGTAGCTTAGGGGCAATAGGCTACACCACATAGCCTAGATGCGTAGAGGTTTATGTGCGTATACTTTTCGATGTTCATAAATGAAAAAATAGCCTAGTGACACATTTCTCAGAATCTATCTCTATTATTAAACAATGCCTAACTCTATAGTAATTACTATCGATCAATTGATAGACACACACACAAAAATATAGCCTTCACCAGTTCGTGCTGCTATAACAAATTGTCACAAACTGGGTGGCTTGAATGACATACATTTATTTTACAAAGTTGTGCAGAGGTTGGGAAGTACAAGATCAGTGTGCCAGCAGATCAGTGTCTGGTATGGGCATGCTTCCTGGTTTGCTGATGGCCATCTACTTACTGTATCTCTACATGGCAGAGGGCAGAGAGCAGAGATATGGGGCTAGCTCTCTCTCTCTTACTGTAAGGACACTAATCCTATCATGGCAGCTCCATCCTCATGGCCTAATTACATCACAACATCCCCATATCCCAAAACCATCACATTAGGGGTTCCATATATGAATTTGGGGGTGATACAAGTATTCAATCCAAAGCATTTCACTCCTGCCCGCTAAAATGCATGTCCTTCTGACAATCAAAATATATTCTTTCCATTCCAACAGCCCCATAATTCTTAACTTGTTCCAGAATCAACTCAGTTTAAAGTCCAAAGTCTCATCTAAATATTATCTAAATCATATAGGGGTGAAACTCAAGGTATAATTCACTTTGAGGCAAAATTCCTCTCCAACTATAAACCTATAAAACCAAACAAGTTATGTGCTCCCAAAATTTAATAGTGGGAAAGACATAAAATAGGAATTCCCATTCTAAAATGGAGAAATGGGAAAGAGAGGAGGTAATAGGTTTCAAGAAAGTCCAAAACCTAGCAAGATAAACTCCATGAGATCTCAAAGCTCAAGGATATTCCTCTCTAGCTTGACACTCTGTCCTCCATGCCCACTGGGGTGTCAGCCTCATCCCCACAGCTTAGTGGAGTAATGCCCATGCCACAGCTCCCTTTCAGGGACTCATTTATATTCTCTGCTGGGACAGGATTCACTCCTAGGGCTCCCGTGGGCAGCCCCATACTCACAGCTTTTCTTGCAGGCCTCTTGCCCTGTTGAAACCTAGGCAGTGGCCAAACTGATCTGTGAATCACCTGGGTCCTTCTTCCCTTTTCTTGAAAGAAAAGCACATTCGTAGCCTTCCTTCATTTCATCTTATTTTCTCTGTTCCCTTTCTTTCCAACTTGCAATGTTTATGCTAGTATAATACTATCTCCATTCCTGGTTTGTGTTGAGATAGCTGATTAAGTCCATGGGTCACACTCATACTAATCTCCTTATCAACATGTCAGCACATTCAGTGTCTGGTGAGGACCTGTCTCCTGGTTTGCAGATGGCCATTTTCTTATTGTATTTTCATATGACAGAGAACAGAGAGGGCTAACTCTCTTCCTCTTCTTCTTGGGATGCTAATTTCATCATGGGAGTTCCACTCTCATGATCTAATTACTATCAAAGTACTTATTAATTTGGGGAGGACACAAACATTTAGTCCATAGCATGTATTTTCTTTTTTTCTCATAGAAGATGCAAATTAGCTTTGCAATTATTGTATAATAGACTTTACCCCAAGCTTATCTCTTTCTCTTTAGTGCTATCTAATGGTGGCATTTTTGTATGCAGCCCCATGCATACCTCAAGGCCTGGCAGTAAGATAGTTGACATTTTTGGGGAACTAAATCTTCTCATCTTCTTCACAATACACAGGTTTTCCTAAAGGTCTTACCAATAGAGTTTATTCCTCTGTCCGCTGTCAACCCACTCTCTTACTATCTAATTATCTCCTTGATCTAATGCTGCCTCATGACTTTAGCACCCAGACAGTGGTCTGTATTTCTCTGTTTTCACACCACCTTCTGTCAACATAAACAAACTTATAGAATTGCAAAGATAAATAGAAAAATACATAATGATATTCAAAGATTTCAATACTCTTCTCTCAATAATTGAATGAACAATAAAACAGAAAATCAATAAAGATATATAAGACTTAAAATGATATCAAAGAACCTGATCTAACTGGCATTTATAGAACACTCAACAGTAGAATACATATTTTTACTGTCCACAAAGAAAAACCAAATTAATTATAAAACATATCAGATGAAATTTGAAATGTGTTTTCTAACCACAGTATGAGTACCTAAAAAATTACAGAAAGATGTATAAACAACTATAGAAGATATAAAATCAAAATAACATACTTCTAAATAACTCATCTCAAAAGAAAAACTACGAAATATTTTCATCTAAATGAAAATGATAACATAATATCTTTAAAATGTGCGTGATGTCACTAAACCAGTACTTAGAAGGAAAATTATGGCTCTAAATGCCTATTTGAAATGAAAATAGATCTCAAATGTATTATCTTAGTTTGCATCATAAGAAGCTATAAAAAAGAAAGCAAATCAAAACTAAAGTAAACAGAAGTGAAATAAACAAAGGGGGATACAGATGGAATATAAAACAGATAAACAATAGAGAAAAATCAGTAGTTCAAAACCTGGTTCTTTCAGAAGTTCCATAAAATTGATAAACTTTTAAGCATACTGATTAGGAAAAATAAAAAGTGACAGATTACTAATACCAGGAAAGACAGAGGTGACATTACCACAGATGTTACAGATATTAACAGGGTATGGGAATATTATAAAATATTTATGCCAATAAATTTGACAACTTAAGTGAAATAGATTAATTTCTTGAGCACATATTAATAAATCTCACTCTAGTGTAACTAAGATCACTTCCCCTGCCACAAAATAATCCTGGCCCATAAGACTTTCCTGATTTAATTCTGCCAATATTTAATAAAGGAATAATTACCATTTCTAATGAAACTATTACAGAAAATTGAGGAAGAGATAATACTACCAAATTCATTCTACAAGACCAACATTTCTATACCAAAGCCAGACAGTAATGAAAGAATTAAAACTTTCATCGGGACAATTTATTCCTGGGATGCAAAGGTAGTTCAACATAGAGAAGACAATTAATAAATGTGATATACCATGTTAAAGGACAAGAATAAAGGACAAAAACCATATGATCATCACAATAGATGCAGGAAAAGCTTTTGATAAAATTCAACATCCTTTTATGATAAAAACTCTTAATCAATTAAGCATAGAAGGAATGTACCTCAACACAACAAAGGGCATATATAAAAAGCCTGTGACAGGCCGGGCGCGGTGGCTCACGCCTGTAATCCCACACTTTGGGAGGCTGAGGTGGATGGATCACCTGAGGTCAGGAGTTCAAGACCAGCCTGGCCAACACGGTGAAACCCCCTCTCTCTACTAAAAGTACAAAAAATTAGCCGGACATGGTGGTGGGCACCTGTAATCCCAGCTACTCAGGAGGCCGAGACAGGAGAATTGCTTGAATTTGGGAGGTGGTGGTTGCAGGGAGCCAAGATTGTGCTGTTGCACTCCAGCCTGGGCAACAAGAGTGAAATTCTGTCTAAAAAAAAAGAAAGAAAGAAAGAAAAAGAGAAAGAGAAAGGAAAGAAAAAGCCTATGACCAACATTATGCTAAGGTGAAAAGTTGAAAGCTTTTCCTCTAAGATTATGAATAAGACAGGGATGCCTGCTTTCACCACTACTATTCACTACTATTCAACATAGTATTGTAAGTTCTAGACAGAGCAATTTAACAAGGAAAAGAAATAAAAGATATCCAAATAGGAAAGGAAAAAGTTTGTCTCTGTTTGCTGATGATATGATTTTTTACAGGCAACTCTAAAGACTGCATCAAAAAAACTGTTAGAACTGATAAACAAATCCAAGAATATTTTAGGGTACAAAATCAACATGCAAAAATTTTACGGTACAAAATCAACATACAAAATATTTTAGGGTACAAAATCAACATAAAAAAATTAATGGCATTTTTTCACACTAATAAATTATCTGAAAAAATTAAGAAATTAAACCCATTTACAGCAGTATAAAAAATACTTAGGAGTAAATTTAACTAAAGAGGGAAAGATCAGCATACTGAAATAATAAATCATTGATGAAAGAAATTATAGAAGGCATAAATAAATGGAAAGCTATCCCATGTTCATTGTCAAAGAATTAACATTGTTTCTTTTGGCTGCATAAATGTCTTCTTTTGAGAAGTGTCTGTTCATACCCTTTGCCCACTTTTTGATAGCTGGAAACCATCATTCTCAGCAAACTATCGCAAGGACAAAAAACCAAACACCACATGTTCTCACTCATAGGTGGGAATTGAACAATGAGAACACATGGACACAGGAAGGGGAACATCACACACAGGGGCCTGTTGTGGGGTGGGGGAAGGGGGGAGGGATAGCATTAGGAGATATACCTATGTTAAATGATGAGTTAATGGGTGCAGCACACCAACATGGCACATGTATAATACGTAACTAACCGGCACATTGTGCACATGTACCCTAAAACTTAAAGTATATTAAAAAAAAGTATTAACATTGTTTAAATGTCCATACCACACAAAGAAATCTGCAGATTCAATGTAATCACTTTCAAATTTCCAATGTTATTTAATATAGAAATAGAAAAAAAATCTTATAATTTGTTTGGAACCATAAAAGATCTCAAATAGCCAAATTAATCTTGAGAAAAAAGAACAAAGCTGGTGTTTTTACGTTACCTGCCTTCAAAATATACTACAAAGCTATCCTAATCAAAAGAACATGGTACTACCATAAAAATAGACACAATGATCAATGGAAGGATATAGCACCCAGAAATACATACACATATTTATGGTTAATTGATTTTTGACAAAGGTGCCAAGAACACACAATGGAGACAGAACAGTCTTCAACAAATGGTACTGGGAAAACTTGATATCATTGCATCATTATTCACAGTAGCTAAGATATGGAGGCAATATAGGTGTACATCATAAATGGATAAAGAAGCCAGGCACGGAGGCTCACACCTGTAATCCCAGCACTTTGGGAGGCCAAAGCAGGAGAATCTCTTGAACCCAGGAGGCAGAGGTTGCAGTGAGTAGAGATCATGCCACTGCACTCCATCCAGCCTAGGCAACAGTGAGGCTCTGTCTCAAATAAATAAATAAATACATACATACATAAAATGTAGTGTATATACACAGTGAAATACTATTCAGCCTTAAAAGGAGATGGGGGGATCTTGTCATTTTCAATAACATTAATGAGTCTGGAGAACATTAAGTTGAGTGAAATAAGCCAGGCACAGAAATACAAATAATGCATGCTCTCACACATAGATGGAATCTAGAAATGTTGAACTCATGGAAGCACAGAATAGAATGATGGTTACCAGAGATAGGGAAAAAGAGAGATATTGATCAATGAGTACAAAGTTTCAGTTAGGAGGAATAAGCTTTAGTGATGTATTGTACGGAATGGTGAGTATAATAAATAATAAGTTGTGTATTACAAAATTGCTAAAAAAGCAGATGTTAAATGTTTTTAATACAAAAAAAAAAGTATGTGAGGTGATGGATTTCTTAGTAAGCCGATGATATTATTCCACATCATAAACATATATCGAAACATCACCTTGAACTCCATAAATATATATTTCTCAATTTAAAATAAAATTTTAAAATAATAATTAAAAAGAATATAAAATGTATAATACAAATTCTCCATGAACACAATTTTTAATAAATCAAGTATCTAATATATAAGAAGAATTTCATGGTCAAATAGGATTCTGTCCAAGAGAAAAAATTCTTAACATTGAAAATTAGTCAATATTAAATATCATTAAAAAAACTAAAAAGGAAAGAATCATATGATCTTTCAAAAGATACAGGGAAAGCATTTGACAAATCCAACATTCTTTTCTAATAAAAATTCACAGCAGAGTCAGAAGAAAAGGGAGTTTTCTTAAAAAGATGAAAGGTAACAAGTAAAAATTTACAGCTAACGTCATATTTCATATGCTTGCTTTCCCAAAGCCAAAAAGGGACAAGGATATCTGCTCTCAGTAAATCTATTAAATATTTTACTGGAAGTATGATCCAGAGCAATCAGACACGATAAAGAAATAAAAGGCATCTAGATTTGAAAAGAAGAAATAGAGATGCCATAATTTTCATAAGACAATATGATCTATATAGAACATCCTACATAACTAAAAATGTGCTACTAGAACTAACAAGTGAGGGTAGCAAGGTTGCATAGGTTAAATACATGGAAAAAACCTGTATTTCTACATAAACAGATCTAAAAACAAAACACCCTTGATTATCTCAACGTGTCTACAGAAAAGGCTTTCAATAAAGTTTAGCATCCCTTCATGTTAAAAATCCTCAACAAACAAGACATTGAAGGAACACAACTCAAAATAATAAGAGCCATTTTGGACAAAACCACAGGCAACATCATACTAAATGGGAAAAAGCTGAAAGTATTCCCCTGGGAATCAGAACAAGACAAGATATCCACTCTCACCACTCCTATGCAATACAGTACTGGAAGTCCCAGCCAGAGCAATTAAACAAGAAAAATAAATAGGCAGAGAGGAAGTTAAATGATCTCTCTTCACAGATGATATGATTCAGTACCTAGAAAATCCCACAGTCTCTGCCCAAAGGCACCTAGGTTTGATAAACAACTTTAGCAAAGTTTCTGGATACAAAATCAATGCACAAAAATCAGTAGCATTTCTATACACAAATAATATCCAAGCTGAGAGTGAAATCAAGAACACAATCCCATTCAAAATAGCCGCAAAAGAAATAACATACCTAGGAATACAGCTAACCAGGGAGGTGACAAATCTGTATAACAAGATTACAAAACATTGCTGAAAGAAATCAAACATAACAGAAACAAACAGAAAAAATATTCCATGCTCATGAATAGGAAGAATCAATGTTGTTAAAATGGTCTTTCTGCCCAAAGCAATTTACAGATCCAATGCTATTCCAATCAAACAACCAATGACATTTTTCTCAGAATTAAAAAAAAGATTATTCTAAAATTCATGTGAAACAAAAATAAGAGCTCAAATAGACAAAGAAATCCTAAGGGAAAAGAAAAACAAAGTTGGAAGTATCACACTACCCAACTTCACTATACTACAAGACTATAGAAATAAAAACAGCACGGTACTGATATAGAAAGAGACACATAGATAAATGGAACATTTGATCTTCAACAAAGTCAAAAATAACAAGCAAAAGGGAAAGGACTCCCTATTCAGTGGTGCTGGGATAAATGGCTAGTCATATGCAGAAGATTGAAACTGGACCCCTTCTTTTTACCGTATGCAAAAACAACTCAAGACAGATTAAAGACTTAAATATAAAACCTAAAAGTATACAAACCCTAAAAGAAAACCTAGGAAATACTATTCCGGACATAGGACCTAGCAAAGAATTCATGATGAAGACTCCAAAAGCAATTGTAACAAAAATGGGACTTAATTAAACCAAAGAGCTTCTGCACAGCAAAAGAAACTATCAACAGAGTAAACAGATAACCAATAGAAAGTGAGAAAATATTTGCAAACTATGCAACTGACAAAAGTCTGGTATCCAGAATCCATAAGAAACTTAAGCAAATCAACAAGTAAAACCCAAATAACCCTATTAAAAAATCAGCAAAGAATATTAACAGATGCTTCTCAAAGAATACATACCAGCAGCCAACAAGCATATGAAAACATGAGAATATCACTAATATTAAAGAAATGCAAATCAGAGATACCATCTCACACTAGGTAGAATAGCTATTATTAAAAAGTCAAAAAATAACATAGGTTGTTGAGGTTGCATAGAAAAGAGAAGGCTTACACACTGCTACTGGAAATCTATTTAGTTCAGCCACTGGGGAAATGAGTTTGGAGATTTCTCAAAGGATTTAAAACAAAACTACTATTTGACCCAGCTATCCCATTACTGGGTTTATTCCCAAAGGAATATATATCTTTTGGCCATAAAGACACATGCATGCCTATGTTCATCACAGCACTTTTCACAATAGCAAAGACATGGAATCAAACTAGGTCCCCATGAATAGTGTGTTGGATAAAGAAAATGTGATACATATATATAATAGAATACTATGCAGCCATAAAAGGAATGAAACTACGTCCTTTGCAGCAACATGAATACAGCTGGTGGCCATTATCCTAAGTGAATTAATGCAGAAATAGATAGCTAACTACCGTGTGTTTCCTTTTATAAGTAGGAGCTAAACACTGAGTACACATGGACACAAAGAAGGGAACAATAGACACTGGAGACTACTTGAGGGTGAGAATGGGAGGATGGTGAGAATAAAAAAAAAATCTACCTATTGGGTAATATGCTCATAGCCTGAGTGAAAAAATAATCTGTACACGAAACATGCATTTACCCATGTGAAAAACCTGCACATACACCCCCTAAATAAAATCAAGTTAGCAGAAACAGAAAACAATTATATGTCTAGATTTTGCTCACAAGCTATTGAAAAGGGAAGAAAAATACCATTTATAATAGCATCAGAAATTCGAAATACTTAAGATAAATCTGGCAAAAGATAGAAAAGAATTGTATATTGAAAACTACAAGATGTTACTGAGAGAAAATAAAGCAGATCTAAAGATGTGGAAAGATATATGCCATGTTCATGGATTGGAAGGCACCATATTGTTAACATGTCAATTCTCCACAGACTGGTCTATAGATATAACATAAGCCCATTCGAAACTGTTAAGAGGCAGATTTTCTGAAATTGACAAACTGGTTATAAAATTCATATGGAAATGGCAAGGACCAAGCATAGCCAAAATATTTTGAAAAAGAACAAAGTTGGAGGACAAATATTACCCAACTGCAAGATTTATTATAAAGTTACAATAATCATGACAGCATGACAATGACAGCATTAAAATAAAAACATATTTCAATGGAACACAAAAAAGCCCAGAAAAAAAATCCACTCATAAATGAACAATTTTGACAAAGTTCCAAAAGTAATTAGGTGTACAACAAATAGCATTTCAACAAATTGTGCTAGTACAGTTGGATATCCATATGTAGATAAAAGTTACTTTAATTTATACCTCATGCCATATTCAACAGTTCACTCAAAATGAATCATAGAACTAAATGTAAACATATTTATAAAACTTCAAAAAATTGGGTTATACAAAGAATTGTATGTAATATCAAGCCATGACAGATTTTTAGGCAGTTCATTACACTATATGATCTACCCACATCCACCAAAGCCATCTATACAAATGTTCATAGAAGCTTTAATTTTAGAAGCTAAAATTGGAAGCAACCCACATGTTCTTCAACAAGTGAATAAATAAACAACTGTAGAGTATTAATACAATGAATTACTACTAAGCAGTAAAAGCATATGAACTATCAATACACATAACAACTTGGATAAACCTCAAATTATGTTAAATAAAAAAGTCAGGAAAAAAAAGGAGCCCACACTAGACAATTCTAAGAAAATCAAACTAATATATATAGAGAAAAATAGAGAAGTGGTTGGCTGGGAACAAAAAGGAGTCAGAGAGGAATAAGAATGAAAGGGAACAAGAAAACTCTTGGGAGTGGTAAATGTACTTATTATCTTGGTTCTATACTTATGTCAAAACTTACTGAATAGTACACTTTAAGTACAAGAGGTTTCTGTATTGTATGTCAATTGTACCTCAATAGAGTTATTTAAAATATACAAATTACATCATCAAAATGTCTTCTTTGATACCAAATTCTGTGGTCACATCTATGCCTTGTTTTGATTGTCAAGTCTGTAGCATTTGATAGACCTTTTTTTTTCTCTTTGAGAAAAGGAATTTAAAATTCTGTCATCATTCCTCTTTTTTCTCTCACCACTCTTTACCAGTCACTTTTTCAGGTTGCTCTATCTCTGCTTAAACCATCTCTGCTCATCTATTCTATTTTGGAACACTTGTTGCAGCTCATCTTATTTAGCCCAATGACTTAAACTTCCCTATCACATCCAAATGCAAGCCTCCAGCCTGTATTCCTTTGAAGTATTTCAGATTCATATATTTCTAATTAGACAATATTCATAGTGGGCTTCTTAGAGATACTATGTTTAGAATGGAACTATCAATTTTACCCCTATTTTATTCTTCCCCAAGTTCTATTTCAGTAAATGGTACCACCATCTACCCCTTATGCTTAAAGATAAAATTGTAATTACTATTTTTGATTCTGTCCTTTTCCTCCCAGCTTCTACTCAATATAACAGGGAGCCACATTGGCTTTATCTTCAATGTACAAGTGAATCCAATTATTTTTCACCATTTTTACTATAATCATTATTGACTAAGCCATTATCACCTCTTAAATAGGCTATTGCAATAGTTCTCTTACCGTCATGTAAACCATTTGCCACACAGTAGAGTGATACTTAAAATTGCAAATGAGACTTTTATTACTGGTTTACTTAAAACTCATCTATGTCTGCTCATTACTCTTATGACAAAATCCCAACTTTTTATGGCCTAAATGGCTCTACATGATTCTAACTTCACATCCTATCTCTTTTCTCCTGACATCCAGGCACCCTGGCCTATCTTCTATGCCTTATGCACACTGTGTTTGGTAAGGACTAGAATTACTTCTGATTTTTTTTTCAGCTCATACAAAAATTGCTTTAACAAAATGAGGACCTAAGTCTGAAATATATACCATTTCAGTTCTCAATGATAAAAACATTTCCGCCAACTTAACAACAGTAAAGAAACATAATACAAGCTTGACTAAATGCTCATAAGCAAAACCAGTCCTGCTGTGCTGACTGGAATTGCCTTAAGGCAGCAATAAATTCATCATTAAATGTTCTCAAGCACCAATAGCTCTAAACTTCCCCATGCAGAATCAGTCACTTTTTCACCTAAACTTCCATATAACTTTATAATTGACATTTTAAAATCATTTGCCTATTAAGTAAATATAAGTATTTTGTTAAATGCCACCCTGGCCATCTGGACTATGAGTTACTCAAGAATAGGATCCTATATTCTACAGAACCAAGATCATCTTTTGTACAACTTCCCATCACTTCACACATACTGTGAACTCCAATTGCCTCCTACTTTCTTTGACCAATTTACTCTTAGTCACTATCCAAGAATTATCTTCTAAGAATAATGCTTGATACACAGCAAGCTTTCAATGTATTTATTGAACTAATTATTTATATTAAAGTATTGGTGACAATTTCTTGGGGTGGTAGAGTTAGGGTCAAAACATCCAGAAAACAAACATTTCCAACGTTTCTATTAGCTCCAGGTGTCTTTGCCAGCAGAGCTCAAAAAGAAATGTGGCTGGGCATGGTGGCTCACGCCTATAATCCCAGCACTTTGGGAGGCCGAGGCAGGTAGATCACAAGGTCAAGAGATTGAGACTATCCTGGCCAAATGGTGAAACCCTGTCTCTACTAAAAACACAAAAATTAGCTGGGCATGGTGGCACACACCTGTAGCCCCAGCTACTGAGGAGGCTGAGGCAGGAGAATCACTTGAACCTGGGAGGCGGAGGTTGCAGTGAGCTGAGATCGTTCCACTGCACTCTCCAGCCTGGTGACAGAGTAAGACTCCATCTCAAAAAAAAAAAAAAAAAAAAAAAAGAAATGTGATTTTCAAAAATGTACATGTGACAGATAAAAATATTTTCCTAATGTGTCCCCTTATCATGAGATGAGTTTATCTTAACTCTTATTTATCTGTTTTTAATGCTCAGCCATAGGACTCAGTATTCCTGGGAAGAAGGAAAATGTGACATAATAGAAAGGGGAAGCAGAAGTCCAAAGGAAAAGGGGAAGTAGAAGTCCAAAGAAAAAGGGCAAGTAGAAGTCCCATTCCTTCTACCCAGAGAATATGTGAAAAGAAGGAAAGAGACACATGAGGGGAGCTGGTCAGGAATCAGTTATTGATATACTGCCTGTATGGGGCTAAACTTCAGTGTAAGGGATTACATTTTAATGTTAAGGAACCTGAAAACATCAGGACAAGTGACATACTTCCATAGGCATAGCCTGGGTGAAAATGTAGTATTTTGTGGGAAGCCTGGCATTTGGTTTATTCCCAATTCAAATGTGAGGCAGGAGCACTAGAATGGCACAGAAACAAAGAGATGTCAAGATCAATCAGACTGAGACAAACTTCATATCCCTTACTCCCTATAGTCTGCAAATAGTACTTAGTGTATCTAGAACACTCCACATGCCTCAGTGAGCTGACTTAGAAATGCTGACTGTAGGAGATTGGTCAGAGTGGTGAGAGAAACTACAGGGAAAGGAGCAGGCCTTATGAAAGGTCAGAAGGCTCTGCAGAGCTTTAGGGGAGAATAGCTGAAGGCAGCTGTTCTCTCACCTTGAGGCAGAGGGCAAGGAGTAGGTACAAGGGAGTGTAGGGGAATTCATCTTAAACAGGCTTGTTTATTTATGTTGACCAGGAGCAGACCTTTGATCATCCACATGCCTGATGTTCCCTGAAAGGGGAACAATAAATGTTAATTACCCACAGATTGTGTTTGCTCCAGGCTTTTGGCATTGTGCCTACACTGAATAAAAGCAAGCAGCTCCAGCTTCTCAGGGTGGCGGCACTTTGGCCACTAGAGCCCAGCAGTCCCCTAGCTGCTCTTATACTGTGTACCTGTGTCTGAGTACTCCTTTCATCTGTCGGTTAGCCAGGTCTGTGGGAAAGACCCGGCAGCTGAGAGAACCAGTTGGCCAGTGAAATTAAGAGATTGATAAGAAGTGTAATGAGTGAGATCTTTACAACAGGGAGCAAGTAGTGTGGTCTGTAGACTTCAGCCATGGAAGCTTGCAAAACGCCAGGCAGGAGTAGTGTCATTGGGTTGGGCACTGTTGGGAACAAGCCCCGCAAAATCTGGCCATAAACTGGCCCCATAACTGGCCATAAACCAAATCTCTGCAGCACTGTGGCATGTTCATGATGGCCATAACGCCCACGCCGGAAGGTTGTGGGTTTACGGAATGAGGGCAAGGAACACTTGGCCCGCCCAGGGCAGAAAACCGCTTAAAGGCATTCTTAAGCCACAAACAATAGCATGAGCAATCTCTGCCTTAAGGACATGATCCTGCTGCAGTTAACTAGCCTAACCTATTCCTTTAATTCGGCCCATCCTTTGTTTCCCATAAAGGATATTTTAGTTAATTTAATATCTATAGAAACAATGCTAATGACTGGCTTGCTGTTAATAAATACATGGGTAAATCTCTGTTCAGGGCTCTCAGCTCTAAAGGCTGTGAGACACCTGATTTCCCACTTCATACCTCTATATTTCTGTGTGTGTGTCTTTAATTCCTCTAGCACCGCTGGGTTAGGGTCTCCCCGACTGAGCTGGTCTCAGCAGGGCAGCAGCATAGTGTGTAGACTAGACTAACCTGCACCTATCAGAGAACATCAAAAAACAGAAAGGAGCCTGCCTATCCAAAGGCCCAGCTCCTTCTCACTGTAGTCAGGTAAGTCACTCTCCAGGGTAGGAGAGAAGGAGGGTGAAAAATTCTGCAAGAACTTTTGCCCCCAAGAGACAAAGTCAAAAAGACAGTATTAGAATGGAAGTTGAATCAGTTTTAAGTGCCTTCTCCTTCTCCAGTTCCTTCCCAGTAACCCTACTGTGTAATGTCTCATGAAAAAAATGGAATCAGTTATAGAAAATAAAATATAATTTCTATGATTCTTTAATAACTCTGTGCAGTATTTGTTTCCACATTAAACTAAAGTAAGAAGGCTAAACCTCTCAACTCCACTAGCAATTGTGCACAGTGCTGCTAAAAAGAGTATTATTCAACATAAATCTAATCACAAATGTCAAGTTAGGACAGTTTAGGCAATATGAATGTCATTTCCTATGATTAGACACTTATATATAATTCTTACTGAGTTGGACTTAAATAATATGGCTACTTTTCTTGATTCCTGTTCACCAACAAAGATTATATTCTACCTATTGCCTGCCCTTGTGTTAGCACTTGGCACTCTTTATGAGTTGGTCAAAACAAATAACAAGTATAGCCCTCTGATACTTTAAAAGAGGAGGACTATATTGCATTTAACTAAAAGTTGTTACAAAGGAAACACTAAGCATCTTGAGGCCCCAGTTGACTCTATGATAGCAAGTATGCGAAAGTACAGAGAAAATAGGCAACACAAACAAAAAGAGAGAGATAGATTGACTGATTGATTCATTGTCAAGTCTTCTTTGGAAACTGAATTTGAAAGTGTTAAATTCAATTCCAGTTGCAAAGACTTCATCCGTAAATCGGGTGCCTTAGACTGCAAATAATTATACTTGAGTTTTGTAGGACAAGCAAAAACTCCACAAGCAAGCCAGAAAGAGAACCCACTGCAAAAATGCAAACACTAAGTTGGGTATTGCAGTCAAGGCAGAAAATAAGCCATGCAATTTGTGCAAAACTAACTCAGCTTATACCCGTTGCCTCTAAATTTAGAAGCCAAGACCAGAGACTGAAGAGTGACCTCAATAGCTCTCAATCTTTATACTGAATACAATCTCACCATGCTTTTCATTTGCATTTCTTTGATGATTACTTATGTTGACCATTTTTTCATATGTTTTTTGGCCACTTGTAAGTCTTCTTTTGAGAAAGTGTGTTTGTATCTTTTGCCCTCTCTTTAATGTGGTTGGTTTTTGCTTGTTGACTTGCTTAAGTTCCTTATAGATTCTGGATATTACACCTCTGTCAGTTGCATAGTTTGTGAATATTTTCTCCCATTATGTACATTCTCTGTTTGTTGATAGTTTCTTTTTCTGTACAGAAGCTTTTCAGTTTAATTAGATCCCACTTGTCAAATTTTTGTTTTTGTTACAATTGCTTTTGAGGATTTCATCATAAATTCTTTCCCAAGGCTAAGTGGTGTTTCCTAAAAGGTAATGCTTATACACTTGTTGGTGGGAATGTAAATTAGTTCAGCCATTGTGGAAAGCAGTTTGGAGATTACTCAAAGAACTTAAATCAAAACTACCATTTGACCCAGCAATCAATACCAATAGTAGGTATATATCCAAAAGAAAATAAATTGTTCTACCAAAAATACACGTGCACTTGTATGTTCATTACAGCACTATTCACAATGTCAAAGACATGGAATCAGCTTAGGTGCCCATCAACAGTGGACTGGATAAAGAAAATATTATATATAATATATATATATATACACATATATATATATATACACATATATATATACACACATATATATATATACACATATATATATATATATATATATACACACATATATATATATACACACACACAAACACACACACACACACCCCATGGAATACTATGCAGACATTAAAAATTGAAATCATGTCTTTTGCAGAAACACGAATGTTGCTGGGGGTCATTATCCTAAGCAAATTACCACAGGAACAGAAAACTAAATGCCATATGTTCTCACTTATAAGTGAGGGCTAAACATTGGATACTCATGGACATAAAGATGGTAGCAGTAGACACTTGGGACAAATACACTTCCTGTCTAACTGAAATTTTGTACACTTTGACCAACCTGTCCTCTTTTGCAATCTCCTCCCCACTTCCAGCCTCTATTACCTACCATTCAACTCTCTACTTCTATAAATTTAACTTACAAAGTTCTACCTATAAGTGAAATTATGCAATACTCATCTTTCTGTCTGGCTTATTTCACTTAACATAATGTCCTGCAGGTTCATCCATGTTGTCACAAATAAGTAGTTTTCCTTCTTTGTAAAGGTGAAATAGTATTATATTGTTTATATGTACCAAAATTTCTGTATTCATTCATCTGTTGTTATGCACTTAGGCTGATTTCATATCTTGTCAGTTGTGAATAATGCTTCCATGAAAATGAGAGTCCGTATACTTCTTCAACATACTCATGTCATTTCCTTTTGATATACAAACAGAAGAGGTAGGGCTGAATCATATAGTAGTCCTACTTTTAGTTTTCTGAGAAATTTCCATGCTGTTTTCCATAACAAGTGTACTAATTTACATCATCTCTAATAGTGTATAAGGGTTCCCTTTCTTCACATCTTCAACGGGTGTTATCTTTGGTCCTTTAGATAATAGCCATTCTAGCAAGTGAAAGATAATATTTCATTATAGTTTTAATTTTCATTTTCCTGATTATTAGTGATTTTTAGCATGTTTTCAGAAACCTGTTCGCCATTTATATATTTTCTCCTGAGAAATGGCTATTCAGATTTTTTGCCCATTTTCTCTCATTTCATAGGTTTTTTGATTTTTTGCCCATTTTATGATTTTTTTGCCCATTTTCTCTCACTTCATAGGTTGTCTCATCACTCTCTTTATTGTTTCCTTGGCTGTGTAGAATCTTTCTAGTTTGATATGGTTCCATCTGTCTATTTTTTGCTTTTATTGCCTATGCTTTTGTTGCTATATCAGGAAAAAAAAAGATTATTGTCCAGACCAACATCATGGAGCATTTCCCCTGTTTTCTTCTACTAGTTTTACACTCTAAGACTTACATTTGAGTCTTTAATTTATTGCAAGTTGACCTTTGAATATGGTATGACCTTTGAATATGGTGTGAGATAAACATCCAGTTTTACTCTTGTGCATGTGGATATCCAATCATACCAACACCAATTATTGAATAGATTCCCCTTTCCCCATTGTGTGTTCTTAGCACTTTTGCCAAAAATCGATTGAATGAAAATCTGTGAGTTCATTTTTGGGCTCTCTATCCGTTCCATTTGTTAATGTGTCTGTTTGTATGCCAGTACCATGTTGTTTTGAGTACCACAGCTTTTAATATATTTTGAAATCAGTAAGTATAATGCCTCCAGCTTTCTTCTTTCTCAAGATTGATTTGCTTATTTGGGGTCTTTCATGATTCTAGACAAATTTTGGGATTTTTTATTTATTACTGTGAAAATGGCATTGGAATTTTGATAGGGATTACATTAAATCTGTAGATCACTTTGAGTAGTTTGGACATTTTAACAATACTAATTCTTCCAATCCATGAACATGGGATATCTTTTCATTTATTCGTGCCTTTGACAATTTTTTCATCAATGTTTTATATTTTTCAGTGTATAGATTTTTACCTTCTCAGTTAAATATATTCCTAAGAATATTGTTTTTTATCTATTGTAAATAGTATTGTTTCCTTGCTCTCTCTCCTACATAAGTCATTATTAGTGCATACAAAAACTGCTGATTTTTATATAATGATTTTGTATATTGTACTTGTATTGAATTTATCAGCTCTAACAGTTTTTTGGAAGAGTCCATAGGGTTCTCTGTATATGAGATCATGTCATCAGCAAACATAGACAATTAAACCTTTTTTACTATTGGGATGTCTTTCCTTTTTCTTACCTAATTGCTCTGGCAAAGACTTTCAGTACTATATTGAATAGAAGTTTTAAGAGTGGGCATCCTTGTTTTATTTCAGATCTTAAAGAAAAACCTTTCAACTTTTCATCACTGAGTATGAAGTTAACTGTGGGTTTATCATATATGACCTTTATTGAGTTAAAAAACATTACTTTTATATCTAATTTGCTTTTCCCACAGTCTTCACAACCTGCAGACCAGGAGATTCCCTCAGGTGCCTACACCACCACGGCCCTGGGTTTTGAGCAGAATACTGGGCAGCCATTTGGGCAGACACCAAGCTAGCTGCAGGAGTTTTTTTTCATATCCCAGTGGTGCCTGGAATGCCAGCGAGACAGAACTGTTCACTCCCCTGGAAAGGGGCCTAAAGCCAGGGGGCCAAGTTGTCTAACTCAGCAGGTTCCAACCCCATGGAGCCCAGCAAGCTAAGATCCACTTACTTGAAATTCTCACTGCCAGCACAGCAGTTTGAAGTCGACCTGAGACTCTTGAGCTTGGTGGGGGGAGGGGCATCCTCCATTACTGAGGCTTGAGTAGGCAGTTTTCCCTTCACAGTGTAAACAAAGCTTCCAGAAAGTTTGGACTTGGTGGAGTACACCACAGCTCTGAAAATTCCAAAAACCAGAATGCCTCTTCTCCTCCAAAGGATCACAACTCCTTGCCAGCAAGGGAACAAAACTGGACAGAAAATGAGTTTGATGAATTAACAGAAGTAGGCTTCAGAAAGTGGGTAATAACAAATTCGTCCTCTCCGGGCAGGGCATCTCTGAAAAAAAGGCAGCAGCCCCACTCAGGGGCTTATAGATCAAACTCCCATCTCCCTGGAACAGAGCACCTGGGGGAAGGGGCAACTGTGGGCACACCTTAAGCAGATTTAAACGTTTCTGCCTGCCAGCTCTGAAGAGAGCAGCAGATCTCCCAGCGCAGTGCTTGAGCTCTGCTAAGGGACAGACTGCCTCTTCAAGTGGGTCCCTGACCCCCGTGCCTCCTGACTGGGAGACAGCTCCCAGCAGGGGTCAACAGACATACAGGAGAGCTCCGGCAGACATCTGGCAGGTGCCCCTCTGGGACGAAGCTTCCAGAGGAAGGAACAGGCAGCAATCTTTGCTGTTCTGCAGCCTCCACTGGTGATACCCAGGCAAACAGGGTCTGGAGTGGACCTCCAGCAAACTCCAACAGACGTGCAGCAGAGGGGCCTGACTGTTAAAAGGAAAACTAACAAACAGAAGGGAACAGCACAAACATCAACAAAAAGGACATCCACACAGAAACTCCATCTGAAGGTCACCAACATCAAAGGCCAAAGGTAGACAAATCCATGAAGATGAGGAAAAACCAGCAAAAAAAGGCTGAAAATTCCTAAAACCAGAATGCCTCTTCTCCTCCAAAGGATCACAACTCTTCACCAGCAAGGGACAAAACTGAACAGAGAATGAGTTTGATGAACTGACAGAAATATGCTTCAGAAGGTGGGTAATAAAAAACTTCTCTGAGCTAAAGGAGCATGTTTGAACCCAATGCAAGGAAGCTAAGAAGCTTGAAAAAAAGGTTAGAGGAAATGCTAACTAGAATAACCAGTATGGAGAAGAACATAAATGACCTGATGGAGCTGAAAAACACAGCACAAGAACTTCATGAAGCATACACAAGTATCAATAGCCAAATCAATCAAGCAGAAGAAAGGATATCAGAGATTGAAGATCAACTTAAAGAAATAAAGCATGAAGACAAGATTAGAGAAAAAGAAAGAAAATGAATGAACAAAGCCTCCAAGAAATATGGGACTATGTGAAAAGACCAAACCTATGTTTGATTGGTGTACCTGAAAGTGACAGGGAGAATGGAACCAAGTTGGAAAACACTCTTCAGAATATTTTCCAGGAGAACTTCCCCAACCTAGCAAGACAGGCAAACATTCAAATTCAGGAAATACAGGGAACACCACAAAGATACTCATCGATAAGAGCAACCCCAAGACACAAAATCATCAGATTCACCAAGGTTAAAAAGAAGGAAAAAATGTTAAGGGCAGCCACAGAGAGAGAAAGGTAGGGTTACCCACAAAGGGAAGCCCATCAGACTAACAGCTGATCTCTCTGCAAGAAACCCTACAAGCCAGAAGAGTGGGGACCAATATTCAACATTCTTAAAAAAATTTTTTTCAACCCAGAATTTCATATCCAGCCAAACTAAGTGTCATAAGCAAAGGAGAAATAAAATCTGTTACAGACAAGCAAATCCTGAGAGATTTTTGTCACCACCAGGCCTGTCTTACAAGAGCTCCTGAAGGAAGGAATAAATATGGAAAGGAAAAACAGGTACCAGCCACTGCTAAACATACCCAATTGTAAAAACCATCGACGCTATGAAGAAACTGCATCAACTAACAGGCAAAATAACCAGCTAGCATCATAATGACAGGATCAAATTCACATGTAATAATATTAACCTTAAATGTAAATGGGCTAAATGCCCAAATTAAAAGGTGCAGACTGGCAAATTGGATAGAGTCAAGACCCATCAGTGTGCTGTATTCAGGAGACCCATCTCACATGCAAAGACACACATAGGCTCAAAACAAAGGGATTCAGGAAGATTTACCAAGCAAATGAAAAGAAAAAAAAAAAAAAGCAGAGGTTGCAGTCCTAGTCACTGATAAAACACACTTTAAAACAACAAAGATCAAAAGAGACAAACAAGGGTATTACATAATGGTAAAGGAATCAATGCAACAAGAAGAGCTAACTATCCTAAATATATATGCACCCCATACAGTACCACCCAGATTCATAAAGCAAGTTCTTAGAGACCTACAAAGAGACATGGACTCCCAAACAATAATAGTGGGAGATTTTAACACCCCACTGTCAATATTAGACAAATCAATGAGACAGAAAATTAACAAGGATATTCAGGACTTGAACTCAGCTCTGGACCAAGCAGACCTAATAGACATCTACAGAACTCTCCACCCCAAATTAACAGATTATACATTCTTCTCAGCACCACATTGCACTTATTATAAAGTTCACCACATAATTGGAAGTAAAACACTCCTCAGCAAATGTAAAAGAATGGAAATCATAACAGTCTCTCAGACCACAGTGCAATCAAATTAGAACTCAGGATTAAGAAACTCACTCAAAACTGCACAACTACATGGAAAATGAACAACCTGCTCCTGAATGACTACTGGGTAAATAACAAAATTAAGGCAGAAATAAATAAGTTCTTTGAAAACAATGAGAAAAAGACACAGTGTACCAGAATCCCTCAGACACAGCTAAAGCAGTGTTTAGAGGGAAATTTACAGCACTAAATGCCCAAAGGAGAAAGGAAGAAGTTCTAAAATCGACATCCTAATATCACAATTAAAAAAAACTAGAGAAGCAAAAGCAAACAAATTCAAAAGGTAGCAGAAGACAAGAAATAACTAAGACCAGAGCAGAACTGAGGGAGACAGAGACACAAAAAACCCTTCAAAAAATCAATGAATCCAGGAGCTGGTTTTTTGAAAATATTAACAAAATAGCTAGTCAGCTGGGCAGACTAATAAAGAAAAGAGAGAAGAATCAAATAGACACAATAAGAAATGAAAAAGGGGATATCACCACTGATCCCACAGAAATACAAACTACCATCAGAGAATACTATAAACACTGCTATTCAAATAAACTAGAAAATCTAGAAGAAATGGATAAATTCCTGTAAACATACACCCTCCCAGTTCTAAACCAGGAAGAACTTGAATCCCTGAATAGACCAATAACAAGTTCTGAAATTGAGGCAGTAATTGTTAGCCTACCGACTAAAAAAAGCCCAGGACCAGACAGATTCTCAGCCAAATTCACCAGAGGTACAAAGAGGAGCTGGCACCATTCCTTATGAAACTATTTCAAACAATAGAAAAAGAGGGACTCCTCCCTAACTCACATATTGAGGCCAGCATCATCCTGATACCAAAGCCTGGAAGAGACACAACAAAAAAAGAACACCTCAGGCCAATATCCCTGATGAACATCAATGTGAAAATCCGCAATTAAATTCTGACAAACCAAATCCAGCAGCACATCAAAAAGCTTATCCAACACGATCAAGTTGGCTTCATCCCTGGGATGCAAGGCTGATTCAACATACGTAAGTCAATAAACGTAATCCATCACGTAAACAGAACCAGTGACAAAAATTACATGATTATCTCAATAGATGCAGAAAAGCTATTCGATAAAATTCAACACACCTTCATGCTAAAAATTCTCAATAAACTCAGTATTGATGGAATGTGTCTCAAAATAATAAGAGCTATTTATGACAAACCCACAGCCAATATCATACTGAATGGGCAAGAACTGGAAGCATTCCCTTTGAAAACCAGCACAAGAAAAGGATGCCCCATCTCACCACTCCTATTCAACACAGTATTGGAAGTTCTGGCCACAGCAATCAGGCAAGAGAAAGAAATAAACGGTATTCAAATAGGAAGAGAGGATGTCAAACTGTCTCTGTGTGCAGATGACATTGATTGCATATTTAGAAAACCCCATCGTCTCAGCCCAAAATCTCCTTAAGCTGATAAGCAACTTCAGCAAAGTCTCAGGATACAAAATCAATGTGCAAAAATCACAAGCATTCCTACATACCAATAACGGATAAACAGAGAGCCAAATCATGAGTGAACTCACATTCATTATTGCTTCAAAGAGAATAAAATACCTAGCAATAGAACTTACAAAGGATGTGATGGACCTTTTCAAGAACTACAAACCACTGCTCAAGGAAATAAGAGAGGACACAAACTAGTGGAAAAACATTTCATGCTCATGGATAGGAAGAATCAATATCGTGAAAATGGCCATACTGCCCAAAGTAATTTATAGATTTAATGCTATCCCCATCAAGCTACCAATGACTTCCTTCACAGAATTAGAAAAAACTACTTTAAAGTTCATATGGAACCAAAAAAAAAAAAAATCCCATACAGCCCTATGCAAAAAGAACAAAGCTGGAGGCATCACATTACCTGACTTCAAACTATACTGCAAGGCTACAGTAACCAAATCAGCATGGTAGTAGTACCAAAACAGATATATAGTCCAATGGAACAGACCAGAGGCCTCAGCAATGATGTCACACATCTACAACCATCTGATATTTGACAAACCTGACAAAAACAAGCAATAGGGAAAGGACTCCCTATTTAATAAATAGTGTTGGGAAAACTGGCTAGCCATATGCAGAAAACTGAAACTGGACTCCTTCCTTACACCTTACACAAAAATTAACTCGAGATGGATTAAAGACTTAAACGTAAGACCTAAAGCCATAAAAACACTAGAAGAAAACCTAGGCAATACCATTCAGGACATAGGAATGGGCACAGAGTTCAGGATTAAAACACCAAAAGCAAAGGCAAAAAGAGCCAAAGTTGGTAAATGGGATCTAATTAAACTAAAGGGCTTTTGGCCAGACACGGTGGCTCATGCCTGTAATCCTAGCACTTTGGGAGGCCGAGGCAGGCGGATCATTAGGTCAAGAAATCGAGACCATCCTGGCCAACATGGTGAAATCCCATCTCTAGTAAAAATACAAAAATTAGCTGGGTGTGGTTGTGCACACCTCTAGTCTCAGCCACTCAGTAGCCCTATGCAGGAGAATCACTTGAACCCAACAGGTGGAGGTTGCAGTGAGCCAAGATTGCACAACTGCACTCCATTCTGGCAACAGAGTGAGATTCTGTCTCAGAAAACAAACAAACAAGCACAAAAAAACGTCTGCCCAGCAAAAAAAGCTATCATCAGAGTAAACAGGCAACCTACAGAATGGAAGAAAATTTTTGCAATCTATCCATCGACAAACGGTTAATATCCAGAATCTACAAGGAACTTGAACAAACAATCACATCAAAAAGTGGGCAAAGGATATGAACAGACACTTCTCAAAAGAATACATTTATGCAGCCAACAAACATATGAAAAAAAGCTCATCATCACTGGTCATTAGAGAAATGCAAATTAAAACCACAATGAGATACCATCTCATGTCAGTTAGAATGGTGATCATTAAAAAGTCAGGAAACAACAGATGGTGGTGAAGATGTGGAGAAATAGGAACACTTTTACACTCTTGGTGGCAGTGTAAATTAGTTCAACCATTGTGGAAGACAGTTTGGCAATTCCTCAAGGATCTAGAACCAGAAATACCATTTGACCCAGCAATCCCATTACTGGGGATATACCCAAAGGATTATAAATCATTCTACTATAAAGACACATGCACACGTATGTTTATTGCAGCACTATTCGCAATAGCAAAGACTTGGAACCAAGCCAAATGCCCATCAATGATAGACTGGATAAAGAAAATGTGGCACATATACACCATGGAATTCTACGCAGCCATGAAAAAGGATGAGTTCATGTTCTTTGCAGGGACATGGATGAAGCTGGAAACCATCATTCTCAGCAAACTAACACAGGAATAGAAAACAAAACACAGCATGTTCTCACTCATAAGTGGGAGCTGAACAATGAGAACACATGGACACAGAGAGGGAAACATCACACACCGGGGCCTGTCGGGGGGTGGGGGGCTTAGGGAGGGATAACATTAGAAGAAATAGATGATGGGTTGATAGGTGCAGCAAACGACCATGGCTCGTGTATACCTATGTAACAAATCTGCACATTCTGCCCTTGTATCCCAGAACTTAAAGTCTAATTTAAAAAAAAAAAAAAGCATAAGACTTCATCAAATTAAAACTTTTGTGCTTCAAAGGACACTATCAAGAAATGAAAAGACAGCCCATAGGTAGCTCACCCAAATTAAAAATAGTCACAGGATTTGAATAGGTATTTCTCCAAAGAAGACACACAAATGGCCAATAAGACAAAGAAAAGATGCTCAACATCATTAGGGGCAACATACAATTTCACACTCACCAGGATGTCTACATTTAAGACAACGGCAAGGATTGATGATAATGTGGAGAAACAGGGTCCCTCATCCATTATTGGTAGAAATGCAAAGTGCTGCAGTCATATTGGAAAATAGTTTGGCAGGTTTTCAAGTCTTAATAATAGAGTCGCCATATGACCCAACAATTCCACTCCTAGGTGTACCCAAGATAAATAAAAACACGCCCACAAAAAACTTGCACATGAATTATCATAGCAGCATTACTCATATACTCAAAAAGTAAAGACAGTCCATAATTCCATCAGCTGACAGGAATGAATAAACAAAGTGTCATATACTCATATAACAAAATATTATTCAGAAATAAGGATCAAGAATTTGTACATAGAACAACACAGGTAAACCTTGGAAACATTTACACTAAGTAAAAGAACTCAGTCACAAAAGGCTGCATATCATGTGATCCCATTTATGTGAAATGTCTAGAACAGGCAAATCTATAGTCAGAAAAATCAGAAGAAGTTGCCTGGGACTGAGTTGGAAAGGTGGCAGCAGAGAAGGAATGGGGAATGACTGCTAATGGGTATGGGGTTTTTGGAGGAAGAGAGTAATAAAACTATTTGAAAATTAATTTTGGTGATAGTTGCTCATCCTGCAAATATATTAAACAAAACTAAACTGTACACTTTAAATAAGGAAATTATATGGTATGTGTGAGGTGTCATATTTTCTATTCTCTGGAAAATAAATGTTTCTTAAGAAATCTTAAAACTATAACTTCTGTGATCTGGAAATAATCTCAATATCTTAGAAATTTTTTTAGCAGCATGTCAAAAAGACTCAAAGTTTGTAGTTACAAGTAACAGTGAACACAACTCCAAAAGGCTTAGCCAACAAAATAATTCATAATCCCACATAAGCAGAACTCTAGACTAGGGTAGTATTTGAGGTTAATACGGTTGTTTAATATTTTCATTCAAATCCCAAAGTACCTTCCATTTCATCCGGTCTGTCACTGTTAACATGTTGTCTTCAGTTTAGCTTCTCTCCTAACCCTAGACAGTTGCTAAAATCTCATGTACCACATGCTGACATGTCAAAGACAACTTGCAAAAAAAAGGATTGCTTAAAAGACTCTTTATAAAACTTTATAAACCTCAAACCCTTCCCAGAGCCTTCTGGTAGATTTACTGCCCTCACAATAGTTGTTTACAACTGCATCACATGCTTTCTCAGGGTGGATTTTGTTTAGTGTGAATTTTGTTTAGTGTAGGAGTGCATGCTGAAAAAAATTCACTCTATTGGGCTGGAGAGGGGCCTGCTCCTCTGCAGAACATGAAGTGTGGAAACAAGAAACCCAGGGAGTTCATTAGCTCAAGTAGAATAGCTGCTAATTATAATATGGAAGGATGATTATCTGCTATATATAATCATTTCATTCTTATTTCTACTCTATTAATTAAAATGTGCACTATTTTAGTTCCTTCTCACCTGAATCTATTCATTTCTAAAACATACAATATTTGGCTTTCCATTCCTGAGTTACTTCACTTAGTATTTACCTTATGCAGAAAAAAAAATGTTTACTATCTCCAGCCATTCACTCCTATAAAGTATTTTTTCTACTCTCCAATGACAGCAACTGGTTTTATGATTGTTCTTAAACTAAATAAAAAGTGATTTAGAAATTACGGTAGTAAGTTAAAGACCACTTTATCCAATTGCAAGGTTTTGCAGGCAGGAGACCAATAAATAAAAAGGAGAGCAATTAAGAAAAGGAGAAGAAGAAATAGAGAAAATCAAGGAGATAAAAGAAGAGAAAGGAGGTAGAAGAAATAGAGCAGCCAGAAGAGAAGAGGAAGAGGGAGAGTAAGAAGAGATAGGGGAGGAGAAATAAGAAGAGTAAGAAGATAAAATGAAAAAACAAAAGGAAGAAAAGAGAAAAGGAAAGATAAAGGCAGACACATAAGACTGCAACATAAAATGTGCCATTTCTCCACACTTTGACATATAACCATATGGTAACCAATGTTGGCAGCAAAACTTTATAGCACAAAAGCCTTCATGTAAGCAAATATAAAAAGTCATTTAGAAGTTGAAGTGATCTCAGAAAGGAATGCAGGTGGTGGCAAGTCAATCGTACTGTATTATAAATGTATATATATACACATATATACACACATATATAATACATATATATACACATATATATACACACACATATATATACACATATATACCACAGTTTCTTTATCATTGATTGATGGGCATTTGAGTTGGTTCCTTGTTTTTGCAATTGTGAATTGTGCTGCTACAAACACGCATGTGCAAGCATCTTTTTCATATAATGACTTCTTTTCCTCTGGGAAATACCCAGCAGTGGGATTGCTGGATCAAATGGTAATTCCACTTTTAGTTCTTTAAGGAATCTCCACATTGTGTTCCATGAATAATGGTGGTATTGTGATGGGAACTGCGTTTTGAAGATAGATTGCTTTTGGGACTAACATTTCTGATACTGCTATCTATAAATATTGGAAATGAGCAAATAAATAAATAAGTGGCAAATTGTTGGAGCCAAATTTCATATTGTTGGAGTGAAAATTTACAGATAAGCCAAATAAGAAGGCTGAAGTGACTTATGTGGTGATGGATTACAGTTGAAGACATCAGTGTGAACTCATGTTTAATTTCATAAAGATACAAGTGGTTACATAAAACAAAATTTATAGATATGTCTATATTCATGGGTTATTAATGCATATATTATCCAGCTCTGTCAGCTGAGAGGGCCTAAAAACAATGACACCCAGTAGTAATAAGCAGAATAGTGCTCAGATCTAGAGTCCTAATACTGTTCTCCAGTAAAATAAGCCAAGGCTCCTTGGAGCAATGTCTGATTCTGAAACTTCGGCAGAAAATATAACAGATGAACTGGGAGAATTTTATTGTGCCAAAAAAGTATTAACACACTCACACAACACACACAAATACACACAATTATGGAGTTATGTCAAAAGGACACAGGAGTCAATTGAAAGATTTGCCAAGGGCCCAAGCTAAAACAAGTCAAGCAAAGGAAAAGAAAAAAGAACAAAATAGTATTGGGTTATAACCCAAAGTATAAAATAAATATCTATGTACATACTTAAAAAAAATTAATAAATAAATGAATGGGAGTGAGAATAGGCAAATCTCCTATACAGAAGAATTCCAAATAGCTAATGAAGACTCTGTGTCCTCAAATGGTGAGAGCTAACTCCTCACTTCTTAAATCTAGGCTGCATGTAGTAACTCCTTCAGAGAATACAGTATAAAAGGGGGGGATGGATAGAGTAATATTACTCTGGAAAATTGCAGTGGAAAAACATGGCAAATGATACCTGAGCCAGGTGATCAAGGTCATTATCAGCAATCATACAGTGAAAGTACATACTCAAGATTATAAAAATAACACTTTATGCCTACAGTATTTCTCTGTAAAACCTACAACCCCAGTTTAATCATGAGAAAAACAGTAAAATACCAACAAAAAGGCACCCCACAAAAATACCTCATTGTTGTCAGTTTTCATATTTCTTTCAACTCTTTTTTTTTTTTTTTTTTTTTGAGACAGAGTTTTGCTCTTATTGCTCAGGCTGGAGTGCAATGGTGCAATCTCGGCCCACTGCAACCTCCACCTCCTGGATTCAAACGATTCTTCTGCCTCAGCCTCCCAATTAGCTGGGATTACAGGCATGCACCACCATACCCGGCTAATTTTGTATTTTTAGTAGAGACGGGGTCTCTCCGTGTTGGTCACGGTGGGTCTCGAATTCCCGACCTCAGGTGATCTGCCCGCCTTGGCCTCCCAAAGTGCTGGGATTACAGGCATGAGCCACCGCACCCGGCCTGTTTCATCTCTTTTTATCTCAAACAGTACCTTAGTTTTCTTGTTTTTCATGAAGTTGATATTTTTGAAGGGTTTCATTTATTTTATTGACTGTTCCTTAAACTGGGTTTGCTTGATGTTTTCTCATAAACAGATTCATGTTACAAGTTTTTCTAACAGATTCTATAGAAATGATATGTTTTTTTCAAGTGCATCATATTCATAGGCAAACGTCTGCTCTGTTCCTTTATTGGTGATGTTAACTTTGATCACTTAGTTTAGATAATATTTGCCAGATTTCTTTTTCACTGTAAAGTTAATCTTTTTCCCTTTCTATTTAATAAATATCTTATGTCAAAATGTTAAGATGCTATAAATATTCTGCCTCTAATTAAACTTTTGTACACTATTTTTAACATCCATTGATGATTATTACCTGAAACAACTTTTAATGTGATAGTTACCAAATGGTAAATTCAGAAGGTTTCATCAGTCTTTCTATAGCTTTCAATTTGCAGTCCATGTAACCCTGATTTAAGTAGGTAAAAATATTAGAATAGTTGATATATGGAGATAATTCATTTATCCAAGGTTTTAAAAGGTATTTTTAGAATAGGAATATGTCAACTAAAAAAAAAAAGCTTCTGTAGCAATATACAAAAAGTTATGTTCAATATAATAATTTAAACATTTTCTATATTTAGTTTAGATCTTTACCATATTTTTTGATGTTGACTAAATGAATATTTTAAGCCATTTTTTAACTTTTATCTAATCAAGATTCACTGTTCTGTCACAAAATAAAATTATGATGTGAATAGAACTCATTTTTGAATACGACTCCAAGCAAATTATGAGTTTTTCTGTATGCAGTGGAATGAAACAAGTTTAAAAGTAAATCAATATACTCAAATTTACTTCACTAGTATTTTACAGCATTTACCAGACAGTGTATCATATGACAGTTAAAGTGAATCTCTATACAACCTGATAGAATGAACTCCCAGAAGGCAATGGTATTATTTTTTTTGTATTAAATAGGAATACTTATCTTATATTGTTCATATAATGGAATGGATTTGGTCTGTTTAATGTATGTTTCTATAAACAGCCTATTGCTAAAGAAATAAAATGTTTTAAGATAAAAGAAACTATAAGAGCATTTAAAAACCAGAAACGTATCGCCTTTCAGCCTTTTGGCTAAGATCAAGTGTAAAAATTGGAAATATGGCTAAATTATAAGCAAAAACAGGGATAGCCATAAAGAAACTGTATTAAAGTTGTACCTGAAAAGAGAACTATGACCAAATGTGCCAATTTATCAGAGAATATCTTTCTATAATACTGACATGAATGAAAGACAACTGGAGTCCAGTGGCCTTTGGTTTTGTTATTATATTCAACATATAAAAACAGAAGGCTATTGCACTAATTCTAGAATAAAGAGTTATTTGAATTATACCACCATATATTTCATTCAGATGACACTATATTGTGATCGTCTGCCAAATGTTCTCAGGAATGCTTACGCTTTCTAATACGTCCTTTTCTGGGCAACTGTCTTCTAATATCTGGGTTTTTCCGAAAGTAACAATTATCCTCTGCTTTTCTGAAGGCATTACATGGGGGCAAGGGAGGTGAGGAAAAGCAGGTGGAGCAACAGATTTTCACTCAGAAATTCTTTCTCTCCAGGGACTTTTTGAGCCTACTGGCAGAAGAAACCACTCTCTTCGCACTTGGAATGGTATTAATGTTTCTTCTTGCCTATTTTAATCTATCTTTCACACTACTAGACAACAAGATTCCAGAATTTTAAAATCTTAAAGAATTCAATCTTTTCCTACAACTATAGGTGAAAATTTTAATTTTGTATTGTAGAATCCTCAAATCTTAATAAGCTAAGCGAGTTTTAAATGAGTCAATATACATTCTGTTATATTCAGCTTTTACTATTTCTCGTTATTCTTCAGTTTTTAAGTTTGGACATCAAATTTTAACTCCAGAGTAATTAATGATTAATGAAATATTCAAATTTATTTTAAATGAAATCATAACTGAATGGGGAAAGGTGCTGTAATTTTTTGTGAATATAACCGCATATTTACTTGACTCTTCTAAAACATCTAAATTCATCACGGCTTTTTTCTACCTATTCCACCCCTTGAAAACCTCCAAAGTATCTATATTCTTTATCCCAATATTTAACTACTACACATTTCTATAATGTCATATTCTGTAATGTGAATACATAATACATAATTACATTATCAGTACTGCTGCTAAGTAAATCACTAGCTAGAGAAGGATGTATTATTTATACCACATAACACTTAGAATTCTACTATAGAATAAACTAGAATACAGAGCAGGTATAGGTGCTATTACATGAGTTCTCACTGCTACATAGTTTTGATAATTAATTTTAACGTCAATTATATGAGGTAGGCATTATTGTAGCCAATGTACAGATGTAGAATCTGAAGCTTGAAGTGGTCACATAACTTTCTGAAGATGATTCAGCCAGTCACTGAGAAGGATATAAATCAAATGCACTTTTCTTTAATCACAGCCTGTGACTTTTCTACTACACAATACCGTATCTACACCTTTACCAAATAAGTACTTGTTTCTACACATTCCCTTTATTTGTTCCACGTGTGGATTTTTAAAACTTTACCTTAATTTTATGCTCATTAAAGAAAAATAATATATCATATTACTTTTATATTCTGTACCTTATGAAGAATCAGTATGGTTTCTGGCCATGGCAAAATGGAAGAAGGGCCTCACATTAAGTCATAATATACTCCAAAATGTCAAAATGAAGTTTGCATGTTACAATTTATATATCCAAGAGTGAAAAATGCTGACAATCCCATACATAGTAGGGCATCACATATGGCAGAGGATGACATATAACTGGCAACCATAAATAATTTGTATTAGTTTTAAGACAATGTAAAAATTATAAATTCTTGATCTATATAGAAAGTAAAAACTAAAGTTAATTCACTCTGTGAGAAAAATTTGTCACAAATCTTCAAGGCAGGATGTGTCTTTTGCCCTGCCCCAACTTTTATGGTAGAAATCACTTTAGAAATCTATTTTAAATCTGTTCTATTTAAATGGATTTTGTAAAGTTATATCATATGGAGTGACGCAAATTCCATTTAGATAGCGAACTCTCTTTCAAAACATAGGCAATAAACTATTCTACAGAAGATGCAGGGTTTTATAATTTTTTTAAAAAATGTAAATTTGTTCAATTATATATAAAGCAACTGTGGATTACCAAAACATGGAATGTCATAAAACTTACAAAATAAGTTCTTACAAAATAAAGGACTATTGACACTTACAAGTTGCATTCAAAAAATGTTGGGGGAGAAAAACTCTCAGTTGTTATGCTACTTTAATGAAAGCTAGTATTTTATCAACTGTGATTTTTTAAAAATATATTTATTGTAAGTTATGGCGGGGGGAAGACTCAAAAAAGCTGTGGAACTAGGAAAGGTTTTTAAAAAGAGAGGTTTTTCCCTTAAGTTGTTAGAAATGGAAAACTAAGCTTTATGGACCTGCCCCAGCGTAGGCGCCATCATGGGAGTCCACATCCACCACAACAAGGACCAAAGGTTCAGCGCAAGGAGCCCAAGAGCCAGGATATCTACCTGAGGCTGTTGGTCAAGCTGTACAGGTTTCTGGCCAGATTAACCAACTCCACATTCAACCAGGTTGTGCTGAAGAGGTTGTTTATGAGTCGCACCAAACAGCCACCTCTGTCCCTTTGCCAGATGATCCGGATGATGAAGCTTCTCGGCCGGGAAAACAAAACGGCTGTGGTTGTGGGGACCACAATGGATGATGTGCGGGTTCAGGAGGTGCCCAAACTGAAGGTGTGTGTGCTGCGCGTGACCAGCTGGCCAGACCGCAGCAGCATCCTCAGGGTCGGGGCAAGATCCTCACTTTTGACCAGCTGGCCCTGGACTCCTGCAAGGGCTGCAGCACCGTTATGCTCTCCGATCTTCACAAGGGTCCAGAGGTGTACTGGCATTTCAGCAAGGCCCCGGGAACCCGGCACAGCCACACCAAACCCTACGTTTGCTCCAAGGTCCGAAAGTTTGAGTGCAGTGGAGGCCTACGGGCCAGCCGAAGATATGAAAACAAACCCTGGATCCTACACTTTATTAAAATGATTTTGGATACTGACAAAAAAAAAAGAAATTAAGAAATGGGAAACTATGGCTCCTCCTTTAGTGAAATTGAGAGGTGAAGCAGGCTGGGCTTCTGGGTGGGGTAGGGACTTGGGGAACTTTTCTGTCTAGCTAAAGGATTGTAAATGCACCAATCAGCGCTCTGTGTCTAGCTAAAGGTTTGTAAACGTACCAATCAGCACTCTGTAAAAATGCACCAATCAGTGTTCTGTGTCCAGCTAAAGGTTTGTAAAAACACCAATCAGCACTCTGTAAAAACGGACCAATCAACACTCTGTAAAATGGACCAATCAGCAGGATGTGGGTGAGGCCAAATAAGGGAATAAAAGCTGGCCACCCCAACCAGCAGCAGCAACCCACTTGGGTCCCCTTCCATGCTGTGGCAGCTTTGTTCTTTTGCTCTTTGCAATAAATCTTGCTGCTACTCACTCTTTGGGTTCACACTACCTTTATGAGTTGTAACACTTAACGCAAAGTCTGCAGCTTCACTCCTGAAGTCAGAGAGACCACAAACCCGCCCGCAGGCACGAACAACTCCCGACGCGCCATCTTTAAGAGCTGTAACACTCACTGCGAAGGTCTCTGGCTTCACTCCTGAAGTCAGAGACACCGTGAACCCACCAGGAGGAACGAACAACTGTGGACGCGGCACCTTTAAGAGCTGTAACACTGACCGCGAAGGTCTGCAGCTTCACTCTTGAAGTCAGCAAGACCACGAGTCCATCAGAAGGAAGAAACAACTCCGGACGCGCCACCTTTAAGAGCTGTAACACGCACTGTGAAGGTCTGGGCTTCACTCCTGAAGTCAAGCGAGACCACGAACCCACCAGAACGAAGAAACTCTGGACATATCTGAATATCGGAAGGAACAAACTATAGACACACCATCTTTAAGAACTGTAACACTCACCACGAGGGTGCGCGGCTTCATTCTTGAAGTCAGCGAGAGCAGGAACGCACCAGAAGGAACAAATTCTGGGCACAAAATCAAAGCCTGCTAAAAGATGCCTGGAAAGGATTTTAAAAGGTTTCTTTTCCCAAAGCTTATGCAGGGCATAACAAGGATTTTCACAATTTAAAAAGAAGACTAAATTAGCGCCAAGAGAAAAATTAAGAAAGTTTCATTTGTCAATTATGTGCATGTGCACATGCAGTGTGACATTAAATTCCATTCCAATTAGTTTATTTTATAAAGAGGGTAACTTAGTGTTGCTAATTGTGTATGGTCACCTTTTGACCTCAAGACAAATTTGGCAAAAGAAGAGGAAGACCTATGCATTGCAAACTACAAAACGTCGCTGAGAGAAATTGAAGAGAACGTAGACAAATAGATACACTGTGCTCCTAGTTCAGACAACTGAATAGTGTTAAGATGTCAATTCTTCCAAAATTGATCTATACAGTTAATGCAATCCCAATCAAACTCCCAGCTTTTTAGTAGAAATTGATAAGCTGACTCTAAATTCTATACAAAAATGAAAGGATCTAAACATTTGAAGACAATATTGATAAAAAAGTTGGTGGATTTATACTACCTGATTATAAGAATTATTTTAAAACAACAATCAAGTATGGTACTGGCATCAAGACAGCTAATAAAAATAGAAAATGGAGTCTAAAATAAACTGACAAATCTATAGTCAACTGATTTCTAAAACACACAAAAACAATTTAATATAAAAAATCATTTCAAAAAATGTTACTGGAACAATTCAATATCCATACTAAAACCAAATGTTATGTCCCATGGTATAAAATAATTAACCCAAAATGATCATAGACCTAAATGTAAAAAGTAAAACTGTAAAATTTCTTGAAGAAAGCATAGGTGAAAACCTTTAAGACTTTGGATTAGGTAAAAATTTCTTGGTTATGACAGCAAAAAGCATGATTCACTTTTTAAAATGATAGCACTTCATCAAAATTAAGAATATCTTCTCTTTGAAAAACATTATTAAGAAAATGAAAATAAAGGCCAACCTGGGAAAATACAGTCACAAATAACTGTCTGAAAAAGTACTTGTATTAAGAATACATTTTTTTAAAACTCAAAATATAAGCACAAACAAACCTATTAAAAATAGGCAAAATATTTGAATAGACACTTCACCAAAGTAGATACAGTAACCACATAAAAAGGTTTTTAATATCATTAGTCATTAGTTACATAGAAATTAAAACCACAATAAGGTATCACTACACACCTTTCAGAATGGCCACAATTATCAAGACAGCAGACCAAGTGTTGGTGAGAATGTAGAGCAACTGAAGCTTTCAAACACTGCTTCTTGGAAATGTAAAATGCTGCAATCACTTTGGGAAAAAAAATTAGCTTTTTTATTTTAAAGTTAAACATATACCTGGCTTATGTCCCATATATTTTACTCGTAGATGTATATACCTAAACATAAATCAAAGAATATCTTCATACAAAGGATTTTATATGAATGTTCATATGGTCCTTACATGCTGTTGCTCAAAACTGGAAATAACCCAAATGTCCAAAAACAGCTGACTCAATAAATGGATTATGGCATATTCATAAAAGGGAATACTATTCAGCTATAAATGTAATGAACTAAGGATGCATGTAGCAACATAGAGGACTCTCAAAATAATAATGCTGAGTGAAAAAGGCAGACAAAAGATGGTACATACTGTAGGATTCAATTTATATAAATTTATGGAAAATATAAAGTAATCTATAATGGCAAAAAGCTGTTCAGTGATTATCTTGGGTAAGCTGAATGGGATGATGTGATTACAAAGAAGGACAATGAGACTTTGCCATAATAGATATGTTCATTATCTTGATTATAGTGATGGCTTCATCAGCATATAACTAGGTCAAACATATCGAATTGCATACTTTAAATATGGGCAGTTTGTCATATATCAATTATACTTCAATTAAGTTGTAAAAATAGTTATAAAAGCAAAAGGTATGTCTGCACTGTTTTATATATATTCATTTTAATTTAAAATGTGTGGAATTGGCCACTTGTCTGACTTTTCTCTCTACTAAATAAAAATAAATACTATTTACTCATACTTTTCTATTTCTGCTGTTCATCTGGTGTCAAAGTTCACATGAAAAGAGAAATGGTAAATTATATATTACGGAATACAGGAAATCTTCAAGTATTATGCTCTCCAATTATACCATAATTACAAGACGATAAGGGTAGGAATTTTAACTATCTCAATGTCTGTGCCCGTTTGTTCTCTTAGCTTTCTCTCCCTTAGTAGAAAAAATGATGCAAGAACTTTAAGCAAACCTGTCACTCCTATGAAATTCAAATTCTAATCCAAAAATTTCTTTAAAGTGGCCCCTTAAAATGCTTCAGGCCACATATATAAACAAAGTATAGCTGGAACTTGCGAAAAGTAGCATAGAATGTCTAGTCCACAAGACTCTTAAATTCGAAAAATGTACATGAGCTAGGTAATAAAAACTTTTCACTTCCTAAATATCACGACTTAAGATTTCTTCTTTCCTGAAAATACTAAGTACATTTTATTTATATATTTCTAAAGGGAAAGCTAGAACACCAGACAGGTAAATTAAAGCATGTTATAATCATCTACTTATGTATTTGCAAAAGCATCAAATCTGTTATAAAATAAATCAATTCCCCTTAGGAAATTTATTTAAAAGATGAGAATCACTTTTTAAGAAAGCATATGCTGTATTGATTTACATTGTTAATATATTTAACTCTACAACTATAGATATTATGTATTAGTCAAGACACACATGAATTTTCATTTTAACAATAAAATCTCCCTAAGGCAATAGAATTCAGAAATAAAGACAGTTACAGAAAGCCCATTCTTCTCCTTTCCATTGGCTAAATTCCTCTTCTCCTCAAATCAGCCATCCCTTGAAATAAGAAAAGCAAGAGAAATTTATAAACTGAGAGTGGCATGATAGAAGATAAACAGTAGGGAAACATATAACTACCAGAGCAGCATATCGTGACCTTTTCCACATCATAGCACATATAGGAAAATATAATATTTGTAGGGCACACTGCAGTAAGCTGAGAATGATTACGGCTAGAGGGAATTCTATCAATTCTAGCCTCCTAAGGCCCAATCAGACCATGTGAAGGGCCACAGGAAGCAAAATCTCAGACATATCCATCACTCATTTGTAGTATACCCACTGTGTGCTCTGACACTGGGAATAGTTAAGCTAGAGGATTTTTATGTTCATCTACAACATGGAAAATTGGAAAAAGGAATACTGAATTTTCTATATCTTACACCTTAGAATAAGCAGGTTGGTTTTCCCCAGGATTCCCTAATACTTGTGATCCATATGGGAGCATTACTTCCAGACCTCATATTTATAAATAATTATATTCCTGAAAAGGTACTGTGTTGAAAATGTTATAATTTAAGTGCATTTTTTCCCAGTACACATATTTTACCAGAGACGTTAATGTATTGAGACCAAGTTCAAGACCACTAATAATTCAGTATGCTACAACAACCATTTAATTCACTTATTTTATATAAAAGAACTACTAACCCCATATATCTTTGTTTAAAGTGGTTATAAACAAATAGACAAGACCATATGTAACTAATACCATGAAATCATATATAACATGTATGTGCCTCTATAATTCCTCGGTCTTAATATCAGAAATTGGATAAACCTGCTTTGGGAAGAAAAGAATTAATACTGGCCAGATTTACCCTTTTGCCCAAAACAACCAAAGAAAGAAAAATATATCTTAAGCAATGGTTTTCAAGACACATCAGTGATTCCCAGATAAATAGGAAAAAAAAATAGTCCCCAAGATTTTCTCAGTTTGCTGCCTGGAGAGCATATCCTGATCATAGGACAAGGAAGAAGAACCCCAGGCAGAGCCCAGTAATTTCCCTCAGATGAGCAGATGGATCTGGAAGTCTGAAGAGACCAAGGTGGCCAAAATTCATTAGGTGGAGTACCAAAAAGGATAGAGTTATGAAGATAAAGTACTCTAGAAATCTACAGAAGATCATCACATGCATATGAGGAAGCTACCTAATATCTAAGAAAGAACCACCTGAAAGTCTTAAGGGAACAAATCCCTTAGCCAGTGTGAAAAAACTCATAATTCAGATATATCAAGTGAAGGACTCAGAACTGGTTTAAAATCAGCCCCACAGAAAACTTTGTCCCGGCCTCACTTAACAAAACGTAAAAGCAAGTCCCCAAATGAACAAAATGTTTCCAAGTAACTTAACTGCATCATATAACAAAGCCCAAATATATTTATAGAAATACAAACATATCCAGCACCTAAGAAAATAAAATCTACAAAGTCTGGCATCCAGTAAAAAATTACTAGCCGTGAAAAAAAGCAATAAAATATGAACCATAATGAGAAGAAAAACCAAGCAGGCAAAATCAGCCCAATTTACAAACTGAATGTCATCAAAACTAAAAACTTCTGCTCTTCAAAAACACACCACTGCAAGAATGAAAAACAAGATACAGACTGGGAAAAACATTTGTAACTTACATATCTGATGAAGGATTTTTATCTAAAATGCATAAAAAACTCTCAAAGCACAATAACACAAGCAAATTAAAAATGGGCAAAATATTTAAGCGCATACCAAAGTAGACAATCACAAAATCCATATGACAATAACCCCACTATCATTAATAATTAGAGAAATGCAAATTGAAACTACAATAAGATATCAGTATGTACCTATTAGGATGAAACTCTCAAACTGTGAAATGAACAATGGTACAATGGCTTTAAAATGTTTTGGCAGTTTCTGAAAAAGTGAAACATACACTTAAGATATGATCCAGCCATTCTACTTCAGGGCATTTACCCAGGAGAAATAAGGCAACTGTCCACACCAAGACTTATACATGAATGTTTAAGCAACTGTACTTATAATTGCCAGAAACTAGAAATAATCCAAATGCCCATTTGGACAAATAAATTCTGATATAAACATACAATGAAATACTGCTTCTTTGTAAAAGGGGATTGATTATTGGGCACATAACAAAGTGGATGAATTTCAAAATTATTATGGTGAGGGAAGGTAGCCAAACAAAAAGCACATACCCTGTAATTTCATTTACATAAAATTCTGGCAAATGCTGACTAATCTATAGTGACAGAAAACAGATCAATTGTTGTCTGGGATAAGAAAAAACAGAAATGGATTAAAACAAGTCATTATGAAAGGTCAAAAGAAAATTCTGGGGTGTGATGTGTTCAGTATTTTGATTATGGAGATGGTTTTACAGGTATATAAATATGTCAAAGCTTATCAAATTGTACATTTTATGTAACTGCTGTTACAGTATGTCAATTAAACCTCAATACAGCTCTTAAGATTTTTAAAATCAAACAAAAGAAACATTTATTTTGGGATTTGAATATTATTGTATTAGGAATTTTACTAGAATAAAAACCTTTGTGTTTTCCATACCTTGACTAACTTCTTCCCAGGGTGAAGAAGTGATTTGTTTGATTGGTGAACTTCAGAGAAGAAAATTGTTCTGGTGGCTCAGCTCCTTCTGGATTCCCTCTTCCCGGATCTGCCTCCCACAGAGAGTATTCACTCTGGTCTTCCCTATGGCGTGCAGCAACAAACCTGGACTCTTAAAAAAATACATAAATAGCTCATATTATTTGCAATGAAATTTGCCCTTATTTATTTAACAAATATTTTCAAGTACTCATTATGTATCATACATCGTTCCAAGCTTGAGAGATAGTACAGAGATTGTATTCTACCTTCATGAATACATTCTAACTGCAAGTGATTGACTGAATTATTGGACCCAGTACTTCAGCATTTCTTATTTCTACCTAATTTTCCTTCCTTTATTTAGAAAAAGAAACAGTAATGAATATGTTGCATACCATCATTTCTTAGTTCCTCTGACTACAGCCCTCCGTTTGTACTCTTCCCTTGGTCTATGTCAGTGTTAATAAAAGAGCTGGTCTCAAACTTCATTGTGAAACCAATTAACCTAATTGTCTTGTTAAAACACAATTAATGGAACCTATACCTAGAATATTTGATTCAATAGATCTGGAGTGGAATGCAAGAATTTGCATTTTTAACAAGTTTCCAGGTGACACTAATGCTGCTGATCATGGAACACACGTTGAGAGCCGCTGTGTTAGAGGCAAGTCTACAGGTGCTCCTAGGAATTTAAGGCGAAGTTGAAGCTTATGAAAGAAAGACTTAGACTGCTGTCAGAGCTGGCCCTACTCCTCCAGACTGTCTCCTATTGGAGCACTTTTCTAAAAATACCTTGATAACTCATGGTTTTTATTTTCCTAAAAGGAGGTTAGTTCTTTAAATGTTTACTACCTACAAAGGTCATTATTGCTGACTCCAATGTTTTTTTTTTTTGGATTTTTCGTGCCTTCTTTAATATATGTTAAATTCTGATACATAAATGGTTGTTTCTAAATTATTCTATTCCACTGGTCTGTTAGTTCTTGATCCCAAACCTGCTAAAATCACATGTTAATTCTGTTTTTGTTTTGTTTTGTTTTGTTTTTATTATTATTATACTTTAAGTTTTAGAGTACATGTGCACAATGTGCAGGTTAGTTACATATGTATACATGTGCCATGCTGGTGTGCTGCACCCATTAACTCATCATTTAGCATTAGGTATATCTCCTAAAGCTATCCCTCCCCCCTCCCCCCACCCCACAACAGTCCCCATGCTCATGGGTAGGAAGAATCAATATCATGAAAACGGCCATACTGCCCAAGGTAATTTATATATTCAATGCCATCCCCATCAAGCTACCAATGACTTTCTTCACAGAATTGGAAAAAACTACTTTAAAGTTCATATGGAACCAAAAAAGAGCCCGCATTGCCAAGTCAATCCTAAGCCAAAGGAACAAAGCTGGAGGCATCATGCTACCTGACTTCAAACTATACTCCAACGTATTTTTTCTACATCTCTCTTGACAATTTTCAGCTTAGACAATTTCCACCCTCCCTTCTATTCATTATTAACCAATTATTGTTACTATGTCATCTGCAAGGTGAGAGATCTTATTGGTGTAGATGGTGATAAGATAATATAGAACCAGACTGAGTTATAAAGATTTTCAGAAAGTGCACCAGGAATGAAGCTCATTTGGGTGTACCTCCAGCTTGGAAAGTAAATGATTGTGGTGTGAGATATTGATTTATTACCCTAGAACCAAATCATCCTAACTTGGGTACTGTCTGTATCTATAAATAAGAGTTTTGTTTGGGTATCTAATATCTGAGTGAGATCTGTTTAAGATTAAGAAAGGAGAAGAAGGGTCAGCACTTGACTGAGTGTATGCAGACTTAGAGAGAAGAGGGTACCTTGCTGTCTCTCACCACAGACCCAGGCTAATGTGTCAAATATTGCAGTAAGAGGAGCCAAAGACAGTAGCTGCTAAGTTGGTTGAACTGTGATGTAATTGTAGACTTTCCTATTTGAATTTATAAACTACAAGTCTGTGGCATACCTTCTTCTTTTAATCCACAGGTATCCACCTGGCTCCTCCAGTCCAAGTTGAGAAAGTTTAGTGTTGTTCTTAAGCATCTGGCCATAATTTGCCATAATTCTTCCCTGTGTTCTGAAATTTGCCCTGTGCATTGAATTTTGATTCTTCTTGAATCATCTGGGTTTCCCTTAAAATGGATCTCTTATTTCTCATTATCAACTCTTTTTCTCTGGCAAGTAGACAAAATGTAGCAACCATGGATGACTGGCTGACCCGTGTCACTGTAGCAGAGTTCAACTTTAGTAATCAATAATATATTTTATCAGAGCTTCTTGCATGAATTAAGATGACAAGCCTATCACTTTCAAAATTGCTATATCATACATTTATCATCATTATTAAATGAAACAATAGTATTTCAAATAATACTAAGTTTCAAATACTAAGTTTCAATACTAAGTTTTCAATACTAAGTTTCAAATAATACTAAATTTCAAATACTAAGTTTCAAATACTAAGTTTCAAATACTAAGTTTTAATATTTAAATTCTTGTGTGTGTGTGTGTATGCGCAGAAATCTGTTAATACTAAACTTTAAGTAGCTAAAAATGCTTTTTAAAATTCAAAACAATGTGTCATTACTCAATTCACTAAAAAGAGAAATTGTGTCTCAGGAAGGAATAAAGGTAAAAATGAACAAAAGAAATCTTGTTTCAGGAAGAAATAAAGATAAAACAAAAATGTGAAATACAATCTAACTATTCCAAGCTAAGAAATAAGGGAAAGAAGCATTTTAAACTAAATATAATCCTCTCTCTCTTTCCCTCTCTCTCTATATCTCTAGAGAGATATATATATAGATATACATACATATTTTATATATGTATATAAAATATATATATATACAAAAAACAAGTATTTGAAACCATCAAGTTTAAATTTATTTTCATATACTTTATAAACTAAAAATTAAAATTACTAATGCTATAAAAGCATTTTCTTAATGAAAACTAATATTAACATTACAAATTATAATTTTTTTACATTCTAAAAATTCAACCTAACATGTTCACCTTGCCTAAGTTTTCTAATGAAAGGTAGGTAGGGATTATTGAACAGTGATCCAACAACAAAAATTATAGTTATAGAAAACTTATTTCTGTGTACTAATATATCTTTATCTGATGTCTAGGGAAATCTACTAGAGTAGTAAATAATGATTAGCCATTTGAATTACCATTGGAATTACCCAATTACTTTCTTATTACTAATAATTTGCCAATAAAAATTTGTGAAATACAACTCTCCGATACATAAGCATGTTACATAACTGACAATAGCAAATGTCTAGAACAGACCTGTGTTCATCTGCTAAAATGGATGCTGGCTTCCTAGCAAGCTATTAACACTTAGCCAACACTATACCTCTGCCAGAGTCAGTGCTAGGACCTGAAGAAGAGTTAATCTAAGAACCAGCTGGAACAATCAGGGACTTTGTGACTTCTTACAGTATATTCTAGAGGTAAAAAATACGGTAAAGGCTAGAGGTAAAAAGCTTCCTAGACTCAAGAAATTTAATTTATTGGACACCACAGTGTTGTTATGATGAGAGTGTATAGTCTAAATCAAGGTTTGAAAAATCAGTTTTTTAGGTTGGAGGTGAATTTTATGTTTGTTGTTTTTCCCCTTCCTGGACTGCCACTTCTGCAGCCCATTCTCTTGGCATGCTAAGTTTTGTCCTTTTTTAGGTCCATGTTCACTAAGTGGGCAATGCATGGGGGTCTTCCTTACTGTTATAGTTGTAGTGGGATTTCCATATAGTTTCCATAAGTTTTCTGTACTGAAGCTAAAGAAGACCATTAAAAGTCACTGGGGTAAAAGTTTTTCAGGCAAAATTAATGCTTGAACAGGGACTTGATAATTAGCCTCAAACTCTACTAAATAGACTTCTTGTAGCCTTACCAAAGTTAGTAATGACTAAACGTAGATTTCTCATTTGTAATTTTTCTAAATATACTGTACATTCATCATATTCATGAAGGCATCCTCATATCCAGCCACATAAAGCTGACACAAAACAAAAGAATGAAAAATTTGTACATTGCCAAAATAGGTGTCAAATTCAGTAAGTACTAATACCAAAATATTTTATTATTAATTACTCAAAACATACTTATTTTTGTATAAACAAGGTAGAAATAATCATAATTCCTTAGTCATCTTATCCTTCTATAAAGCATGCTATATAAAGAGGGTGGCTTAAACAATATGTACTTCTCACAGTTCTGGAGGCTGGGAAGCCCCACCATCTGGGAGCAAGCCAATTTGGTGTATGGTGACATCAGAAGTAAAGTGTGAGTGCAAGAAGCAATGGTATACAGAAAATTGATGCTGAAAGATATATTAATATAAACATTAATAGCATAGACAAGAGTTAAAATATTTACTACTGGACATAAAATATAGAATTAAAATTGAAGACATAAAATTTCTACTTGCGATATTATAAAAATGCAAAGTAAACTCACAGTAAGCATAAGGAAGGGATAAAACTTAATAAAAAATAATGAGTTGGAAAATAAAAATAAATTAGAGGATTGATGAAGTAAAGTTACAGTATGTTGAAAAGACTAATAGTGGATAAATATTTTGCATATTTGATTCCAAAAAATAAATATAAAAGTAGAAAATAAAGATTCATAAGAGATTAACAAGATAATAAAAGAATATTGTGAGATATTCCATGTCAATTATTTGAAAATGAAGTGCTATAGTTTGAATATTTATCCCCTCAAAACTTATATCAAAGATGAGTTGGTTGAACATTAGAAAATTCATTAATATAGTTTATTTTACTTATACATTAAAGAAGAAAAAAAATTCTCTATTTTTAAATACTGAATATAGAATCTGATCACATTTTAAATTAAAATTTTTAATAAATTATAAATTTAAGGGAATTACTTTAATTAAGACTACGAGTAAAAGTTCTTAAGGCATTGTAATACACAATGGTGGAAAGTTAGAAGCATTTTATTAAACTAAGTCTAGAACAAGTTTATTTGTTTTTACTACTTTTGCTCAATATTGTACCTGAAGTCCTAATCTACATAAAAAAGTAATAAAAGCAAATTAAACATATAAGGATTAAAATGAAAAATTATTCTTATTTGAAGATGATACAACATCTTATATACCAGACAAAAGATAATTCACAGATAAATTATTAAATATGTATAAGGGAGGTAAGCAGTTACCTAATATGAATTTTTAAAATTTTCTATATACCTTCAAGAAACAGCTAGAAAATAAGTTTATAAATATCATTTGTAATAAGAATAAAAATGTAAAGCACATAGGAAGAATTGAAGATATGTAAGCTCTTTAAGGAGAAAATGAAGGAAGTTTATAATACAATATAAGAAAGACCTAATAGCAAGGTTCCAGTTTGTTGGGTGGCCGTAAACAATGGAAATTTACTCTTTCACAGTCCTGGAGATAGAAGTCCAAAATTAGGGCATCAGTGGGGAAATGTTCTCTCTGAGACTCTAGGTCTAATATTTCTTGCCTCTTTCTAGCTTCTGGTGGTGGCTGTCAAACTTTGGCACTCATCCATCTGCAGTTGCATCACACCATTCTCTGCCTCTTTTGTCACATGACATTCTCTCTGTCTCTTCTCACAAAGCTGCCAGTCAGATTGGATTAAGGATCCACCTTACTTCAGTATGAACTGATCTTAACTAATTACACCTGCAACAACCAACAGCCCAGTTTCCAAATCAGGTCACATCCTGGGGCGCTAGAGGTTAGTATTTCAACATACCATTTCGGAGGACACAATTTAACCCATAACAGTGTGCTCTCTAACACTCCAAAATTCATGTCCTTCTGATATGCAAATTACACTTATCCCATGCCAACATCGCTGGAAACTGTAGCTCATTCCAACACAACTGTAAGTCCAAAATTTCATCTAAATATTATCAATTCAAAGAGTCCTAAATATCATCATCTGAAACATTAGATACAAGGGCTCTTTCCTGGATAATCACATCCCTATTCCTGGCTTCTGCTGAGAGGGTTGATTGAATTCGCGAGTTACATGCCAATCATTTTAGTAAATGGTTGCCCAGTCACACCCTTGGCTCTGTTGCCAGAGCACACTATCTGAAGAGGCTAATCATTTTCCAAATTATCAACTGCTGGTTTCCTCTGACTTGACTTAAATCATTTCCTAATTTATTCTCACATTTTCCTAAAACAAAAACAAGAAACCATGTTGCATCTTCCATACTTTGCTCAGCTAAATATCCAAGTGCATTACCTACAAGTTCTACTATCCACCTAACAGAAGAACATAATTCAGCCAAGTCCTCTGCTACTTTATAACAAGAATCACTTTTCTTCCATTGTCCAATAACATGTCCCTCATTTCCATTTGAAACTTGACCACAAACACCTTTAACTTTCATATTTTTCATAACATGTGGCTTGTGATGATCTGTTTTTTTTTCTATTTTTTCTACTTTTAAAACTGTTTTTAATGTTTTTATTTCAATAGGTTTTGGGGGAACAGGTAGTATTTGGTTACATGAATAAGTCCTTTAGTGGTGATTTCTGAGATTTTGGTGCACCCAACACCTGAACAGTGTACCCTGTACCCAATATGCAGTCTTTTGTGCCTCCCCACCCCCCACCCTTTCCCCCGAGTCCCCGAAGTCCAATGTATATCATTCTTATGCCTTTGCGGATGTACGTATTCTTTAAAATCATAGAAGCTTTCTTTACCGCTTTCCTCACTTCTTTCTGAGCACTCACAGGATTCACTTGTAATGTCCACATTCCTACCAACAATTTCTTCAGGGCAATCTAGGGTTTTTACTACCAAATGCCTCAAAATGCTTCCAAGATCCTACCAATTACTTACTTCAAAGCCACTTTTATATTTTAGTTATCGTTACATCAGTCCCTGTCATTCCAGTGCCAGCATCTTTATTAATTTCCTAACACTGCAGTGACAAAGTACCGTAAACTGGGTGCCTTAAAACAACAGAAATTTATTTTCTTGCCATTCTGGAAACGAGCACTTTGAAATCAAGGTGTCAGCAGAGGCATTCTACCTCTGAAACTCTAAAGAGAATGTTTACTTGTCTCTTTTGCTAAGTGGAAGCCCCAGTTCTTGTGTTCCCTACCTTGCAGCTGAGTTACTACAATCTCTGCTTCTGTCGGCAGATGGCATTCTCCATGTGCGTTTCCGTATCCATATTTCCTGCTATTTACTAGGCGCTTACCCATCTCAGACTCAGAATCCAAATGTTTTAAGAAAGGGATTCTTAATTTAGCCTCTCAGCCTGTGCACAAAATTTGAAAGAAATCTATGTTGACTATTAAAAGCTGATCAGGTAAAGACCACCAGAAACAAATCTATAGTCTGACAAGATCAGATTTATTGGCTCAATGCAGCAAGGGATAGCAGTCCAGAGGAATTAGGAATGCTACTTGACAAGAGGAAGGAGGGTGTCCTTTTGTAAGGCTTTGGTTCATTCTGAATAACCTGGGAGTTAACCCAAGAGAGAGAACCCAAGAGAAGTAGGAATCAGTATGAAATGTTTGTTATTTCTGAGAAAAGATCAGGATACATGAGATAAGCTAAGGATTGAGTATTAGAATGTGGTAGGGGCCAGCTTAGCAACTGAGTATCCCCAGTAATAGATGGGTATAGAAAAACGAATTTGGTGGCATCATTGATAATAAAGCAATAATCACTCAAAGAGGGGATTGTTTTGGCATTCTCCAGCTGCAATATAACTTGCCTAGGGGAAAAATAATGTTTCCTGTTAACTTTGCAGCTGACTTAGTATCTGTGTCTGTTCTCCCAGACTGATTAATTGCAGGGCTGCTTTTTTCTTTTTCAGTCTAAGTTGATTTTTCTCTCTTTCAGTCTGGAAACATTTTTACTCTTTCATGACCAAAATTCAACATGGTATGGATTGTTGTCCACCATCCTAAATTTTGTCCAAAGATCACTGCATTTGTCAGTTCCTTCATAGATAATGCTTCTTTAGAGTTGTTTTCAAAGAAGAGTTCTGTTTTATCTCTTCTGACTTTTGTTGTTTTCTTTGGTTGGTTTTGGGGAGGAGAGTTAAGAAATATTATACTCCCCCATACTTCACTCAATGAAGAAATTATTTTAAACGAGTACAAGTTTATCAAATGTAATCTTAGTAAACATTTATTCACTACAGGGTGACTTTGATAGAATGCCACATGATATGATCAGTCAACAACTAAGGTTAAAAATAAAACAAAACCCTAAACTGCGTAATGGAACACTTAGTTATTTTGTCAACATATGTGTGTAATTTTTGATTGACATATTAGATTATGTCTCTATACAAATAACACCGGTTTGGAAAATAATTTAATCAATTAATCAGTTATTTTCATGTAATCTGTGTTTTCCAAGAATAGGTAAATGTTAGTGTACTATTCCCTTGCCTAAGAAGATCCCCCTCACTCAAAAAGAAAATTTTAAACAGTGAATATCAAAAGTTATCAGTTATAGGGCAATCTCAAGGAGATCCATGCAGATTATTTTAAAGATGTTTGTGGATCACAAAAGCATAAGATGGAATTTGATTTTATAAAGCATAGTTTAAAGACCATGCAACCTAATACTTCAACATAAATGCTAGAAAAACAGCAATGTAATTGAAAAGGGATCTTTAAAATTAATGGAAATTATGTTTACTAAAAAAATTATTTTAATGCAGATAAAGAAAACCCACATGTCCTTAAACATGTAATGAAATTGCTAGCTGTAAAACACTTCCCTTCATTTATACCTGTGAACTTCATTGTCCAGTACATTCATAAAACAAATATTTTTCAAAATTTAATACAAACTTCTTTGAATTGGCATCGTGTTTCTGGGAAATGCTGTGGTTGTAACATTTTTTTTTCACAAAAGCAATTACTGTGAGTACATTTTACAAGTAACAAATAGAAAAAGGTATATAGTCACAACGTGGTTTAAATGTTTATTTACACAAAATTAAAATAGCAGTAATAACAAGCAAATCAATCCTGTAAATTAAACGAAGGCCAGCCCAGGAAGATACTTAGTGGGGGGAAAACATACACTCTTAAAAATGGAAGCCTCCCTCCACCAAAAAAAAAAAAAAAAAAAAAAAAAAAAGAAGAAGAAGAAGAAGCCCATCTTTTAAAAAGAGTTGAGCTAAACATAGAAAAGAGAAGGCATGACCAATAAAAGGGTGGGTTAAAAGAGGAATTATGGAAAGAAATTATATTTTTTTAAACTGTGTATTACCAAGACTAATACATACATAACACCAGATAAAGGTCTTATCATAATTGCATCATTGGTATGAACTTTTTCAAGCAGAGTTCTAAAATAATTTTTGATGGAGAAATTTGCTTACAACATATACAACATATAAACTCAACTGGAATCCACCAGTTTTTAAAAAATGAAATAATCCTTTAAGGATATAAAGAATTCCAAAATCTTGTAAAGCCCTAAAAAATTAGAAATCTGATAGAATATTAAACTTTAGCAAAATATGTTTTAAGTCAGTTTAACAACAAAGTTATTTTCCAGTTTTAAACTATTTAAGTTATCTTGTTACCAATATGATGAAATGTTCCTCTTTTACTATGGGTGCTATGTTTTGCCCCCTGAATTCTATTATTAGTGTGTGTTTGTGATATATTTTCCCATCATTTTACTTTTAACCAAATATCTATTTAAGTGTATCTCTTGTAAACATTATGGTCTTCCAAAGGTTTGATCTCTTTAAAGACAGACATTCTGATGATTATCATGGAGAGTTTGGGGGTTTATGTTCTGAGCTGGAATGTAATCATAGATCTTTTGGCAGAGTGGTCAGCTTTTACACATAGAGTGGAACAACAGACACTGGGGCCTATCAGAGGCTGGACAGTGAGAAGAGAGAGAGGATCAGGAAAAATAAGTAAAGTGTACTAAGCTTAATGCCCAGACGATGAAATAATCTGTACAACAAACCCCCATGATACAAGTTTACCTATATAACAAACCTGAACATGTACTCCTGAATTTAAAAGTTTAAAAAAAAGAAAAGTGAACCACGTACCATATTTTTTACTTAATGCAGTGAATAGCAGTGGATGCAACCATACCCAGTAGTCAACCTGTCCCCTCAATTTAAAACATTCTTGTTATTTTCAATATTCTATGGGAAATGAAACACTCACAAAATCTGATTCCATTTAAAGCGAGAATTAAGTCTCACTCTCACCTTTCCTGCTTCCTCCAAATATTCCAGGACTCAGCCTCAGTCATTCTTCTTGATCATTTGTCAGACAAGAAAATGCTGGGGGAGATTAACTGGCATATCTGAGCTAATAAGTCAGACTCCAGTGTGAAAATTGCACTCCCTGCCCCTAATTCAGGGCAATTTCCTTCAAGACTATTACATTTCTCCTCTACTCCACCTGAAAAATGTTGTAGAGTCCTGTTACTAAAGCATCCTATTGCCCCTCCCCAAACCTGGAAACACACATACAAACCTACACTCATTTACCATTATTGTTTTTAACACTAAGCAAGAAAAGTGCAGCTATCTAAGTCACTCCAGACATCATCACCGCTCTTGGTAAAATTGATCTCAAAGCTTGGCCTTAGTCATGTATTCTTGAAAATGGAGGATAAATTCAACTATCAGTTTTCCTAATTGTTTTCCACAGGTCAGAGCTCAAAATTCTTATCTCAGATAGATATTTGTGTGTGGATTTTGTGTGTGTGTGTGTGAGAGAGAGATGATTGTTTTCTGATAAATTGGTGTTTGAATGTGAATACACTCCTAAAGTGATATATAAAATACTTTTTGTCATCATTGCTGGATAGCAGGCACTATGCTTGTTCGTGTTGAAGATACAATGTTAGCAGTACGTAGTTTCCTCAAATAAGTTAAACTCCAAAACTGACATTGTTAGGCAATTATAGAAAAAACTGTAATTCTAAACAGAAGATAAGGTCTTCGATAAATAAGTGTACACAAATGCAAACAATACCAGGAACATAAGGAATGGCTTTATGAAGAATCATCATTGGATGCTTTTATCCACATAGTAATATTCAAAGATACACAAAAGGGAGGTGAGGAGGTGATTATTATTCCCACCTTATAAATGACAGTGCTAAAACTCAGAGAATCCAGTTGCTTAGCTCATGTTTATCCAGCTAAGGAGTAAAGGAATCATTTTTCCAACTCAAGTTATAAAAATTCAAATACCAACTATGTATTATGTTTTAGAGCACTAACTTCTATTTCTAGCCAGCTAATGGGCTTAAACTAAATTATTTTTAAAAATCCTATGATTACGGCATCCTCTGGTGAAAACGAAAATATTTTTATAGTTATGATCCTATGTCTTTTATTAAGTCCATTCAAGTTTCGACATTTGTCATATACCAAAATAATTCTAGAAGTTTCCATTGGTAAACTACACAGGAAGCAAATAGGAATTGTGCCTTCCACAAAGAAACTATGAAATCATTTTTCCTAGGCAATCTATGACTCAGAAAACCATATCCAAATATTTCATTTTGGAAGATTGACATTAGATAAACAATAAGCGGTGCAGGAAGGAATCCAATAGTAGGCAAATGGCCATGTGATTTTTTGTGTGTTTTTTTTTCTGTTAATTTAGTGCTTTATTTGGAGCTCCTTATTGCAGTTGTAATAAGAAACTGGTGCTGCTGCTTCATGTGTGGGTGATTATGGGGGAAGATGGCTGTCAAAAGTAGAAGATGCCCACGAGATGTCTGAAAATATAAAACTGCTTGTTGCAAAGTGATTGCTAGGGTGTATCTGCCATGTACAGGCTACCCAGTTGCTAGTCACTAAAATTTGAATGAGACAGTCATATTGAAATGTAGTATTGAAAACAAGCTTTTAATTTTAATTAACTACATTAACTGAATTTTTCTAATTCTTCAAAGTAGAAATGTAAAAATTGCTGGTTACATATAACACTGCTTGTATTCACCATTATTCAATTATTAGCACATAAAGCACTTACTCAATTTGCTACTATTTAAAATATCACAAAACTGCCTTGTGCTTGTGATGTGTTAATACTAATAATTTATTCATTAGTCATTTGCACATACAGATATTGTTTACATTTCTAAAAAATATCTAGGTATACTGAGCCAGTAGAATAGGGCCTGGAGGCAGGGAACCTAAGGACTTCCTAGAGCTAAATTAAATGTAAAACCCCAACCTTGTAAGCCCAATAACTATGTAACTCGACTTGAACTATGGCAGGACACATCCTCTTCATTTGCATAGATTGTACACCAAGTAAATAACTTTGTAACCTCACTTCATCCTCTTCATTTGCATAGAGTGTACACCAAGTAAATAGCTTTGTACCTTTACCTCATCCTCTTCACTTACATAAGGCATACACCAGGTAACAAATAGAAACCTCTAGAGGGTATTTAAACCCCAGAAAGTTCTGTAACCAGGCTCTTGAACCCCTATGCTCGGCCCGTTCCCACCCTGTGGAGTATACCTTCGTTTTCAATAAATCTCTGCTTTTGTTGCTTCATTCTTTCCTTGCTTTGTTTGTGCATTTTGTCCAATTCTTTTTTCAAGATGCCAAGAACCTGGACACTCTCCAACAGTAAGAATACTAGGCTATCAATATTGTGGTAAAATTGTATGTATTCACAAAAATTCTGAAATAATCACAAGTAAATTTTACACTTGTACAGGGAGATAAATGAATGTGATAAATATATTATCTGACTAAAATTATGCAGGACTTACAGGACTACTAAAATTTTCTTTGTGATTCCAATAATATATAAAAGAAGTAGACAAGTATAAAGTAACTGGTAGGAAGCACTATCACCCTATCCTGTAAAAAAATAGGGATTTTAGAAAAATTAAGAAATATAATGACTATCTGAAAATAATCTTATAGCTCCAAAATCATCTCCTTTGACTCCATGCTCCACATCCAGGGGGCACTGATGAAACGGGTGCACTCCCAACACCTTGGGCAGCTCTCCCCTATGGCTTTGCAAAGTGCAGCCCCTGTGACTGCTCTTACAAGTTGGAGGTGAGTGCCTGTGGCTTTTTCAAATGCAGAGTGCAAGATGCTGGTGGATCTACCATGCTGGGGTCAGGAAGGCAGTGGCCCTCTTTCCACAGCTCCACTAGGCATGCCCCAGAAGGGAGTCTGTGTAGAGGTTCCAACCCCACTTCAGCATGATTCAGTACAAGACTCAAAACCAGGGAAGCCAACAGTGCAGCCATTAGTTTGAAACCTAAAGCCTAAGAGCCCCCAAGAGGCGAATGGTGCAAATCCCAGATCCTAAAGGATGAAGATCTCTGGAGTCCGATGTCTAAGGGCAGGAAGAGAAGAAGCAAATATCTGACACAAGGAAAGAGAGAGAGCAAGAGGCCCAGCAAGCTGCATATACCTTCTTCTACCTACTGTGTTCTAGCCACACTGGCAGCTGACTGGATGGTATCCACCAACATCGAGGGCAGGTCTTCGTCTCTCATTGTGCTCTCTCAAATGTCAGTGCCCTCTGGCAACACCCTTATAGACACATGCAGAAACAATCCTTGATCAGCCATCTAGGCATTCCTCAATCCAGTCAAGTTGACACCTAGTATTAACTATCACAGTGACCATCTGTGATGTTTTCCATTCAATTCAGCAACCGTTTCTCCAGTCCTCCAAGACCAACTGGGTATCCAACAATTCAGTTCAATTCTGACACTATTCATAGTTATTGCAGACCCACAAGATTGTCTGTGGCTGCCAGCCGCAAATGGGGTGCCCAAGCTACCTACACTTCAATCAAGCTGACTACAAATTTAGGAGTTCCCACAACCTGAACTTCCATTCAGGTTCAATAATTTTCTAGAATGACTCACAGAACTCAGAAAGTGCTATACTTACTATTACAGCTTTATTATAAAGGATACAACTCTGGAAGAGCCAAATGGAAGAGTTAAATTATGCATAGACAGGGGTGGTGCAGAGCTTCCATGGCCTCTTTGAGTGCACCACCCTCTCAACACGTTAATGTGTTCACCAACCTGGAAGCTCTCTGAACCTCATTATCAAATGATTCTATAACACAATTTCCAATGCCTTCCCTATTCCTGGAAGATAAAGAGGAGCTGAAACTTCAAACCGTCTAGTCATGTGATAGGCTTCTCTGATGACCAGCCTCCATTTTGAAGCTCTCTAGGGGTCCCTCAACCAAGAGTCCTCTCATTAGTATACAAAAGACATACTTATTTCTCAGGTAATTCAGATTGTAGGAGCTCTGTGCTAGGAACCTGGGCCAAAAAACCTAATATATATATAGTTATTATACCATACCACCCTTAACTATTTAATCCTCCAAGACTTCATGGAAACCATAAATCCAGTTATAATTACCAAACAATGCTAACAGATTGGTATGTCCTGAAAAATCTCACAAACCCAAAGATAAAGTATTATCGCTATTTAATTAATTTATTTTATAACATTGCCCAAACATCACTATCCTACTTCAAGTAACTTTAGGAATAAGAATGTGGTCAATCTGGACATGCTGAGATTAACCTGTATTAGTTCTCATGTTATCTGAAGATAATCTATTCCCCTTTCTATTAGAAGGAAAAAGCTTTATTAATCAGATTAAAACTAAAACTACAATTCACCATCAATATCAGTGACAAAGAACAACAGTACATTAGAATGTATGTTTTTCATGACCCATCAGCTGGTAAAGTGAATGAGAAGGGGAGTACTATAAGGTGAGAGCTGAAAAAATAAATAAATAAAATGCCGTGCTTAATTTCCCACGTAAACTGAGCAAAAATGTGCCCTCATAGATACATAGACAACTTAGCACATGTCAATAGTGATGAAAGGAAAAGGACTGAAAGCACAAAGAATAGTTATTTACATATGTACATACATATGTGTGTATTCTTTAGAAATATTAGCAAAACAGCTGTCAAGGGAGAGCACTAAGCTAAATATCATAATATTGTGAGAGACTCCTACAAACCACTTAACCTTATCACAACTAACTGATTTGATAATTATGAAGCATTATTTCTTGTGGGCTAACAGCAAGGTTTGCTACATATAAAAGGCATGGTTTTAAGCAAAATAAGGACCTGTTTAAATTTTTTGCATAAGACAAAGAGCGGTCTTCTACCCAAAATATCTTTAACATCAGCCTGTCTTAGAACCTAAAAATTTATACCATAATTATTCTTCTCTTTTTCTTCATCTCCTCTCCTTTTTCTCCTCCCCCTCCTTCTCTTTTTGTTTTTCCTTCTTTTGCTCTGTAATGTTAAACATGGCTCTTAAATTCCAAGCATTACCTGAGAGGGGTACTCTATTATGCCAAATCAGTAATTAACACCTTCAAATACTTTGATACTTATCAAAAAAGAGGAAGAAAATAGTAACTTGGTAAACTTAGATACAGATGATCAAAGAGAAAGTCAATAGCATAAGATTGCCAAGTCAAAACCCCTTGATGACAGAGCTAAAAGTAATAGAAAAAAAAAGAGATGAGTCTGGAAGATGAACTTTATCCTTTTCATTTTATCAGACATACTGGGTATTTGAAAAATATAGAGGAATCAAAGTGGCTGACTGGATGTAGGTAGTTTGTGCTTCCTCCACAGAGAAGAGTCAGAATAGTAAGTAGATATTCACATTTAAAACAGGTCAGCTAGGAGAGAATGCTGGGATTCATCAGATAAGAGACACGAAGTGCCAGAAGTAAGTAAGAAGAGGGTTTGAGTTAGCTTACCCAACCAGGAACTGACTAAAAGCCAGAAGAAGTTCCTGGACATGGGGAAACAGTAGGCGAGGAATCCCCAGAGCTGTGAAATGGGCTTTATTAATCTTGGCTACAAGAGAAACCTTCAACCGACTGGGGCCATGTGCCTGGCATATGGAGCTGCTTAAAGACTGTGCAGAGACATTGCTCCAGAAGGGGAACCCACATGGAATCCCACAGTCATCTGAGCTCAGAGCAGCCTTAAATGGGAGCCATTTCAAGTGGTCAGATACCAGGCATCTACAGACAGAGCTGCAGCCATTGCACTGCTCTAAGGAGGGAGAGGGAGAATGGTTACATATACACCTCTGGGAGTGTACTTGCTGCCCTGCTATAAGCTGCTGTTGAGACTGAGATGGAAATGAACCACACTCCCCGCAGCTTTTTGCTCACACTGCTTGCCTAGGTGGTACTCTACCCTCTTTGATTCCAGGCCCAAAGCACCATTTTGAGAGTTTAATGCTGAACTGCACTACATCCTTGGCCTGAGTTTGGACTGAGGTGGCTATAGCCACCTCAAGGCCAAGGACCAATAGGGAAACCAGGCTATTCCACATTATATATATGTATGTATTGAGAGAGAGAGAGAGAGAGAGAGAGAGAGAGATGGAGTCTCACTCTGTCACCCAGGCTGGAGTACAGAGTCACAATCTCAGCTCACTGCAGCCTCCACCTCCCAGGTCCAAGCGATTCTCCTGCCTCAGCTTCCTGAGTAGCTGGAATTACAGGTGCACAACACCACACCCAGCTAATTTTTCTATTTTTAGTAGAGATGGGGTTTTACCACGTTGGCCAGGCTGGTCCCAAACTCCTGACCTAGTGATCCACTCACCTCGGCCTCCGAAAGTGCTGGGATTACAGGCATGAGCCATCACGCCCGGCCTATTCTATGCATATTTAAGACAATACCCACTACCTCACAACTGGCTGCTGTGAGACTGAGGCTTGAGCAGGCTTTATCTCCCACAGCTTCTTATCCATGCTCCTTGCCTGAAAGGCACCCTATCCTTTCTAGCCGTAAGCCCACGCATGGCACCATTTTGAGAACACTGTTTGGCAACCTGGCAGCAGTGGCCACAACAGGCATTTTAGTCTCTGGCTAGAGATTGGAGTTCTTGCTCTGCAATTGGGAAAGGGCCCTCATAGGCAGAATCGAGCCATGAATATTATCTAGCAGTAGATGCTGGAATTAGGCTCTCTCCCATTGCAGGACTGGAGCAGGAAGAGTTGCTGAAGCTGATGATTCTACCAGGTGGTGAGACATGCAGCCAGGAATAGCTTTGAAATATGATCTCTGTCTGCATGTGTAATTGCCAGATGCACCCAGCCTGCTTCCTTGGATAATCAGGGTACAAACCAGGGTATAACCCTTGGTGCAGTTCACCTCAAAGGGAGCAGGAATTGCAGCCCACCAAAGCCCCTTTTGGGTCAAAGAAAACACAAGCACAGTGCCAGTCACTGAATGCAGCATCACCAAAGTCCAGGAGAAGACACACAGAAGGTGTCATTGCTTACCCTCCATTTCCGTCCTCGGTGCACTTTTGCAGACTCAGCAGCAGCTCTTCTTGTTGGGACCCAGGAGTATGGGCTGAAAGACACTGCTTCTCAGGCTTCTTCGTGGCTCCACCACCACTGAAGATAAAGGTGCACTGGGGGAGGGCACATTTCATGTTTCTCCATTGCCTCTGCCCCTGTTCCTACCTGCTCGCTCTTATTCTTAAGTACCATATACTGGATTGCAGCCTGAATTATGCCACCAAACAAAATTACGTCACTACAACAAGCAACATCTGAGAAACCCACTGCATGAACCTATCTGCAACTAAAGAACACAGCGACTTGGTACCCTGAAAGCAGCCAGAAATTATGCCAACCAATCATATATAATATACACCATGGTCATATCCTCAAAGGAAACAAAATAAAAAATCAAGAAGCCCTATTTAAAAGATAGCAAATTCAAAAAAAAAAAAAAGCCATATCATCCGTCTAGATGAGAAGGAATTAGCACAAGAAATTCAGCTACACAAAAGCCAGAATGTTACATCCCCTCCAAAGGATCCCACAATGTCTCAAGCAATGGATCCTTACAGAATGATATCTCTGAAATGGCAGATACAGAATTCAGAATATGGATGGCAAATAAACTCAGTGGGATCCAAGAGAAAGTTTAAATGCAACACAAGCCAGAAAAGCCACCTAAGTTTTGAAAGATGACATAGGTATATTAAGAAAGAACGAAACAGAACTCTGGAATCGAACAATTCACTACAGGAATTCAAAATAAAATCAGAAGCCTTAACAACAAACTAGACCGAGCAGAACAAAGAACTTCAAAGTTCAAAGTCCAATCCTTCACATCAACCCAATCAGACAAAAATCAAAACAAAAAATTTAAATAATGAGCAAAGCCTTCAAGAAATATGGGATTATGTAAAGCAACCAAATCTATGACATATTGGCATTCCTGAGAGAAAAGAAGAGAAAGTAAGCAACTTGGAAACCATATTTGAGAATATAATTCAGGAAAATTTATAATACCTAATCTTGCTAGAGAGGTCAACACACAGAGATAAAAACCCAGAGAAATCCTGTTACTATGCAAGAATACCATCCCCAAGACCCGAAGTCATCGGACTATTCAAAGTCAATACAAAAGAAAAAAATCTTAAAGGCACTTAGGGAAAAGGGTTGCATTACCAATAAAGGGAAGACTATCAGAATAACAGCAGACTTCCCAGCAAAAACCTTACAAGTCAGAAAAGATTGGAGACCCAATTTTAACATTCAAAGAAATTTCAGCCAAGAATTTCATATCCTGCAAAACTAAGCTTCATAAACAAAAGATAATAAAGTCTTTCCCAAACAAGCAATCACCAAGGAAATTTGTCACCATCAGATTGGTCCTACAAGAGATACTTAATGGAGTTCTAAACATGGAAACTAAAGAAGAATACTTGCTACCAAAAAAGCACATGCAAACACATAGCTTGTGGATCCTATAAGGCAACTACACAATTGAGACTATGAAGCAAGTAGTTAACAACACTACAACAGGAACTAAACCTCACATACCAATATTAGTCTTGAATACAAATGGTATAAACAATCCACTTAAAACATGGAGTGGCCAATTAGATTTTTAAAACAAACACACACACAGACACACACACACACACACATACACACACACACACTATAATCCATCCTTCTGCTGTCTTCAAGAGAGAAATTTCACACATAATGACATGCAGAGGTTCATTGTAATTGGATGGAGAAAGATTCATTATGCACATGGAAAACAAAAAAGAGCAGAGTTTGGTGTGTTAGTCTGTTCTCATGCTGCTAATAAAGGCATACCAGAGACTGGGTAATTTAAAAAGGAAAGAGGTTTAATGGACTCATAGTTCCACGTGGCTGGGGAGGCCTCACAATCATGATGGAAGGAGAAGCAAAGGCACATCTTATATGGTGGCAGAGAAGAGAGTGTGTGTAGGGGAACTGCCCTTTTATAAAACCATCAGATCTCATGAGATCTCATGAGATCACTATCACAAGAGCAGCACAGAAAAGACCCAAATGCATGATTCAATTATTTCCCACCAGGTCGCTCCCATGACACATGGAGATGATTACAAGTCAAGGTGAGATTTTGGTGGGGACATAGAGCCAAACCATATCAGTTAGCATTCTTCTATCAGATAACTTAGACTTTAACAACAGTAAAAGGGAACAAAGAAGAACATTTCATAAGGATAAAGGGTTGCATTCAACAAGACTTAATTATCCTAAATATATATGCGGCCAACATTGGAGCCCTGGGTTTATAAAACAATTACTTCTAGACTAGGAAAAGACTTAGACATATAATAATAGTGGGGGCCTTCAACATTCCACTGACAGCATTAGACAGATCATGAAGGTAAACACTAACAAATTCTGGACTTAAAATTGACCCTTGAGCGATTAGACCTAACAGATGTCTATAGAATACACCACCTAAACATAGAATATACATTCTTCTCATATGCACATGGAAGATACTCCAAGATTGACCACATAATCAGCCATAAAGCAAATCTCAATAAATTCAAAATAACTGAAGTCATACCAAGCATCTTCTTGGATCACAGTAAAATCAACAGAAATCAATACCAGGAGGAACTCTCAAAGCCACACAAATGCATGGAAACTAAACAACTTACTCCTGGAATGACTTTTGAGTGAACAACAAAATTAAGGCAGAAGTCAAAATGTTCTTTGAAACAAATGAAAATAGAGACACAACATACCAAAACCTCTAAGATACAGCAAAAGCATTGTTAAAGGAAAAGCTTATAGCACTAAACACCTACCTCAAGAAGATAGAAAGGTCTCAAATTAACAATCTAACCTTACATTTAATGGAACTAGGAAAACAAGAACAAAGTAAACCCAAAACTAGCAGAAGAAAAGAAACAACAAAAATTAGAGCAGAACTAAATGAAATTTAAACTCCACAAAAAACAAAGGATCAACAAAAAGTAAAGTTTTTTTTGAAAGGATAAACAAGATTGATAGATCACAATTGATAGATTGATTGATAGCTAGATTAACAAAGAAAAAAGATATCCCAATAAGGACAATCAGTAATGACAAAGGTGGCATCATAAAGGATGCCACAGAAATACAAAAGATCCTCAGAGACGATTATGAACACTTACATGCACACAAACTAGAAACTCTAGAAAAAAGTGGATAAATTCCTGAAAACACAAAACCTCCCAAGGTAGAACCAGAAAGAAATGGAAATCCTGAACTGACCAATAATGAATAATGGAGTTGAATCAATAGTAATAAAAAAGCTACCAACCAAAAAAAGGCCTGGTCCAGATGGGTTCGTGGCCAAATTCTCCCAGACATACAAAGAGCTTGTATCAATCTCATTGAAACTATTCCAAAAATTTGGGGGGGGAGAAACTCCTCCATAACTCATTCTATAAAGCATGTACCATCCTGATACCAAAACCTGGCAAGACACAACAAAAAAGGAAACTACAGGCCCATGTCCCTGATTAATATAGACGCAAAATATCTTCAATAAAATAATAGCAGACCATGTCCAGCATCACATCAAAAAGTTAGTTCAACACAATCAAGTGGGCTTTATTCCTGGGATACAAGGATGTTTCACCATACACCAATCAGTAAATGTGATTCACCACATAAATAGAATTTAAAACAAAACCATATGATCATCTCAATATATGTAGAAAAAGCATTCTATAAAATACAACATACATTCTTGATAAAAACCCTCAACACACTAGGTATTAAAGGAACATACCTCAAAATTATAAGAGCTAATATTACTTATCAACAACTAGCATTATACTGAAGGGACAAAAGCTGGAAGCATTACCCTTAAGAACCAGAACAAGATATAGATGTTCATTCTCACCATTCTTTAAAAAAGAAAACAAAACTTTAAGTTCTAGGGTACATGTGCACAACGTGCAGGCTTATTACATAGGTATACATGTGCCATGGTGGTTTGCTGCACCCATCAACTCATCATTTACATTAGGTATTTCTCCTAAGGCTATCCCTCCCCCAGTCCCCCACCCCACAACAGGCCAGGTGTGTGATGTTCCCCTCCCTGTGTCCATGAATTCTCATTGTTCAAGTCCCACTTATGAGTGAGAACATGCAGTGTTTGGTTTTTTGTCCTTGTGATATTTTGCTGAGAATGATGGTCTCCAGCTTCATCCATGTCCCTGCAAAGGACATGAACTCATCCTTTTTTATAGCTGCATAGTATTCCATGGTGTATATGTGTCACATTTTCTTAATCCAGTCTATCATTGTTGGACATTTGGGTTGGTTCCAAGTCTTTGCTATTGTGAATAGTGCCGCAATAAACATACGTGTGCATGTGTCTTTATAGCAGCATGATTTATAATCCTTTGGGTATATACCCAGTAATGGGATTGCTGGGTCAAATGGGATTTCTAGTTCTAGATCCTTGAGGGATCACCACACTGTCTTCCACAATGGTTGAACTAGTTAACAGTCCCACCAACAGTGGAAAAGCATTCCTATTTCTCCACATCCTCTCCAGCATCTCTTGTTTCCTAACTTTTTAATAATTTCCATTCTAACTGGCATGAGATGGTATCTCATTGTGGTTTGGAATTGCATTGCTCTGATGAGCAGTAATGATGAGCATTTTTTCATGTGTCTGTTGGCTGCATAGATGTCTTTTTTTGAAAAGTGTCTGTTCATATCCTTTGCCCACTTTTTGATGGGCTTGTTTGTTTTTTTCTTGTAAATTTGTTTGAGTTCTTTGTAGAATCTGGATATTAGCCCTTTGTCAGATGGGTACGTTGCAAAATTTTTCTCCCATTCTGTAGGTTGCCTCTTCACTCTGATGGTAGTTTCTTTTGCTGTGCAGAAGCTCTTTAGTTTAATTAGATCCCATTTGTCAATTTTGGCTTTTGTTGCCATTACTTTTGGTGTTTTAGTCATGAAGCCCTTGCCCATGCCTATGTCCTGAATGATATTGCCTAGGTTTTATTCTAGGGTTTTTATGGTTTTAGGTCTAACATGTGAGTCTTTAATCCATTTTGAATTAATTTTTGCGTAAGATGTAAGGAAGGGATCCAGTTTCAGCTTTCTACATATGGATAGCCAATTTTCCCAGCACCATTTATTAAATAGGGAATCCTTTCCCCATTGCTTGTTTTTCTCAGGTTTGTCAAAGATCAGATAGTTGTAGATATGCAGCGTTATTTCTGAGGGCTCTGTTCTGTTCAATTGATCTATATCTCTGTTTTGGTACCAGTACCATGCTGTTTTGGTTACTGTAGACTTGTAGTATAATTTGAAGTCAGGTAGCGTGATGCCTCCAGCTTTGTTCTTTTGGCTAAGGATTGACTTGGCGATGTGGGCTCTTTTTTGGTTCCATATAAACTTTAAAGTAGTTTTTTCCAATTCTGTGAAGAAAGTCATTGGTAGCTTGATGGGGATGGCATTGAATCTATAAATTACCTTGGGCAGTATGGCCATTCTCACGATATTGATTCTTTCTCCCCATGAGCGTGGAATGTTCTTCCATTTGTTTGTGTTCCTCTTTTATTTTGTTGAGCAGTGGTTTGTAGTTCTCCTTGAAGAGGTCCTTCACATCCCTTGTAAGTTGGATTCCTAGGTATTTTATTATCTTTGTAGCAATTGTGAATGGGAATTAACTCATGATTTGGCTCTCTGTTTGTCTGTTATTGGTGTATAGGAATGCTTGTGATTTTTGCACATCGATTTTGTATGCTGAGACTCTGCTGAAATTGTTAATTAGGTTAAGGAGATTTGGGGCTGAGACAATGGGATTTTCTAAATATACACTCATATCATCTACAAACAGGGACAATTTGACTTCCACTTTTCCTAAGTGAATAACCTTTATTTTTTTCTCTTGCCTGATTGCCCTGGCCAGAACTTCCAACACTATGTTGAATAGGCGTGGTGAGAGAGGGCATCCTTGTCTTGTGCCAGTTTTCAAAGGGAATGCTTCCAGTTTTTGCCCATTCAGTATGATATTGGCTATGGGTTTGTCATAAATAGTTCTTATTATTTTGAGATACATTCCATCAATACCTAGTTTATTGAGAGTTTTTAGCATGAAGGGCTGTTGAATTTTGTCAAACGCCTTATCTGCATCTATTGAGATAATCATGTGTTTTTTGTCATTGGTTCTGTTTATGTGATAGATTACGTTTATTGATTTGCATATGTTGAACCAGCCTTGCATCCCAGGGAAGAAGCTGACCTGATCGTGATGGATAAGCTTTTTTATGTGGTGCTGGATTTGGTTTGCCAATATTTTATTCAGAATTTTTGCATCGATGTTCATCAGGGATATTCATCTAAAATTCTCACTTTTTTGTTGTGTCTCTACCAGGCTTTGGTATCAGGACGATGCTGGCCTCATAAAATGAGTCAGGGAGGATTCCCTCTTTTTCTATTGATTGGAATAGTTTCAGAAGGAATGGTACCAGCTTCTCTTTGTACCTCTAGTAGAATTCAGCTGTGAATCCATCTGGTCCTGGACTTTTTTTGGTTGGTAGGCTATTAATTATTGCCTCAATTTCAGAGCCTGTTATTGGTCTATTCTGAGATTCAACTTCTTCCTGGTTTAGACTTGGGAGGGTGTATGCGTCCAGGAATTTATCCATTTCTTCTAGATTATCTAGTTTATTTGCATAGAGGTGTTTATAATATTCTCTGATGGTAGTTTGTATTTCTGTGGGATCAGTGGTAATATTCTCTTTATCATTTTTTATTTCATCTATTTGATTCTTCTCTCCTTTCTTCTTTATCAGTCTTCCTAGCAGATAAATTTTGTTGATCTTTTCAAAAAACCAGCTCTTGGATTCATTGATTTTTTCAAGGGTCTTTTGTATCTCTATCTCTTTCAGTTCTTCTCTGATCTTAGTTATTTATTGCCTTCTGCTAGCTTTTGAATTTCTTTGCTCTTGCTTCTTGAGTTCTTTTAATTGTGATGTTAGGGTGTCAATTTTTTATCTTTCCTGCTTTCTCTTGTGGGTATTTGGTGCTATAAATTTCCTTCTACACACTGCTTTAAATGTGTCCCAGAGATTCTGGTATGTTGTGTCTTTGCTGTCATTGGTTTCACAGAACATCTTTATTTCTGCCTTCATTTCGTTATTTGCCCAGTAGTCATTCAGGAGCAGGTTGTTCAGTTTCCATGTAGTTGTGTGGTTGTGAGTGAGTTTCTTAATCCTGAGTTCTAATTTGATTGCACTGTGGTCTGAGAGGCAGTTTGTTGTGATTTCCATTCTTTTACATTTGCTGAGGAGTGCTTTACTTCCAATTATGTCGTCAATTTTAGAATAAGTGTGATGTGGTGCTGAGAAGAATGTATATTCTGTTGATTTGGGGTGGAGAATTCTGTGCATGTCCATTAAGTCTGCTTGGTGCAGAGCTGAGTTCAAGTCCTGAATATCCTTGTTAACCTTCTGTCTCATTGATCTGTCTAATATTGACAGTGGGGTGTTAAAGTCTCCCATTATTATTGTGTGGGAGTCTAAGTCTCTTTGTAGGTCTCCAAGGACTTGCTTTATGAATCTGGGTGCTCCCATATTGGGTGCATATATATTCAGGATAGTTAGGTCTTCTTGTTGAGATGATCCCTTTACCATTATATAATGGCCTTCTTTGTCTCTTTTGATCTTTTTTGGTTTAAAGTCTGTTTTATCAGAGACTAGGATTGCAACCCCTGCTTTTTTTTTTTTTTTTTTTTTTTTTTTTTTTTTTTTTTTTTTTTTTTGCTTTCCATTTGCTTGGTAGATCTTCCTCCATCCCTTTATTTTGAGCCTGTGTGTGTCTTTGCACGTGTGATGGGTCTCCTGAATACAGCACACTGATGGGTCTTGACTCTTTATCCAATTTGCCAGTCTGAGTCTTTTAATTGGGGAATTTAGCCCCTTTACATTTGAGGTTAATATTTTTATGTGTGAATTTGATCCTGTCATTATGATATTAGCTGGTTATTTTGCCCGTTAACTGATGCAGTTTCTTCATAGCATTGATGGTCTTTACAATTTGGCATGTTTTTGCAGTGGCAGTTACCAGTTGTTTCTGTCCATGTTTAGTGTTTCCTTCAGGAGCTCTTGTAAGGCAGACCTGGTGGTGATGAAATCCCTCAGCTTTTGCTTGTCTGTAAAGGATTTTATTTCTCCTTCATTTATGAAGCTTAGTTTGGCTGGATATGAAATTCTGGGTTGAAAATTCTTTTCTTTAAGAAGGTTGAATATTGGCCCCCACTCTCTTCTGGCTTGTAGAGTTTCTGCTGAGAGATCCACCTTAGTCTGATGGGCTTCCCTTTGTGAGTAACTTGACCTATCTCTCTGGCTGCCCTTAACATTTTTTCCTTCATTTCAACCTTGGTGAATCTGACAATTGTTTGTCTTGGGGTCGCTCTTCTCGAGGAGTATCTTTGTGGTGTTCTCTGTATTTCCTGAATTTGAATGTTGGCCTGCCTTGCTAGGTTGGGGAAGTTCTCCTGGATAATATCCTTAAGAGTGTTTTCTGACTTCCTTCCATTCTCCCCATCACTTTCAGGTGCACCAATCACATCGTCCCATATTTCTTGGAGGATTTGTTCATTTCTTTTTACTCTTTTTTCTCTAACTTTGTCTTCTCACCTTATTTCATTAATTTGATCTTCAATCACTGACACCCTTTCTTCCATTTGATCGAATCAGCTATTGAAGCTTGTGCATGCATCACGAAGTTCTCATGCCATGGTTTTCAGCTCCATCAGGTCATTTAAGGTCTTCTCTACACTCTTTATTCTAGTTAGCTATTCATCTAACGTTTTCTCAAGGTTTTTAGCTTCCTTGCAACGGGTTCGAACATACTCCTTTAGCTCAGAGAAGTTTGTTATTACTGATCTTCTGAAGCCTACTTTTGTCAGCTCATCAAAGTCATTCTCCGTCTAGCTTTGCTCCGTTGCTGGCGAGGAGCTACGGTCCTTTGGAGGAGAAGAAGCACTCTGATTTTTAAAATTTTCAGCTTTTCTGCTCTGGTTTCTCCCCATCTTTGTGGTTTTATCTACCTTTGGTCTTTGATGTTGGTGACCTACAGATAGCGTTTTGGCATTCTCACCTGTCTTATTCAATATAGTACTGGAAGTTCTTGCCAGAGCAATCAGGCAAGAAGAAGAAACAAAAGACATCCAAATAGGAAGAAAATAATTCAAACTATGTCTCTTCACAGATGATATGATTCTATACCTAGAAAATCCTAAACATTCTGCCCAAAGGCTCCTAGAACTGATAAACAACTTCAGTAAAGTCTTAGGATACAAAGTCAGTGCACAAAAATCTGTAGCATTTCTATGCATCAATACTATTCAAGCTGAAAACAAAATCAAGAATACAATCCCACTTGCAATAGCCACAACAAAATAAAATACCTAGGAATACATCTCACCAAGGAGGCAAAAGATCTATACAAGGAGCACTACAAAACACTGCTAAAAGAAATCATACATGACAAACAAATGAAAAAGCATTTCATGACAATGGATTGGAAGAATCAGTATCATTAAAACATTCATACTACCCAGCACAATATACAGATTTAAGACTATTCTATCAAATTACCAACATCATTTTTCACATAATTAGGAAAAACTTTTCTAAAATTTACATAGAACCAAAATGGTTGGAATAGCCCAGGCAATTCTATACAAAAAGAATAAAGCCAGAGACACCACATTACCTAACTTCAAACTATATTACAAGGCTACGGTGGCCAAAACAGCATATTGCTGGTACAAAAATAGACATATGGATCGATGAAACAGAACAGGTACCCCTAAAATAAAGCCACACACCAATAATCAACTGATCTTTGGCACAGTCAACAAAAATAAGCAATCGAGAAAGGATACCCTATTCAATAAATGGCACTGGGAAAACTGGCTAACCACAAGCAGGAGAATGAAACAGAGATTCATTGTGTGTGGGAACACAAGTTATTTCAGCCCCTGTGACCATATACAAAAATAAACTTTAGATGGATTAAACATTTAAATGTAAGACCTCAAACTATAAAAATCCTGAAAGGAAACCTAGGAAATTATCTTCTAAATATTGGCTTAGGCAAAATAATTTGTGACTACATCTTCAAAAGCAAATGCAGCAAAAACAAAAATTGACAATTGGAACCTAAAGAGCTTCTTCACAGCACAAGGAACTATCAGAAGAGTAAATAGACAACCTACAGAATGGTAGAAAATATTTGCAAACTATGAATTAACAAATAACTGCCATCTAGAATCTATAAGGACCTTAAACAAATGAATGAGAAAAATACAATCCCCTTAAAAAGTGAGCAAAGAATATGAACAGATGTTTCCCAAAAGGAGACATATAAGCAGCAAACATATGAAAAAAAAATACTCAACATTACTAATTATCAGAGATGCAAATCAAAACCACAATGAGATACAATCTCACACCAGTCAGACATGCAATTTATCTATATAACAAACCTGCACATGTTCCCCTGAACCTAAAAGTTAAAAAATAAATAAATAGAATTGCAAACACTGCCCCTGCCACCCCCACCAAAAAAGTAAAAAAATAACAGATACTGGTGACGTTGCAGATAAAAGGGAACACTTAAACACTGTTGGTGGGAACACACATTATTCCAGCCCCTGTGGAAAACTGTTTGGAGGTTTCTCAAATAACTAAAATAGAATTACTACTTGACCCAGCAATCTCAATACTGGGCAAAAGGAAAATAAACTGTTCTACCAAAAAGCCACCTGCATTTGAATATTTATCATAGCACAATTCACAATTGTAAAGACATGGAATCCACCCAGGTGCCCATAAACAGTAGACTGAATAAACAGAATGTGGTACATATAAACCATGAAATACTATGCAGCCATTAAAAAAGAATGAAATAATGTTCTTTGTAGTAACAGGGATTTCAGCTGGATGCCATTATCCTAAGCAAATCATTAGTAACAGAAAACCAAGTACCACATGTTCTTACTTATGAGTAGGTGCTAAACACTGAGTACACATAGACACAAAGTTGGGAACAATTAACACTGGGTATTTCTAAAGGGGGTAGGGATGGAGAGGAATCAAGTATTGAAAAAATACCTATTGGGTACTATGTTCATTACTTGGGCAAAAGTATTGTTAGAAGTCCAAATCTCAGCATCAGGCAATATATCCATGTAACAAACCTGCACATGTAACCCATTGAATCCAGCGTAAAATAATGAAATGAAATGACATATATGATCCTATCCAAATCTGAGAATAATAAAATATAATGGGATTTTCCAAACCAAGGTAAATTGTTAGTTTACCATAGGTATTCTTGTGTAGCAGACACTTTTGATCACTTTCCCATACATATCTGCTCCCTCTCTCCTTTCTTACAGAACTATGATTTTGTTCATGTATACCCTCTCCTCCTGACATTTCTGAGAATTCTAGAATAATCTTCAGCCCCAGTGAGTGAATCTTAAATTTCATAAATCAGTCTCAGTGATTATATTACCCTACACAATTGATCTAAGCATAGATATGTGATGCAATTCTAGTCAATGTAACCCAAGTGTTAAGACTACTAAGGGATCATGGGAAAGGTATCCTCACAAAATCCCACATTATCTCTTTTGTCTGACACTTCTGTCTAGGTATGCCACCTGGAAGTGTTGCAGCCTGGAATCTGGCCTGAAGACAAAGCCATTGTGGTGAGAATTATAAAAAGGAAAGGCGATTCCTTCATTGTGCCATTGACTAAACCAATCTTAGAACAGCTCTGACTGCCCTTCTTGTCATGTGGGAGAATAAATTCCTTTACTGTTGAAAACACTTCCAGCTGATTTTCTGTTACCTGCAGCCACTGAACCCTATATTGTCAAATCTCAGGTACCCTTTTCAGTTCAACTCTTGACTAGAACATACAGAAATTTTGACACATTTACTTATTTCCCCCTTATTGAAACATTTAGTTTCTGTGAAACTGGTGTCTCCTATTTTTTCCTCCTTCATTAGGAAATACAGTGATAGTTCTCCTTTGTGAAATTACTAAAATTTAGAATTCCTCAGGATTTCTCTTGGGTCTCTCTTTTTCTTTTTTTTTCTCTTTCTTTTTTTTTATTTTCTTACAGTTGCTTCATACTTGATATTTCTTCCTTTGACATTTGCTAACATCTATGAGCTAATTACCCTCAGGTAACTTGGTACAGACCTATTCTCTGAATTCCAGGTATATATTTTGACCGTCTTGTTGAGACATCCTCTGATATTCCACAGGTTTCTCACACTGAAAAAGTCCAAAATTGAGTCACTGATGCTTGACACTAAACTGCTTTTCCTTTACACAATGCCAAACACACTTGCAGTTACCGGTTGGTCACATTAGAAACCTAGGAGTCATTCTTGGCTCATGTCCACACCTGATATGTCTTTCATCCGTCTACCTCTCTTTATTTCTATTACTGTCTTTCTTGGTTGAGGGCAGTAATACCTTTAGTATTCTCAATACAACAGTTGCTTAACGAATATTCCCACTTTTGGCTTTCTAGGATCCATCTCCTATGCAGCAGCCAGAGTATTATTTTAAAAGTGCAAATAGATTCCATATTAACAGCCTCTCTCTTCAATGCTATTTCTATACTTAGACCTAAATCCAAAGGGTTTGAAGGTGCTGAGATGATCACATAATCTGAACCAGCTCACCTCTCCAATATTATCTCATATGATTCTCTGGCCCATTCACTATGATCTAAACACACTGGTCTGCTGTCATATCTTTAAAGGAGACACACTTTTCCTCTCCCAACTATTTCACTGAGTTAATTCCTGCTCATCTTCCAGGTTTCAGCCTGAATATTACTTCAAATGATGACTGCCAGAACCTCCCCATCTAAATTATATCCTTAACCTTTGTTGTCTCTCATGCACTGTTCTAATTAATTTTATAGCACATAACATTTAAACAAAAGTGTATACATATATCCATATACATATATACATATGTGTATAAAATGCATATATATACATGTAGTATATCCTCCTACATCATAAACTCTAAGTTGACAGGCCAGTGACTGTTTTGTCCATCTAGCAAATCACAGAGAACTTAGAACCCAGCCAAAGGAAGAAAGAACTTTTCAAAAAGTTCTAGACAAGTGACAAGGTCACAGGCAGGAAAATAAGCAAATTTATAATGCTAGGCTTGAAGTATCTAGACCACTACCGTGGCTCTAATAAATAGGGCTGGCCTAGGTTCATGCTAAAGCAGAGACAGACAGCTTTTACAACATTTCCGTATTGTCTTGATATTAATATTCTTAATCTTCCATTGTGGTTAGATACAGAACTCACTAGGTATCCCCAAGCAGAATAGAATAAATAACATTTATCCCTCATGGAAAATGTCTTATTCTTTAAAGCCGCCATGATAACATTATAATGAAGTGCATTGTTATTTAATACTGATTTGCTGAGAATCAAATAAAATTATTGATTCTTACAGATTATTTGAATGCTGCTACTGGAAAGAAACCGTGTAGTGGAAATATGACATTTACAGTCTATCAGAGCTAAATTTGAAACTGATTCCTGATAATTATTAGTTATAGATTTGGGAGAAGTTTATCTTTTTGTACTGTTTTCTTATTTATATAAATAGGGATACATTTGCTTCTGATAGGGATTTTCATGGTGTTTATGAAAGGATATGTGTGACAGTAAATTTCTCAGGTCCTGCCAGAGAATGAGAAGCTACAATGCTGCAGATGATCAAAAGCTGATGACATAATTTTATTGTACTTTTAGTGCTACCTGTTAATGAAGAAGCTAATGTGTGCAATGTTTTCAAGAGACGGCAGAGTTAGAGCTATTAAGAATCATTCATGTGGACATGAAATTTGAGCTAGAAGGAAAAGCCAGGGGAACAAGATGGAGAATTTAGTGGTTCATGACTAAGTTACTTTCAAATGTGATTCCATTGATCCATTTATTGAAAAAAAATTATTAGCTCACACATTTATAAATGTCAATGAATGTATCAATAGTTTGCCCAAGTTTATATTCTAGCATATTGTTACTTTTTATTATACTGCAATATACATGAAACAATATTTTGCCTCCATTTCTGAGGCCTAATGAGCCATATAGATGCTAAATCATGCTCAAATCTAATGGAAAGTTGCTTTACAAAGAATAATGCTGTAACTCATCTATGCATAAACAATAATTATAATGCCCTGAAACGTTGAATTCAAAAGACCAAAATTGAGCATCAAAGACTGTTTCACACTGAGCCACATGAAAATGATCTCCTCTATTTGACTTGTTTAAGTCTTACTTCTATCTTTGAAATTAAACACTCATAATTTGCATTTTAACATTTCTGAAATTCTTCTAGAAATAGCATCAAAATGATCCATAGAGAGAATGCTATTTATAATATGTATATAAAGGGAAGTATCACAGTTTAAATACACACATTTATTTTTCTACCCATGCTCCACCACATACAACATTGATGGGCTACACTGATGTTATCAAATGAATTATGGACAAGGGAAATATAATAAAATACTTCTCTTTACCTGTCTCTCAATTCAATTATGAAACTTCCAAATCCAAACCTCAAAAAGACAAATAAAGGCAAATCATCTTTATTTGTCAAGTCCTGTATAAACCATGCTCAACAATAAGTTCTCCACACCCCATTTTCCACCCTCAATAATACGCACTGGGAAAATAATCCCTTAAAAATTTTGACTACTCTACTCAATTGTTTGCTTCTCTATGACTTCTTAGCCTTGGAAAGTAAATCTTTATTTTAATAACCATAGAAAGTCTAAGGTAAATCCTATTAACCATAAATAGAGATGAATCCTTTCTCCCTCATTCTGCTACAGTATATTTTATCTTTGGGAATATTTTCTTTAAAAATCTTTATATAAAGTTTTTTCACTTATAAAATATAAATGAAAAATTGAGTCCATCAAAAATGATCCCTGTCATGAATTTTAACATTTAATAATGGGAAAATAGAATCATATGCACAAAAAGAAGAAAATATGCACAGCAAATTATGCCTAATTGTATTTAAGCTAATTTTTTTATGAAAATCTTATGCCTTGAGACAAGTCCATATTCTGAGTACCCAATTGGGTTTTTATAATTATACGTACAACTTTAACTACTATGTTAAAGTACAAACTTTAAGCACCTGTTGTTTCTGCTAACCTATAACATACTCTTAATGTTTGCCCTCTCTAAAACATAGTTTTAATACTAAAAGTAATAACCACTCAATCTCCCCTATCTCTCTTTCTCACTCCCCACTTCCATCTCTCACTTAAGCACATTATTCAAATTGAGTTTGGCTTTTTTGTGTGTGGGGGCAGGAATCATAGAATATTGGAAATATAGGACAAGAGGAAAAAAGTCAAAAGAAAGATAATAACTAAATGATGTCCAGTGTAAAATTATATAAGAATATGCTGCCTGCCCTTGTCACAAATATTTCACAAAGCCACAAAATCCATCTTTACACAGATCACGTTTGCAGCTCAGTTGGATGTAAGTAGGAATTAGCTACAGCTCACTAAACACTTCATCACATTATCTGATTGCATTTAAATTGTTTCTAGGTAATTCACGGAACAGATTATTTGCAGGAGCTCTGGGAATAGCAACACTTTCCCTCAACAAGAAGTCAGGTTACCCTGTTCATCTATTTTTAAAGTTAAATCTCTTTCATACCCAGTGTGAAATTTTTAACAAAGTCTGATTTGCTGTTAAAGATTTTGCACACTGCTACATAATTCCACTTAACACTTTGAGCTAGGAAAAGACCTGAATGCTAATCTGAACTCCACCAAAAATAACTGTTTTAGGCAGTACACAAGTTAATTTCAGATTCCAAAACTAGTTTCATCATCTCTTTCCCCTAGTTTGTTTTTTAAATAGTCTTTGAAAATTATGGAATTATAACTATTCATTATGTGTTTTCTCTCAGGGCTAGATGACTTCAATAAAGCAAAGCGGAAAATGTCTCAAAAATATTCTTACTCTTCCCACTCAAACAATATAAGAGGTGCATATTCAATGAGCAGCAGTAAAGCCCTTCTAAAGTGGGTAGGTGTAATTTGTCTTTGTTATTTCACTTGACACTTTTTGGTCAATTACGATGCCATCCGATGTGAGGCACCATTTCTCAATGAGCTTCATAAAGTAAGAAATCAGCTGAAAGTAATAGATTCCACAAGAAAAATAGATATAGCATAGTCAAATAAATTTGGAACATGCTAGGACTGCTTAGTTGAATAAAACCGGGTTTTTTAAAGACTTTTCATAGATTTCAGTATATTAATTTAAATTATAAAGCCCCTAGAATGAGAAGGTGCATATATAGTTTCTCAAAGCTTATAAAAGAGGAAATGCACAGACTAAAGACTGAGACAAACGTGGTCATAGATACAGGTTACACCACATGTTTGAGTAATGAAAATCTTTCTGATCCTTAGTTTCCTTATCTGCCATATGATAGAGTGAATAAGAGATGGTATCCAGGGATGAACACACCAATGCCCAAATCCCAGGGCTGTCGCTTATTTGCTGTGAGTCACAGGCAATTTACTACAAGCTCTCCATATCTCAGAGTCTCCTTTTAAAAAATAAGGAACATAACAATAATATCTACCACCAGATTTGTTGCAAGAATTACAGTGCTTAATAGTTATAAGGTGCCTAAAACAACAGGTGTTCACTAAATATGATTTTCTTTCTGTCGATTCCCTTCTGTCCCATACCCAGAGTCATTGTTGGGATATTTGAGCCTCCAAGCCTCAAACTGGAATTAGATCCAGCTTGGAATTAGATCCAGTGGAATTAGATCCACTATATATATATATGTGTGTGTATATATATATATATATATACACATATGTATATATATGTATATATATATATATATATATATATATAGTGGCATGATTAAATCAAGCTTATTAAATAACCATCACCTTGCTTACCTATCATTTTTTAGGCATGACATTTGAAATTTGTTCTCTTACTTTGAAATATATAACACATTATTTATTTACATCATCAACAGAATAAAACTTTTAAAACAATAGCATTTTAAATAGCATCAAAAACAAAGTGCTAAAGAAGAGATCTAACAAAGCTTTTGTACAAGGAATATATAAAACTTTACTAGAGAAATTAAAGAGTATTTTAATAAAGAAAGAGAAATGTCATGTCCATGGATAGAAAGACTTCTCAAATTGATATATAACTTCAATGTTATCCCAATAGAATTCTACAAATTATTTTCTTTTGGAAATTAACAAGCTGATTCTAAAATTAATAGATACATAAATGAGCTCAAAATAGCTAAGAGTAAGTTAGAAACATCTACCATACCAAGAATTTTTATAAAATTACAGCAATTAAGATGATGTGGTATTTGTGCAAGAGATAAACAGGCCAATTGGACTGAATAGATAGTCCACAGCTAGAACCACTGAGAAATGGACACTTGATTTTGACAAAATTGGCACTATAGAGCAGTAGTGAAAAGAAATAATCAAGACCTTTTACTAGTTGAGAAGAAAAAGATGACAAAGCAATTTTTATATGGGCAATAAATTTGAATAGGCACTTCACCAAACAGGAGAGAGCAAAATAATCAATAGCTTTTTTAAAGTTGCTCAACATTGTTATTGCTCAAGGAAACACAAATTAAAGCATCAATAGAATACCACTATATAATCTACCAGCATGGTTGGAATAAAGACACAATCAGACACCCTGATAATGTCATATGATAGCATGGATGTTGAATAACTGGAACCTCATACACTATTGATGAAAATAGAAATGTAAATTGGTACAATCACTTTTGAAAACTGTTTTACATGATGTATTAAATTTGAACATGATCCAACAATTTCACTCCTAGATTTGTAGCAAACAGAAATAGTTTTACATGACCCAGAAGATATGTACAATGTTTATAGCAGCATTATTCATAATAACTCCAGACAAAAAAATACTAATGTCTGCCAGCAGTTGAAAGGTTAAATAAATTGTAGTTTACTAAGAAATATCCATTATATGATATAATACTATACAGAAATAAACTTAATAAACATCAGATGCCACAACCAAATTGATGAATTTCACAAGAAACATTTGAGAGAAAGAATTGCACACAAAGACGTATGCTGCATTATTTAATTTGTATGAAACTTTTGAAAACAGACAATTCATAATGTTTGAAATCAAAGCAATGGTTACCTTTGGGGAGGAGAGCAAGGTTGTGAAGGAAAGGGCTTCTGTTGCGCAGGTAGTATCTTAATTTCTTGATCCATGTAGTGTTCACTTTGTGGTAATTTATTAGGTTGTAATCTTAAGATATGTGCCCTTCTCTGTATATGTGTTATATCTTAATAACAAAAGTGTCTTATCTAGAAATCTCAATATTGTCATGTCTCTCCACAGCATGAAATCTTTCAACGGTTCCACAATGTCTTAAGGATAAAATATAGACTTCATGAAGCCTTTGAGTTGACTTCTTAACCTCATTTTCCACCCTTGTCATTGAGATATCCAGTTTTTTAAACACATAAAACTGTTTGCAGTTTCACAGATACTCTCTTTTGTGACTTTGCCCTTAGCATAAAGTTTGGAATTTATAAAATAGCCCTTCCTTGTCCACTTAGCTAATTCTACTCACCCATAGAGTGCCACCTTCTCCTGAAAGTGATGTAAAAAACACTAGCCTAGGTTAATTTCTCTCATTTGTGTCCTACAGGACCCTGTCATGCCTCAGTAATAGCTCTTAGAACTATTTTAAATATCAGTTCTACAGGTCTATCTTTCCCTACAAATTAGTAATGCATAATTCCCTAAGCCTTATAAAAACACAATTCTTGCCACACAGGGAACACTTTATAAGTATTACCAGATTAAATTGTCTGCCTGGCAATTGGATGGAAAACAGCTTCAGTTATAAACAATTAGCTTGTTTATGCATATTCACCAGTTGTGTTGTACTTGGAAAGAGTTGGATAGAGGAAGCTTAACTAAAAATTTTAAACAAATATTGTCCATTCCAAGATGGCCAAATAGGAACAGCTCCGGTCTAGAGATCCCAGCGTGATTGATGCAGAAGACGGGTGATTTCTGCATTTCCAGCTGAGGTACCTGGTTCATCTCATTGGGACTGGTTGGACAGTGAGTGCAGCCCATGGAGGGCAAGGTGAAACAAGGTGGGGTGTCGCCTCACCCAGGAAGTGCAAGGGGTGGGGGGATTTCCCTTTCCTAGCTAAGAAAAGATGTGACAGACCATACCTGGAAAAACGGGACACTCCCTGCCCAAATACTGCACTTCTCCCATGGTCTCAGCAACCAGTAGACCAGGAAATACTCTCCCATGCCTGGCTTGGTGGGTCCCACTTCCACAGAGCCTTCCTCACTGCTAGTGCAGCAGTCTGAGATTGACCTGCGAGGCAGCAGTCTGGCGGGGGGAGGGGTGTCCACCATTGCTGAGGCTTGAGTAGGTACACAAAGCAGCCAAGAAGCTCAAACTGGGCGGAGCTAACCACAGCTCAGCAAGGCCTACAGCCTCTACAGACTCCGCCTCTGTGGGCAGGGCATAGCTGAACAAGAGGCAATGGAAACTTCTGCAGACCTAAACGTCCCTGCCTGACAGCTCTGAAGAGAGCAGTGGTTCTCCCAGCATGGTGTTTGAGTTCTCAGAATGGACAGACTGCCTCCTCAAGTGGGTCCCTGAGCCCCATGTAGGCCTAACTAGGAGACACCTCCAAGTAGGGGCCAACAGACACCTCATACAGCAGGTTGCACCTATGGGACAAAGCTTCCGGGGAAGGGATCAGGCAGCAATCTATTCTGTTCTACAATATTTGCTGTTCTGCAGCCTCCACTGGTGATACCCAGGCAAACAGTGTCGGGAGTGGACCTCCAGCAACTCCAACAGACCTGCCACTGAGGGACCTGACTGTTAGAAGGAAAACTAACAAACAGAAAGGAATAGCATCAACATCCACAAAAAGGATATCCACACCAAAACCCCATCTGTAGGTCACCATCATCAAAGACCAAAGGTAGATAAAATCACAAAGATGGGGAGAAACCAGAGCAAAAAAGCTAAAAAGTCTAAAAACCAGAGTGTGTCTTCTCCTCCAAAGGATCATAGCTCCTCACAAGCAACCGAACAAAGCTGGATGGAGAATGACTTTGTTGAGTTGACAGAAGGAGGCTTCAGAAGATCAGTAACAACAAAATTCTCCGAGCTAAAGGAGCATGTTCAAACCCATTGCAAGGAAGCTAAAAACCTTGAAAAAAGGTTAGACGAGTGGCTAACTAGAATAAACAGTGTAGAGAAGACCTTAAATGAGCTGATGGAGCTGAAAACCATGGCAAGAGAACTTCGTGATGCATGCACAAACTTCAATAGCTGATTCAATCAAGTGGAAGAAAGGATATTGGTGATTGAAGATCAAATTAGAGAAATAAAGCAAGAAAAGAAGTTTAGAGAAAAAGAGTAAAAAGAAATGAATGAAGCCTCCAAGAAATATGGAACTATGTGAAACGACCAAATCTACATTTGATTGGTGTACCTGAAAGTGATGGGGAGAATGGAACAAAGTTGGAAAACACTTTTCAGGGTATTATCCAGGAGAACTTCCCCAATCTAGCAAGGCAGGCAAACATTCAAATTCAGGAAATACAGAGAACGCCACAAAGATACTCCTCGAGAAGAGCAACTCCAAGTTACATAATTGCCAGATTCACCAATGTTGAAATGAAGGAAAAAATGTTAAGGGTAGCCAGAGGGAAAGGTCGAGCTAACCACTAAGGGAAGCACATCCGACTAACAGCAGATTTCTTGGCAGAAACCCTGCAAGCCAGAAGAAAGTAGGGGCCAATATACAACATTCTTAAAGAAAAGAATTTTCAACCCAGAATTTCATATCCAGCCAAACTAAGCTTCATAAGTGAAGGAGAAATAAAATCCTTTACAGACAAGCAAATGCTGAGGGATTTTGTCACCACCAGGCCTACCTTAGAAGAGCTCCTGAAGGAAGCACTAAACATGGAAAAAAACAACCAGTACCAGCCACTGCAAAACCATGCCAAATTGTAGAGACCATCGATGCTATGAAGAAACTGCATCAATTAACAGGCAAAATAACCAACTAACATCATAATGACAGGATCACATTCACACATAGCAATATTAACCTTAAATGTAAAGGGGCTAAATGCCCCAATTAAAAGACACAGACTGGCAAATTGGATAGAGTCAAGACCCATCAGTGTGCTGTATTCAGGAGACCCATCTCACATGCAGAGACAAACATAGGCTCAAAATATAGGGACGGATGAAGATCTACCAAACAAATGGAAAGCAAAATAGCAAGGGCTGCAATCCTAGTCTTTGATAAAACCAAAAAAGGTTTAAACCTAGACTTTAAATCAACAAAGATCAAAAGAGACAAATAAAGACATTACATAACGGTAAAGGGATCAATTCAACAAGAAGAGCTAACTACGCTAAATATATATGCACCCAATACAGGAGCACCCAGATTCATAAAGCAAGTCCTCAGATCTACAAAGAGACTTAGACTCCCACACAATAATAATGGGAGACTTTAACACCCCACTGTCAACATTAGACAGACCAACGAGACAGAAGGTTAACAAAGATATCCAGGACTTGAACTCAGCTCTGCACCAAGCAGACCTAATAGACACTTACAGAATTATCCACTCTGAATCAAAAGAATATACATGCTTCACAGCACCACATCTCACTTATTCTAAAACTGACCACATAATTGGAAGTAAAGCACTCCTCAGCAAATGCAAAACAACAGAAATCACAACAAACTGTCTCTCAGACACAGTGCAATCAAATTAGAACTCAGGATTAAGAAACTCACTCACAACCACACAACTACATGGAAACTGAACAAAGTGCTCCTGAATGACTACTGGGCAAATAACAAAATGAAGGCAGAAATAAAGATTTTCTGTGAAACCAATGAGAACAAAGATAGAATGTACCAGAATCTCTGGGACACATTTAAAGCAGTGTGTAGAGGGAAATTTATAGCACTAAATGCCCACAAGAGAAAGGAGGAAAGATAGAAAATGGACACCCTAACATCACAATTAAAAGAAGAAGCAAGAGAAAACACATTCAAATGCTAGAAGAAGGCAATAAATAACTAAGATCAGAGCAGAACTGAAAGAGATAGAGACACAAAATCCCTTCAAAAATCAATGAATCCAGGAGCTGGTATTTTGAAAAGATGAACAAAATTGATAGACTGTGAGCAAGACTAGTAACAAAGAAAAGAGAGAAGAATCAAATAGATGCAATAAAAAATGATAAAGGGGATATCACCACTGATCCCACAGAAATACAAACTACCATCAGAGAATACCATAAACACCTCTACACAAATAAACTAGAAAATTTAGAACAAATGGATAAATTCCTGGAAACATATACCCTCCCAAGACTAAACCAGGAAGAAGTTGAATCTATGAATAGATCAATAACAGGCTCTGAAATTGAGGCAATAATTAATAGCCTACCAACCAAAAATAGCACAGGACCAGATGGATTCACAGCTGAATTCTATCGGAGGTATGAAGAGGAGTTGATACCATTCCTTCTGAAACTATTCCAAGCCATAGAAAAAGAGGGAATCCTCCCTAACTCATTTTATGAGGCCAACATCATCCTGATACCAAAGTCTGCTAGAGACACAACAAAAAATGAGAATTTTAGACCAATATCTCTAATGAACATCAGTGTGAAAATCCTCAGTAAAGTACTGGCAAACCGAATCCATCAGCACATCAAAAAACTTATCCACCACGATCAAGAGGGCTTCACTCCTAGGATGCAAGGCTGGTTCAACATATGCAAATCAATAAACGTAATCCATCACATAAACACAACCAATGACAAAAACCACAATTATCTCAATAGATGCAGAAAAGGCCTTTGACAAAATTCAACAGCCCTTCATGCTAAAAACTCTCAATAAACTAGGTATTGATGGAATGTATATCAAAATAATAAGAGCTATTTATGACAAACCCACAGACAATATCTTACTGAATGGGCAAAAACTGGAAGCATTCCCTTTGAAAACGGGCACAAGACAGGGATGCCTTCTTTCACCACTCCTATTCAACATAGTTTTGGAAGTTCTGGTCAGGGCAATCAGGCAAGAAAAAGAAATAAACGGTATTCAATAAGGAAAAGAGAAAGTCAAATTGTCCCTGTTTGCAGATGACATGATTGCATATTTAGAAAACCCCATTGTCTCAGCCCAAAATCATCTTAAGCTGATAAGCAACTTCAGCAAAGTCTCAGGATACAAAATCAATGTGCAAAAATTACAAGCATTCCTATACACCAATAACAGACAAACAGAGAGCCAAATCATAAGTGAACTCCCATTCACAATTGCTTCAAAGGGAATAAAATACCTAGGAATACAAATTACAAGGGATGTGAAAGACCTCTTCAAGGAGAACTACAACCCACAGCTCAACAAAATAAAAGAGGACGCAAATGGAAGAACATTCCATGCTCATGGATAAGAAGAATCAACATCATGAAAATGGCCATACTGCCCAAGGTAATTTATAAATTCAATGCCCTCTCCATCAAGCTACAAATGTCTTCTTCACAAAATTGGAAAAAACTACTTTAAAGTTCATATGGAACCAAAGAGAGCCCTCATTGCCAAGACAATCCTAAGCAAAAAGAACAATGCTAGAGGCATCATGCTACCTGACTTCCAGCTATACTACAAAGCTACAGTAACCAAAACAGCATGGTACTGGTACCAAAACAGAGATATAGACCAATGGAACAGAACACAGGCCACAGAAATAACACCACACATCTACAACCATCTGACCTTTGACAGAACTGACAAGAACAAGAAATGGGGAAAGGATTCCCTATTTAATAAATGGTGCTGGGAAAACTGGCTAGCCATATGTAGAAAGCTGAAACTGGATCCCTTCCTTACGCCTTATACAAAAATTAATTGAAGTGGATTAAAGACTTAAATGTTAGACCTAAAACCATAAAAACCCTACAAGAAAACCTAGGCAATACCATTCAGGACAGAGACATCGGCAAGGACTTCATGATTAAACACCAAAAGTAATGGCAACAAAAGCCAAAATAGACAAATAGGATCTAATTAAACTAAAGAGCTTATGCATGGCAAAGATACTACCATCTGGGTGAACAGGCAACCTACAGAATGGGAGAAAATTTTTGCAATCTACCCATCTGACAAAGGGCTAATATCCAGAATCTACAAAGAACTTAAATTTACAAGAAAAAAACAAACCACCCATCAAAAAGTGGGCAAAGGATATGAACAGACACTTCTCAAAAGAAGACATTTATGCAGCCAACAGACACATGAAAAAATGCTCATCATCACTGGCCATCAGAGAAATACAAATCAAAACCACAATGAGATACCATCTCACACAAGTTAGAATGGCAATCATTTAAAAAGTCAGGAAACAACAGATGCTGGAGAGGATGTGGAGAAATAGGAATGCTTTTACACTGTTGGTGGTATAGAGTAAATTAGTTCAACCACTGTGGAAGACAGTGTGGTGATTTCTCGAGGATCTAGAACTAGAAATCCCATTTGACCCAGCAATCCCATTACTGGGTATATACCCAAAGGATTATAAATCATGCTACTATAAAGACACATGCACACGTATGTTTATTGCAGCACTATTCTCAATAGCAAAGACTCAGAACCAATCCAAATGTCCATTAGTGATAGACTGGATTAAGAAAATGTGGCACATATACACCATGGAATACTATGCACCCATGAAAAAGGATGAGTTCATGTCCTTTGCAGGGACATGGATAAAGCTGGAAACCATCATTCTCAGCAAACTATCACAAGGACAGAAAACCAAACACCGCATGTTCTCACTCTTAGGTGGGAATTACATAATGAGAACACTTGGACACAGGGCGGGGAACATCACACACCAGGGCCTGTCAGGGGGTAGGGGGCTAGGGGAGAGATAGCTTTAGGAGAAATACGTAATGTAAATGACGAGTTGATAAGTGCAGCAAACCAACATGGCAAATGTATACCTATGTAACATACCTGCATGTTGTGCACATGTACCCTAGGACTTAAAGCATAATTGTAAAATAATTTTAAACAAATATTAAATTCACACTGTGCAATAATTGAAAGTAAAGGCAACTTTTTCCAGTTCCCTCAATTTGATTCCTAGTCCTCCCTCCCTGGATAGGTCTAAATGGGTTTTAACGAAATCAGCAATATTTTAAATTAGGCATTAGATGATATATATCTTACTAAACATTTTATCACAAATAAATGTCACTCAAATCTATACTTTTTAAAATCAAGGTCTTAACTTCTTAATTTTGGTCAGGGTATATTTCACATGACTATATATTATAAACATTATTTAATACATTTAAAAGCTGTTAAATTTAATTACTGACACAGTAAGGTCTCCAAAATGCTATTTCAATATTTAAAGAACAGCAGATTAAGACAGACTAGCAGCAGGTCACATGCAATACCTCATGCCTGTAGCCCCTGTGCTTTGGGAGGCTGAGGCAGGAGGATACTTGAGGAGTTTGAGACCAACCTGGGCAACATAGTGAGAACCGTGCCTCTACAACAAATTTAAATATTATCCTGGTGTGGTGGTGCATGCCCGTAGTCCTAGCCACTCAGGACGTTAAGAAAGGAAGATCACTTGAGCTAAGGGCTTGAGGTTATAGTGAGCCATGAACATGCCTCTGCACTCTAGCCTCAGTAAAGAGTGAGACCTTGGGCCGGGCGCGGTGGCTCACGCCTGTAATCCCAGCACTTTGGGAGGCCGAGGCGGGCGGATCACGAGGTCAGGAGATCGAGACCATCCCGGCTAAAACGGTGAAACCCCGTCTCTACTAAAAATACAAAAAATTAGCCGGGCGTAGTGGCGGGCGCCTGTAGTCCCAGCTACTTGGGAGGCTGAGGCAGAAGAATGGCGTGAACCCGGGAGGCGGAGCTTGCAGTGAGCCGAGATCCCGCCACTGCACTCCAGCCTGGGCGACAGAGCGAGACTCCGTCTCAAAAAAAAAAAAAAGAGTGAGACCTTGTCTCTAAAAATAATATTTAAAAAAAAAAGACCAGCAAAAAAGTACCTCACTACAAGTAACATGATGAGACTCTATCCTCACCAAACCAATAGCAATGATACTGCCATGCATTTTACTGTGTCTATCAAAGACAAAGATGTTCAACAGTATCTCTGTGGCCCACTATAAGCATAATTCACAAAACTGTATTTTAACAGAACTCAAATATCTTTAAATGTCATGCAAAGACAAACACATAAAGCCTTTCTCTAGAGATCCAAAATGCATTTTTTTTTTTTTTTTTGCAGCAGTAGCAGCAGCACCATCAGCAGCAAACAGAAAAAGCATCTTAAAAATAATTGGTTATTTGTCCTTCCAACAATGTTTTTTCTTCCCAAATGTGCAAGCTAGGACTGTTTGATTTTCTGTAAGGAAGTCTTATACAGAAAGATAAGTTTTATCTGAAGGCTATAGAGCTCTCTCAAAACCTAAAGAGTATCGGGTGTGGAAGGGGAAGTAGATAAGCCTCAGGATTACACACATGTGAATCTAAGTGATACTGGAGGCACAGAAACAGACTCTTAACTCTGCTTTTTGCACATACGTTTTTACTCTTTCTACAGACGGGTTTCTTCTGCACACCATTGCATTTGGTATACAGTATCTGTTTGAAGCTCCTGAAATTACCAGTTATGGTTATACAAAATACTGACAATCTCTATCTCTCCTTCTCTCTGTATATATGTGTGTGTGTGTGTGTGTGTGTGTGTGTGTGTCTGTAACATATATCGTAGACATTTACACACACCCACTATGGGAAAAAAAAAATCTAACTGGCTTACTTGGGTCAGGTGCACAATTTTGGATGAAGTACCTATAATTAGATGACTAAGATGACTTAGTAAAAGCATAGCTTCTGTGGGTCTCCTCTAGCCCTGTGAGTCTACAGGGTGTAAGTTTATCTAAAAGACAAAATGGAAGATTGAAAGTCTAAACAAAATTGCTAGTAAATGTCTATTAAGTTAAGAAAATGTGGCACATATACACCATGGAATACTATGCAGCCATAAAAAATGATGAGTTCATGTCCTTTGTAGGGACGTGGATGAAATTGGAAACCATCATTCTCAGTAAACTATCGCAAGAACAAAAAACCAAACACCGCATATTCTCACTCATAGGTGGGAATTGAACAATGAGATCACAAGGACACAGGAAGGGGAATATCACACTCTGGGGATGGTGGTGGGGTCGGGGGAGGGGGGAGGGATAGCAGTGGGAGATATACCTGATAGATGACACGTTGGTGGGTGCAGCGCACCAGCATGGCACATGTATACATATGTAACTAACCTGCACAATGTGCACATGTACCCTAAAACTTAAAGTATAATAAAAAAAAAATTAAAAAAAAATAAATAAAAAAAATAAAAAATAAAAAATAAAAAATTAAAAAAAAAAAAGAATAAAAGCTTTTCTAAGAAAATTCACATGCTTAGCAATATTAGTCTTGACATCCAACAAAGACTAATAAGTGAAAAGAATCATTAACTATTTTTAATACTATTATACCACCAATACGTTTGTATTCCCGCTGTACAGTAACATATCAATACACTGAGATGGCATGGTTTGCAGCAGAGAGAGTTTAATGATTACAGAATACTGAGATAGGAGATGCAAGGGGACCCTCAAATCCATCTCCCTCAGGAGTCCTGAAGTGGAGTTTTTAAGGGGATCGTGGAGGGCCAGGGGATGGAAAATTTGAGTCATCTATTGGTCAGGGCAAGGGGAATAAAATCATCAGGATGTGGAAACCACATTATTTGGTGAGTCAGCTCCTTGGGGGTCCTTCAGATCACCTGGTGTTAGTGGGGTGTGTCAGACTAGCTGATGTCAGTATGCAGGAGCTGAAAGAATATCTCAAAGGGAAAACATTTCATAGTGTTCAAGTTTTTATTAGAGAACAGTTAAGGGAACTGTAATCTAATGTCTATGTGATTCTAGGACAACAGGCAACAGACAGCTCTGACAAAGCAGACCAGAGAGCAAGTCGACCTTACGGTTAATGATGAATGTGCTGCAAGCTTGGTTTATTTTTGCTTCTCCCTTTCCGTTCTTCACTGATTAATTTTATAAAGTGTACAGGAACAGTTTCAATACTATATTTCTTTGGTCAAGAAACAGCATATTCTTTGCCTCCTGTCATCTTACAGATAATCTTTGGGCTGACACCAATTCAGAAAGATTCCCAATCTCAAATAATAAATTTTTCATGGTCCTAAAACAATTAAGTAGCAATTATAAATGTGAAGTATTATTTAAAATCTGTAAACTTTACTTCATTGATATCACATTCAATTTACTTTAAAGAAATTATAATTCTTTCATAGTCACAACTTAATTTTACAATATCTGGAAATTGCAAAGTTCAAAAGTCGGTACCACTTTTTTTTCTGAATATTCGTCTAAATTTAGACTGAACTAAGATGTCTGCATTCTTTCAAGGTCAGTGAAAAGACACTCAAAAAAGTACAAAACAGGGTGGCTATAGTCAATAACAACTGTACATTTTCAAATAATTTAAAGAATATAATTGAATTGTTCGCAGCTCAACAAATAAATGCTTAAGGGGATGGATACCCCATTCTTCATGATGTTCTCATTTCACATTACACACTGTATCAAAACATTTCATGCACCCCATAAATATATATACCTACTATGTACCCCCCCAAATTATTTTAATTAAATAGGGAAAAAAATAAAATAGGAAGGAATCCAAACAAATGTACAATTGCTACAGAAATAATCATAATGAAGCATTGAAATATTATTGAAAGTAGATATTAATAACAATTTGATCATTAATTGGCCAAAACTAATAGACAAATTGGTCTTATAATTTCAACCTACAGTTTAAAGAATCTATCATTCAAATACCTAACACATTTTATATTATTTCTGTCAATAAAGTCAAATATTAATGTAAACATTCATTAGTCTCAGTGTGCGGTGAAGTAGATTGAATTTAGTAATAGTTTATTTTAAAAGATATGCAATACAATGAAAGAACTTGAAGGGATCTCAGGAAGGGTGGTATTTTACCATCTACTGATCACATTAATAGACACAGAGTGGCACAGAATCTAAGTGAGTAAAAAAACTAAGACAAATTATCACACTTTGGGAAATTTCAGGGTTTTTTTTCTTGTTTTTGTTTTCTACTTTAAAAATAGTTTTAATTTATATGCAAATATTAAACAGTGTTCTACCCATAAATTCTATTTTCCAAAAACAGCTAGGAGCTTTTTTAGAGAAGAAAACCACACAATGAATTTTACTTTATTTTTTTTTATTTTTTATTTTTTTTGAATTTTTTTTTTTATTATACTCTAAGTTTTAGGGTACATGTGCACATTGTGCAGGTTAGTTACATATGTATACATGTGCCATGCTGGTGCGCTGCACCCACTAACGTGTCATCTAGCATTAGGTATATCTCCCATTGCTATCCCTCCCCCCTCCCCCGACCCCACCACAGTCCCCAGAGTGTGATATTCCCCTTCCTGTGTCCATGTGATCTCATTGTTCAATTCCCACCTATGAGTGAGAACCCTACAAGCCAGAACAATGAATTTTAAAAAGCACTGGAATTCCTCTACTTCTAGATCATTGCTAAGCTAGAAAAACGAAGATTTTTCTACCAGGAATTGCAAGTCAGAACTGAGTATTCTTCAAAGCAGAGATTATAGAGTTTAGTGCCATTTGAGGCAAAGATTATTCATCTCTCATCTCCAACATCCGCAGTTACCTATCAGAAATATTAAACCAGGTCAAAATAGTCCAGCATAATTAGGCTTCATCAAACAAGGCTATTATTTTCTTCTAAGATGCTAATAAACTAAAACAGGAAACACTGAAATCAAAATAAAAGATATTATTTGAGGATACCTGTCTCACAAATACTTAGTTCCTTATTGTATTCCCCTTCTATAACACTAATAAAGGGAATATTTTACTGCAAAGGATATTTCATTTTATATATCACTAGTCATGAATTTTTTTCATTAGTTATTACATAAATGCCTCCTGGTGCCATTATCCAAATAGTGTGACCATTTTATGTCCACAATTCATTTCTGAATTTACAAACAGAATTTTCATGATTTACACAAGTACATCTATCAGTGAAGTATCGCACTGAGAAGAAAGCTAACATTCATAATATCTGATGTTTTACAGACAGCAATGTAGGAGAAACGTTTTTAATCACCTTTTAAGTGACCCACTGTAAAAAAATAAGTGAATAATTTAGAAGTTCTAAGTCTCCAAAGGATATTTTCAAATGTACTTGTAGAAATGTGAGGTTTTTAAGAAACGTCTTCCATGTCCACATCCTGTTGTAATTGCTGTACCATTTTCTCTTACAGCTGCTTTCCTTTGCCTACAAGAGGGGCTCGGATAAGATGGATGTTTTGCTTGACTTTTTTTGATCTCCTGAACTTTCTGTAGCTCCTTATTTTTCTTCAATCTGTTCATTATAAATTTAGCTTGACGTTTCTGTTTGATCTCTTCAACTCTCTTCATTGCATCAGTAGTTTTATTCCATAGCTCTTGCTGGTATTTCATAGGTTCGTGTCTACGTTTTTCAAAGATCAAATGAATAATTCACTCTAAGCTCTTTACCAGCTGCTTTCTGGAATGCTTTGGTCCACCTGAAATTGCAAGGATGTATTTCTTTTTAAAGTTTTTATGGCATTTCTATTTACAAAATCTGAACACCTTGCAATCTTTGCAAACAAACATCATGCAGTGGCCAGGGTCCAGAGTACATGGGCCCTGAACAAAAATAACAATTCCAAATAGGCATGTTGAAACTGTGTGGTTCCCACCAACCAAATACCAACTTTAAGTAGAAGTTGAAACTTAAGTTTTGAGTTTACATTACAACCAACAATTCTTCATTCTTGGATCTATTGAAAGGATCTAGAATCTAGCTGTCTATTAATAATATCATTTTTAAAAAATCAAATAATTTTGCATTATTCACTTCTTTCATATGGGTGTATGTGTATATAACACTTAATAAATTTGTGTAATAAAGATCTTTTATTAAGAAATGTACAAATATGTTTATATATATTCATACTAAATATATTATTTATATATTTAACTTCATAGATCATTTGATAATGCTTACAGAGACACATATCCTATAAGAGGGTACTTATTTCAATCCAAAATATTTAGATAGTGAATAGAATATAGTTCATTACGATTATTTACTTTTTCACACATTTATGAAGCTAAAGAAATTTCTAGAAACATAGATGATAGCTGGGTAGATGGATGGACAGATGAATGAACAGATGTTCATAGTACTTGCACCATTCCAAAGTGTTTTGTCTTAGCTTAAAGGAAAAGAAAAAAATACAGATAGAGGCAGATTTTAATTTTTAAAGAAATAGTAATGAAGGGGATATCACCACCGATCCCACAGAAATACAAACTACCATCAGAGAATACTACAAACACCTCTATGCAAATAAACTAGAAAATCTAGAAGAAATGGATAAATTCCTCGACACATACATCCTCCCAAGACTAAACCAGGAAGAAGTTGAATCTCTGAATAGACCAATAACAGGCTCTGAAATTGTGGCAAAAATCAATAGCTTACCAACCAAAAAGAGTCCAGGATCAGATGGATTCACAGCCGAATTCTTCCAGAGGTACAAGGAGGAGCTGGTACCATTCCTTCTGAAACTATTCCAATCAATAGAAAAAGAGGGGACCCTCCCTCACTCATTTTATGAGGCCAGTATCATCCTGATACGAAAGCCTGACAGAGACACAACCAAAAAAGAGAATTTTAGACCAATATCCTTGATGAACATTGATGCAAAAATCCTCAATAAAATACTGGCAAAACGAATCCAGCAGCACGTCAAAAAGCTTATCCACCATGATCAAGTGGGCTTCATCCCTGGGATGCAAGGCTGGTTCAATATACGCAAATCAATAAATGTAATCCAGCATATAAAGAGAACCAAAGACAAAAACCACATGATTATCTCAATAGTGGCAGAAAAGGCCTTTGACAAAATTCAACAACCTTCATGCTAAAAACTCTCAATAAATTAGGTATTGATGGGACGTATCTCAAAATAATAAGAGCTATCTATGACAAACCCACAGCCAATATCATACTGAATGGGCAAAAACTGGAAGCATTCCCTTTGAAAACTGCCACAAGACAGGGATGCCCTCTCTCACCACTCCTATTCAACATAGTGTTGGAAGTTCTGGCCAGCGCAATGAGGCAGGAGAAGGAAATAAAGGGTATTCAATTAGGAAAAGAGGAAGTCAAATTGTCCCTGTTTGCAGATGACATGATTGTATACCTAGAAAACCCCATTGTCTCAGCCCCAAATCTCCTTAAGCTGATAAGCAACTTCAGCAAAGTCTCAGGATACAAAATCAATGTACAAAAATCACAAGCATTCTTATACACCAATAACAGACAAACAGAGAGCCAAATCATGAGTGAACTCCCATTCACAATTGCTTCAAAGAGAATAAAATACCTAGGAATCCAACTTACAAGGGATGTGAAGGACCTCTTCAAGGAGAACTACAAACCACTGCTCAACAAAATAAAAGAGGAACACAAACAAATGGAAGAACATTCCATGCTCATGAGTAGGAAGAATCAATATCGTGAAAATGGCCATACTGCCCAAGGTAATTTATAGATTCAATGCCATCCCCATCAAGCTACCAATGACTTTCTTCACAGAATTGGAAAAAACTACTTTAAAGTTCATATGGAACCAAAAAAGAGCCCGCATCGCCAAGTCAATCCTTAGCCAAAAGAACAAAGCTGGAGGCATCATGCTACCTGACTTCAAATTATACTACAAGGCTACAGTAACCAAAACAGCATGGTACTGGTACCAAAACAGAGATATAGATCAATGGAACAGAACAGAACCCTCAGAAATAACGCTGCATATCTACAACTATCTGATCTTTGACAAACCTGAGAAAAACAAGCAATGGGGAAAGGATTCCCTATTTAATAAATGGTGCTGGGAAAATTGGCTAGCCATATGTAGAAAGCTGAAACTGGATCCCTTCCTTACACCTTATACAAAAATTAACTCAAGATGGATTAAAGACTTAAATGTTAGACCTGAAACCATAAAAACCCTAGAAGAAAACCTAGGCATTACCATTCAGGACATAGGCATGGGCAAGGATTTCATGTCTAAAACACCAAAAGCAATTTCAACAAAAGCCAAAATCGACAAATGGGATCTAATTAAACTAAAGAGCTTCTGCACAGCAAAAGAAACTACCATCAGAGTGAACAGGCAACCTACAAAATAGGAGAAAATTTTCGCAACCTACTCATCTGACAAAGGGCTAATATCCAGAATCTACAATGAACTTAGACAAATTTACAAGAAAAAAACAAACAATCCCATCAAAAAGTGGGCAAAGGACATGAACAGACACTTCTCAAAAGAAGACATTTATGCAGCCAAAAAACACATGAAAAAATGCTCACCATCACTGGCCATCAGAGAAATGCAAATCAAAACCACAATGAGATACCATCTCACACCAGTTAGAATGGTGATCATTAAAAAGTCAGGAAACAACAGGTGCTAGAGAGCATGTGGAGAAATAGAAACACTTTTACACTGTTGGTGGGACTGTAAACTAGTTCAACCATTGTGGAAGTCAGTGTGGCGATTCCTCAGGGATCTAGAACTAGAAATACCATTTGACCCAGCAATCCCATTACTGGGTATATACCCAAAGGACTATAAATCATGCTGCTATAAAGACACATGCACACATATGTTTATTGCTGCACTATTCACAATAGCAAAGACTTGGAATCAACCCAAATGTCCAACAATGATATACTGCATTAAGAAAATGTGGCACATATACACCATGGAATACTATGCAGCCATAAAAAATGATGAGTCCATGTCCTTTGTAGGGACATGGATGAAATTGGAAATCATCATTCTCAGTAAACTATCGCAAGAACAAAAAACCAAACACTGCATATTCTCACTTATAGGTGGGAATTGAACAATGAGAACACATGGACACAGGAAGGGGAACATCACACTCTGGGGACTGTTGTGGGGTTGGGGGAGGGGGAAGGGATAGCTTTAGGAGATATACCTAATGCTAAATGACGAGTTAATGGGTGCAGCACACCAGCATGGCACATGTATACATATGTAACTAACCTGCACATTGTTCACATGTACCCTAAAACTTGAAGAAGAATAATAATTAAAAAAATAATAAAAAAAGAAAGAAATAGTTGGAAATAAATGAATGTGAAGGAAGTTTACATCAAAGATATCTGACACAATCTAAATACAAAAGGCAGGGCTAATTAAGCAACATTCTTTGATATAGACTACTCCCTCCTACTCATTACTGTTTTTTTAATCTGTTTTCTGGTTTCTGATTTCTAGCATGACTAAGGATTAAATTTCGAGCTGCTTTTAATTTTAATCCAAACAGCCCCTTGTGGCTAAATAGTTACAGTATTGAATCATGTAAGACCAGGTAACCTATATTCTGCCCCAAAGCAAACTACCCAAAAAACATGGAATATTCTGTCTAGAAAGGGCCCACTCTATGTCTAGAAAGATGTCCAGGCCTGGTTTCTTGCTTCCTCTCCAGTATTAGATCACTTTTTTAACCCGTTTTCTTCTCTTGGCATTATTCCTTAATGAAAAACAGTGAATTATGTATATAAATTTATAACATCTTAAATGAAAGGAGAAGTTATTTAAAACATGTGACCATGCTTCCTGAAATGATTTCTAACCTTTACATTTGGAGAACAAGCTAAGAGATGGCATTTGCAAAGGTTTCCTAGGATGTTACTAACATTAACTATTTAAGATTTGCTCTGTGCCCTATTTAATAAAAAGTGACTTTTCTCTTATTTGCAGCAAGGAAAAATTGGTCTTACTTGCAATATAAATCAAAAAGCTGGTCTCAAGTCTGTGTCTTGTGATCTCACCTCTCAAAAATAAATAGTCCCTCACACTGAGTCTCTCTTGTGACACCGGGAGGTGGAACCAACCACACACGGCCTCCTGTTCTCATATGCTGCTGGGGCTAATACTAAGGTTCAGTAGTTGCTGCCACAGAGGCTAAAAAGGAGAAAGACATCACCATTTGGTTCTCTGCTCCTAAATCTGCTTTTCCACCATGGCATCTTCTTTCTTCTCACCCTGCCCACTATTGCCCAGCCCACAGAGTCACCAGAAAACTTGTCTGGAATGTGACAGAACTGAAGAAACCAAATGGCAGCTGGGCAGGTTCAATCCTATAGAGAGTTGTGCATTCTTCATTCACCTGTTATTTGGTATTTGGGAGGCAATACACAACACAACTGTTCATTGCACAGGCTATGGAGTCAGACAGAAGTGGCCTCAGATCTCTGCTTAAATAGATACTATGACCTTTGGCAAGCTCTTGAACTGAACGCTCATTGTGTCTATGTTTTCTCATCAGTAAAATGGAGATATTAAAAGCTGCTCCAGAGAATAATTATTAGGACAATTTAAATAATGCATATGAATTTGTTACCCTGTCTCTGGCATAGAGTCTCCAAATGACAGCTATAATAATTTTTAAAAGGATAAAATAAGTGTAGGTATAACTTAATAACAATGATCTTAGGAAGTGTTTATTACCCAGCTGTATATCCCTGCTGAATTCCCTAAGTTGAATTCTGCTCTTTATTAAAATTGTAAGCCATTTATGGGGGCATTTAGTATGTCAGTTGTTTAATTTTGAAAAATGAATATTACCTTTGTAAAATCATCTGGTCAAGAATTTACATTACATTACACTTAACACAGAGACTTCCATTGTACTTAGAATGTCTTCATCAAGTTTATTAAAAAGATGTAAGGCTTGGGGAAATTTACATCTGATGTTCAATTACCAGTTTTTTTTTTTACAAATACAAACTCTATATGTTTAAGGCATACAACTTGATGTTTTGATATATAATATATACATTGTGAAATGATCACCATAATCAAGCTGATTAACGTATCTCTCAACTCAGATACGATTTTCTTTTCTTCTCTCTTTTTCTATGTGCTAACAACACTTAAGGTTTATCCTCTCAGAAAATTGTAAGTACACAACACAATATTGTTAACTATAGTCACCATCCTGCATATTAGAGCTACATAACTCACTCATCTTATGTAACTGTAGAATCACTATTAGCAAAAAGACAAAGAGAAGTGCTGGTAATGATGTGGAGGAAAGAAAAATTTGTACACTGTTGATGGAAATGTAAATTCGTATAGCCATTATGGAAAATAGCCTGAAGATTTCCTCAAATGTAAAAAATAGAAATAACATATGATCCAGCAATCCCTCCTCTGGGTATATATACAAAGGAAATAAAATCTTCATTTCAAAGAGATATCTCCACCCCCATGTTCATTGCAATATTATTCACAATAGCCAAGTTATGAAAACAACCTGAATGTTCATTGACAGATGAATGGATATAAACACACATGCACACACACACACACACACACACACACACACACACACACCAAATATTATGAATGGTGATCATTAAAAAGCCAGGAAACAGCAGGTGCTGGAGAGGATGTGGAGAAATAGAAAAACTTTTACACTGTCGGTGGGACTGTAAACTAGTTCAACCATTGTGGATGACAGTGTGGCAATTCCTCAAGGATCTAGAATTAGAAATACCATTTGACCCAGCCATCCCATTACTGGGCATATACCCAAAGGATTATAAATCATGCTGCTATAAAGACACATGCACACGTATGTTTATTGCAGCACTATTCACAATAGCAAAGACTTGGAACCAACCCGAATGTCCATCAATGACAAACTGCATTAAGAAAATGTGGCACATATGCACCATGGAATACTATGCAGCCATAAAAAATGATGAGTTCATGTCCTTTATAGGGACATGGATGAAGCTAGAAACCATCATTCTGAGCAAACTATCGCAAGGACAGAAAACCAAACACCACATGTTCTCACTCATAGGTGGGAATTAAACAATAAGGACACTTGGACACAGGGTGGGGAACATCACACACTCGGGCCTGTCATAGGGTGGAGGGAGGGGGGAGGGATAGCATTAGGTGATATACCTAATGTAAATGATGAGTTAACAGGTGCAGCACACCAACATGGCACATGTATACATATTAACAAACCTGCACATTGTGCACATGTACCCTAGAACTTAAAGTATATAAAAAAAGAATGAAATTCTTCTATTTGTAACAATATGGATGTGTCTTGAGGACATAATACTAAGTAAAATAAGGCAAACACAGAAAAACAAATACTGTATGATCTCAGAAGTACATACGAAAGCAAAATCCCACACCAAAAGAGAGGAGAAAGGAAGGCAGCTATGCAGGCAGTTAGGGCAGATCCTTGGTAGAATTCTTTCCAACAAAGAGCAGCCTGAAAAATCAAGCAGCAAGCACAGATAAGGAAGCAAGGTCTACCATAAAAACACCTTTGTTCCTTCAGTATGATATTGGCTGTGAGTTTGTCATAAATAGCTTTTACTATTTTGAGATACATTCCATCAATACCTAGTTTATTCAGAGTTTTTAGCATGAAGAGGTTTTGAATTTTATTGAAGGCTTTTTCTGCATCTATTGAGATAATCATGAGGTTTTTGTCATTGGTTCTGTTTATGTGATGGATTACATTTACTGACTTGTGTATGTTGAACCAGCCTTGCATCCTAAGGACGAAGCTGACTTGATCGTGGTGGCTGGATTTGGTTTGTCAGTATTTAATTGAGGATTTTCACATCGATGTTAATCAGGGATATTGGCCTGAATTTTCTTTTTTGTTGTTGTTGTGTCTCTGCCAGGTTTTGGTATCAGGATGATGCTGGCCTCATAAAATGAGTTAGGGAGGATCCCCTCTTTTTTTGTTGTTTGGAATAATTTCAGAGGGAATGGTAACAGGTCCTCTTTATACCTCTGGTAGAATTCAGCTGTGAATCCGTCTGATCCATGGCTTTTTTTGGTTGCTAGGCTATTAATTACTTCCTCAATTTCAGAAGCATTCCCTTTGAAAACTGGCACAAGACAAGGATGCTCTCTTTCACCACTTCTATTCAACACAGTATTGGAAGTTCTGGCCAGGGCAATCAGGCAAGAGAAAGAAATAAAGCTATTCAAATAGGAAGAGAGAAAGTCAAATTGTCTCTGTTTGCAGATCATATGATTGTATATTTAGAAAATCCCATCGTTTCAGCACAAAATCTCCTTAAGCTGATAAGCAACTTCAGCAATGTCTCAGGATACAAAATCAGTGTGCAAAAATCACGAGCATTCCTGTAAGCCAATCATAGACAAAACAGAGAGCCAAATCATGAGTCAACTCCCATTCATAATTGCTTCAAAGAGAATAAAATACCTAGGAATACAACCTACAAGGGATGTGAACTATCTCTTCAAGGAGAACTACAAACCACTGCTCAAGAAAATAAGAAAGGACACAAACAAATGGAAAAACATTCCATGCTCATGGATAGGAAGAATCAATGTCATGAAAATGGCCATGCTGCCCAAAGTAATTTATAAACTCAATGCTATCCCCATCAAGCTACCACCAACTTTCTTCACATAATTAGAAAAATCTACTTTAAATTTCATATAGAACAAAAGAAGAGCCTGTATAGCCAAGAGAATCCTAAGCAAAAAGAATAAAGCTGGAGTCATCACGCTACCTGACTTCAAACTATACTACAAGGCTACAGTAACCAAAACAGCATGGTACTGGTACCAAAACAGATACATAGACCAATGGAACAGAACAGAGGCCTCAGAAATAACACTACACATCTACAACCATCTGATCTATGACAAACCTGACAAAAACAAGCAATGGAGGAAAGGATGCCCTATTTAATAAATTGTGTTGGGAAAACAAACTATCCATATGCAGAAATCTGAACCTGGATCCCTGCCTTACACCTTATACAAAAATTAATTCAAGATGGATTAAAGACTTAAATGTAAGACCTAAAACTATAAAAACCCTAGAATAAAACCTAGGCAATACCATTCAGGACATAGACATGGGCAGAGACTTCATGACTAAAACACCAAAAGCAATGGCAACAAAAGCAATAAACTGACAAATGGGATCTAATTAAACTAAAGAGCTTCTGCAGAGCAAAAGAAATTATCATCAGAGTGAACAGGCAACCTACAGAATCGAAGAAAATTTTTGCAATCTACCCATCTGACAAAGGGCTAATATCCACAATCTACAAAGAATTTAAATTTACAAGAAAAAACACCAAACAACCCCATAAAAAAGTGGGCAAAGGATATGAACAGACACTTCTCAAAAGAAGATGTTTATGTGGCCCACAAACACATGAAAAAAAGCTCATAATCACTAGTCATTAGAGAAATACAAATCAAAATCACAATGAGATTCCATCTTACACCAGTTAGAACAATGATCATTAAAAGTTAGGAAACAACAGATGCTAGAGAAGATGTGGAGAAAAAGGAATACTTTTACACTGTTTGGTGGGAGTGTAAATTAGTTCAACCATTGTGAAAGACAGTTTGGCGATTCCTCAAGGATCTAGAACTAGAATTACCATTTGACCCAGCACTCCCATTACTGGGTATATAGCCAAAGGATTATAAACCATTCTACTACAAAGACACATGCACACCTATGTTTATTGCAGAACTGTTCACAGTAGCAAAGACTTGGAACCAACCCAAATGCCCATCAGTGATAGACTGGATTAAGAAAATGTGGCACATATACACCATGGAATACTATGCAGCCTTATAAAAAAGATGAGTTCATGTCCTTTGCAGGACATGGATGAAGCTGGAAACCTTTATTCTCAGCAAACTAACACAGGAACAGAAAACAAAACACCGCATGTTCTCTCTCATAAGTGGAAGTTGAACAATGAGAACACATGGACACGGGGAGGGGAACATCACACACCGGGGCCTGACAGGGGGTGGGGGACTAGGGGGGGGATAGCATTAGGAGAAATACCTAATGTAGATGACAGGTTGATGAGTGCAGCAAACCACCATGGCAACAAACCTGCATGTTCTGCATATGTATTGCAGAACTTGAAGTATAATAATAATAATAATAAACCTTTGTCTTTTATGCAACCAGTGAGTTCTGTCCATACACAGTGGGCTTTCCTTTTTGGGCATACTCAGATAAGGGAACTTAGACTAGGGACTTCCTTAAGACATGCTTGCAGCTGCAGAGATAAGAGGATTTACACAAACCAAACACGTCCACAGTGGAAAATTCCATCTCCTGACACATGACTCAGGCTAAGGAACCACATGCTCACTAGAGGGGCAGGGTGGAGCTGTCACAAATTTCTGCTTTATGCAAATAAGATGCCCAGTCCTAACTGGTTTTTTCCACCTTATGTAAATGAAACACCCCACCTCATTCGCTTTTGCATAAAAGCCTTTGTACTCAACTGTGAAATGCCAACCTTCCTCGGGCCCCCTCCCCGCAGTGGATAGCTTTTCTCTCTCTCTTATTAAACTTTCACTCAAACTCACCCTCGATGACCACACCCCTTATTCTTCTTGGTCATGAGACAAAGAACTTTGGGTAATACCTCAGACAATGAGACTACTTCACTAATACCTCCCCAATTTCACTAATTCTTTGTACCATTACTTCTAGGATTTCCCTTATCGAAGAAGCATTGGCATGTATCAGTCATTAATCTGTCATTCTTCTTTTTTGGAAATCAATGTCCAAGTCTTATAAATTTCACAACATTGATATCTTAAATATCTTTCTATTTCCATACCCACTGCCTTACTACAGATTCTTAATATCTCGTACTAATGATATTCTCATAGCTTCCTAAGAGGCCTTGCTCTGTCTCCATTTATAAGCTCTCTAAAGCTCCCAAGTGATCTTTGTATAATGCAACCTGATCATACCACTCCTTTGTCTGGAGGCCTGCAGTGATTTCCATTGTTTAGATTATAAAGCTAAACCTTTAACCATGGTATACAAAATTATTTGTGCTATGTCCCTGGCTTTCTTTCCAGTCTCAGGTCTACTTCCTGTGCCTTGTTTTCTCACACTATTTTCTAGCCTTGCCAAACTGCCTAAAGATACCCAACACTACTTGCTACTTTTGGATACAAGCAACAGAAACCCACTGAAAGCACTTTAATATGTATTTTGAATTGAATGCTCATCCTGATCATAGAATAGTGTAGATGGCCAAGCTGAAAATGGAAGACAATTGTGACAAAGGTATTAATAGGTCATAGAATCTGATATTGGAAGTACAATTCATGCCATGAAGAGTAAACTCTGAATTAGAAAGTCTTTATGAAGTTGGCAAATTTATACATGGTCTCTAATTTCTGTCTCTCTGAGTCTGTTCCATTTTTTTTATTTTGTTGATATGGTCTCTCTGTTCAGCTCATCTTGCACATGGAACAACATGATCACCATCCAGAGTATATAAAGTCCTCTCAGCTCCACAGCCATGGCCAACTGATGATTCTATGTTATTTAGTTAAAAATCTAGCCCATTTACTCACTACTTGGCAAAACTTTAGCTCTATAGTCAAACCACATGTTGATTGTCTCACATCCCTGTTTCTCCACTTAATCACCAATATCTTCCTTTATACAGAAAAATAATTCAGCATTATTTCTCTGTGTGTGGTAGGGGCAGGAGGTGGTGAGGTAGTGGGGAATTTAGCAGTTTAAGCTAGAAGTGGCAGGTGGGTAGGACAGGCATGTGACTAACATCCAGTACATACACAAAGCCTCTGTGCTTTCATCTGAAATATGCTCTTCTCCTCCTTGTCTGCTGGTGATAACCATCCATTTTTCAAAACACTGTAAAGTTTCTGGATAACAGGGACTTTGTCATGCTTGTTAGTATATCTCTAGCCTGGAAAATACCATGTAATCTTTAAATAGTTGTTGAATTAATGAACAAATACATTCTGGTTATTTTCCTATAAGGTCATCCCTACCAAAAAATGGCCACTCCTTCCTTTATACCCCATTAGAATACCCTCTATGCATACCTTTATTAGAAACTAAAATACTGATGTACTTATTTGAGTCCATCACTTTACTAGACTGTGACCTCCTTGAGGAAACACCTTGAGAAAACATGATTTATTAATTTCAACATTTCTAATCCAATGTAGATGCTGAAAAAAAATGCCTGTTGAATCAATGACTGAGTAAATGAGCAACATTAACAAGCCCTTCACATTCATAGTGTCCTTTTGTTCCTCTTTTTTAAGAGCACTATTTTATGTAAGGTTTCAGGAAGCAGAAATAAGTAAAGCAGCACAAATTTTGTCACTGTGAAGAACATGTCTTACCCTGCAAGCAAAAGTATTTTTCAGCCCATTCCTGTTCCTTTCTCTGCTGGCTGTCCACTGGAGAAACTGGTCTTCAACCCACCCTCTCTCTGAAGAACACTAGAGAATTTTGGTAAAGATCCTGACATAAGACTTTGACTGATTTATACCAAAGACACAATTATAAAACAAGTCTCTATGGAATATACTAATTGGCTCTGTTTTAATATCCTTTAATCACAACACATATAATTCTTTTGCTTGGAGATCACCTAAAGACTATAATATGCCCAAAACAATCAGATACATTGTACTTTCATCTCCTTAATGAACTTTGCTATATTTTGTCTTTTCCAGTAAATTACAAATGAGTCACAGTTTGGAAATAATTCTAAAAGAAAGCCCTTTCCAAGCATGGAAGTGGTAAATATAAACTTCAGCGTATGACCATCTGTCAGAGTTAATTCCCGTCAGGGATTTCGTCCTTAGTTATTTGTTTCTATAGACAATGTAAAGCAAAAGTCAAAGCGTGAACTTTGAATAGTAGCAAATTCTTTATATATTTACCAGCTTGTTTCCAACACTAATTTTCTTCAATATATAAATAATTATATTAAATTTTTTTATGTATGAAACAAACTAGAAAGTGAAATTTTCTAAGTTCCTATTCTCTGGAAGTAACCCTAATGAACACTAATTTTTTTTCAATAACTTGTTTTCAATAGCATGTATGGTTGCTTATCATTTTTAGATTTGCCTAATCTTGTTAGGGTTGCCTCAAAGTTTTACATAAATTTGGTTGAATAAACCAGTAATAGTATTTTTGGAAAGTATCAAAAGAGGCATCACTAATTTGCTTATGTTGATGCAGGGTCATTTTAAACATGCGATATAGACAAGCATTCTCTACAATAACATTGAATAATTACAATGACAGTATTTTTTGGTCTCTTGTGCTCTCTCATATGACAGTGAAGTGGCTAATTGCTCTGCAACATAGCCTATTACAGCCACAGTTAATTAACTGCAATAATTACCTAATGTACTTTTCTGTACAATTAGAAAGTTTCAGATATAACAAATAAAATTTGCTTCCCCTTTTGAGGTGTGCAGCTATATTATATTTAGCAAACATACATTTTTATTTATGGTAAGTACACTCAATTAAGATTATCCTCAAGCACCATGAGAGTGAGATAGGAATCTACTTGCAGACAAGTTACTAAAAGTTTTCTCTGAAACAACAGTCACACTCAACATGTTTTTCTTTTGAAAGTGGTGGATACGGCTGGGCACAGTGGCTCACGTCTGTAATCCCAGCACTTTGGGAGGCCAAGGCAGGTGGATCACGAAGTCAAGAGATCAAGACCATCCTGGCCAATATGGTGAAACCCCGTCTCTACTAAAAATGCAAAAATTAGCTGGGTGTGGTGGCAGGTGCCTGTAATCCCAGCTACTCGGGAGGCTGAGGCAGGAGAATCACTTGAACCCAAGAGGTGGAAGTTGCAGTGAGCCGAGATTGCACCACTGCACTCCAACCTGGCAATAAAGTGAGGCTCTGTCTCCAAAAAAAAAAAAAAAGAAAGAAAGTAGTGGATACTTATAACCATTATAAAACTCAGGGTGTAAAGAATAGCCTGCAGCAGGCAGAAGGAGAATTCAGCTGCTCCTTTTTCATTTTAAATAAATCCTAGGGAGAATCAGTGTGGTTGAAGCAATGCCCCACAACTGCCTCCAGCAACTCTGCAACCCCCACTCCTCCCTATCCCCCAACACAAAGCTGAAATCCCCTCACTTCACCAGGCTCTTGGGCTCTTTCTAATTTGTTAAGTGTTAGATGAAAGAAAAAAAAGAAAAAACTTCAAGAGAGATAATTAAGGTCTTAGAAAAAAGAGTCATCACAATGGAAGGAGACAGTTTGTCTCACTTTTTTGGATAGAATAATAAACTCAATGAGTAGGCAAAACTGTTTCTGGCTAAAATGATAGAGATGTGAATGACAGCAATAGAACAGGGCAGAACTATTGGGTGGGAGAATCTAATGATACAATTTTTAGAGAAGATATTGTCCTCTCAGAACCCCAACACCCAGCTACCCACTAGTTTATTGAATTTAGTCAAAAGTTCTTTTAAAATGGGGAGAAAAAGCAAGATACTGGAACCTTACCTTAGTTAATAATTGCTTTTCAGGGAAACATGTATTATGTACTTTTTAAATCTCATGCTGTTTGAAGAACAAAAATTTACTAATAAATGTTACATTAAAAATTAGCCAAAAATTATAAACTAAGCAGTTTACTAAATTACATGGATAGTCTTTTTCCCTGACAACTTAGTAAGAACTTTTTAAAAAGCATCTTTTAGCATTAGCCTATAGATAATCCTTGGGTGAATATAGGTTGAATTATGCTATAGATTAAAAGTATTAGAATTATAGGATCAATGTAAAGTATTAGGCACAGGAAGAAATACAAATGGCCAATAAAAACATGAAAAAATGTTCAGTGTCATTAGACATTAGAGAAATGCATATCAAAACCACAGAACTTCCCACATACTAGGATGGCTATAATAAAAATAAAACATTTTTAATAGAAAATAACAAGTGTTAATGATGATGTAGAGAAATTAGAAGTGTAACACATTGCTAATGGGAATGTAAAATGATTTAGCCACTATAGAAAAGAGTTTGATTGCTCCATAATAAGTTAAATGGAGAATTATCATATGACCCAGGAATTCCATTCCTAGATATACCCAAAAGAATAAAAAACAAATGTCTAAACAAATACTTGTTCACAAATGTTCAGAGCAGGACTGTTCACAATAACCAAAAAGAAAGAAAAACTGAAAATGTCATCAACTAATGAAGGAATAATCAAAATGTGGTATTACCAAGCAATGGAATATGTTCAGTCATAAAAAGAATAAAGTACTAGTATATGCTACTGATACAGGAGGTAGAAAGAAATTATTTAGGCAGACCGTGAGGGCAAAAGAGTCCTCAGCAAAGCTTCCCTTCTAACAAAAACCAGCCCCCAAAAGCATTTCTTTTCTAACAAAGAGCAGCCTGAAAAATGGAGCTGCAAATATAAATAAGCAAGCTAGAAGCTTGCATGGGCTAATCCTGGCAGCTGCACCAATAGAAAAGGGCTACCTCGGGGCCAGGCATATCCAACATAGAGGCTACATCTTCCCTTTGTGTTACCATGTGTACAAGAACAAAGAAATGGACAACACGGCACAGCTCAGGCAGAGAACTTGCCTGCGTAATAAACGATTAGGGTGGAGGCTACCAGAGATTTGCATCCTAGGCAAATGACACACCTGGTGGTCTAACCAGTTTTTCATGCCCTATGCAAATCAGACACTGCCTCCTCACCAGCTTATCTATAAGACCCCCTGCATTTCACCAAGGATTCAGCAACCCATTTTTCTGAGTCCCCTCTCTGCAGCAGAGAGCTATTCTCTTTCTTTCACGTATTAAACTTCCACTCTCAACCTCACTCTTTATGTGTTCACGTCCTTGTTCTCCGTGGCCGTGAAACAACAAACCTCAGGTGTTACTCCAGACAATGAGGCCATTTCAGTACCCACATGAATGAATCTGAAAATATGATACTAGTTAAATAAGTTAGACACAGCCACATATTGCATGATTTTGTCTATATGAAACATCCAAGTAGGTGACTCTATGGAGATAATCAGCAGATTAGTGGTGGTAGGGGCTGGGTGGAGGAGAAAATAGGGAATAGCTGCTTGGTGGGTCCAGGGTTTCCTTTAGGGTTGATGAAAATATTCTGAAACTAGACAGCGGTGATAGCTGCACAACACTGAATTTACTATATGCCACTGAATTGCATACTTTAAAATGGTTAAAAGGAGAAATGTTACATTATATGTATTTTATTACCCACGAAAAGTATAGAAAAAGGAATAGAATTGAGGAAAATAGTTGCCTTCAAATGAAAGTTAATGTCTCTACAAAAAAACAAAACAAAACAAAACAAAAAACCTTGATTTTGATTTTGTAGTCCATAGCACTTGCTAAAAACATGCCACTTAGGAAGCTTACTGATGCTTCTCATAAAGCCCAATGTCACACTTCTCATTGGTGCCCTTTCAACCTCCAGACCGGGTGCTTGAATCAGTGTCAGTTTTGTGGCACTTGACGCTTTGACATATGTTATAAAAAATGGACTTTGTTAAAAACTTATTTTTACTTTAATGTATTCATTTTAAAAAATGGTGCTTTGCGTTATTAAGAAGTATCAACTCCTTCAGCTACTTTAATAGAAGATTGAAAATGATGATCTCCACAAGTCTCTGCTCATGACTCCTATTCTCCCTCTTCCAGAGACTAAATGTTATAACTAAGGTTTTTAGTTATGGTTTTCTTGTTGTTGTTGTTGTTTTGTTTTGTTTTGTCTTAGTCAGTGATCTCATGTATGAGGTTTAATGTCAAACTTAACCCCTTAACATGTTCGGTAATCATCTTAAAATAACACTCACTGTAGGCCAGGTGTGGTGGCTCACACCTGTAATCCTAGCACTTTGGGAGGCTGAGACAGTCAGATCATGAGGTCAGGAGATCGAGACCCTTCTGGCTGACACGGTAAAACAGAAACAAAAAAATACTCATTGTAAATTTGTTACTCAACTTTAAAAAGGAAAACAAAGCATTTTATTGATATTTGTGGATATATTGGCCATATGAAATAAATTAATTTGTGTACTCATGGTAGACCACACTACCTTGCAGTCCCAAGCTGCCATGATGCTTGTATTTAGAACTTGAGATGAATCGTTAGTTTGAGGAGCAGAGGTTTCTAGTCACCACAAATTCATAGTGAAAGATAAACCAAATGCAGAGCTCTCACCACCTACATGCCAATCTGAGTGTCTGTACAGCAGGTTAAAGTTTAACCAATCACAGAAGTTTAGGCAAAAGGAAGAAAGTAAAAGGAAAAATAATTTTCCTACTGCTCCACAAAACATAGAATATATAAAAAACAATACAATTTAGATGGTTCACACTGCACAGAAAAAAAAATGGTATTTACAATATGACCTCTAAGTGAATGTAGTAAGACAGAGTAAAGAAAAACACAAAGAGCTAACCATTACAAGTATAAAAATTAAGGTTCAGAAGAGGAGTTAAGTTTTGGCTGGAAGGATTTGAGAAAGTGGGATTAGACTTCGGCTTTATGGTATGGTTAAGAACAGACTTTGTGAAGTGTCAGACATCATATGCCAAAATCCAGGTGTCAGAATGAAAGCAGTGTGTAAGGCCAATACTAACGAGTCAAATCTGACTGAACTCAGGAGGCCATGTTGGGATGTACTAAAAGATAATAAAGTGAGAAATGCAAGATGGGCCAGAGAATAAAGTTCCTTAGATGCCTAGGAGGAGTTTGGATTTATACAAAGGAAAATGGAAAAACAGTGATTTTCTTCGAGCTTGCCTTCTGCTGAAATTCTCAGACTAGGAAGATGGCTTGGTTTCAGTATGCTGTATGAGGAGAAAAAAATCTAGTTAAGGAAACCATCTGGAAGTTGTTAGAGTGAGTTAACTATGCAATGATGAAGAGCAAAAATGGGGAAGGGATGTGGAAGTAGAGGAGGTACAGAGCCATCTCAAACAAACAATAGGATGTTCTCACAGAACAGGTAGAAGGCAGAGAAGGCAGCGGAGGTGGCTAGCCTGGATTTCTGAGAGGAAGCAATGGGGAGGGTAGGAAAGTGAGGTTAATTCTGTTGATGTTAGGCTTGAGGGAATATTAGGGCATCTAATTAGATGACACATCAGGAAAAAAATGCTACCTTTACCACTAAACTCAGTGTATTTCAAATGTAAAACAAGATAATATACGTGAGCATATTTTCCAAGTTATATAAATGTAGAGTATGTAAAAAAGATGTCTTCATTGTTATTTCCTTTAATAATAATTATAATATGAGAAGGCTGAGATTTGAGGAGGCTCAAGGCTGGATAGAATAGTGCATATCTCCTTGATGTAACTAAAACCTCAAGCATGCATGAATTTACTTGGTAATGTGGCTAGATAAAGAGCAATAGGATAATAATGTTCAGACAAAGTTCAAGAAAAAACTAATGCTGGAATTTCAACAGGAGATTTAGATTTACATACCTGAGTAAAGGTTGTGTTTTCTTTGTCATAGAAGTTGAATTTGGCATCAAATTCAATATTTAGACATAATGGGCAATTCAACACACTGCAACTTTTTAACTGTTACTGCTGCAACACACAGTAACACGAATACATATACACAGAAGCAAAATAAAAAAAGAATTAGATGGCCAGTGGTGTTATAGTGTGCAAAGCAATGGTTTTACCATATTTTCAGTCACCCTTATGAAACTAAAATAATGGTTTTATTAAGAGATTTGTCTGTTTGTTGTTTGTTTATTTGAAGTGACCAGCCAGGGTGCTATGAGATTTGTTTCTTTGCAATTCAATAGTATCTGATTAGAGAAAATTACTCTGTTGATTTGCCTAGTGAAAGGAAGCTGATTATCCTTAGCTTTGATAAGTAAATTAAAACAGCTAAATTCTATAGAGACTGAAATGATGCCTTGAGTGAATTAATAGCTAAGAAAATCAATAGGCTATAACTTTCTTGTCGGTAACAAGATGTAATTTAAAGCTTATGGCAGAACAGTTGTTTTGTACAGAATTCCTCTAACAGATTTTTTTCCTGAAAAACAGTTCGTTTCAGACTTGTCTTTTCTCATTACTTAACACTCATAAACCAAAATAGTTGTGCTTATTCTAATTATTACAGTTTTTAAAGTACCTGATCAAGTCACAGAAATGAGATCTCTGGAATGTTACCCAGAAATTGCACCCACATTCCGCTTGTAATACATTCAGTAATGAGCATGTTATTACCTTTAGGACAGCAATAAAAATAAGTATGATTATTGACATGGCAATATAATTGTATCACAATTCAAAAATACAATAACATTTAAATAAATTAGGTATTCTATAGCAAGATAAAGAAATAAAATGCTGATGTAAATACATAAGAGAGAAAACTCTAGGGCCATTTTATATTCTAAGTAAAATACTATCAGGAAAATATCATAGATTATAAAACATTTGACTTTTGCATAAACTCTTAACAAATTTCTCATTTTTTCTTGCCCCATACAGAATTTTTCTTTTTTCTCACCCAATATTATGTATGTGTGTGTGTCTCCTCAAAAACCTTATTGAAATGTAAGATTTCCGTTCCTCAATCAGCTCAGCATTCTGCTCCATTTAGCAGCTCTAAGGATTTGCAGAGGGCAAGTCATGCCAAGCCAGAGCTAAATATCATAATTGACAAAGTGTGTATCAGCAGTTAATGACCTTCTCTAGAAAATAGGAGCACAACATAAAGAAAACATACAGAAAGAATACAAAACTGCAGTACTTTTTTGAAACGGTAAACCCTATCCTGATTGTATATATTTACTAAACATCTTAAATGCTCATAGATCCAATGCTTATCCTTTTCAGCTTAGGATTTTTCCTCATCCTTAAATAATACGAAGTAGAGGTCTTTTTGTTTTTGTTACTCATAATAACGAAATAGAATGCCAGCCCCTTGAGGTCAGGGAATTTGTCTCACTTGTTCCATTATAAACCCAGCACTTTAAAAGTGCCTAGTGTGTTAGCAATTATTAATAGTTAAATGGAGATGCTTATGTAACGATACAAATATTTGTTGAATATGACAAAGCTAAAGGCTGTCTTTCATCTGGGAACATATCCTAATTTACTGTGTTTGACTAATGGGTTGGATTTTATATCTGAGTCTACATAGGCTGGATCACATCAAAAAATTATCAGAATGTACTAAGATAATAACTAAAAATGAAAAAAGAAAGCAATATAAAGCAGTCAACAACATACATAAATATTTATTTGAAAACAGTCCACCTCTGGATCTTGATCTCATCTCCAGAGATATGGAGGGATATCTTGACCTTGTACGAGAAAAGTTGTACTGAACACTTGTTAAACATGACAAGAAAGATTTTATTCAAGACAAGTGCAATAGGAGTCAAGGCTATGGCAGTAGGGTAGAGGGCCTGGCTGAAACAAAAGGCAGGAGGACTTTTAAATGCTGGGGTGAGGTAGTGGAAAAGTACTAGAGGACTTTGGTGTAAGGGAGTGGGGAGTTGGTTAATGTGATTAAGTCATCTGTATTTGCTAACTGGCTCCTACCCTTCCACAGAGATTAGAAGACAGTGGCCTTATCTTTCTTGATTATATTTCTAAGGGTTGGCCTCAAGGTCCTTGAGAAATGCACTCCAGTGTTGTAACCCTGGCAAGAGGCCAGGGGAAGACTTACATCTCAAAGAGTCAGAGAAAGAATTTACAAAGGAAAATTTTCTTAGGTAAATGCTCTAAGAAAAGGAAGGTCGGGGACCTAAAGTCAAAATGCCTGTCTAAAATTTAATAGAGCTGAGGGGAATATTAAAGCTCTCTTGGTAATGCACTTAGAACTAATTCAGAATTGTAAAGCTAGAGAATAGCTGCAAAATTAAGGGATGACACTTATTGGTCAGAGCATGCTCCCTGGGTGTCCCCATATACAAAAATGGGTTCCTTTCAGCTGCCTTGATTTTTTTCATTTTGCCTTATTATATTCACTGAAATTAGATGAATAAAACATTATTTAAGCCATCAAGCAGTATTTTAAAATTCAAATATTTTTAAGACCAATCACTCAAAAATCAGGAGAGTGATGAGGACTTCATCAACAGTACTGGGAATGAAAAATTAGTTCCCTAACAACTGACTTGGAGGCAATATAGAAAGGAGGTAACAGACTCCAAAGCCATGTTCAAATGTGGACTTCACTCCCTATTATCTAAATTTCCTTGTACTCGTTATTTACACAATTTTCTGTGTTTTCTCGTCTGTAGTAAACAGACACACAAGTTTATTGGGCTGTTTAAGTAAATTAACATTATTCAGCACTTAGAAGTATAGTTATAGTGTTAGCTATTTCTATTAGTGTTTTGTGAATTGAAGAATTTTTTTTTAAACTTTCAAAAAATAGATAAATAGAAACTTCAAAAAAGTATTTCAAGTTGAATTCTGATTTGCTGTTTTGCATTTGCTCTCTGGAAGCAAGCCTTACTTTCCCTGTCATAAATTTTCTAAATGTGCCCAGTTAAATTCTTACTGAACTAAGAAGGATAATATATCTTCTGGCATTGATATTCAATGCTTTGATTCTTCACCAAAAATTAGCCAAAAAATAAACATGTATTACAATAGTATTTCCCACAGAAGCCCCAAATGTAACCATGTGATCCTGAAACAAAGCATATGTGTAACTAGATGAACTTTCAACAATGTATAGTTGAGAAAAAAGTCTGTCTTCCTGTACTGCCCTTGCTAGAAGGTAAAATAGTAAATTCTTTTTCAGGCAAATAAATAATATAGCACAGAAACATAATACATCACTATAAGTTGTATGAATAATTATGATTAAAACTTCCATGCAAATCTATTGCAGGAAATAAGGAAAAGATAGATTCTGTAATCAAAAGTTGTAGTAACAGTCTTTTAAATTGTATAGATGGCATATTTACCACAATACGCAGATAATTGAATATTTTGTTCCTGAAACTATTTGTGAGAGTTTAATTCTACCTTGCTTGTGAACAGCATTTTATATTGAAAAAGTGAATATTCATATTTGACTTTGGCTTAGGAATGAGAGATATTTTGTTTCTTCCCTGGAATATTAGCAAAGTTAACAAGAGTATTATCAGAGAACTGTGTTTTATTTTTACTTGTTTTATTTAACCTTATTTTCCTAAGTGACACATACATATAAATAAATTTTCATTTTAATTGTAGATGTGATTTTTGTTTTATTTTCCAAAAAACAGTATTCATTTTCATAAGGTCCATGGAGAAACACTTCTTTTTCTGTATCAGAAACATTTGAAATTTATCATTATATATCAGCAATAGTTCTAACTTTTGGCTAAAGAACCTGATTGAGGCATGTGAATAATGATAATAATAATAATAATAATAATATTGAATGTTTGTATAGCACATTATGGTGTTGAAAAAATTTCACTCAAATTAAAGTTTAATTGAGCAATGAACAATTCCTGAGTTAGGCAGCCCCCAGTTTCACAGCAGATTCAAGGAGACTCCAGGGATGCCTCATGGTGAGAATAAATTTATAGACCGAAAAAAAAAAGGGGGGGGAGAAGTGATATTGTAGAACTTTCTCCTTATTTCAGCTGAAAATAGGGTCCTTGTCACACGCCCATGAAATATGAGGCTTACAGACACTTTGAAGGGTGAGGAAAATGAAATTTATTGAGAAAAAAAGCGGGGGAAAAAGGGAAACAGGGACCCTCAGCAAAGTGACAGTCCTGCTAGTATAGGCTTCCTGCCTTGCAGATTGAATTCCAGGTTCCATTCTGGGACAGGAGAAGCCAGGCTCCTCCTTCCTGCAAATGATGGGAACATCCCAAAACTCCACCCTGTTCTCCCATTGCACAGGCTGGAGTTCCCCTAGGGACCTCTCCACACTTGGCTGTCTCAGTGACATATAGAAATCAAAAGTGAGGTATAGAAACAACTGGGTTGGTTACAGCTCATCGTTGGCCTTATTTCAACACAGTCTGAACACTCAGCAGTGTATGAGTGGTTGAAGTATGGCTTGTGGGATTGGCCAAGACTCAGCTATTGTTACAAGCACATACTCCTAAGTTAGGTTTTCAATCTTGTCTACCTATTAAGTTAGGTTGCAGTTCATCCACAAGGACTCAAATATAGAAGTAGAGTCCTTTTCAGGCCATAGTTTGCTTTAACAATGGTTGTGAAAAGTATGTTGATACCCATTACCATATACACACCAGCCCGCAGTGCTGTGAGATTGGTATTCTTAGAACCCTAATTTCATTGACAAAGAAACTGAGATTCTAAGTGTAAATGACTTCCCTAAGAGCATGGGAATAGTAACTAACTCCAGTAAAAGATTAGAACCTGTATCTTAAGTATTTTATATTTTCTGAAGGAAAAAAAAATAAAGTTAGATGTCTAACACAATATTTTTTAAATCCTGAAAATTCTCATGCTCTCAAACACCTAAATACGACACAGAAACTATTAAAGATGTCCATTTTTAAATATAGGTGGAGAAAAAAGGAAAAATCTCAAGAGGCTAGAAACAAAGCAGGCATAGAAATCACTGAATACAGCAGCACCTGGAAACATTTGCTGATTCGTGGCAACAAAGAGCTTTTATTATAAAAAGCTAATGGAGAGTCTGAACACAGAAAACCCTTAAAGCTTGTGCCTTGGAAAAGATTCACCATTAGTGAAAACATAAGTTAGAAAAATAACCAAACACTGCCAAAAGAAATAGCAACAAAATTTGTTGATCTCTGATTCGGTCATGAGTAGAGAGATTTATTGCCCCCTGAGAACTTTACCGTAAAGTAAGGCCACATGCAGGAATGACATTTAAATGGATTTAAATGGTTACTACTCACTTGGTTTAAAAGTCTTAATTAATTAATTTAATTTAATTAATTTAAACCAACTTTCCTGGATTTGATAAGCACCCAGGTACCTGAGGAAAGCCCACCTTCTCATTGTAGGCATCATTGAATTAACACGTGGAATATCCCAATAAAACCATCAGATACAGTGAGTAAAATAACACAAATAGAACTTCAGACTCTTCAGATGTTCTAATTATCAGACACAAGCTACAAAATCCAGCATGTTTAATGTTTTTAAGGATGTAAATGAAAAAAACCAACAACATGAGATAATAAGAGATCACCAAAAATGAATTAGAATATGAGGATAAAAACCTACAGAAACAAAAATACATACAATAGACGAATTAAAAAACAGAACAGTAATGAATGAGAGCCTGAGTGAACTAGAAAATAGATTACAGAAAATTACTGGGAAGTCATATAGGGAGGAGTGCAGGGAGAAAGAGAGAGAGAAAGAAATAAAGGGAGAGAATGAAAGAGAAAGTAAAAGACATAAACGACACTGAGAGGTCTCACACATATCTAATTGGAGTTTCAAAAGAACAGAAAAATAGAATGAGGGATCAATAATTCAAAGAGATAGCTGTTGAGATTTTCCCAGGGTTAATAAAAAATATAATTCTCCAAAATTAGAAAGTACAGTTAATCCCATTCAGGGTAAATAAAATGAAACCAACAGTACCTTTCAAGTTTTGAGGAAAATAAAATTGAACATATAATTGCATACAAGGTGAAATAATCTTTTAAAAAGAATGCAGATTGCAAGAATTTAACCAACAGACTAACAGCTGAGGAATATATTTGAAAGAGAAGGTTATGCCAGAAAGAAGGTCTGAGACGAAAAACATGGGAAAAATAGAAAATGGCAAATGTGGGCAGTAATCTAAATAAATATTTATAGACTGCATAAAATAAAATAAAACTTCTATTCTCAGCAGTACTAGATAGCCTGACACTCCAACTGAAAACTATTGAAAATGCCAGAAAAAAAATATTTTATAGACTTTAAAAAGACATCAGTGAACTGTGAAGGATCTCTCAGGTCAAAAAATATGTGAAAGGGGAATTTAGACTCTTAGGCAGGAGTCGATAAGCAATGGGCCAAATCAAAACCATGGCCTGGTTTTTTATGGCTCTGGAGCCAAGAATGGTTATTACAGTTTTAAAGAATTATAAGAAAAATTTAAAAAAAAATAGGCAACAGAAATAATGTGGCCTGAAGTACATGACCTGCAAACACTAAGATATTTGTTATATGGCCCTTAGCAGAAAAAGATTGCAACTCCCTGGATCTATAGAGTCCAGAACATAAGTGGAGCCCTATATTTGTCATTTCCCTTAAGGAAAGTTGCCAAGTTTAATACTTGTGAGGGGAAAAGTCCACAGCCTACTCAAATTGTAGAATCTTTTAGGAGAACCCCCCTAAATCCAAAGATAATGACCTCAGCGTAAGGGAGTCCTAACAACGCAGATACATATTCAGTGAGCAGCAAGGAAAATGATCTGCCTTGAAAATAGTCACAGACTAAAGGGAGAAAACATTTCCTCTAAGGATTTGCAACATTAAGTTGGTTCTCAGGTAAGTTTGCATCCTGAATCCTGAGAAATGTGAAAAACCTGAAGGAGAATTAAGCGTGACGTGGCCCTGGCTGGAAAAGAGTATTTTCAAATGCCTGGGGGAAGCAAATATAAATCTCTTCTCAAGGGAGCCACTTTCAATTCAAACATCAGAGAATACTCACTGATAAATGTCCAAGAAAAATGGTGGCATTTTTTTTATTATACTTTAAGTTCTGGGGTACATGTGCACAACATACAGGTTTGTTACATAGGTATACATGTGCCATGTTGGTCTGCTGCACCCATCAACTCATCATTTACATTAGGTATTTTTCCTAATGCTATCCCTCCCCCAGCTCAGACTTAATGAAGCGTCTGACTCATACAGACTTAAAATACTAGAATTATCAAACAATATAAAATAAGTATACTTACTATGTCTTTTTTTTTTTTTTTTTTTTTTTTTTTTTTTTGAGACAGAGTCTCACTCTTGGTGCCCAGGATAGAGTGCAATGGCGCGATCTCAGCTCACTGCAACCTCCGCCTCCCAGGTTCAAGCAATTCTCCTGTCTCAGCCTCCCAAGTAGCTGGGATTACAGGCATGCACCACCACCCCCGGCTAGTTTTGTATTTTTAATAGAGACAGGGTTTCTCCATGTTGGTCAGGCTGGTCTCAAATTCCCAGCCTCAGGTGATCCACCCACCTCGACATCCCAAAGTGCTGGGATGACAGGCGTGAGCCACCGCGCCCAGCCACTATGTTTAAATATATCAAAGTATGAAATATAAAACGCGAGAAGGTATAAAAGATGGCCCACCAAAATGGTAATTAAACCCTGGAAGGCATATCAGAGACAACTCTCTGCTCTGAACTCCACCCTACCTGCAGAATTTAGAGCTCCCAGTGTCTCAGGGGTTTCTTCCTGCCTCTGGTACCCTGACCTGTCCCAGTGACTGGGTCCTTGGTACCTCTTTACCCTGTGTGACCCCTGCCTCAAAAGTCATAATGGATCAGAGGTGATGGCATACATTTCTTCCTAGTATGTGTGAGGCTTCTTATTCCCAGATGATGTTACCTGCACATCTCTTCCCTCCTTCTAAGAAAACCACTAGATACTCTAGAGGAATAAAAGCACCATTCATACTTGGTCTTATTATGGTTGAGTACTTAGTGGACTCTCTGTATATTGCCAGGTAGTTACTGGAGGGGTGGTATTGGTTAGAGAAAACTCTATTCAAGAGCCATGAATTCATTTTTCCCCTTTCCTAGATAACACTTTTACTTTAGTTTTTACTCAGCATTTTATATTTTAAGAGACTTCTAAATTTGGCATTCACTTCCTCTATAAAAGTAAAAATGTAAAACTGATAGATATCTAACACCATAGATAGCTATTATAAATATGTATAATCAAGTAACCATATGTTCAAGAATCCTGCCCTCTGAGAACATTGACCCATAACTGCAGTTTTAAATGTTGTTTTCCTCTTTTAAATTTCTATTTTTAAATGGCAATATTATTAGTGGTTCTGAATGCCAAGAAATGAATGTCTCCATAATTAATGGAAAAAAATACCTTACACATTGACATTGGCAGAGTTAATTTTCAATAACTGAGGAATTGTGGCTAATAAATAATGTTCTAAAATCTAAATATCATCTTTGTTCAATCTTATTTTCCTCAATATGCTTTGGCAAAGACAATTATATTACCACAGAAATCATTCAGCAATGCAATGCCAAAAATATGTTACAAGAATGCAATGTGTTTTTGTTGCTATGTTTCTTTTTTTCTTAATACATATCTCTAAATAGATATATATGGCAAGAAAGTCATTAACTGAGGAAAATCCAAGTCAGCGAAGAGAGAGTTTATATGCTAAAAAGTCAAATAATGAAACATTTTTCACTCCACTTAGGTATGTGAGGGACACTCCATGTGCCAGTCATTGTAATAAGTGATGGCAATATTTAAAAAGCCAGCCTTCTTTCTTATCCTCAAATAAGTGGTAGTCTAGCAGAGTCACTATAAAATAAATATTAATAAAGAATTGAAATAGTAAATCCAATAGCCTTTAATTGTAACACACACAGAGGAGTGGTACCAAACTCAGGTTTCGTCTGGGAAAATAGGGAGAAATTATGATACCTTGGATTTGAGATGTTAGTGGTTCCTGAGGTCATGAGTAGCTTTAATGCCTCGGAGAGAAAATGTGGAAAGGCTGTTTTGTGCAATACTATTCAAAGAGGCACTGAGGATTTGGTCTTAACTCTCTCCCCAGACCACAGGCACAAAAGGCCATAGATTTAATCATAATGACTTCCTGTAGAAGCGTAGTCATAGTGGAATGCCCAATTCTACTATCAACTCCCTTACACAAGTATTATCTCTGTCTTCCACAATGAATGAAGGACAGAGAACATATTCATTCACTTTCTTTCATCCCTACCAAGACTGCATTATTAAAAACCTGTTCCTCAGTTCTTTCCTCTTTTTTAGTTATTACTAATGAGAATTATTCAGGTGTACAAATCTGGGAAGAGCATTTGAGACATTTTGGGTTCTCTAAGAAGCAGATGCCAACATGGAATTAGAATTAATTAGAGGTAGTGTCTGTAAAAATGGAAGCAGGAGAAATAGACCAGGAGAGTCTTCAGACCATGATACTGGTCTGACATCTGTGAGTCCCCTTTTAGAATGGAAGTTCTGTAAGTACAGAGAAAGAGCCAAATACAGAGAAAATTTTCAAATTAACCATTTGGTCCCTATAATAGTAGGGTCTAATGTGCATAAATTAGATTTACTCTTTGTTTTCTGATAATGATTTCTTTCACTGGTCAGGGCCACTTTGGGCAGCTATCTGCCCTTGATATGAATAAAATGGCTCCGAATTCCCAGTAGATCAAGTCGGAAAAGGTATAACAAACTACCAAGTTGAAGGGTCATCAATAATTGCCAAGTATATTAGACACAAAATGTAATCACAGTTTAATCACTTACAATCCACTAGGTTGGTGCAAAAGTAATTGTGGTTTTTGCCACTACTTTTAATTTTCATTTTCCAGTAATTTCTATTGATTATATTGTCTTTCTCCAGAAGTTATATTAGCTTAATTACCTCAAGTCATCTACTACAGATATAAGTTAAAAGAAAAGGTCTTTGTGCTTAGGATACTCTCAAGAATACTCTGGTGGGTCTTATAAAAAATAGAATTTGCAAAGCTACCATTTATTTTTATAGGCAAATTTCATCCTCTTCTGCCACTTATTTTTCAGCATTGCTTGACAATCTTGTTACTTTTCAGACCTGTCCTTAATAATTTAATTCAAACACTTCATCTTCAGGTGTTTGAATTTTTCACCTGGTTGCGGGTCCCTAATGCCAGAGCATGATACTTGTGAAAATGCTCATCTAGGGAGCTAGGAAAAGTAGCTTGGTTATTAGTGAGTGAAAACATGCAAGACTAACTAAATGTGATTCAATTTTACAAAATTTGAAAGAATGAACAAAAATACAAGAGACATATTTTGTGGGGACTAGAGCAGACACCACATCCTTATAGAGCTTACCGTATCTTATACTTCTCTGCAACATTGTTCTTAGGAGCATCAGTACATTTTTATTTAGATCCTAATAAGTGTCCCTTTCTTAACTTATTTTCAATTAATGACATTTTCCCCTGTCCTGTCTTTATTATAAAGGGAGAATAACTATGCATTCTTATTATACCTCTTTCTGTCTACTGGCTAAGAGTTTATTTTAATAAAATCTGAGTGTCTGCCACAACCAATGCCCATAAGTGAAACATGAATCTGAAGGGCTCATTCTTCCTAATTCTGCTATTCTTGTGACACATAAGCCATAACAACACTGACAAATTAGCTACAAATGATTAGATCAGAAGCTGGTGCCCAACTCAAGGGCAAACATGTCTAGGCTGGAAATGAAGAAGGCCACCAATCCTTGAGGAAGCCTGGCCTAAATTCTGCCTAATAGGGGTGTTCTATATATAATGATGAAAAAACTGCCCAACCAGAGCTTGTCTCTTGGGCCTCTGACAGACAGTCACCAAAATGTGTTATTGTTCTGTTTCTCAGAATGCCTATAGTATACTTCCATTATGGGAACAGTCAGTTCCAGAATGAGCAATAGTTAAAAGGAGGGCAACACTTTTCATTTTTTGGTCTTTCACGGTTCTGTGTAACTTTGCAGTAAACTTATCTCAAAGGAATCCTGGGTAAGATTGTTTCTCATAACCCTATAGAGTGTAACTAATGTAAAGTACTTACAGATTTATTAACTCTATCTTTCAAGGGTCCCAAAGACCCCCAGTTTCAGTGATTCATTAAAAGGACTCAGCCCCAGAATATAGTCAGAACTATGATTCAGTGCAGGAAAAAAATACAAAGCAAAATTCACAAAAAGAAAAGTTATTTGGAGTGATGTTGAGAAGAAACAAGGCTCACGCTTCCAAGAGTTCTCTCACAATGGAGCCACAGAAGATATGTGCACAAGCATTTACATTTTGTGTGCTGGGAGGATTTTTTAAAGGGAAGAATGGAAGATCCTTGTGACCAGATTGGGGTATGACTACAATATGTAAAATAAAAAAGGATATCAGATTTAGCTAGCTGGGTAACTAAGAAATGGTTGCTATTGATTATCCCTGTTGAATTGTAAGGAAAAAAAAAAAAAACCTTGAATGCCACATTTCCAATCAGACACATTCATAGAAGTTAGTGTCTTGCGTAGTTGGTTAGATTAATTGCACTAGGTTAACTGCACTAGGATTAATTGCATCAGCAGACAAACAAGAGCTGAACTATATTCTAAAGAAGAATTAAAATGAAACATTATGTTCTAATCTTCATTAGAACAGAAGCAATGTTAATGGCCTTTGCTGTATCATCTACTCAGCTTGGAAAGCCTCACTTTTTCCATTTGGAGAAAGCCATGGGAGTATGTTTGGGTCCTAAACTGTCATCCTGAAAGGGATATCATGAAGCCAATGGCACAGCTTCAATCTGGGTTTATGTTTCTTACCTCCACTCTTGTCCTCTGTATTAGAATCCACTTCTCACTGGTCACCCCACTCCCAGGTTATTCCACAATGAGCAAGATCTTAACTCTCCTTGTTTTCTTCTGAAACCCACAGAAAAGGTACAATTACAATTGCATTGAATACTATTCTTTATCAATTACTATTTTAAATAAACTTAAAAAATTCTAAATAATAAAAAATTAGAATTTTTAATTTGGATTCAGCGGAGAATTAAAAACACAACTTATGTTTCATTTTAAGCCAATAAATTAAATGCTGTCTGAACAACTGCCAAGGCTTCTGTTGCTTTCTAAATAAAGAGAAAACTACCAGCAGAAGAAGATTCTCAGGCTTATCTTTTCATTTACATTTTGGTTCAGAAGTTAAGCAATACCCATAAGAACAACTGAATAACTTCAAGGGTGCTACCTAAATTTATGCTAACTGGATTTGGATTTATAGTCCTAAATTCTTCCTAACAGGTTTATAATCTTTACTAGTCTTAGAAATGTGTACCTTAGAAAAGCACACATAAGGAGCTTAAAGAGATCTAATTTCATAAAAGAAATCTTAAGTGGCAATGACTAATAACATTCACCGAATCAAAAATAGAAAAAAATCAAAACCTGATTTAATTTCATATACCAAATCAGGACAACAATTACACTCCCAGAGTTTTTAAACCATTAAACCAAACAACATACCAAAATAGTGTATTTTTCTTAATAATAACCATAGATATCAAGGTAATAAGAGCTATTTTCCATTTTGAAAATTTTCTAGTGAACAAGCAAATAATGAAGTGACTTAAAGGGCAAATTTAAAAAATCTCTAAGGATACAAGTTCAAGTAATCTAAAGCTTTACAAAACAGTCACTTGAAGTTAAGTGACTTGATCCTTTCACATGGTTAACTGTGAAGTTCTCTCCCTTTCATTTATTCAACATGTAATTCTTGAGTGCCACATCACAAAATCTAAAATCACATTGAAATAACATACACACTGAATAAAATTAGGCCATGATTTTATTTTATTTTATTTCCTGTCTCTGTAGAAAATAAGTTTGGAGCAAAAGTAGCAATTTCGTCTTTTAATCAAATATTACGAAACTTTGGAAGAAGAAGAAAGATATGGCAAATAATCAACAAATACAGATGTTAATACTATTAATGGCTTTTCAGTTTTGGAAGTAAACTATTTTACATCTCAGTTTCCTTCCAACTAAAATTCATACCAACTCCACAGCTCACATTACACAGGCAAAAAGCATTGTTCACATGCTCTAGACGCCACCTCCTATATAGTTTCCTGGAAAATGCAAGAGAGTGCTGGGATCTGTTCACTGCCATTGTCCTCACTGCCATAACTCATTGCTGTCACAATGCACCACTGTGGTGCCCTGCGCTTTTCCACTGCACCAAGAATCCAAGTCCACAAAGAAGAGAAATCTCACTCTCTTGGGTAATAAATTACATCAACTGGAAGTAAATGAAGAAGTAAATGTGGTTTTATAACTATTGCTGGAGTTATTTAGTATGTTAAATACACTGATGAAAAGTATATTTTGTTAGAAAGAAACAATATGAAAAATATTGACAGAATGTATCTAGATACCAAGACAGCTTAGACTTATATGAGATGTTATACACCTAAGAGTGAAAGCCATAGGAAAAGGACAAAAGGAAGAGAACTTAAAGTGACATCATTTATTTTACAAGATCTTTCTTTTATAGGTCTCTCTATAGTAAAAATTTGAACTTAGGTGAAAATTTCTCCCCAAATCATTACAGTTATGAAATCTCTTCCCGGTGGATCTCATTCTCTTCCCAATCTAGAAGTATACCTTCTTTTACTTTTCTTAGACTTCAGATCTCTTTTAAGCATAGTTGTTTCACATTTTTCAGTATAAAATGACTATCTTTGACCACACACACAAAATTGGAATTAATTTTTCTTTATATGTGTCATTGCTATATGTTCAATTTCTTACAAGCAAATAATCTAATAAGTGTAGTTTGTTTTGTTCCGAACATATCTTTAAAACCCTTTAAATTATTTTTACATGCTTTTCTAAAGAGTTAGCTTAATTTTGGCTTTTTCTTTCTCAATTATTACAATTGTATTGTAGCACTCCTTGCTCCTTGGCTTTAATTATGTGTTACTCTTCCAATTTGTCTATGTATTACTTCAATTGTAAATTACCAGGGAGTTCTCTGTAGATATTGCAGATTCCTTAGATGTCTCAAAATATATTTATCATTACAATATAATTTCCATGTGCAATTAAACTACAGAACTTCCTCTCTGAGACTAACATTTTCTTGGAATTTCTCCTCTGAAAAATAACTTTTTATTATCTGAAAACTTTTTGAAATATCCTTTTGGATCTTAGACATCCAAAAGGGTATTTCCAAAAAGAATGTGCCTTTGTCTTTCGTGTTGCTCTTGTTCCAAGGTTCTGGTTCCTACTACTTCAGCAGCCAACCAGACTTTTCTTACAGATTCAAACTATGCACAGAGTAAGACTTTCCCTTGTTGCTTCCTTGAAGTGATCCATACAGTCCCCAAGACCTTGATTACATATTAAACCCACACCATGATCGATTGTTCTATACAAAGCACTCTGTAAATTACTCAGAGTGGCTTATAAGCAATTAAATAGAAAACAAGATAATTTCTCTATTTAAGATTTGAATTCTTACTCACTATATAAAAAGAAATTTCCTTGGCTACACTTTTCTGGATATAAATACAAGGAAATTTATTACAGTAAATCATTGTGCATAACTTGATTCATACATGATAGATTTTTAGTGCTGCTACTCTTGCCTACCTCTGGGTCAAATATTTCCACCTGTCAGCCTGCCCAGTTTGAGCCCCAAGAATGACTCAGTTCTAACTCTTCCTTTATATAGTGCTTGAAATGTCCTGTATGTTTCCTTTACTATACTGAATCAGAAAGCTTTGATTAAGAACTAGGTCAAACTATATTCTGCTGCAACCTTGGTGGTTTGTTTCAATCACTGATTAAGCAAATGAGTATCTATTACAAGAAAGGCCCTGTTCTAGGTACTGGTATTGTAACATGAAACAAAAGAAAACAAATTCTCATCCTTAAAAAGTGTGCCAGATGTGGTGGCTCACAACTCTAATCCCAGCACATTGGGAGGCCGAGGTAAGTGGATCACAAGGTCAGGAGTTCAAGACCAGCCTGGCCAACATAGTGAAACCCCATTTCTACTAAAAAAAAAAAAATACAAAATTTAGCTTGGCATAGTGACAGGCACCTGTAATCCCAGCTACTCAGGAGGCTGATGAAGGAGAATTGCTTGAACCTGGGGGTGGAGCTTGCAATGAGCCGAGATCACATGCCACTACACTCTCTCCTGGGTGACACAGTGAGACTCCGTCTCAGGAAAGAGAGCGAGAGAGAGAGAAAGAGACAGAGAGAGAGAGGGAGGGAGGGAGGGAGGGGGAGAGAGAGAGAAAGAAAGAAAGAGCGGGAGAGAGAGAGAGAAAGAAAGAAAGAGAGAGAGAGAGAAAGAAAGAAAGAGAGAGAGGGAGAGAGAGAGAGAGAAAGAGAAAGAAAAGAAAGAAAGAGAGAGAGGGAGAGAGAGAAAGAAAGAAAGAGAGAGAGGGAGAGAGAGAGAGAAAGAAAGAAAGAGAGAGAGGGAGAGAGAGAAAAAGAAAGAAAGAGAGAGAGGGAGAGAGAGAGAAAGAAAGAAAGAAAGAAAGAGAGAGAGGGAGAGAGAGAAAGAAAGAAAGAGAGAGAGGGAGAGAGAGAGAAAGAAAGAAAGAGAGAGGGAGGGAGAGAGAGAGAAAGAAAGAAAGAGAGAGAGGGAGAGAGAGAGAAATAAAGAAAGAGAGAGAGGGAGAGAGAGAGAAAGAAAGAGAGAGGGGGAAGGAGAGAGAGAGAGAAAGAAAGAAAGAGAGAGAGGGAGAGAGAGAGAGAAAGAAAGAAAGAAAGAGAGAGAGGGAGAGAGAGGAAGGAAGGAAGGAAGGAAGGGAGGAAAGAACTATTGAGTGGATAAAAAAGACACAAATAAGATAAATAGTTAATACACAATATGTTACAAGGTAATGAGTGCTATAAAGAAAAATAAAGCATGAGGAGAAATATGACTCTAAACAATATTACTCTAGTGGTTCTGTTGGAAATAGATCAAAGGGAGCAAACAAAGCAACATAACTAATTTGGCACCATTGCAATAGAATGTGTAGGAAAAGAGGTAACAGTAGTTTGGGCAGGGCATCAACTCTAGAGATTGGGAGACAAAGACTTTGGATATAATTTGAAGGTAGAGTAACAGATTTTTCTGATGGATAAAGTATGACATATGACTGACCAAAAAGAGTAAAGGATGCTTCCAAAGATTTTAGTCAAAGCAAATAGAGGAAGAAAGGTGCCTGTTATGGAGGGATAGGGTTTTGTGGGTGGTGGTGAGATTACAAGCTTGATTTTTAAAATGTCAAGTTAGGAATGTCCATTAGATATCCAACAGGAGATATTTGGAAAGTTAATTGATTACATGAGTCTAGAGTTGAAAGGGGAGGTAAGATGTAGATATACATGCTGGGTCAATTAGCTTGTATACAGATATTAAAGCCTTAAGACTTGAGATTTCCCAAGAGAGGGAATCAGTAGAAAAAAAAATAAAGAAGTAAAGGACTGTATGTTGGGACAGTTCAATATTAAGAGATTAGAGAGATGAGAAAAAAAATCTATAAAGAAGATCAAAAAGTAGCAGCCAAAAAAGTAAGAAGAGAAGCAGAGCAATGTGGTATCTGCATAATAAAACAATTTCAAGGAGAAATAATAGCAAGAAAAGAAAGAAAGTCATCAGAAGTTCCTAGTATATCCGTGTGGCTAAATTAAGTTACCTGGTTGGTGATCACAAACTTAGTAAATTATTGTTCCCTCACGATTAAAAAAAACCAAATTATGTAAAAGGAATCTCCATTTCATAAATATTTCTATTCATTATTTTCCAGGATCTAAAGGGCAAATCTCAGCATACTTTGGGGCTGTGGCTTGAGGATGGTGTTACTTTTCCTGAAAGTCTCATTTAAATACTTCTGTTTGTGCCAAGTGGAGAAAATTCCTCTTTGAGTGTCAATTGGCCAATATTTTTTGAAGATCTTTGGGAACCACATGCAATTTCAATTTTCAGGAAACTTTATGGATAATAAGCTTATTTTCCATGAATCTAAGTCATAGAATCCCAGCTTTCCTGGCCTTCGTTTCTGGCCTTTGCAATTAAACCTCAAGCCATTGGCTCAATGTTGCTTTTGAGAAGAATCCATAGTCTAGCTTTCCAAAACCATTCTCCTTTAACATTCTGTTTAGTAAGTGTCTTTAGGCAAATTACTTGTCATTTAGCTTACGTTTATGACTCATAAACAAGAGTTAAAATAATAACCAGCTGGAGGCCTTTTTTAATATTTATTTTGAATATGATAACATCATTAAGAGCCATTCATTCTTTTAAAGAGCAGTCATTTTCATCTCTTTTCACTTATGTCAGAAACTCCCCACCAAAATTAATCAAATGTTTACATGAACACTAAATTTTCTTCAGGGTCTGAACTAGAAAATAACTATAAAAATTAATGTACTTAATTTTTAACCTGCCAGGGTAATACTGACAGATTTTTACATAAAATATTCCCAGATTAGCAAGCAACTCTACCCTGTCATCATATGTTCCAAAATGCGTTATCTATGACCCTGGTTCTCCTCCCAGCAAAGTCATCATTTTAAAATGCTTTGCATTTTTTCTTTTTGAATTTGCTAGAAGTTTCTCAAACATTTTTGCAAGCATTCATCCAAGTATTGGCAAAATTTCTGTCAAAGGTCAATTTGAATGTCAGAATTTTAGTTGTGAAATACTCCTTGTTTTACATCTCAACATTAAACCAATGAAATATAAAAAAGTTAAATGTACTCTTACTTATAAAGGCTGCTCAAACTTATGTTTTCTCATGGTAATTTTTTTAACTCCTGCATGGTATTACTCCACAAATTATCATTGGCATTGCTGTGTAAATGTTTTACTTTCACTTAATAGCAATCAACAAATTATCGAGACACTAAAGCTAACCCAAAGAATCCAAATTTTGTGTACAAGACTTTTCTAAAAATAATTGGAAATCTCTAGATTTTACACATCTATATATTTAAAGTTTTATTTTAATATGACGGCAAAAATGCCTAATTAGCTTCACTTTCTTAGATAAAATCAAACTTGAAACAATACATCTGCAGTGTCTCCTAGAGTTCCTTGGGAGACATATTTCTCATTCATGATTTTCAAATCAAGAATACAAAGCATGCATACGGTTACATCAAAATGGCAATTAATTTTAAATCCTGTCTGATGCCATAAATATATATATAGTTGAGAAACATTAGTTTTCTTTTTCCAGTGAGGAAGGTATATGTCGTAGGTTAAAAAACAACAAAATCACGCAATTTCGGAACTTTAAGCATCACTCTTCTCTGTGCAGAAGGTAAAAACTTGAACTATCAATTGTTTGGGAAAATCTAAGTGATAAAAAAAAAGAGTTTGGCTGGGGTGCAGGCAGATCTGCAGCAATCTGGGCCATGTGTTCTTTGCAGAAACGTTTCTTGTATAACATTTTTCCTCCCTATACGTGTACATTAGTGTTTGTTTTCAGACAGTTGTATGTATGTATTCTTGATCAAGAAGTTACAGGGTATCAGAAGCAGAGAAAAAATAGACTACAGGAAAGGCCTGTTAGCCTGATTTTCTACTCAAGAATGTGTTGCTCTGCCCTGGTGATAGCTCACATGTGATTGTATTTAAGACTGAATAACTCAGACTTCAGTGGATATTCTAATACTAGATTATTGTATTGAAAGAATAAGACCAGACCACATCCCTGGAGGTAGAAGTGAGATTTTAAATAAGAAGATTGGATATTCCGGACTACTAGAAATTTAATGACAAAAATGGAAATGAAGTTGTAGACCCTTCACTGGAAGTGCCAGAGAAATGAATTGGTCTTTCAGGATCATGGCAGCAGTTTTGAATGGAGATATTAAAACACTGCTGCAGGGTAAACTCGCTTTTATCAAGTGACATCAGGCTAGCAAGTAGCCTGAGGAACACCTTAGGAAGGCTTCTGAAATTTTGGATTATAGCTGGTGGTGTCTGCTTGTAAGTCACATTTAGGAGTCAAAGTATATTTGTACCCCACTTGTCTTCTATAACTCCCAGTCTTTCTGTATTTGATTAAAAGTTACAGCCTATTTTCACATATCTTTTTGAGTCAATGAGAAAAACTGTGTGCCAATTTTGGGGAGAAATGTTACTTGCAGGAGAGAGGGGCAGTGGGTTGAGAGGAATACACCTTGAGATGGCAGCAGGTAACCAGCAATGGAGAGAGCAGTAACCATTGAAAATAGCAGAGCAGTGGTCCATGCCTGGATGACATGGTCATCGACTACAGGACTAAACTGTGGGGCATGAAGAATTCCTGGGAAACTCTCTGCAACACTGAAGGAAGGAAACAAGCTAAAAGTCTAGCTGTCATGCATTCAAGTATGGAATAAGGACTTCAGCTAATTTGATTTGGACATGTGTTCAGTATAATACTTGCAATTAAATAATTCTACTGAAGTTTTCATTATTGACCTTTGTTTTTATGCTCACACAGTGGACCTGAGACTGCTATCCTTAGAATGCCTTGCTTGCAAGTTTGCCCCTTGGCTGGCATGTGTAATTATGGGAGCACAGGGCACAGGACCACAGGGTTGATGCCCAGGTTTCAGTAAAAAAAATGGCACTACCTTGGCATTATGGGTTGGCATCCCAAGTTTATTGATTCATTTATTTCTTCATTAAATAAATATGTATTAAGCCTCTCCAGTCTGTCAGACACTGGTATAGGCACTGGGGATAGTGCCCAACACTAGATCAAGTCTTGTCTAACAAAATTTAGAAAATAAAGAATATTTTAAAAATATATAATGTCTGGTAGCAATAAGGGTTATGAACAAAATGAAAACAAGGTAAGAGAAAGAATGGAGTATAGGAAAGTTGAGTGGTCAGAGGAGACAGCACCTGGAAGGGAACTAATGTTCTCAAAAAGGGCATTTATAACACTGACAGCTTCCTTCAAGTGTTTTGTGAGCATTGAACTTCTATGCTTCAAGTGTTTTGTGAGCACTGAACTCCTCTTCTATGAGAAGACCAAAGTAGACAAGCAGGACATAGAAGCTTTTGAATACATGGAAGATGCCTAGATAAACTCTGAATCAAACCCAGACTTTGGTGTCCTGGGTATGCACATGGGGGTCAGAGCCACTGGAATTTGAGTTATGGTTAGTCTGAATTTATTTTATGTGCAGAATCTGCCAAGATGTAGGGATATTTAGACAACAGAATTAATGACAAAACATGCAAATAGAGTAGATGAGAAAGAAACTGAAAAAATGACGCTGGAGCAAAAGTCAGAGATCTCATCTACATTTGGAAGTCATAGGAACAATAGTTAAAACAATGATAACGGTATATCAAAATGAGCAAGTGTCAAAGTTGGAGTCTTGAGGAATGTTTTTATTCAGATACTGGGGGAAAATGTAACAGAAAAGTAATTTGAGGAGAAGCAAAATAGAGAAATAGCAAAAATACAGAAACAATATGAGAGTATTCAAAAAAGCAAGAAAGATTTGATAGTGTTAAATTCTAAAATGAAAATAAGATAAATGCCAAGAAGAATTTGTTTAGAGGATATATAGAAACCACAAGAGAATAGCATTAGTGTGGTAGAACCTGAAACTAAATTTTATGTTGTTATAAAGGAATTCAGATGAAACAATTTTAGATCAGGTATCACAAACATGCAGTGAAGACAGGAAAGAGAAAGGTAGGATGATTCTAACAGGTGTGTCCACCATGGAGTTTGCATTTAAACAGGCACTTATTAATTATTCAACAAATGATAACTTGATAAGTGATTAAGATTTTGACTTTTTTCGATGAGAACATTCTTTGCAATTTTTGAAAGCAGAGTGGGAGGAGCCAAAGGAAAGAGAGAAGTTGAAGTTGCTAAAGAGAGGAGGGATAATCATGAAGGCAACATATGGAGACACATAAGGAATTAGATCTAGAGTGTAGGAAAGTATACACTTCCTTTGAAGCAGGAAGGATAGATACATCTCCCTTGATATTTCAAGGTGGAGATTAAGTTACATATAGGAGTTAGTTAATACTTGACAATTTAAATGTCCTCTGAGAGACTGGAGTCAAGGTAACTAGCAAAATATGTGGACCTTAGGTGAAACAGATTCGGAAATGACTTAAGCATTTTTGAACTTGATTATACAATGTCAGACCCACCAAAACAGGAATATTCTATTTTAAGATCTATCCTACCTCTCCTCCTTAAACTGCCACCTAAATATGTTATTAAAAGATGGGAGCCCCCAATATAAATAAAGGAGAAGAGTTTGCAGGTTTACATTAGGCTGCTGTTGGGCAGGCAAAGGAGTGTGCAGGAGCAGGTGCCAATTTTGCCTGCTGGTGGCTTTCTACTTGAGAGCTCTGATTTGGTCCTCAACTTTTGGTTCTCACGACATAGAATGCATTCTAAATTTACAGGTGTTCAAGGCATTTCTCAGTCTTTGTTGACCTTCTTAAACTCATACAAATGACCCTGCATACACTCTGGTAAAGGTGTTTAGAGAACCTCATAAGTCCAATATTATGTGGATGAATGAAAAATACTTATATACTACTAACTATAAAAAGATGGGCATATTTTAAATTAAGCATATTTTAAATGATGTTTTTCATTTATCTTAAATAACCTACTTTGACCTCAAATTACAATTTTATCCATCATATTTTCACTATGGAAACAACATAATAACTATATTTTAAGCTGTGAATATGCAAAATTTACTTTAGTGACTCCAGAATGGAAAAGGCATATGAAAACCTGGCACCCAGGGAGCAGCTTCCTTACATCCAAACACATGACTGTTGGAAATAAAAATCCAAAGGAACCAAGACAGCCAAGGTAAAGAAGATGGAAATCAGTATAAAGAGAGCTATTTCTGGAGAGCTGCACTAAAATATAAAATCTGTTTTCCCATAAAAATTATGCCATAAGTGACATCTAAAGATTTCTTGAGCAATGCTAGTTAATAAATGATTTCATAATAAGCTTTCTGGGGCCATCTTGATACTGCAACAACAATTAATTATCCACCGTTTCTGTGCAAAACCAGAAAGGCATTCCTAATCCCAAACAAATGACTGGTAAGTGATAATAGCCCATTACAAGCCATTTTGTGATAGTCCTTAATTACACTTTGGACATAGCCAGTGGAAGACTGTAGCCTATCTCAGGAAATGGGATGGCAAGTGGATTTCTTTCCATGTGCCAACCTCAATCAGTTGGAGTAACGTGTTATAAAGTACCCTGAAATCGTGTTTTATCCAGACAAAAAAGAGTGTTGTTATGCATTATTTATGTATTTCACAGACATGCTTGAGAGTAAGATACTACCATCCATTTTAGAAGATGGGGAAAAGAAACTAATATGAATAAAGTTTCAAAAGCTGGTACATCAGCATGAAGGAGAGGTCACAGAGAAGGCAAACTGAAGGGTTTTGTTTTATCCTATCTTAATTCATGCCAGTTTGTCTTAAAAGGAAAGGCATAAAAAGGTGTAGCTGGCATGTGAAATGAGTGAGAAATGGTGAGAACTTCCACCCAGTAACTTCATTGCTTGTGTCTCCCAGATTGATAATGACAAGGAAATAAAGGACACAGTGAGTCAACTAGAGAAGAAAGAAAGAAGTAGCAGTCTAAAAGTTCCCAAGTCAGTGCAAAGAGAAATTAAATTAAATTACCTAGAAGTCTCAATTAACTAGGAGTCTCAATTCTAGTTAAAAAAAAATTTTTTTTAAATGAAGGAAACCAATGGCCATTGGTTTTGACGTGGGGCCTGGGCCTATACAATTGATATCAACATCTAATTGCATCTTCTGATGATTTTTCTTATTATAAATGAAGTCCAAATCTAAATAAGGTATTTCTTAACAAAGCAGTAAAAAATAAAACTGTACTTTTCAGGCACTACCTGAAAGCTAAATGAGTTCAACATTTTAGTAGACAAAGGAAAAGAAAGATGAATAGAATACTACCTCACATCTCAATACTAACATTGAAATGTAATGGCCTAAATGCTTCACTTAAGAGATACAGAACAGCAGAATGAATAAGAATTCACCAACTAAGTACCTGCTGTCTTCAACAGACTCACCTGACACATGAGGACTCACATAAACTTAAGGTAAAGGGGTGAAAAAAGATATTCTATGCAAATGGACCCCCAAAGTGAACAGGAGTGGTTATTCTTATATCAGACAAAACGAACTTTAAAGCAGCAACAGTTAAAAAAGACAAAGAGACATTATATAATGATAAAAGATTCTAGTCCAATAGGAAAATATCACAAAATTTATATGCACCTAACATTGGAACTCCCAAATTTATAAAACAATTACTATTAGACCTATGAAATGAGATAGACAACAACTCAATAATAGTGGGAGATTTTAATACTCCACTGACAGAACTACACAGGTCCTCAGGACAGAAAGTCAACAAAGAAACAATGGATTTAAACCATATTCTACATCAAATGGACTTAACAGATATTTATAGGACATTCCACTCAACAACTGCAGAATATAGATTCTACTCATCAGCACATGGAACACTCTCCAACATATGATATGATAGGCCACACAACCTGTCTCAGTAAATTTAAGAAAAGTGAAATTATATCGAGTACTCTCTCAGACCACAGTGGAATAAAATTGAAAATCAACTCAAAAAGGCACCCTTAAAACCAAGAAAATACATAGAAATTAAATAACCTGCTCTTGAATGATTGATGGGTCAACAATCAAATCAAGACGGAAATTTAAAAATTCTTTGAACTAAACAATAATAGTGACATAACCTATCAAAACTTCTAAGATACAGCAAAAGCGGTGCTAAGAAGAAAGTTCATAGTATTAAATGCCTACATCAAAAAGTCTGAAAGAGCACAAATGGACATCTAAGGTCACACCTCAAGGAACTAGAGAAACAAGAACAAACCAAATCCAAACCCAGTGTAAGAAAAGAAAAAACAAATACCAGAGCAGAAGTAAATGAAACTGAAACCAGGAAATACAAAAGATAAATGAAACAAAGAGCCGGTTCTTTGAAAAGATAAATAAACTTGATAGACCATTAGTGAGATTAATCAAGAATAGAAGAGACAAGATCCAAATAAGCTCAATTAGAAACAAAACAGGAGATGATAGTATAACTGATATCACAGAAATACTAAAGATCATTCAAGGCTACTATGAACACCTTTACATGCACAAACTAGAAAACCTAGAGGACATGGATAAATTTCTGGAAATATACAAGCCTCCTATATTAATCCAGGAAGAAATAGAAATTCTGAACAGACCAATAACAAGCAGCATGATTGAAATGGTAATTTAAAAAGTGCCAACAAAAAAAAGTCCAGGACCAGGTGGATTTACAGCTGGATTCTATCAGACATTTAAATAAGAATTGGTACCAATCCTATTGACACTGTTCCACAAGATAGAGAAAGAGGGAATCCTCCCTAAATCATTATATGAAGCTGGTATCACCCTAATATCAAAGCCAGGAAAGAACACAACAACAACAATGAAAAAAACTACAGACCAATATCCCTGATCCCTGATGAACATAGATGAAAAAGTCCTCAACAAAACAGTAGCAAACTAAATCCAACAACATCTCAAAAAGATAATCCCCCATGATCAAATGGGTTTCATACCAGAGATGTAGGGATGTCTTAACATACACAAGTCAATGAATACGATACATCACATAAACAGAATTAGAAACAAAAATCACATGATCATCTCAACAGACATGAAAAAAGCATTTGACAAAATCCAGCATCATTTGATGATTAAAACCCTCAGCAAAACTGGCATAGAAGGGACACACCCTAAGGTAATAAAGCCATCTATGACAAACCCACAGCCAAAATTATACTGAACAGAGAAAAGTTGAAAGAAGTCTCCCTGAGAACTGGAACAAGATAAGGATGCCTACTTTCACCACTTCTATTCAATGTAGTACTGGAAATCCTAGCCAGAGCAGTCAGACAAGAGAAAGAAATAAAGGGCATCCAAATTGGTAAAGAGGTAGTCGAACTGTCACTGTTAGCTGATGATATGATTATATACCTAGAAAACCCTAAAGACTTATCCAAAAAGATCGTAGAACTGATAAATGAATTAAATAAAGTTTTAGGATACAAAATTAATGTACACAAGTCAGTAGCACTGCTAGACACCAACAACGACAAACCTGAATATCAAATAAGAACTCAACCCCTTTTATAATAGCTGCAAAAATAAATAAATAAAATAAGATACTTGGAAATATACCTAACCAAGAAGGGGTAAGACCTCTACATGGAAAACTACAAAACACTACTGAAAGAAATCATAGATGACACAAACAAATGCAAACATATCCTATGCTCATGAATTGGTAGAATCAATATTGTGAAAATGACCATACCATCAAAAGCAATCTACAAATTCAATGCAATTCCCATCAAAATACCACCGTCATTCTTCACAGAACTAAAAAAAAAAATAAAAAATCCTAAAATTCGTGTGGAACCAGCGCACACAGCCAAAGCAAGACTAACCAAAAAGAACAAACCAGGAGGCATCCACTACCTGACTTCAAACTATACTATAAGGCCATAGTCACCAAAACAGCATGGTACTGGTATAAAAATAGGCACCTAGACCAATGGAACAGAATAGAGAGCCCAGAAATAAACCCGATTACTTATACCCAATTGATCTTCAACAAAGTAAATGAAAACAAAAAGTGGGGAAAAGACACCCTATTCAACAAATGGTAAGCCGCATGGGGATAATTGGCAAGCCACATGTAGAAGAAGGAAACTGGATCCTCATCTCTCACCTTATACAAAAAACAACTGAAGATGGATCAAAAATTTAAATCTAAGACCTGGAAACATAAAAATTCTAGAAGGTAACATTGGAAAAACCCTTCTAGAAATTGGTGTAGGCAAAGACTTCATGACCAATAACCCAAAAGCAAATGCAACTAAAACAAAGATAAATAGATGGGACTTCATTAAACTAAAAAGCTTCTGCACAGCAAATGAAATAATCAGCAGAGTAAACAGACAACCCACAGAGTGGGAGAAATCTTCACAATCTATACATTTGACAAAGGACTAATATCCAGAATCTACAAAGAACACAAACAAATCAGCAAGAAAAAAAATAAACAATCCCATCACAAAGTGAGCTAAGGACATGAATAGACAATTCTCAAAAGAAGATACGTTATACAAATGACCAAGAAACATATATAAAAAAGTCCAACATCACTGATTATCAGAGAAATGAAAATCAAAACCACAATACGATACCATCTTCCTCCTGCAAGAGTGGCAATAATCAAAAATTTTAAAAAGATAATTCATATTGGCATGGATGTGATGAAAAGGGAATATTTTTACACTGCTGGTAAGCCTGTAAACTAGCACAATCACTGTGGAAAACAGTGTGGAGATTTCTTAAATTATTAAAAGTAGATCTAACATTTGATCCAGCAACCCACTACTGGGTATCTACCCAGAGGAAAAAGGGTCATACAAAAAAAAAATACTTGCACAAGCATGTTTATAGCAGCACAATTCACAACTGCAAAAAATATGGAACCAGCCCAAATGCCCATCAATTAACAAGTGGATAAAGAAAATGTGGTATAATTATACCATGGATTACTACTCATCCATAAAAAGGAACGAAATCATATTATTTGCCGCAACCTGGAAGAAATTGGAGACCATTATTCTCTAAGTGAAGTAACTCAGGAATGGGAACCCAAACATCGTACGTTCTCACTCATAAGTGGGAACTAAGCTGTGAGGGCACAAAGGCATGAGAATGATGCAATGGACTTTGGGGATTTGGCGGAAAGGGTGAGGGGGGTGTGAGGAGTAAAAGACTACACATTGGGTACAGTGTACACTGCTCGGGTGATGGGTGCACCAAAATCTCAAAAATCACCACTAAAGAACTTATCCTTGTAAGAAACACTACCTCTCCCCAGAAAACCTATTGAAATTCAAAAATAATGATAAAAAAGATATCTCAATGTTAAAAAAGAGATAGACACAGGTTGAATTACATAATATTCATTATTAGGGAAAGAAACAAAGTAGCTACTCAAGGAACTCAAACCTTAAAAACATACACATATTGCATTTTGTTGCATTTTTAATTTTGTTAATAAAGAGTTTTTTTTAAAAAAAAAAAACTACCTAAACAAATAAAATAAAAGATAGATAATACTTAAACTATTTGTTTCTATATGTTATTTCTTTCTATTAAAGTAAAACAAATTCTCTTGGTTGCTGGTTGGATTTTCTAACAATGCTCATCTCTATTTCTTTGAAATCATTATGTCATGGTCAACTAAGTAGCAGTATAAAATATTTCATAAGCTAATGATAGCTTTGTGAATGAAGACAAATGGTCCACACTGCACAGATTTTTTGAAAAGTCTCTGATAATTACTCATCATTTGCTATTTTGCATATGGAAATGAAAATTTTGGTTTGCTAAATAATTACAATTTAAAATCAAAGAAAGTGCTCAAAAGAACCTATGGTAGCAATGGAAACTATCATCCCTTATAAACTAATTGAAATAATAATTACAAATGAAAAGCAGTAAAATCAGGTGAAATAAATCTTCCCTGACAGGTACTGGTAGAATTTATACTTTACTATGGTTATTTAATCATCATGACTATATAATATACGTTTAATATTTGATGATTTTTTTTGAAGTTTTTAGATTGCTCATTATCTGGAGTGTCCATTACACAAGTCTTTGCAGTTGCATAAATTGAAAATGTATACCAGTTAATTGAGCATTTGTAAATATTTAATGTTTACTCTAACAGCCCTGTGAATCTTATTTCTAATGAGTACCTTATTAGATCTCATCACATGGAGAGCTTAGTATTCTAAACATCAAACAATAAAATTGAAATAAAATTAAAAGTAACTGCAAAGTAAACTTGCAAATCTCGTCAAAGATTGCATGTAATTTTTGTTGAGGAATTACTTGAATCATATCGAAACTACCAATCTGCACCGCAAGCGAAGATCTAACCAGCTTAGACCACTTAATTGAAAGAGAAAATCAGCAAGAATGGTGAAAGGCAAGATGTTTTCAAAAACAATGACTCAAATATTGAAGGATCAGAAGTGGCCTTTAGGAAAATGTATAAAACTCTTGGATTTTTTTTTCATGGTCTGAGATCATATGGCAAAAGTTACAAGTAAAATACAGCAACTACTAATGTATTACACCTTACAAATGTATAACCAAAATTACACGAAAGTTCATTATGGGAATTACAGCAATATTTAATCATATATATAATAAATGTAAGTTTAATTGTTCAACATATAATCCAAATTAAACATTTTGTTAGTTACAATAAAATTTTCATTTCAATTTTTAATGGATTCTGTTGGTGACTGTATGAGGTAAAGATTATTCTCAGGTAACAAGCATTTCCTTTATGTCATTTATCTTTACCATTTCATTCAAAACCTCTTTTTGATTATTTTTTCTTTTTGTTTGAGGGCAGGTAAGGCACAATCAGTTGCTTTGTCTGCCTACATATGTTTATTTAATACAAATCATGGCAAGTCTCTTGGTAAGTTAGGGCTTCAATTCATCAAAATGTCATGTAAATTCAGGCTGACTACAGAAACAGTGGCAAAACTAGCTTAAATCTCTCTGTGTGTTACTCCTTAGACATTAATTTACTTTAAATATGTGGAATTTTTGTGGTGGTTAATGTGTGTGTTTATATTTATATATTTATAAATATTAAAGAAATTTAGTGGTATGTTATGTTAATAGAAGTTCAAATAGAATGAGAGGAAAATATTCAGCATGAGGATTTTTATAAGACTGAGAAATATATTTTTTATTTTATTGTTTGATTTTTATTACTGTTATTTATCCTAGTGTAAAATGGTTACTTGATGAATCCCAAAAATTATATTAACATGAGAAGACACATTATTGTTTTCCAGATTATATATTTTACATTTGATCTAAAACTTCTTCAAAAAATTTGGTGGACTCTTGATAATTTTCACAGTCTATAAATGTGTGTGTTTTTGTCCATTTATTAGTTTATCTGTTTTCTCATAAGAATCAATACCTGAAGTACCACTATATAATGTGAAACCATTTTATCTCAGTCAATGGACTCTCATGGAAAAGCTAAAGGAGAGTAAGAAAATCCAGAGTGGGGGGAATACTCTTATCTTTGAGACAAGGGATCTTTGTTTCTTAAAACAAATTCCTGAAAATCAGCATTTCACAGACATGCTTCTTTTTTCTTTAATTTAATAGCAGGTGTGGAAGTTTTTCTTCAACCGCCATAGGTTCATAGTTGAAACTGACACTATAACAAAAGATAAATTAACAAGAAAAACAAACTGAAGTTTACTTACATGTATGTTTAATATGTACATGGAAGACACCCAGCGAAAAGGTAGTTCTTAAAAACCTGGCTTTGAATTCTAACTTATATTTCATGTTCAACAAAGAACAGTGACAAGTGACACAATGAAGTAAAAGGGCTTTGAGCCTCTAGGGGTGGCAACTTGCAGAAAAGCGTATTATAGCAGATAATGGCTAGTTAGTAAAGCTTGTTAATGTAGGTTCCTTTTGAGACAGGAATAATACAGATGGTCACAGGACAATATAAAATTCCAGGCAGTAGTTTCACATGATTAGCAAAAAGGAAACTGTTGAAAAAGCTGCATAAGCTAGAGGCTGACTGATAAGACCCTGAAACCAGGGTATAGGCAAAGCTGGCTAAGACTGACTGGACCCAACATGGCACTGAATTTGACCTAGGTTTCACCTAGTACCTCATTATGTGTTTATTAACATACTAAATGATAGGCGCAACAGTTCCAAGAACACTCGTATTTGGTGTAAAAATGTGTGGCACCACAGTTCCAAGGAATCTTCAGCTTTTTCAGGAATTTTCAAAAATATTCCATCTCTTGGTTAAAGAAACCCATCAATATAGAAATCCCAAAACTCACTGAGCAACTCTCTCTCTCGAATACACCCACACTCTCCTTTCTTGAGTGTATAGTTTTGCTTTGTAATAAATCTCCATACTTTCACTATTTTTCAACTCATCCTTGAATTCCTTTTCACAACACTGACAAGAGTCTGGACATCGGTGGGGTCAAGGTCCCACTGATTTTTGGGAACCTCCTCCAGCCCATTGGTGGCACTATGGAAACATATTCAGGCCAATAAGGTTGTAAAGTTGCCATCAGTAGTTAATCTTTACTCTCCTTGGCAGAAGGGGTGTCAAGGAACCTCTTATCTTCGTATATCTATATCCTGCTTTTAGACAAATTGAGAGAGGACTGAGAGCTTTTCTGTATCTACTTCTTGTCTTCAGCTCAACAAGCATCTTTGGGGTGGCATATTCCGGTCTCTCACACAGGCAGTGGCAATTTAAGAAAACATAAATAGGCCTGAAATCTCAAATTCCTTCCAATTTAGCTAGTAAAGTTTTTATTGCTTATTTTATTTATTTGTTTTTATTTTAAGTTCTGGGATACATGAGTTAAATGTGCAGGTTTGTTACTTATGTATATGTGTGCCATGGTGGTTTGCTGCACCTATCAATCCATCATCTACGTTTTAAGCTCTGCATGCATTAGGTATTTGTCCTAGTGCTCTCCCTCCCCTTTCTCCCCAGCCCCCAACAGGCCCCGGTGTGTGATGTTCCCCTCCCTGTGACCATGTGTTCTCATTTTTCACCTCCCACTTATGAGTGAGAACATGCGATGTTTGATTTTCTGTTCTTGTGTTAGTTTGCTGAGGATGATGGTTTCCAGCTTCATCCATGTCCCTGCAAAGGACATGAACTCATTGTTTTTATGGCTACATAGTATTCCATGGTATATATGTGCCACATTTTCTTTAACCAGTCTATCATTGATGGGCATTTAGGTTACTTCCAAGTCTTTGCTATTGTAAATAGTGCTGCAATAAACATACATGTTCATATGTCTTTATAGTAGAATGATTTATAATCCTTTGGGTATGTACCCAGCAATGGGATTGCTGGGCCAAATATTTCTGGTTCTAGATCCTTGAGGAATTGCCACAATGTCTTCCACAATGGTTGAACTAACTTATACTCCCATCAAGAGTGTAAATGCATTCCTATTTCACCATCCTCTCCAGCATCTGTTGTTTCCAGACTTTTTAATGATCACCATTCTAACTGGCGTAACATGGTATCTCACTGTGGTTTTGATTTGCATGTCTTTAATGACCAGTGATGCTGACCTTTTTTTTGTATGTTTGTTGGCCACATAAATGTCTTCTTTTAAGAAGTGTCTGTTCATATACTTTGCCCACTTTTTGATGGGGTTGTTTTTTCTTGTAAGTTTGTTTAGGTTCCTTGTAGATTCTAGATATTAGCCCTCTGTCAGATGGATTGCAAAAATTTTCTCCCATTCTGTTGGTTGCCTGTTCATTCCGATGATATTTTCTTCTGCTAAGCAGAAGCTCTTTAGGTTAATTAGATCCCATTTGCCAATTTTGGCTTTGGTTGCAATTGCTTTTGGTGTTTTAATCATGAAGTCTTTGCCCATGCCTATGTCCTGAATGGTATTGCCTAGGTTTTATTCTAGGGTTTTTATAGTTTTAGGTTTTATGTTTAAGTCTTTAATCCATCTTGAGTTAACTTCTGTATAAGATGTAAGGAAGGGGTCCAGTTTCTGTTTTCTGCATATGGATAGCCTGTTTTCCCAGCACCATTTATTGAATAGGGATTCGTTTCCCCATGGCTAGTTTTTGTCAGGTTTGTCAAAGATCAGATGGTTGTAGATGTGTGGTGTTATTTCTGAGACCTCTGTTCTGTCCCATGGTTCTATACCTCTGTTTTGGTACCAGTACCATGCTGTTTTGGTTACTGTAGCATTGTAGTATAGTTTGAAGTCAGATAGCGTGATACTTCCAGCTTTGTCCTTTTTTCTTAGGATTGTCTTGGCTATACAAGCTCTTTCTGAGTTTCATGTAAAATTAAAAGTACTTTTTTCTAATTCTGTGAAGAAAGTCAATAGTAGCTTGATGGGAACAGCAATGAACCTATAAATTACTTTGGACAATATGGCCATTTTCACAATATTGATTCTTCCTATCCATGAGCATGGAATATTTTTCCATTAGTTTATGTCCTCTCTTATTTCCTTGAGCAGTGGTTTGTAGTTCTCCTTGAAGAGGTCCTTCACGTCCCTTGTAAGTTGGATTCCTAGGTATTTTATTTTCTTTATAGCAATTGTGAATGGGAGTTCACTCATGATTTGACTCTCCGCTTGTCTATTATTGATGTATAGGAATACATGTGATTTTTGCACATTGATTTTGTATCCTGAGACTCTGCTGAAGTTGTTTATCAGTTTAAGGAGTTTTGGGGCTGATATGATGGGGTTTTCTAAATATACAATCATGTCGTCTGCAAACAGAGACAATTTGACTTCCTCTCTTCATATCTGAATACATTTTATTTCTTTGTCTTGCCTGATTGCTCTGGCCAGAATTTCCAATACTATGTTGAATAGGAATGGTGAGAGAGGGCATCCTTGCCTTGTGCCAGTTTTCAAAGGGAATGCTTCCAGCTTTTGCCCATTCAGTATGATATTGGCTATGGGTTTGTCATAAATAGCTCTTATTATTTTGAGATATGCTCCATCAATACCTATTTTATTGAGAGTTTTTAGCATGAAGGGGTGCTGAATTTTATCAAAGGCCTTTTCTGCATCTATTGAGATAATCATGTGGTTTTTGTCATTGGTTCTGTTTATGCGATGGATTACATTTCTTGATTTGCATATGTTAAACAAGACTTGCATCCCATAGATGAAGCCAATTTGCTTGTTGTTGATAAGCTTTTTGATGTGCTGCTGGATTCGGTTTGCCAGTGTTTTATTGAGGCTTTTGCATAGATGTCCGTCCAGGATATTGGCCTGAAATTTTCTTTTTTTGTTGTGTCTCTGCCAGGTTTTGGTATCAGGATGATGCTGGCCTCATAAAATGAGTTAGGGAGGAGTCCCTCTTTTTTATTGTTTGAAATTGTTTCATAAGAAATGGTACCAGCTCCTCTTTGTACTTCTGGTAGAATTTGGCTGTGAATTTGTATGCTTTTGTGCTTTTTTTTTCATTGGTAGGCTACTAATTACTGCCTCAGTTTCAGAAATTATTATGGGTCTATTCAGGGATTTGGCTTCTTCCTCATCTAGTCTTGGGAGAGTGTATGTGCCCTGGAATTTATCAATTTCTTCTAGATTGTCTAGTTAATTTATGTAGAGGTGTTTATAGTATTCTCTGATGGTAGTTCGTATTTGTGTGGGATCACTGGTGATATCCCCTTTATCATTTTTATTGTGCCTATGTTGTTCTTCTCTGTTTTCTTCTTTATTAATCTGGCTAGCAGTCTATCCATTTTGTTAATCTTTTCAAAAAGAAAACAGCTCCTGGATTCAATGATTTTTTAAAGGGTTTTTCATGTCTCTATCTCTTTCAGTTCTGCCCTGATCTTAATTATTTCTTGTCTTCAGAAAGCTTTTGAATTTATTTTGTCTTGCTTCTCTAGTTCTTTTAATTGTGATGTTAGGGTGTCAATTTTAGATCTTTCCTGCTTTCTGATGTGGGCATTTAGTGCTATACATTTTCCTCTAAATACTGCTTTAGTTGTATCCCAGAGATTCTTGTACGTTGTCTTTTATCTCATTGGGTTCAAAGAACTTCATTATTTCTGCTTAAATTTGTTATTTACCAAGTAGTCCTTCAGGAGCATGTTGTTCAGTTTCCATGTAGTTGTGCGGTTTTGAGTGCGTTTCTTAATCCTGAGTTCTAATTTGATTGCACTGTGGTCTGAGAGGCTGTTTGTTATGATTTCCATTCTTTTGCATTTGCTGAGGAGTTTTACTTCTAATTATGTGGTCGATTTTAGAATAAGTGCTATGTGGTGTTAAGAAAAATGTATATTCTGTTGATCTGGGGCAGAGAGTTCTATAGATATCTATTAAGTCTGCTTGGTCCAGAGCTGAGTTCAAGTCCTGAATATCCTTGTGAATTTTCTGTCTCCATCTGTCTAATACTGACAGTGGGGTGTTAAAGTCTCCCACTATTATTGTGTGGGAGTCTAAGTCTCTTTGTAGGTATCTAAGACCTTGTTTTATGAATCTGGATGCTCTTGTATTGGGTGCATATATATTTAGGATATTTAGCTCTTCTTGTTGCATTGATCCCTTTACCATGTAATGCCTTTTTTTGTCTTTTTTGATCTTTGTTGATTTAAAATATGTTTTATCAGAGACTAGGATTGCAACTCCTTCTTTTTTATTTTTCTTTCCATTTGCTTGGTAAATATTCCTCCATCCCTTTATTTTGACCCTATGTGTGTCTTTGCACATGAGATGGGTCTCCTGAATACAGCACACCAATTGGTCTTGAATCTGTATTCAATTTGCCAGTCTGTGTCTTTTAATTGTGGCATTTAGCCCATTTACATTTAAGGTTACTATTGTTATGGGTGAATTTGATCCTGTCTTCATGATGCTAGCTGGCTATTCTGCACATTAGTTGATGCAGTTTCTTCATAGTGTCGTTGGTCTTTATATTTTGGTGTGTTTTTGCAGTGGCTGATACTGGTTTTTCTTTTCCATATTTAGTGCTTCTTTCAGGAGCTCTTGTAAGGCAGGCCTGTTGGTAACAAAATCCCTCAGCATTGCTTGTCTGTAAAGGATTTTATTGCTGCTTCACTCATAAGCTTAGTCTGGCTGAATATGAAATTCTGAGTTAAAAATTCTTTTCTTTAAGAACGTTGAGGCCAGGCAGGGTGCTCATGCCTACAATCCCAGCACTTTGGGAAGCCGAGGTAGGTGGATCGCAAGGTCAGGAGTTCAAAACCAGCCTGACCAACATGGTGAAACTCCATCTCTACTAAAAAAAAAAGCATACAAAAACTAGCTGGATGTGGTGGCATGCACCTGTAATCCCAGCTACTCAGGAGGCTAAGGCAGGAGAATCGCTTGAATCTGGGAGGCAGAGGTTGCAGTGAGCCGAGATTGTGCCACTGCACTCCAGCCTGGGTGACAGAGTGAGACTCCGTTTCAAAAAAAGAAGAAAGAGAATGTTGAATATTGGCCCCCATTCTCTTCTGGCTTGCAGGGTTTCTGTAGAGATCCACTGTTAGTCTGATGGGCTTCCCTGAAGCCCTGAAAGGTAACCAGACCTTTCTCTCGGGCTGTCCTTAACAATTTTTCCTTCATTTCAACCTTGGAGAATCTGACAATTATGTGTCTTGGGGTTGCTCTTCTCAAGGAGTATCTTAGTGTTGCTCTTTGTATTTCCTGAATTTGAATGTTGGCCTGTCTTGCTAGGTTGGGGAAATTCTCCTGGATAATATCCTGAAGTGTGTTTTCCAACTTGGTTCCATTCTCCCCGTCACTTTCAGGTATGCCAATCAATCGTAGGTTTGGTCTTTTCACATAGTCCCACATTTCTTAGAGGCTTTGTTCATTCCTTTTCTATCTTTTTTTCTCTAATCTTGTCTTCATGCCTCATTTCACTAAGTTGATCTTCAAATTCTGATACCCTCTCTTCTGCCTGATTGATTCAAGCTGTTTATACTTGTGTGTGTTTCTCCAAGTTCTTGTGCTGTGTTTTTCATCTCCATCAGGTCATTTATGTTCTTCTCTAAACTGGTTATTCTAGTTGGCAGTTCCTGTAACCTTTTATCGAGATTCTTAGCTTGCTTACATTGTGTTAGAACATGCTCCTTTAGCTCAGAGGAATTTGTTATTACCCAACTTCTGAAGCCTTCCTCTGTCAATTCATCAGTTTCATTCTCCAACCAGTTTTGTGCCCTTGCTGGAAAGGAGTTGCAGTCACTTGGAGGGGAAGAGGCATTCTGGTTTTTGGAATTTGCAGCATGTTTGCTCTGATTTTTCTCATAGTTGTGGATTTATCTACCTTTTATCTTTGAGGTTGATGACCTTTGGATGCGGTTTCTGTGTGGGGCTTCTTTTTGTTAGTGTTGTTGTTATTGTTTTCTGTTTATTAGATTTTCTTCTAACAGTCAGGCCCCTCTTCTGCAGGTCTGCTGCAGTTTGCTGGAGGTCCACTCCAGACCCTGTTTGCCTGGGTATCACCAGCAGAGGCTGCAGAACAGCAAAGATTGAGGCCTGCTCCTTCCCCTGGAAGCTTCGTCCCAGAGGGGCACTGACCTGTTGCCAGCCAGAGCTCTCCTGTATGAGATGTCTATCAAACCCAGTTAGGAGGTCTCTCTTAGTCAGGAGGCACGGGAATCAGGGACCCACTTGAGGAGGCAGTCTGTCCCGTAGCACAGCTTGAGTGCTGTGCTAGGAAAACCCTCCTGGTCAGGATTTGCTGCTCTCTTCAGAGCCAGCACGCAGGAACATTTAAGTCTGGTTGAAGACACACCCACAGCCGCCCCTTCCCCCAGCTGCTCTGTCCCATGGAGATGGGGTTATTATCTATATGCCCCTGACTGGGTCTGCTATCTTTCTTTCAGAGATGCCCTGCCCAGTGAAGAGGAATTTACAGAGGCACTCTGGCCACAGCCACTTTGCCACGCTGTGTTGAGTTCCACGCAGTCCGAACTTCCAGGCCTTTATAGTGCGATCAGGGGAAAACTGCCTATTCAAGCCTCTGTAATGGTGGAGGCCCCTCCTTTCAGCAAGCTTGATGGTCCCAGGTTGACTTCAGTTGGCTGTGCTGGCAGCGATAATTTCAAGCCATTGGTTCTTAGCTTGCTGGGCTCAGTAGGAGTGAGACCCACTGAATCTCCCTGGCTTCAGCCCCCTTTCCATGGGAGTGAATGTTTCTGTCTCGCTGGGGTTCCAGTCACTCGGATATGGAGGCAGGGGGTCGTGGGGGGGGAACACAACAACAACAAAAAACCTCCTGTGGCTAGCTCAGTGTCGGCCTGAACAGCCACCCAGTTTTGTGCTTGAAACCCAGGGCCCTGGTGGTGAAGGCACACGAGGGAATCTCCTGGTCTGCAGATTGCAAAAAAATTGGGAGAAGCATAGTATCTGGGCCCGATAGCACAGTCCTTCCCGGCTTCCCTTGGCTGAGGTACGTGGAGTTGGGTGAGGGGGCTCCCCTATTCCTTGCACTTCCCCGGTGAGGTGATGCCCCAACCTGCTTCTGCTCGCCCTATGTGGGCTGCACCCACTGCCTAACCAGTCCCAATGAGATGAACAGGGTACCTCTGTTGGAAATGCAGAAATAACCCGTCTTCTGCGTTGGTCTCGCTGGGAGCTGCAGGCCTGAGCTGTTCTTATTTGGCCATCTGGCCAGCAGCCCGTTTTTATTGCTTATTGCATTAAACATGAACTCTTTCTCTTTGGCTCTAGCCAAACAACTTTCTGAAAATTTTGTTGTAAATATGTAATCAGAACGCCCTTTATTCAAGGGAAACAAAAGCATCGAATTTAATGGGCACTGATTGATCCCAACTTGGCTGTCATGTCCAAATGTCAGAAGTTTATTTGAGGGAAATTGTACAGTGCAAAAGTGTTTCTTATGTGACTAAACGAACAAGCAAAGAATTAGTAACCAGATGGGACTGATTGAGAAACTTCATTTGTGATTGAGTATTGGGATTTATTTCACTCTAGGTGATGTATCTATTAATTAGCCTGATTTAATCATTCTACCTGTACACATGTATCAAAATATCACTTTGTACTCCATTGATATATGAAATTATTTGTCAATTAAAAATAAATTTTTAAAAATTGTCTAGCTATAAAATTGTTTGTAGAAGTGTTAAATTAAAAATACTTATATTATAGCTACCTTGATGAATTACATTGGCAATCTACCAAATTGAGAAATTTCAAGGGGCAGGAGGTTATGACAGATAAACAGAATTTGTTACTCTCTGTGGCAAAGAAAATAGGGTGTGTGAAATCAAAATACTTACATTTCATAAATAATATTTCACTTGTAATTGGAGGTGAGTTTGTTAGTGGTAAATATAAATTTTAATTACATAATAAAACAAGACATCTGAACTGGTAAATTAAAGTGAATCTCCTGAATTTTATATACAGTGTTTAAAATATAATCAGTTCCTCTGGAACTAAGACAACACAAAAATTCTCTGGAGAAAAGAATGTAATATAGTAAATAACACATTTTCTGATATGAGAAAAAATATTTTCTACAAATCATAATTGGAATACTTATGGAAATATTTCATTGTGTTACAGGAGGTAGTCAGGCAGAAGTGAGCAGGACAGGAGAGGGATCCCCTCACCAGGAATATCAGGCAACTATCAGGTGATGGTCGATCTGTTGTTAAACTGTCTCTCTAAAATAATAATTGTTCACAGCCAGCACCAGGGAAAAGCAGTCTCCCAATCGATAGAAATCTCCTGAAACGGGGATTAGCAGCTTCCTGATAAGATCCCAGGAACTGGGTGAGTGGGCTCAAGCATGTGCACTATGAGGCAAAATGGCAGAGTTTGACTGGTATATGACCTTCTCCTAGGAACACTCTATTGGTAAGGGAAGACGCCTCAAATGAGCATGTGCACAATTTCAGTGTTACATGGCACGTTAGGCCCCTCCCGAATGCTGGCAGGCTACTGCACATGCAGACAGCCCACCCCAAGGGAAGAATCAGGAGAGAAGAGATGCAAGACCCCGGAATCATGCCAATGTATAAGACCCCAGGTCAAAGGACAAACCACACACTTGACTCTCTCAAGTTGCCTGCTTGGCACTCTCCAAAGTGTACTTTACTTCCTGTCCTAAAACTTTTAAAATAAACTTCACTTCTGCTCTAAAACTTGCCTCAGTCTCTCACTCGGCCTTACATTCCCTCAGTTGAATCCTGTCTCCTGAAGTGGCAAAAAGTGAGTTTGCTGCAGACCCGTACATATTCGCTGGTGCTAACAACTTCAAGTCTTTAAACATAGCTCAACTCTTTCAGTCAATTGCCAATCAGAAAATCTTTGAATCCACCTATGTCTTATAAGGCCCCATCCCCATCCTCCCCCTCTTTCAAGATATCCTGCCCCTGTATCCTGAACCAATGTTCATCTTCCATGTATTGATTTCTGATTTTACCTATAATTCTTGTCTCCCTAAAATGTATAAAACTAACCTATAATCCAACCACCTTAAGCATTCTCAGGATCTCTTGAGACTGTTTCCTGGGCCACAGTCACTCAGACTGGTTTAGAATAAACCTCTTTAAAATATTTTAGAGTTTAGCTTTTCTGTTAACAAAGGAATATGAAGGTGCTATTCCTGGGAACCCCAACCAGGGAAATGGAAGGGTGCCCGATTTGCTGTGGGACATTCTCTAGGCTTTACATCACTGAACCTCTTGCCCATTCAGTTTCCCGCCTCCTTCTGTCTTCTCCTCCTTCTTGCTTTTGCCTTCCTTCCCTCCTCCTCTTCCTACTGTAAAGGTAGAATAATCTAGCGTTCAGTAAACAAAGATCACACTTTCTTTGTTTAATAAAAAGAAAGAAGGCAATTGGTTCCCCAACCTCTCCCTGCTTGAGTATCTTTTTAAAAACATAAGAGTCCCAATAAAAGGCCCAACCTTTTCATTTTCAATATAAGATCCAGGACCTCCTGACCATTGAAAGTATAAACACGCTTCTCTGAGATTAGCTTAAAAGTCTTTCACGATACCAGAGATAATCACAAAGTAGGTCCTCTTGTCTTTCAGGGAGATAAGGGAAGTTTTATTTCTCTACTACTTTACTGCACAAATATGTGTACAATTCTGTCCAGATTTTGTAGTCACTTTTATGTCATCTTGCATGCACATAAATTTGATAACACTTACTCAATATTCAATTGTGTTCTTTCTCTCTACTATATTGGCATGAAGATTATTTATTTCTCCAATCCTTCTTTCCTTCCTTCTGTTTTTTTCTCCCTTCCTTCCTTCCTTGTTTCCTTCCTTTCCTTCCTCCTTCCTTTCCCTTCTTCCCATAAGTATTTACTGAGTGCAGATAGCACTATAGTAAGTACAAAAAGATTTAGAGCATGGTAACCTAAACTAAAAGATACAAACAAAATAACCCCATTTGTTTCAGTATCCTTAACCTCTGCTTCAAGATTTTATAATGCTAATTTTTCTTTGTACATTAGGTGTTATATTAGTTATCATCTAATTATTTTTATTGTAACCACCCATTTATTGTTTATCCAGGAGAATATTCTTTTATGCCTGCATCATTTTTGGTTTTGGTTGTGAGATTTCTGACAAAGTGTTTAGCATTCCATTGTTTTTCATGTCTTACTGTGCACTGGCCAATATTAATGGAGCATTAGGCTTGTAAGTACCTGTATTTACCAGGGGAGGATTTGATGCTGTGTAAGAAGCTGAATCTTTTCTGCTATTAATCATGTGATTAGTCTCTGTGCTTCCCTTGAGTGAAAGCTTTCTTACTCTTCTACCTTTTTTCCTTTTTAAATTTTAACCAAGTCAGGCACAGTGACTTATGCCTATAGTCCCAGCATTTTAGGAGGCAGAGGCGGGCAGTTCACTTGAGGCCAGGAGTTCGAGACCAGCCTGGACAACATGGTGAAACCCCACCTCTACTAAAAATGTAAAAAATCAGCTGGGCATGGTGGTACATGCCTGTAATCCCATCTCTTTGTCTCTGTGGAAGAATACATGCATAAGTTTGATAAGTGCCAATTATCAAACAGCTGGCCTAATCTCATTGACCAACCTCCCCACTAACAACTTCCAGTTCTTTTTCACTACCTTACCCTAGTGTTTAAAAACTCCCCCGCCTTTTGTTTCAAGGGAATTGACTGATGATAGAGATATTTAGTACATATTTTATGCATATACACAATAAGGTACCTCTTAGCAATGTTTCAATCAATAGCAGACTGCATATATGGTGATTCCATAAGATTATAACACAGTATTTTTACTGTACCTTTTCCATGTTTAGATACGTATAGATACACAAATTATTTCCATTGTGCTACAGTTGCCTACAGTACTCAGTACAGTAACATGCTGTACAGGTTTGTAGCCTATGAGCAAGAGGCCATACTATGTAGTCTAGGTGTGTAGCAAGCTATACCATATAGGTTTGTGTAAGTATATTCTATGACGTTTGCACAACAACAGAATGACCTAGGGACCCAATTCACAAAGTATCCCTGTTGTTAAGTGGTGCATGACTGTGTACATAGGTGGATTAACAAAGGCTAAATTTAAACATGAGAACCAAGTACTGTAGTGGAAGCAGATGTATTTCTATTTTAGAAATAACATTATTGTCCTATTTCCCACTCTCCACTGGTCTCTTCCTGCTGTAACACATGAACACACACAAACACACATACACACACAAAAACACACACACCCCACATGGAGCAGATCTAAAGTATCTGCAGCTTTGAAATACAGTTACTCAGGAATCCTTTTGTTGTTTGTGAGCAAAAAGAAGCTACTCCAACCTGCAGAAGGGTAGGCAAACAACAACAACAAAAAATAAAAAAAAAAAAGAGGAGGCAATCACTGCTAGTTGATTTTCTAACCGGCTTTCACTTTTCACTACAGCAAAGGCCATGACAATAACCATGCTTCTGTCTCGGTCTCCTTTCCCTCCTGTCAGCCCCTGTTTTCCTCAGATTCTCACAGGCTGACTTGGTAGTAATGGCATCTGTAGACATGATAGTGGTGGCGTCTGCCCTTTCCTCACTCATGGGTAGATTCTTGCTATATTTAGATCAGCATTTGCAGCACCACATAGATGGAATGAACTTGTCAACAGGCCCAATATGTGTTGCTCTAAAAGTGAGCACAGAGGGCTTGTATGATCTCCACACTGTAATATTTCCTGCCCCCTTCATTACATGTTGAATCATTTTGAGAAACTTGATTTCTGCCTTGGTCTTTTTCCTAGAATCCTTCTTTCCTAATGGGACTATAGCTGTGCACAGAACCCTAGCTCTTGCAGTTGCATTACTGGAGATCCACTGTGAATGAACTGGCTACCCAGACCATAACTCAATGGGTGACAAGGAATTGTCCCTCTCTGAATTCCAGTTTTTATATCTGCCATGTCGGTCTGATTCTCCAGCCCTACACTCCATACTCATTACAGCTTCTGTAGAATTTACAATGACTTTCTGATATGTCTCATTGGAAACCTCCCCTCTACAAAAAGCCTCTCTAAAGCTGGGTTATTTCCATGGCTATTTTTCTGTCCTATACATTCCCTCTTACTCATATTACTGAAATACAGCTTTTAAGGTATAACACAAAGATATAAAAAATATAGATATTGATGAAAATATGTACTATTCACTAATAGTCTATTATTTAGTGGGCATTACGTATTTTTTCTAATGTAATAACAGCCACTCAACTTAGTGTTATTATCCGCATTTTACAGGCTGGCAATCTGAGCCTAAGGTTCATTAGAAACTTGATCACTTAAGGGGCCACAGGCATTAATGCAGGAGCTGAAATTCAAACACAGGACTAATTTGGGAACAGAATCTTCAGCTCTTTATGTTGTGTCACAAGATTCAGATGTTCGACGCTAAGAATTAGCACATTGGTAGCAGAGGGAAAAAATCCAATCCCAAAAGTAGCAGGTATAATAAGAAAAAAGGCAAAGCATTAGGATTCAAAATGCCTTACAAATTAGTTGTGTGACCTTGAACAAATTATCTCACTACTTTGTACTGACAACTTCCTTATCAATTACGTAGGAAAATAGAACAGTTGGTAAAAAAGTTGTGTAAGAACAAACTTAAGGAACTTGTGAATATAACAATCTTTCCACGCAACTTTACAAAAAAAGCCTTAAAGACCTTAAGTCTTTCTTCACTCATCCATGTAGTGGAGATAAAAATAATAAATGTTACAGCAAGTTTTGTGTCAGAGGCTGCCTCTCTCCTTCCTGCCATACTCTTTGAATGTCTAGGCATGAATTTGAGAAGTGCCTTTTCTTGCTCTCCAGTCAAGCTAATGTATACTGGAGGGAGAAAAATCCATGAATCCCCATATCTGGCTCTCAATTTGCCTTCCATCTGCCTCACTAATAGTTTTCAGGTTGAAGAGGGTTTTGTGTCCACATTCCCCAGGGCTGTGAGAAACCATTAAAAGTGACAAAGATTCTAGAAATGGAGGAAGTGTATAGAATCAATGCAAGTTTGTCAGGCAAAGCAAAAACTACTTTAGCTTATAAATATTAGAAAATCTGTCTGCAAAGTTGATCTTTAATGGAAAGTAGAAGATGAAAGAAGTAGCCAAAATAGGCTACCATGTTCATCCAGATATTACAAAAACAATGTCAGGCTCACTCTTCTGCTGCCTGATTCCAGTACAACTAATGCTTATGAATGTCAGATGAGTACATAAGAATTTAATAGATGCCAGTAACACTTAAGTAAAAACAAGCAAAAACGAATTTAAATTCACTTTTTATTTTTATCCATAAACATTGTCCTCAAGTAAAACTGCAGAATTCTTTGGCCCCATTGTAAGATTAAAAGAGACTTTTCCTTTTACTAATTATCTTTCCTTTTATCTTACCAAACTGAATTTACCTCTACCCATGAACTTAAATGTTATCGTGGTTCATAATTATCTCACAACCTACCATGAAACAGTCCAAAACATCCTAAAGGAGAGAGAAGAGCTCTCTAACCATCACAAGAAGTTGTTCTTCTATTTCAAACATATAGGTATTCATATGTGTAAGGAACAGAGAAAAACAGAACGTAAAAGAGACAGAACATGTGCCCAAACCAAATAAAATACAGTCTGCAGCCTAGTGGTTTGAACACTGTATGAAAATATATTCTTATCCTGGAACAAAAGAGATGGTACAGAAATCACAAGTTTTAAATGTTATTAGGTCAATCTAATGGCCTTTGGCAAGGAGTAGTAAACGTTTAAGGAAAATAATATTTTCATTTGCAGGGTTTAGGAGTGAGTATTTATTGCCAAAAGTCTTTTTCAAATTGCAGTTACAAATTTTTTGCTGAACTTCAACAAATCTACAGCTCATTCTATTAACATAATCTTTAGGGTGACCTTGAACTATAGGTTTGTAATTTTAATGAAATCAGCATTACTCTGTTCTGACACATTTTTATAAAACACATTTTATAGTATTAATAGAAAACTACTGCAACTTAATCTATGCAAATGATATTAAAAGAAATACAGAAGTCTGTTCAAATCTTCAGGTTTAAAAGTACAATCCTATTTAAAAAAATATAAGGATGCCAGCATATTCTCAAGACTAATGTAACTAGAGTTTAAAATGATAATCTTTCTATCCTGATTTTGGCTGGGCCCTCAAAGGCTGAGAACTACAGAGTGTGTGCCAAGTAACCATACACCTTACAGTGAGATGTTAGTTCATCTATACAAGAACATGACAAATGTTTCTTAGATTTTACAAGGTCAGTCACCTTCCATAAATATAAACAAGGTAAAGACTGAATAGTCACAGGAGGTTTGGAAAAGTTTGTCAGTGAGATAGTACCACTCCATGAGGGCAGGGAAAGAATGCTTCTTCTTGTATTAATCCAAATGAATGGGGCTTCTCAAAGGCTCTGTAAGCATCCCCAGTATGCATTTCCTGTAACTTATTTGACACAGAGGACTGGGATTTAAAACACACCTGAGCAGCTGAAAACTAAGAGGCCGTACCTCTCAGGTTAAACAATATCGTTTGTAGAGGGGGGTAAAAAAGGCATGTAGTATGATGATAGGATTAATTTCAAATACATCAATAAATGCATTAAATGTACATCCAGTTGATATTTCAGTAAAAAAAAAATCAACTTATGAAATTCTTTTTGATACATTTAAAACACAGTTACAGAGAATATAAACTAAAACAAAGGAATAGAATATGTCATGCAAATACTCCCCAAAATTATTAAAATAATTTCAAACAAATAGAATTTAAGATAATAAAACTTTTTGTGGGGGGCGGTTGCAGTGACTGACGCCTGTAATCCCAGCACTTTGGGAGGCTGAGGACGGCGGATCATCTGAGGTCAGGAGTTCAAGACCAGCCTGGTCAACATGGAGAAACCCCATCTCTACTAAAAATACAAAAATTAGCAGGGCATGATGCACATACCTGTAATCCCAGCTACTCAGGAGGCTGAGGCAGGAGAATAGCTTGAACCCGGGTGGCGGAGGTTGCAGTGAGCCGAGATCGCACCACTGCACTCCAGCCTGAGTAACAGAGTAAGGCTCTGTCTCAAAAAAAATAAAAATAAAAAAATAAACTTTCTTGAAGTAAAATGATTTTGACTCACAATAATGATCTATAAATTAAAAATTTTGCTCACTGAAAAATATGGCCTCAAAATATATAAATCAAAATTGAAAAACCTAGAAAAAATAAATTTAAAAACTAAAAGGAGATTGATACTTTTCAGTAGGTAATTAATAGAACACCCAGACAAAAAGTTTGGAGTTTTCTTGTAAAAGTAAGCGTTGATGTGGGAACCACTTACTCCTCTGGACAAGAGCCTTTAAAATAAGTATTGATATAATCTTATGATGTTAAACAGACACTAGAGCTTGGATCCACTCTTTCAGCAACCTTACAATAGCTCATGTGCACTGCCACATCTCAGAATAAATCTAAGACCTTAAACATGCTCAATATTTTTTAAAAGATATTAATCTAGATAAAATAGAGTAAATATAGCACAGCTAATCTTATTTTGCTAAACAGAAATAATCTTTTCTCAATATTACCCCCATGCATGACACACAGAGAAGCATTCTGACAAGCCAAAAAGAATGACAACTGAGAAATAATTCTTTAGAGGAAATTCCCAAAGGAACAATAAACATTTCTCCTTGGTCAATAGTACATTTATAGGAAGTTACACAGGCTGTAGATAAAGAAAGGCAATATTTGATCTGCTTTTGACACCTTACTAATGTCAGCAGGTGAATGTGTGGGGAAACAGGCACTCCCAAACTGTTAGGAATACAATCTTCTTGAAGGGATTGTGGCTATTCTAAACCCTTTTTGGTGTATGCATTATAATTTACCGGTAGCCAGTTCCCTTACCGGTAGTAAAATTATTCTTCCTTAGTGCATTGAAGCCTATAATGGACATGTGACTTGCTTTGGACAATAAAATGTAAGAAGAAATTATATGTCTCACTTTGGGGCTTTAAGGACAAATGCAAGCTATAGGAAATTCTCAACATTCACAGTAGTTATGTTATACAAAGTTTCCATGAATGATGAAGATTGTTCATCAAATACTGTCATTGCTCTGAGGAGAAATGCACTACTAGGTTTCTATTAACCTCTGGTCACAACATTTAGACTATTTACCAATCAATTCAACCATTAATACTTTTTTAACAGGTCTTTCTGTTTAAAGATATCTTAATGAATATATATTTCTTACAAATAATTATATGCAGTGCTTATTTTTTTTATAATAAAACACTAGCCAAGAACAGTTTAGCATTTTCTTCACCTTGGGTAACATGACTAAAAATTTCTTTAGTTTTCAACCTCATAACAATGTTTCACCCCATCTTTATTGTTCATCATCTAGTGAATCCACAAGTCTAGCCATTTTTTCATCTTCTGCATATTTTAAGATGTTACTGACCTGGCAGTGGCTCACACCTGTAATCCCAGCACTTTGGGAGGCTGAGACAGGTGGATCACCTAAGGTCAGGAGTTTGAGACCAGCCTGGCCAACATGGTGAAACCTAGTCTCTACTAAAAATACAAAAATTAGCCAGGTGTAGTGGCAGGCGCCTGTAATTCCAGCTATTTGGGAGGCTGAGGCAGGAGAATTGCTTGAACCCAGGAGGCGGAGGTTGCAGTGAGCAGAGATCACACCACTGCACTCTAGCCTGGGCAACAAGAGCGAAACTCCGTCCCAAAACAAAACAAAACAAAAACAACAACAACAAAGTTGTTACCATATAGCTTGAATCCTAATACAATAGAAGTTACTTGCGTACTTCCTGGGTCAGCCTGATATATAGATTGGCACATTTCCTCTTTTCTGAATTTACTGTATTACTGATTTGTTAACATTAAACTCATGGTCAACAACATTGTAATTCATGCCTGAAAACAGCGTATTGGACACATGCATTTTCTCCATAAGGCACATCACAGCCTTGTCGTGCATAGGAACACTAAACAGCACTTTAGCACTACACTTTGGGCCATTTTAAATGGCAAAATTACCAACAAAAAATCATAAAATGTAAAAAAGCAGTACTAAATAGATCGAACAAACAAACAAAAAAGAACAAGGTGTGAGAGCTGAAATAAGAATGCGGAGCATCATCTTGTTTGACCTCAGCTGGAAACCTGCACTGTTGCACAACTCAAATTTTTTGCCACTCTGCACATGTCTGAGAATGAAGATCAACCCTATACATTAATCTTGACCAACAATCTTCCAGGTACTGGCTGCTTCATTAATCTGGGCAGTGCAGAGACCTCAACTGAACATGCATAAACAAATAGCATGAGTCAGCATTAAATTTCTGTTGTTTTAAGTCTCATAGACTTTGGAATTATTGGTTACTGCAGTGGAACCTCACCTCCCCTGACTTATATGCTCCCTGACCTAAAAATACTATTACAAAATTTATCCACTAAATATACTCACACATCTAAACAAAACCATATAAGGAAGGCTATAGAATTTTAATGGAAGGATACATAAGAAACCAGTAACTCTGGTCACCTCTGGCAATCAAAAGGAGGGAACTGAGGGTCTAGGCAGCACTTAGTTTTCTCAGAATAATTTTTTAATTGTTTAGAAATGCATAATTTTTAAAATAAAAAGACAAAAGTAAATTTCAAAAATTAAAATAAAATAACCAAATGAGAAGGATGTGTATTTTTAAAAATCCTTAAGATTTTCTATTAAAATAAAGAAATGACAGTTTTAATAGACTGAAAATTTCTAGAAGGCTTGGATTGCTGTCTTTATTGAAGGATTATTTTATCACTAGAGACCGATTATCTCATTATGCATTTGAAGGATGGATTTGAGACATTTTCAATTATTTTAATTAATCTAAATTATGATGTATTTTTAGGGACCAGCAGCTTTATTCTCTTTTCAGTGACCCAAAAGCATCAATATATGAACAGTTGAGAAGCGGGCACAGCCCTGCCTCCTGGAAGTGTCAGTACATTCTCAATGAGCCTGGTCCATGCAGCTTACCTATCCAGAGGGTCACTGGAACATGACTTTTAAGTATCAGAAGATCAAATGATTGTCTTCCATAAATAGTGATACGTTAATTTTTTATGTATGTGAGAATTCTACCACTTTCTCAAAAACATTTTTGGAATAAAAATACATCTTGTTTGTAAAATTTTCCTCAGATATTTTATTGAACTCATCATTTTCATCGAAAACTTAAGATGACAACAGTATTACAGAAAATATTATGAAAAAACCCATAATTTCTCTACTTTAACACTCATTTAACTATTTTTATCAAAATTATTTTATGTTGATAATCTATCTTGTCCCCAAGTATCCACAGATTTACTGAGTACAACTGGAGTGTACCTATATATTTTCTACATCGTATTTTAGTCTAACTTGATTTCCAGAAAATTGTCAGATGTTTTATTGAACTATTTTCATTATAGTTTACATTACTGTATTCATGAGTCAGTGCCTCATTATAAAGAAGTTCTCTCAAAAATTCGATTTGTGTATATTTATACAAACAGAATAGCTGTATACGAATAATTTTTATATATTTCTAGAAGAGAAATTGTTCAGAAAACAGTTTACTTCCAGGGGAATCTGCTATTCTAGAGAAATATGCTACATTCATGTATATTTTACATGCGTGTATATAGAGAATAAACACACATGTGTTTATATAATCTATGTTTATCATTACTATATATGGTGACAATATATAGTCAATGAAAGATTAGACAAAAATATTTCTTTTTGCATTGTATAAGAAGAAATCTACTCCCTTATACTATGGTTGAGAAAGTATGATGAAATAGCTCCTATGATTTGAAAAGTCAAATTGAGTTTGGTTATTTAGCATGTTGCAAATCATCATTCTTGAACTGCTACTGTTACGGGCGGGGAATCTCCAAGATCCGCGTGGTGAATCCATATGGGTATGCAGCAACCTCAATTTTGGCCTCCTCAGAAAAAAGAATTCAACTGAGGGGCATAAGGCAGAAAGAGACTGGGCAAGTTTCAGTGAAGGACTGGAAGTTTATTAAAAAGCTTTAGAACAGGAAAGAAAGGAAAGCACACTTGGAAGAGATCCAAGCGGGCACTGTGGAGGTCAAATGCTTTGTTTAACCTTGATTCTAGGACTTTATATGCTGGCCCACTTCCGGCGTCTTGAGTCCCCCTTCATTCTTCCTTGGGGTGAGCCTCCCACATGCAGGTTGCCCTCTTTGCACTTGGAGGTAAGCATGCCCAGTGTGTTTAAGAAGTTGTATGCATGTTCACCTGAGGTGTTCTTCCCTCTTCTGGCGGAATGCCCCCGGAAGGCCATACTCCACCACTTCATCTCTTAACACACATGCTCGTGCCCACTCACCTAATTCCTGAGAGTTTACTGGAAGCTGCCTAATACCAATTTCAAGTGTTTTTAATGTATTGGGAAATTGCTTCTCCCTGGCTCCAAGTATGACCAATTATCATTTTAGTATGGCAGCTGCCAGACCATCACCTGATGGTCGCCGGACATTCCTGGTGGATGGCGGGGAGTCCTCTAATGCCCCACTCATACCTGACTAGCTACTTACTGTAACACTACCAACAATTATGCCCTCTGACACTGGCTGTTTTGGCACACAAACTGAATTTGACGACATTGGATATAACTCAACCAAGGAGTAAAAGTATCCTTGTGCTTTACTATGGGCATAAAATCACCATTATTCATTTAAGTTGTCTCTATGATCATGGAAAAGGCCACACTGATACCCTATTTCAACTATAACATTATCTGTCATTTTCAATTGTTCCTCATTTATTCCATTAAATTATGAAGGTTCATTCCTAACACAGGAGGAGAAAGGTTAACAGATGATAAATAGGAAATCTTCTTCCAATTTGTTGAAATATATACAGTACTCAAAAACTAATCCTCATAAGGCATTGGAAAAAGCAGGAGATTTTATTCCTGTTTAATTTTATAGCAGGTAAATTGGCTTCAGTTGAAAGTAATAGAAACCATTTCCTGTCTCAGTTAACTGAAACATGGAAGATGTAGTTGCTCAATAATGTTAATGAGTTCTGAATTTTGTACTAACTCTCCACTCCTTTCCCCAATATGGATTTTCTTGGTTTCTCAGATTAGTTACCAGCTTCAATCAGAATTAGAGGCTTTTTTGTCCATAATACTCGGGAACATAAATATGCTCTTTTTCTGCAACTACCACATAAAATGTTGAACTTTCTTTTGGTTAAACCAACCCGGTTCCCTTGTCAACCTCTAAGTAGTTACTGTGATGACAGGAATGTGATTCTCTGATTTAGTTGGGGGTTTGTGGGTAGTCAGTCTCACCCATAATCCATGATTAGAAAATCTCATGTCTGATTAGAGAGAGGTAAACAAATTTCATGAAACAACAATATATTTAAGAGCAAATATTTCTGTGAAGAAAATAAGCCTATTTTTAAGTGCCTATTTTTTCTCCATAGGGATTTTTTTCAAAGAATAACAAATAAATTGGTATTACATTTTTATTATCTACATATATTCAAATATTATATAAATAGGATGCATAATTATTCCTTTGTATTTATTCAACTATTTATTGAACTAATATTTACTGAAAACATTTAGGCTACAGACATTATTCTAGGCACTGGGAATACAGCAGTGCACATTCTTTTGAGTAGAGTAGATTCTCTACTGAAAAGAATCTGTTGTCCAAGAATGGGTGACCCATGAGAAAATAAACATAATGATTTTAGAAAATCAAAAAAGTACATTAGAAATTAGAGAGACTGGCAAAGGAGTGGTCACAACTTATCTATGAAGATCAGGAAATCCCTCTCTGAGGAGGTAACATGGAATCTAAGGATGAAGAAAGAGAAGGAAAAAACATTCTGCTTGCACAGGAAATAGTAAGTGCACAGTTACATAGATGAGAACCAGCTTTATGTATTGAAAAGATAGAGAGTCTCAATGTGGGGCATAGGGAATGTGGAAGAGAATGATGGAAGATGGAGTTACAGAAAGAGATCAGAGCCCAAATGTGTAAAGGCTTATAGTAAGGTGCTTGTTGTATTCTAATTGAGATGAAGAGACATTGCTGATTCTGGCTGCCCATTATCTGACCACGCTTTATATGAGGAGAGGCTTCACCCATCTTATGAACCTTGGTAGGAAGAAAAACCTATACACCACATTAAAGAAACTGAAATGTGACCAGCTTCCACTGAAACTATGAAAGAGTCACAGGAAATACAAAAACTCCCTTAGATGGTGTCAGTGGTTGCAGGGAGACTGAGTTTCTGAGAAGGAGCAATGTTGGTGGCGGTACCCAGTCCCCTCAGGCAACTGTTTCAGTCATTAGCAGCAAGGCCTTGATAATGTCCTCCATGGACCAGTTCTGCAGTGTGACTGTGATGTGGCTGCTCACTGAATAAACCCGGTTCTCCAAAATCTTCCCAAAATTCCTTGAATTACCAATATATTTATACTAAATTATTTTCCATATATAATATATAACTGCTTACAATAGAGTAGTTATTTATTGTTGCATAACAAATTAACTTCAAACTTACCAGCTTAAAACCACAATAAACCTTTATTATCACGTGATATTCTGTTGGTCAGAAATTTGGGAGCAGCTTAACAGAGTGGCTCTGGCTCAGAGTTTCTCGAGAGGTTGCAGTCGTAATGTCAACCAGAGATTTGCTCACTTGAAAGCTTGACAGAAGCTGGAAGATCTGCTTCCAAGATACCTCATTTACATGGCTGTTATCAAGAGGCCTAAGTCCTTTATTGGCTTTGAGCTTGGAAGGAGGCATCAGTTCTTTACCATGTAGACCTCTCCTTGGAGCTGCTTGAGCTTCCTCATGGCATGGAAGTTGGCTTCTTCCAGAGCAAGTTATCCAAGAAGAGCAAGGTAGAAACTGAAGTCCCTTCTATAATCTAGCCTCCAAAGACATATTTCATCATTGTAACAATATTTTATTGGTTTCATAGGCCAGACTTATTCAATATGGAAGTATACTGCACAAGGGCACAAACACCAAAAAGGTGGGGATAAGTGAGGACCATCTTGAAGACTGGCTGCTAGATTTAGTAAGAATTGGTTTTCACTATTTGCAGATAAAAGCCCTGACTAATTTTTAAGTCATTCGATATTTTTAAGCCGGAGGGGGGAGGTGATATGTTCTATTTAGTGTTTATCCTGGACTTTGATTATTTAAATTATTATTGGAGAATGAAATGTTGAGACATAGTCGAATCAAGAGGCTGTTGCCATATTTCAAGTGAGATATGGTGTTGCTATTACAGTAGTAAATGGAGAAATCTGTTCTAATTCAAGTCACAGTTATAGAGAGCGGCCACAGAATTTACTGATTAGGAGGGGAGTTTGAAGGGAATATATAAAGCAAGGATGCCGCCAAAGATTTAGACTCAGAAACAGGATGTATATCAGAGCTATCTACAGAGCTAGACACAAGAGAGAGAGGAACAGGTTTGTAGGGGAAAACTAAGAGTTCTGTTTTAAATATAAGCTTGATGCCTTTATTAGGTATTCAAGTGGAGATATATAGTTTAGACTGTTAAATATATGAGTGTGAAGTTCAGCGCAGGGAATCAATGCTAGAGATAAAAATTAGCTGTCTTTAGGAAACACATGATATTTAAGGCCACATTCTCCATTAATTTTATAGAGCCTTAACTATAGAACACAACTTGGAGTACATGAATGAAATTTTATTACTACTGAAATAAAGCAGTTTTGCCATGTCCACGGGCTTATGTAATTCTTTTCTTTTTTCTTTTTCTTTTTTTTTGGAGATGGAGTCTCGCTCTGTTGCCCAGGCTGGAATGCAATGGCGCCATCTCAGCTCACTGCAACCTCCGCCTCCTGGGTTCAAGAGATTCTCCTGCCTCAGCCTCTCAAGTAGTTGGGACTACAGGTGCACGCGCCACCGTGCCCGGCTAATTTTTAGTGTTTTTAGTAGAAATGGGGTTTCACAATGCTGGGCAGTCTAGTCTCAAACTCCTGACCTCATGATCTGCCCGCCTCAGCCTCTCAAAGTGCTGGGATTACAGGCATAAGCCACCGCACCCAGCAAATTCTTTTCTTTAAAGGAGAGAAAATGTGTGTTCTTTAAAAAGAGGAGGATAATGGAATACCAGTATTCTCAAAACAAACCTCATATTATAAATCAGTTACCCAATGTTCAAAGCTTCAATACTATTAAACCAGACACGGGAATGTTTTAAATTTCTTTACTTTTGTTACAAGTCAATTCAGCCTGCTTGAAATCTTGAAAGTCATATCGGCAGTGATATTTTGAAGAGAATATTGTTTGGCAGAGAGGAATAACATACTGATATTATTCATTAATTAATAAGGAGCGTCCCTCAATAACTATTTCTATGAATCAGGCCCTAAAAGAACTCTTTCACAGGAATAGGTCTCTCATCTAAACAGTAACTCTTAATTGTTCTGCTTCCCACTGAAGGAGGGTAAATAGATTCTGGGTTGTGTTGGATAATAAATAATGATTAATGTACATCTAAAACATTGTTTGTCCAAGACATTTATTCTGGTTATGTTTATTTATTTAGGAATGCTTATATAAATGGTTATGTGGTACTGCTGAACATCTGTCTCCTGTCTTTCTGAACAGCATCTTATTTTCTAAAATGCCAGATGTGGCATTACTCTATTGATTCATGAATATGATTCAATAATTTTTCTGCATTGTATTTTAGTCTAACTTGATTCCCAGAGTAATTAAGTGGCCCTATCCATATATATCTTTAAACACCCAATTCTTGTCAGATATGTAACAATATTGGCATATTTGATCACCATCACTATAACAAGAACTTAAGTAAAAATAATTATTCTATAAAACCAAAACAATCATCATGCTATGCATAATCAGTGACCATTGCCACTTGAGATAAGTAACATTATTTTTCTAGCTGAAATTTTCATTTCAGTCCTAACAGAGAGAAGATAGTTTGGAGAGCATTTTTCCCAAAAACCTTCCTCTGTTGTTGAAATGGGTATGTTGACACATTTTCTACTTAATTCAATATAGATTAGTCAGTGACTTCTCCTCAGCTAAACTTCAAAATGTATAAAACTGAATTTATTATCTTTCCCCAAATCAGCTTACCCTACAGATTAATCTATTTGTGTCAGTATTATTTTTCAATCACCTAGGCTTGAAATTTGGAATTGTTTTTTACTTCTTCCCCTCTGGCATTTCTAACAATCAAAAATCAAGTTTTTATATTAAAAATTATTAAGCATTTACTATATTCTATGTGCTTAGGATGCAAAGATAAATGAGATCACACTTGCACTTCAGGAACTCACAATATTTGCATTTATCCCTTCTTCTATATTTCTACTGCTGTTAAACCAATCTTCACTAACTTTCTTGTCTCCACTCTTTTTACATCTAATTTATCCTAAACATTGCTGCCAGATTAATTTCAGTCCAAAAAATTGCATTCTATACATTATACTCTTTTATTAAAATTTGTAATGATTCTACTTTTTCTGCAGAATTTTGTTGTATATCTTTATCAGGCATTCAAGACACTTGACAATATGTTCCTCATCCTACTTTGAAGCTGTCTGTCCACTCCCCCAAACCCTCTGTTCCATCTAAACTAGTCTACACACTACTCCTACTCAAGCCATATATATCCCTACTATCAAACCTTAGTTCACACCATTTCTCTTGCCTGAGATGTATACTTCCCCTGACTAAACATATCTAAGTAGAATAATACAAATTTAAGAATGTACACTATTAAGAGCACTAGCTACTTATCAAATACAATCTATCTATGTATTTTTTAAGTTTATAGTCAATTTTCCAGTTAGGTTGTACATGCATTGAAGTTCTTGATTTTGAAGTACATACAACCTCATTTAGGAAATAGTATATATATTTAAAAGTTTAGTAGTTTTTTTTTTTAATAAACAACCTCCCTTCCCTGTGCCTTCTTTGTGGAAGGAGAACTTAAATACTTAGTATAGAACTTCTTTAAAAATTTATGCTGTACAATATTCTATCATAAATGTCTTACATTTCACATCTTATTTTTCTTTCTGTAAATGAAGTCTTTATAGTTTTTATTGAGTTTGACTTAGAGTTAATTATAAAATATTGTTACCATGAATTCCTAGCTGTAATTCAATCATAACACTCAGAATTGTAGAATTTTGGACTTGACAAGACCCCAGTAAATATTGAAATAAAGGAACTGAGGCCCAGAATGTTGCTGGAAGGCATGTCTTTAAGAATTGGAAGTATCACATTTGAGTCTCATCTTTTATGTACTTGAATATAAGGAACCAACCACACTAACATATGTACATTGTAGGGAGTAAAATATTAAGTAATATTGTCACCAGGACAGTCCTGATGAAATAACTGGAAAAGTTACATTTTCTTACTGTTTTTCTTTAGTCCCTTTATCTACAGGCACAACTGCTTAAAGAAACCAGATGGCCCAGGATTCCACCAGATCTTCTTGACCCTTTGGCCAAATAAAAGATAAGACCCCTTCATGAAACTATTGCAAACTAGAATGGGTGACCCCTAGTTACCTTTAGGTAATTAACGTATTATTACAATGCTAAAATCCTCTTCCCTAAAAGAAGGTCATAGCCATTTTGTGTACATGCAGGGAATGAAGCATGTTTGGGGACTCTGCCTGTGTGTTTGGAACTTCACACTGTGCATGCTTACATATACCTCCCCAACCACATCTAACTATCTAAAATCTCCCTGCCTCCCATTACTCTGGCAGAAGGTGCCTTCACAGCAGGAGCTCCCCTTCTCCATTCCCTGGGCACTGAACTGCCTTTTTCAACTGTATGTTTTTTCTTTGCAGCCAATACAAAGTAAAGAAATAAATCAATTTACCAGCAACAATATTATTCTCTCATTTTCCTCAAAACCTGTCCAAGATGTATCTAACAATATCCCACAAATTCAAATGATATAAGGGCAATGCCTATTTTTCTAAAATTGACATTGGTGATTAGAATTTTCATGTAGATCTATTTGGATGGTAAAAGGAATCCTCTGGTCAATTACATTCTCATCTCACTGGTTTTTTTTACCCTGTTATTTTAAAACAAACACTTCAGAAATTAATGCTAAAGTTAGTTTTGAATAGATAAGAATTTGTTTCTAAATTTGTTCATACAACTTGAATATTACTGGCTATAATAATGATGCCAATAATGATAATATTAATTGGCAGAATGGCAACTATATGGCAGATTTTTCTAGAAACTTTACATGAATTGAAACATTAATGTCTCACAAAATTACTCTAAGGTGAATTCTGTCATCCATTAAATTTTTCCAGTGAGAAATGTAAAGCTCCAAGGTTAATAAACTTTCTCCAGGGTATACATTGCCTTATAACCCTGACTGTCTGCCTGATGTTTTGATCCACCATGTGATCTTCTTCTTTATTGTTCTTTCTGAACTCTACATTCTGTTTCTATGGGTGCCACTGGCTCCTGTCTCTAAAAACGGGGAACAAAGGAAAAGAGTTTACATTTTTTAGCCCTCAAATATTAAATGAAAAGTTGCAGATCCCTGGAGCTAATTAGCCTAAAAATTTCTTAATCATAATATGAGGTTTTAGCAGATATGTATAATTCCTACAATCTGCATTTTGAAGTACCTGTAATCTTAGAATGTAAAATATTTTTTCTTGCATGTCTATTTAATAAATGGTTCCTTTTCATTTGCCTCCCTCACTTGCAGCTCTTCTGTCACCAGTTACATGGTAATTCCTCAAATTTTACTTTTCTGCTATGTCATGACTCATCAAGTTTTAAGACAGTCATTCAATCCACCAAATGTTCTTCTCTTTGTGATACTTCATCTGATAAGTAAAAATGGTGTCAAGACAATACAAAAAGTCTCCAATTAGGATATCATCTCTGTGTCTTAAATGAAAGGCTTTTCTAGAAGGGACAGTATACAATTCACAGCATGATTGACTAAGCAGCACCTTTTAATTTAAAAAGAAAAGATGTAACAAATAGAATTGAAAAATCTAAGTCAGTGTATAGTAGCATTCTGAGAGTTTTCAAGGCAACCTTAATTTTTCAAAGCTTGTCCATTATTTATGTTTTGAGAAAGTGGGAATTTCGTTAAAAATAATTCAGTTACATGGTATTTCTGAATTTATAGCAATTTGGTGGTGGTTATCAGCCTCTTGTTATGGGGTCTATTAGTATGCTAGATGTGGGCTTCCTCCAAGAATGTCTTGAATTATGTTTGTGTATCAACTGACTCCTGTCAATATTTTATACAACATTTAACCTATTCTACAGCCCTACAGTACCTAAAGAGGCATGCACAAGGCGCTCAAAGAAGATGTAGCAGTAGATAAGACATTCTTTTTTCTCCATAATAACAATAAAATATTTTTGAGTACTTACTACATGCAAGGAACTGGCTGAACAATTCTCATTTAAACTTTTATTCAATCCTCCTAGCAGCCTCATAAGGTGAGGGTTATTTTAACCCCATTTTCATACAGAAATCAGATACAAAGAGGTTAAGTTACCCAACTAGGAAGTATTGGAGCTCATATTCTAATCAAACTGTTATTTAATTCTATAGTCAGTGCTTTATCAACCCAGTTATTAGCCCCTCCATTTTTTCTCACAGCCTAAATAGCTGCAGAAAGTGGACACAACCAATCTGTGGTCAGTCTTGAACTGGGTCACTATACGGTAAGTGAAGAAGTTTAATAACCGAGCTCCCAGGTCCCACTCTTATTGTGGGAGCCAGAGAACACACTCCTCTGTTCCTTCCTAAAAGCTTCAAAGAGGAGATGTCCCCCATCTGTAAAGATACTAATTTACATTCTCAGCAACTCTACCCAAAATTAAGAAGCAGTACCCCAATGGGAAACTCTTCCCAACCCAATTCTTTCCAAGCCACACTCCCACTATGCTTCTTCCTATGACCTGATAAATCACTTGCTTTGGATCATTTTATCCTTTTAGAGATAATCTAGACAATTTATTGTCATCATTCTTAGTATAATCACCAAGAACCTGGTAAAGATATCAAAATATTAGAATCTATAATTATATTAAAGCTATATCTTAAGAAGGGTACATATAATATTATATAAATTGCTAACATGTTAGCCAAACACAAAAACAAAAATAGATGTTTTGTTGTTTTACGTGTGTATGTTTGTGGCTGTGGAAGACATTACCAAAGAGCAATCAAACAAATGGTTTATTTCCTATTTTGGAAAACCATATATCTGGTACAAATGAACCTGGATGGCTCTCACTTGACAGTGGTGCCAAAATGGAAAGCAAATACAAGAGAGCCTAGTTAAAAATTTTGAGCCAAGAGATTATATTCAATTTCTTTCTTTCATGGGGCATTTTAGCTTTTTATTACATAAAACTATGTGTTAATGTTTATAATGCAAAATAATTGCTTGGCACAATTCACAAATTACATTCACTATTTTCTATATCAAATAGAAATTTATTTTTAAATAAACTCAAATTGTACAAATTATAATTGGTTGTCTGAAATTGGCTGGTGGTCTCTCTGTCCCCCTGCACACAGCCCAGTGCCACTGATGCCCCATAAAAATATCATCTGCCTCTTGTCTTACAGCTCAAGGGATTTTCTAGAGCTGCCTGCCACCATTATTTACTCTCACTCTGGTCTGGTTTCCATAGTTCCCAACTGTTGGAGCCTATGCAGAATCTGTCACTCTTTCCACTAATAGCCTGGTTGAGCTTTCTGTGGGCTTTGGTTTCCAGCTTTCACTGGCACACCTTCAGGTCTGCTTTGCTTCACACTCTGCCCCTAGCAGACAAGTCCCTCCTGCCCACAAGGTTCCCTGGTCTGCAGTCTCAAACCTGATTCACTGTTCCAGGGGATGGGAAGGAATCTGACAGTGCTGCCCAATGCTAGTGCAATAAAAGTTGCAACTCCCCAACTCCCTTCAGACATTTTAAAGAAAATAACAGAAATAAGTAAGAATTCAATTGAAGATTTGGAAATCTAAGTTTTCTATCAAAAATGTTTAAAAGAACATAAAATCTCTGACTCAAGATTTAAACTGTGAACTACAGCTGTGTGTAAGATTAGGTCATATGATTTATGTGTTTGAATTTTTTATAGAAAAAAATAAAATATCCATTTACATTTACTTGCCCTATCCACAAATTATTGTACACACTGACAGAAATGTATTATGCTAGGTTTTTTAATGGTGCTTTGCCTGAAGGTTTTTTTAATCACAAATTTTCTCAGGACCTCATGCACACAAAACTAACTACAGAATAAAAGCCACCTAAAGTAAAGTGGTCCAGTAGAACTATAATGTGAGCCACATAAATACTTGTCCAAGTATCCATATTTAAATTCTTTATTTTTAATAATATATTTTATTTGACCCAATATATCCACAATACTGATATTCTTTTGTAAACCAAATTTTTGAACTCTTTTATGTTTTTTACACTCACAGTACATCTCAATTTGGACTAGCCACGTTTCAAGTACTCAATAACCATATGTGAATTGGAGCTACCATACTGACAGCACGACCTTAGAGGAATGGATACTTGCTATCAATTTCCTTTAAAAAGAATTATTTCTGTAATGATAATATATTCTTTAAAATAATACATAAATTTCATGTTTATTAATATCCTCCCCAAATTAAAATGATTTTACTTCTCAACAAAAAAGTCTCTTTTTTACATGCTCAGTTATCTAGTATCAATATGTAATCACAAGTTATAATTTTAAATTCCTATTGCTGCCAGACAAAAATTTAAGTTGCTCTCATTCTAGGCATCTATGCGGCTGGGTGTTCCACGTAAAATTGTCTCAGCCCTTGCTGTGGAAATATGGTCCTGGGATGAGATATGACAGGTTAATGGAATAGTATGTTCAGTGAAAAGAACATACAACAACAAGGCATTAAAAATAGTGTATTTTCAATTCTATGTGCAATTTCAAGGCTGACAAAACATTTCCATGAATTCTTGTTTCCTTAATTAACTTTTTATGCTTTCTTCTTTATCTCTAAGAAACTACAAATTTAATGAGAATCGATTTCATCACAAGGGTTTTCTAAGAAGAAAAACTAGTTTTTTAAAGGTCATTTTAGAAAAAGCTTTATATTTATAGGAAGAAATACTAACATATTTATTTTTTAAAAGCCAAAAACATAATACCAAAAATGCTTTGTGTAATTCATTTAACAACACCACCGTTACGTAATCATTTATTCATTCATTGAAGCAGCATTGAATAGACATTATATACCATATGGTGTGCATGGAACAGAAATACAACAAAGAACACCCCAGCTCCTGCCTAGAAGTTTACGTTCTATTGAAAGAGAGAGAAATGTACACTCTCTGTATTTAGAAGTCTACAAGGGAAGTAGCCACAAAGCAGCTGGAGAAACATCAAGAGGACACCTATACTTGTTTACATGGGCAAGTCATCTCTGAAAGTAGTGATAGCTAAGATGAGCCTTGAATGCTAAGTAGAAATTTCAAGGCCAAGGTAAGAGAAGAGAGAAAAAACAAGCAGTGTTGAAAGATTAAGTTCACATAAGGTAGTCTTGTTTATGAATTTAAGAAAGTTTGTGTGGCAAGAAATGAAGCTAGGGAATCAAGCAAACAGAAGCCACATTTTGAAGGGTGTAGTAAAACCACTCCAAGGATGAAGAGCTACCAGAGACTTTTACGCTGAAAAGTGATTTACCATATTGCATTAGTCTGTTTTCATGCTGCTGTTAAAGATATACCTGGGACTGGGAAGAAAAAGAGGTTTAATTGGACTTACAGTTCCACATGGCTGGGGAGGCCTCAGAATCATGACGGGAGGTGAAATGCACTTCTTACATGGCAGTGGCAAGAAAAAAATTGGGAAGAGGCAAAAGTGTAAACCCCAATAAAACTATCAGATCTCATGAGATTTATTCACTACCAAGAGAACAATATGAGGAAAAACCTCCTCACGATTCAAATTATCTCCCACTAGGTCCCTCCCACAACATGTGGGAATTATGGGAGTACAATTCAAGATGAGATTTGGGTGGGTACACAGAGCCAAACCATATCACATATTATGCATTATAAAAGTCATTCTGTTCACTCTGCGGATTCCACATGGCTAGAGGAAAACTCATTGAGAAGATAGTACACTTTAATAATTGGTGAGTGAATAGACATTTAGTGATTGGAAGTAGGTAAGGGAAGAATTTGATAATAATTCCCCAGGTGCTTGCTCTGGTAATGAAGGAGTAGTAATGCCATTTATAAAGGCAGAGGATCATAAGAATGCATGCAAAACCAAGCACTTACTCTGTGCCAGGCATTGTACTTGTTTTTTTATATCAAGCAATTGAATCTTCACAACAAACATACAAAGTTAAGTACTATGATTATCTCAACCATTGCAGAGAGACATGAAAAGCTATAACTAGCCCAATATTAAACAAACTAAGAGAAGGACACAAATCACCAACATATACAAGAGCTACACAATATCAGCATTTGCAGAAGAAAAAGGAGAGAGGAGCAATAAGGAGTCTGACTGGAAATAGCCAAGAGTTATTGACTAGAATGAGCTTCAGCCAACTGTAGAATTGAATCTCAACCACCAGGGATTTTACCCACTCCATTACCTGGTGAATGCAAGAGAGTCACTATAAAAATGGAAGGAACTGATGCAGTCTACTCACAGGAAACCTCAACAGAGTTTTCTTTCTGGGCAGGGACCAACATGGAGAAAAAGGAAAGCGCTGGGAATAAAACCAAAATTGCAGGGATTACCACACTAGCTGATGTAGCTCTTAATGTTTCTTAATGTTATATTGATATGAAGTGGCAGCTCCACTGACCTCACAAGTGATCAAGCATTAGTGAACCAAGATAATTTAGATTTGTGTGTCCAAAGGATATTTTGCGTGAAACTATTAGAAGCATTTTGAATACAATTGCAAGTTTGGTTCTATCAAACGTATTTACTAACATTCCTATGAAAGTTCCTAGTCAAATATGGGAGACTAGAAGAACAAGAGCACTATATTGTTCCTCACCTTGTCTCTCTTCTCAAAAAAAAAAAAAAAATCTGAAAGTTCTCAAAGTGTAAGTCACTTATCTGTGTGTCAGAGTTCTGAGAATTCCTCATTAACAGCTGCATCAAAGAATTTCTGTCATTAGTCAGCTCTCAGAACTGGATGTATCTACACTGAAAGAAAATTGCTCATTTTCAAAGCCATTGGGGCTGCACATAGGAGAGCACACATATTTTAAATTGAAATTATGTAAAATTTCCTCTGAATATTATAGTTTACTTCTATCTGCACCACATTAGGGCATGCATTCCTAATGTTAGGGATTCAAACGATGCTCAACAATAGTAATTATTTTTAATATCTATTCTAAATTACGTTTATCTGAATTGGCAAATAATGTTGATTTCTAAGTTTTTTTGAAAAGTTTTTGTCTAAATCATATATGTAATAATATCACCTGTAATAAAAATTAACACATGACTATTTACGGTCTTTACAAATATCATAAACAGACACAGAGAATGTCAATTGCTATCACTATTTTCATATTCTGGAGAAGCCAGCACCTAGTCCTAGGACTAAGATTGAAAAATACAAATCTGAATTAAATTAAATATACTTTATCTTCCAAAATATATTTTCTTAAAGCAACACTGAAAATTTAGTTTTGTATTTTGAAAAAATGCAAAGAGAGTGGATGTTAAGTGTCCTCACAACAAAAATGACAACTATATGAGGTAATGCATTTGGTAATTAGCTACATTTAACCAATCTACAGTATGTATTTACTATAAAACATCATGTTATATATAAATACACACAACATTATCTGCCAACTTTTTTAAAAAAGAAAATAAATGAGAAAAAATAAACGAAACCAAAGAAAAGCACTATATCTTTTCACTGCAAAATACAAATGAAAAAAAAAAAACAGCATTTTCAGTGGATTCAGGTGAAACCCAAAGTTCAACTCATTCAGGTTCTAAGATATGATTATAATAATCTGTGTTCTGGAATAAGCAGTTATTTGATTAAGCTGGCAAAAGCTCTTGAATTTTAAAGGAAGAAGTTGTCTTTCAGTTGAGTTGAGCATGATGGTTAGTTTTACAGGTCACTTTGAGTAAACTAAGGGATGCCCAGATGGCCAGTAAAAGGTCTTCTGAGTATGTCAATGAGGATGTTTCAAAAGAGGTTAGCATTTGAATCACTACACTGAGTAAAGAAGATCTGCTCTCACCAATGTGAGCAGGCATCAGCCAGTCCTTGAGGGCCTGATTAGAACAAAAAGGCAGAAGAAGGGTAAGCTCTCTCTCTTGCTCTCTCTATTTCTCTTTCTCTTCTTGAGCTGGGACATCAATCTTACACTCTTAGGATTTGGAGCTCCTGAACCTTGTGCCTTTAGACTCAGACTGAATTATACTACCCGCCTTCCTTGTTTTTGAATCTCCAGCTTGCAGACAACATGTTGCGGGACTTTCTGATCTCCATAACCACATGAGCCAATTCTCATGATAAATCATCTGTAATATATCTATATATAACCTTTTAGTCCTGTTTCACTGATGTCAATCAAGAAAAAAAATGACAGGACAAGTCTCAATCATTTTCGGAGATTTATTTGCCAAAGTTAAGGACATATGCCTGGAAGGCAGGTCTATGCCTTTCTCCAAAGATGATTTTGGGGGCTCCAAATTTAAAGGGAAAAGGGTAGGATATTGAGAAGTACACAGTTTTCTTTTAAGAGGTATGCAGGGAAAAATAGTCATTCATACCTTTGTCTCGCTCAGTGAATCTGCATTTTTTTTACGTAAGATGACATAGACAAATGGGGCAGAGGAAAAATGCAGGGAATCTGTATTTTACGTAAGATGATATAGACAAAATGGGGCAGGGGAATAATCAGATACGCATTTGTGTCTGGTGGGCTGGGGGTGACTGGACCTGTAATGCTAAGCTATCAATTTGTATTGCCATGGTGAAATTTTAACAGCTCACTAAGAATTTACCTTGTGGGCAAAATATGGGGGAGGCGTGTAGCTTTTCATCTCGTAGCCATCTTATTTAGGAACCAGATTTGCATGACCCAGTTGCCAGTTTGACCTTTCCCTTTGGCTAAATGAGTTTGGGGTCCCAAAATTTAATTTCCTTTCTCACTGGGAAGCCCTAATAATACATTAAGTAAATAGAAATCAGAAAGTTTTATGTCTATAAATTTAGATTTTTTTGTCTATAAATTTAGATTGCTGAAAATAAATATTTTCCACTTTTTGGCTCCTTAGTACCAAAAGTTTATGGTCAGTTATAGTATTCAAACTTATGCTCTGTAAGAAGAAATGACTCCTCTTGGAAATAATATACTTTCAAAAATATACTGCTGTCATTATATTCCAATTTTATATCTAGCAATATTGCCATTTGATTGGAGTTCAGGTATAAATATCTGAATGTGACAGAACATTTATTTCAGAAAGTGGGCATCAGAACCTAAAAACAAGAAGGAGTGACTGTTAGCTCAATTAGGAACGCAGAGATACAAAGACCAGGTAGGCAAATAGCTTTCATTTGCTATTGGAGGGGCACTATTTTAGGACAATAGACTGTTATTCCTTTAAAAGCAGAGATGATGTGTTTTTATTTTTGTATCCTCAATATTTAGTGCTGTGCTTGGCACATAGTAGTACTAAATGTAAGTGTACACTCACACTTAGGAATTAAAGTGCATATAATGTTATAACCATAAAAACCTTTTAACTTGTCTTCCTTATATCACATGTATTTACAACATAAAGTTTTTGGATAGCAGGACATGTCTTTTTTTTTTTTCTTGTTTGTTTGTTTGTTTGTTTGAGACAGAGTTTCGCTTGTTGCCTAGGCTGGAGTGAAATGGCGCCATCTCGGCTCACTGGCAACCTCTGCCTCCTGGGTTCAAGCGATTCTCCTGCTTCAGACTCCTGAGTAGCTGGGATTACAGGCACTGGCCACCATGCCCAGCTAATTTTTGTATTTTTAGTAGAGACAGGGTTTCACTATGTTGGCCAGACTAGTCTCAAACTCCTGACCTCAGATGACCTGCTTGCCTCGGCCTCCCAAAGTGCTGTGATTACAGGCATGAACCACCGTGTCTGGCCTTATCTTGTAATTTTTAAGTAAAACAAAAATTACCGAGTAACAACTTCACTGACTTTAGAGTGTTTTTAATGCTTGGGGAAAAACTGTTTTATGGATTCTTCTGCCTTAACACTATACCATACTAAGATTTATAGATAGCCTTCTAGTGTTTGTCTACGCACATATTTTATGTAGTTATGCTGAAATTTTATATTCATTTCTTTGCCCTGTATTTTTAATTTAACATTTTAATATTGCAATGTTTTTATGTTGATGTATTGTCTGAATAATTATCATTTTTATGGCTTCATAACATTTCAGTAAGTAAATGACAAAATGTATTTAACCATATTTCCTACCATTACTTTTTAGAGGAAATACACACTTATCTGATCTATTCTTTACAGAGCATAATTTCAGGTATTTAAAAACATGTTTTGATGCAGAAATTTTTCTTTAGCAGAGCACTTACGTCTGGCATCTACTAAAAAATGCAAAGCAATCAAACTTGAAGGCCAGTGTAAATTGGGTCAGATTATTTTGTACCCACTCGGGAATGCCCCTTCATCTATTTTGATTTGAAATGTCAATTTCTCAGCTGAAGGCCTAGGAAATAGCTCCTCTTTGAATTGACTATGAAGAAACAGAAGATGATCCAGCTTAGTGTTCAGCTTCTTGCTACATATCTGGTTTATGCACATAGATAAATCCCAGGTCTGACATTGGCTTTAATTTTGAAAATACTATGGGACTCATTCAGGTCCTTGAATTTACCAAATCTAAACTTTGAAATTTCTTAACCTCCATTTCACTTCTCTAGAACACTTATACTGAAGACTCATCTGTTATAGACATTTTTCAATTTATTTTTTATAAAGTCAAGCTTCCCTTTCCTAGCAATTCTCTTCATGAAATCCCTTGTCTCTGGAAGTAGGGCTACCCTTAGAGAAAAAAAATAAAAGCCAGAGATCTATTTAGTAGTAAAGATTCCTTATTGCCTTTAAAACCTGAAAGCATTGATAAGGGAATAAAATTATTATAGCTAACACTGAGGGCTTACTGTTTGCCAAGGACAGTGCAAAACATGTTATATATACTTTAATCATCACAGAAATCTTATAGATAATATTATTAACTTCCATTTTATAGAGGAGAAAAAGGAGTTCTTAAGCTTTATAAATAAATTGCACAAGATCACATCATGTGAAAATGTTAATGTTGAGCAAGATTGATGCTTAATTTCACTCAGCTGGGGAATCAACAATGTAAACTGAAGAATTAAATACCAGCGTTGCACAGAGAAGATAAGAAAATGAAAGTTTTCTATTATATGGAAATAAACTAAATAATATATTCCCCAGATATATTTCTGTGAAGTATGCCATGCTCCCTCTTATTTCCTATGCATTCATGCCGGGTGGGAAATTCTCTAAGAGCATCTTTTATAGAGGAAGCTTCAGAATCTTCCTCAAAACAGTGGTCTAGGGGGCTCCCCCCAATCAACTGGAACAGGCTAAAGAGATTACTTCTGTTGCCTATTACTCCTAAGAATGTTATAATTCAGAAGTGGTGCTGGGAATGCCTTACAGGTTTAACTGACTAATACAGAGTCACTGCCTAGACACTTCCAGAAAGGTTCTGTGGCCTGTGTACTAAATAATGACAGGGAATGATAGTATCATCTACTTCATATAACTGTAGGAAGGAATCAATGTGCAAAAGCAAAGTTCCAGATAACTTAGGCTTGATAAATATCCCTTGCCCCCCACCACACACACACACACACACACAAACACACACACACACACACACTATGATCCAGGTACTTTTCTACACCCTATTCATCAATGAACATAACAGAAGAAAATCCACTCCCCCACCACCACCTTTCACAAAGTTTAAGACAAATAAGGAATATTCTTCATATTTATTCAGTAATTTACTCTTGCATGCATTCATATATTTATTCATTTATTTCAATTTGATTATCCACTATTTGCCTAGTAATGCTTTTTGTTTGAAAAATATAAATAATGCAATCTCTGCCTTCAAAGAACACTGTTAATCAGGTTCTGATTAACAACTGACTATAATAAAATGTATTAGACATTATTATATAGGGAAATGTAAACAACTATGGAAATATAAGCAGCAGTGAATCTTCTTAAAGACATGAAACTTGATTTAAAATATAAATATATAATGTATTAATACTTGTTTTTAAAAAAAATCTCAATGGATCCAAGCATCAATTTTAAAGGCCAACATCTTTTTTCTTTTTTAACAAAAATTTCATTTCACTTAATTATATGTGCTTGCTTTTGAAAAAGGAAAATATGCTGTTGAGTCCACATTGTAGTTAAAAATATATACAATATATAATAAGCATGGGTGGTAACTGACTCAGTGCAATGCAACTATCACTTGTCCAATTCTACATTCTCTGAAGAAATGTTATAATTCAGCAGTGGTGCTGGGAATGCCTCACAGGTTTAATTTAATTACTACAGTTCTGACCTTTTCGTAGTAGTAACATATAATCTTTTGTCCCTATGGGCTGGCCTGTTCATTATGTTTTCTGCCCAAAGCTTACCGCACATTGATTTCCAATTACTAGTTTATAAAACTGCCAAGTCATCTCTGTCAAATTACTGTTTTCACCAAAGCAGCTTAAAAATTATGCAAGTCAAGTGAAGTAACTGAAGCATTAATTAAAATTTACAGATTGTTAAGACAGACCCAAGAGACATGAAAGCACTATTCAGGACAAGCCATGTCTCTAAAATCATCTGCCACTGTAATTAACTGCCATGTCCTGGTCATATTGCCAAGACTAGAAATTTCAGATTTTTATAATGAATAAACAATTATCTATGAAGTTTAAGCTACTAATATACATAAGATTATTCCATAAAGAGTACAAGTCTGAACAAATAACCTGAGAACCTTTAAGGCCTTATGTAAGAATTCAGACATTTATATATTAATATAGGTAATACCATGTATATTAGTTAGGACTGGCATCACCTGAGAGTAAGGATGATCTAAATTAACATTGGTTAAACCAAACAGGAATTTTGTTTCTTAATAGGCCTGAGGTAGAGGGCAACTCCAGTTCACTTAGTCTTAAGGAACCAAAATCTTTTCCAGCTGTTTGCTTCACCATCTGTATTTCTCATCCTCATGGTTCAAAGGGGAAGTTACAACCAGGGGATCAAAACAGGAAGCAGGAAAAAAAAAAAAAACAGGGGTTTAAAAGATTGAGCAAAAGTGGGCCATTATATGTTAAAAACCCCAGAAGCTGCCACATACAGTCACTCCGGCAGATTTAGTCACATGGTCACTCCTGTCTGCAGCGAAGGCAGAAAAATGTTTTTATTCTGGCAGCCAACAGCTTTGCTGAAACATGGGCATCCTATGACTGGGGGGTGAAGGGAGAATTGACATTAGAACAGCAGTCCCCAATCCCTGAGCAATGGACTGGTAGCGTTCCATGGCCTATGAAGAATTGGGCTGCACAGCAGGAGGTAAGCAGCTGGTAAGCAAGATTACCACCCTAGTTCCGCCTCCTGTCAGATAGCAGTAGCATTCGATTCTCACGGGAGCACAAACCCTATTGTGAACTGTGAGGATGGGCACTCCTTATGAGAATCTAACTAATGCCTGATGATCTGAGGTGGAACAGTTCCATCCTGAAACCATTCCCCTTTTACCCCTGCCACCCCCATCCCTCTCCCCGATTCCGTGGAAAATTTGTCTTCCACAAAACTGGTCCCTGGTGCCAAAAAAGGTTGGGGACCGCTGTGTTAGGTCTCCTACTAGTCTCTCTCCTACTAGTCTACCACACCATTTGATTACTGAGTGATTTAAAATATCTTGGTAGTTTAACAATAAACTGAAGATGTATTATTTGTAGACAACAAACTAAGAAAACAGTAGTACAAAATGGCCGAATTAAGAAATAACAAAGAATTAAAATCAACCTTTCTAACAATTTGAAGATTGTTAGATAATCCAGGAATCCCACTGCTAAGTATGTATCCAAAGAAAGGAAATCAGTAAACCGATGAGACATCTGTGTGACCATGTTTACTGAAGCACTTTTAATAATATCCCAGGTATGGAATCAGCCCAGGAGTCCATCAACAGATGAATGAATAAAGAAAATATGATGTGGTATACATGGACAATGAAATATTATTCAGCCATTAAAAAAGAATAAAATCCTGTCACTTGCAGCAATAGGGATGAGCCTAGAGGACATTATAAGTAAAATAAGCTGGCAGAAAAAGACAAATATCACTCCTCTCAGTCATATGTGAGAGTTGAAAAAGAGAATCTCATGGAGGTAAAATATAGAATGATGTTTCTACAGGTTGGGAAGGGTATGGGGAGGGATGGATGAAGAGAATTTGGTGAAGGGGTACAAAAATACAGTTAGATAGAATAAGTTTTAATGTTTTATAACACAGTAGGGTGACTACAGTTATCAATAATTTATTGTATATTTTTAAATACCGAAAAGGAATTATTTGAAATGTTCCCATCACAAACAAATGATAAATGTTTGAGGTGATAAATATACCAATTACCCTGATTTGATCATTACACTTTGTATGCATGTATCAAAATATTACATGTACTACATAAATATGTACAATTACTATGTATCAATAAAAAATAAACCTTTTGAATATTAGAAATGATACAAATATACAAGTTATCAGAATATAAATATAGGGCAGGAAAAGGAAGGAATATACAGAGCTTTAACAGCAGGTTAATAAGTAGATAAGGAACAGATGTCAAACCAATTAAAGAAGGAAGTATTAAACAGAAAACTACAGCCAAGACTCTTAGTGCTCCAGAAATTATCCAAATAGATGACTAAGTTAAGATTTAATCCTTTAAAGTAAATTAGATATTTAAAAAGACATTTTTAGGGTGTCTATAAAATTTAAAATTAGAGTAGTGCTAGGAGCTCTAAAATATGCAAATATATGTATTACAATAAAATCTTTTTCATATAGGGCTTTTGAACCTCATGCAGGAAGAAACATTTTCATTCAATAATGTTAATAATTCTATAATGAATACATAAATAATGGAAGACAATGACAAAATGAGTAACTTTGGAAGAGAGTGCACGAGAGCTGGACCTTGTAGGAAAATAAGGATATCAACAGGCATCTTCACCTGGGGATTAAGAGAAAAGAATGCAGCAAGTAAAGCCACTGAGCAGCCTCCAATAGGTTCAGGGTATGAAAGATTTATTTGTGTAGAAAAAATTAGGAAGATTACAGTCCACCCTAGACTGCTATCCTCTCTGTGCTCATATTTGAAACCCATCCCTAAGTAGATTGAGAGGAAAGAAATCACCACTGCTTAGTAGCTGGTCATCATGCAGCATTGGTTTGCCTGCCCTCTTTCACTTTTGTAAGCATCTTTCAAACTCCATAAGTCTCATTAAAAATCATAACATGTTGTGGCAAAATTTAGACCAAGCATAAGAGATCAAGAATATAAAATAACATGTGGATATGTTAATTCTCCTACATAAAGGTAAACTCTGAAAAATAAAGCCAACCAGCTACCAGGACTTGGGACAACAACAGGCTTCTGTCTCCAGTACCCCAGTGTGGAGGAGTGTTCCACAAAAAGCCTAATCACCCCACTCCCAAAACAAAACCAGATGTTTTTGTTAAACAATACCAGACAAACTAAATAAGCATATTTTCTTGCTTTTAACTGTATCCACCAAATATATTGTGTCATGTTGATGCCAAATCCTGTTGGTCAACTTTATGTGCCACTGATTAATTAAAAATGGGAAAATCAACTATCATTCAGTAAGTGCCTTGTTGCCAAAACTTTTCAAAAAATGAAATTTCTGAGTTAAAAGTAAAAGACAATTGAAGAGATTCCTGGTGATAAAAAATGTTTGGGGAACACTGAACTAAATTTAAGGAATTATACAATGTTACATCTTTGTAGAAGATAATTTCAGTTAATAGCATTTTTCCATATTTATGTTCATTTTCTGGATAGTTGAAAAAAAATCAGTCTATTTTTTAATGATCAGTATTTTAATGCAAATATTAAAAATTTACTTTATCCTTCATGATGTTTTTCAAAGGGATAGTTAAGTGGTCAAGAACAATATTTCTTCTCTCATAGTCTTAACCTGCTCTGAGATAGTCATTACAGTAGTCTCCAAAAATAAACTATTAAGATTTTGTCTTTGTACAGGTACTTTCAAAATAGCCACAGTATTAAGACAAATTGGTAATAATAGTAAATAAGTAATAATCGATCATCTGATTTTTTTATATTACTGTCAAAACAAGAATTAAGGCTTATCCCATCAATTTTTGAAAATCAAATGTCATCTGAAATATGTTTATCATGCAAGCCCAGTTTTGATTCTGAAACAGAATTTTACTATTCTACAGGGAGTTATAGCGCAAAACCAAAAAGACTAAACCAGAAATCAAGAACTCTGATCTAGTTTCAGATAAGGTACTAGCTTCTAGGGTTAAACCAATTGAGGAACTCAGAGGCAAAAGCCATACCTTGATTAACTCATGAAAGAAAATTAAATCAAGAATTCCTCAAAGTAGTAGAACATATGACATATTTAGCAATATTGCCAAATTAATTTAAAAAATCCAACCACCAAATTTTACTACAAATAATCTGACTTTTCATCTTGGAATGCTATAATTCTCTTTTTAGCTTCATTTCAGATTAATTTTCTAAAGAGGAAAACATACATTTATTTGTACAAGTATGAGAGAAATTATCATTTAGAATTTACGTAACAGACATACAGCTTCAAATCTATTATGAAAAAATAAATATTTTTAAAGATTACCAGATTTTCATTACATTAGAAAAAATTCTTTGCAACATTTTATCTTTGGTCTTTACGCAAAGAAATGAACATAAAGCAAAGCTATCTAAGCAGTGGAATTTGATAATCAATTTTCCAACATCTAATTTTATGTTGCATACTTTAGAACAAGAGTTGGCAACCCACGGCCTATGGGCCAAATCTGGTCCTCCACCTGTTTTTGTAAATAAAATTTTATTGGAACACAATCATGCTCATTCATTTATGTATTGTCTATAGTTGCTTTTGCACTTCGATGGCAAAATTGAGTAGTATGATCATACAGCTTGTAATACCAAACATGTATGCTACCTGGCCCTTTACAGAAAGAGGGTTGACTCAGGAGGTCTGGGGTGTTGAAATCCTGCACATTCCAATGAAAGGACTGACCCTTGACCAGCTCCTGGAAATAAGCTCTAAGTCCTTGGAATATCCTGCCTGGTAGGACACAAAGACAAGGAGTGTCTTTGCTTATCTGGGTCCTTGGGCCAAGCCACATAGTTTGTGCTAACAGTGTGATTTATGGTGGGGTCCCTAGGCCACACAGTTTTAGTTTGACCTCTGAAGAACCTAGAAAATAACCCTCAATAAAATCTTTGGATACCAAGGCTTGGATGAGCTTCACTAGCTAGCAATACTTTGTATATGTTGTCACACATTTTTTCTGGTGGAATTAAGCACTGGTCACATAACCACTGGAAGAAGACACATGGAAGCTTGAACTTGGTTTCTTCTGAACTTGGCCCTATGCATATTTTGCCTTTGCTGATTTTAACAGTATTCTTCTGCTGTAATAAACTTTCACTGTGAACATGATAGCTTTTCTGAGTTCTGTGGGTTGTTCTAGTGAATTATTAAATCTGTGGGTGGTCTTCAAGACCTCTAAACTTACCGAATCTTTCCCAAAATATTTGCCGATCCTTCCCCTGGCCATTTTTGAAATGTAAAATGTCAGATAAATAAAACTGATCATACTTAAGCTAATAAGACATATTTAAAACTTTTTAAAGTTCACATTCTTTTTTCTAACTTAACAATCATCCAATTACATTTTTTAGCAATTTCAATCCCTGAAACAAGACCATTCAATCAGTAAACAACATCAAGCCAACCTACTTTCCTTAATCCAAGTTTGCAGTTCCTTAACAAGTCCTCAATTATGAGTATTTTCAGCATATAATATTTATTTGGAATGATCACAAGAATAAACAACTCATGATGCATTCCCTACTGTAGCCAGCAGTGGCTGCCAAGATTTAAACTTATCAAAAATAAAATAAAATGAACCTTACTGTGAATGAACTTTATTCTTTTTTTTTAACCTCATACAAAAGTCAAGAAAGGTAATAGGAAACTCAGTCCACATACTGAATTACTAAGTTTTGTCTTTAAGCAATATAAAAATAAATTTGCCATTATTGATTTGTAAAATAAAAAGCAAAATTTAGACCTAGCTAAAGAGAGATTATATTCAAAAGGATTATTTTACTAAGGAGAGAGGGACAATTGCCAATAGAGAGAAATCCTAACCTAAGATCTACAAGCCTTTCAAAAGTTAAACAGAAAGAGCTTTTCTTTTATACGAAAGAGTCAACAAGCCTAGAAAGAACCAGATGCAGGGAAGTGGAAGGAGGAAGGATGGCATGATCTGACAGCAGCTCAGAGAATGTTTTCTCAGTGGTCAGCCTATTCTCAGAAGCTTGCAGTTAAGTAGGGGCGGTATGCTGGCTCAGGCCAAGGGAGGATCAAATTTGAGAGCATAGGGAAAGGAGAGAAACTTTACTGAAGTTCAGTTAATAAGTATTTTGTTTCAGTGATCAATGGGGAAAAGAGAATTCAGCTAATCATCTCTCTGGCCTTGTCATAGCTAAATAGGGGCATCCGTACGTCTGCCCCTATGGGACTTACAGATGCGGGGGAGGATTTTTTTCCAGAATATAAAGGTGTAGGGGGATCTCTTAATCCCCACTATGTTCCAGAAGCACAGGGCTCAGGTAAAATTCAACATCGTCAGATCATACAATTAACAATGACAACAACAAATCATTTAGGTAGTATGATGCTGTACAGCATTAGAAATAGAATAAGTGAATATAATGGGAGAATTGAATTAATTCATGGAAAATCCAAATAAGGTAAAGGAATGTTAATAATGTTTTAGCTGAAAAGAATGTCTTCAAAGTCATTTAATATTAAAGACACTACAGCAGTGAAAATGTCCTGTTAAAGGCAAAGGGAAAGTCAACTTTTATGCCTTACTGATGTTGCAAGAAAATCTAAACTGGCCTCTAGAAACCTATACTAGTGTTGAGTTACATAGAAAGGGTTCCAAGAGTGGTGAAAAGAGCTATGATCCAAGCATCATCCTCTTGTCTCAGATTATGAGCTTAGAACAAGAAATTCCTTATATTTTCTTATATTATTTTTAATATTTGCAAAGCAAAGACTGCACCAGGGGAATTTTAGTAATGGCAGTAATAAATAAGTCTTTTCAATTTGGGAAAAATTATATATCGTATTTCTATTTAAGTAATTTAGTTTAAAAATAAAGATCATTGGCCTACACTCAGAGCAAGGCACTCGTTTAGGTAGTGGTTTGAGAGTGTGCAAAAACTAGATAAAGCCCTGACTTTGGGGGGCTTCATCTCAAGTGGAGAGGAAAGATAAAAGAAAGTAAATAAACAAAAAGACCATATTATTATAGGTAATTGTTATGGGCTGAATTGCATACCTCCAAAATTCACGTGTTGAAGTCCTAATTCCCAGGACAACAGAATGTGACTATTTAAAGGTAAGGTTTTTAAGAGATAATTAAGATAAAATGAAGTCTTTAGGGTTAGCTTTAAACCTATATGACTAGTGTCCTTATAAAAAGAGAGTGGGACACAGACACACACAGAAGGAAGATCATGTAAAGACATGTGGGAGAAGATGGTCATCTATAGGCTAAGGTGAAAGGCCTTAGAAGGAACCAGCCTTACCAATACCTTGATCTTGGATTTCTAGTCTCCAGAATTGTGAGACAATACATTTCCACTGATTGAGCCATGCAGTTTGTGGTACTTTGTTAGAGCAGTCCTAGCTGCCACAGTTGCACAGCTATACAGTTTGCTTAGAGAAGTCAAGAGAAGATGTGTCAGAAGAGATAACATTTTGATCTGAACAAATCATGTCAAAACCCAGGTAGCCACATTCCTGGCAGAGAAGACTGACTTTCAAAAGCCCCAGAGAACACGAATGAGGTCAATGTGGCTGAAGGAATTGAGAAAACATGAGAGCTGAATGAGATGACTTTGGAGAGGTCATACTTAAATATGGTTCCCTGATTTTTGGCATCTATAAAACACATGGAGAATATTTCAAGGCCCAGAGGTTGTGTTTTGTCTCCGTTTTCACTTTCAGAGTCCATAAGAACAAATCTTTTGGGCTGCCAAAGTCAAAATAATAAAAATCATACTGAGAATTTGACAGGCTTTGTCATCCAAATAGTATATCTGTTGTCCATTGCAACTTGATTATCTTTAAAGGAGATAGAAAATAGGGTGCCATATGGAAGAAGCACAGAATAAAAATTGATTCAAGGAAGTACAGAAACAGAGTCACATAAACACTGAATTAGATAATTTGTGCTGAAAGGCATGTTTCCAAAATTGCTTATGATCTCAAATAATATAAAGAAGTTAATGGTTATCACCTCAACTCCCACACAGGATTAGACATACTGTGAAAACCTTACCGAATTGTAGGCCTAAGAAGACTTTCAGCTTTAAAAAGTCTTTCTCAGAACAGGCATATCAAACTCTTTAAGGTTATCAGAAGAAACACAATTTACACTGAAATTATAAAATATATCAGGGATTGAAAATATATGACAGATATTTCTCCTCTCCCATTTTTGGCTCTGAAACTTCTGATAAATATCAACAATCTCTCCTGACCCCTTAATAGCATCCCAATTATCTCAACTGGGATGCTCTCAACTGTTACAAGCAGAGTAATACTGTTTAAATTATTTGAATGTGTTTTTCCCCTTTGCATTTCTGTCCACGTTACATTCTTAGTCGGCCTAGGCCTTAGAGTTACTACAGGAAATTACTACAGGGAATGTCACAGGGACATTTGGGGACAGAGAGAGGATTAACAGCTTGTCACAGCAAGAATATAAAGAGAAAAAAGAGATCATCTACTTTTCTTTGCAATAAGACAATAGGCTTGAAAGCACAGCTTTGTCAGAGGAAAGCAATGTCATAAGTTCCCTTATCTGCTATTTTGGAATAAGGATACAGGCTTAATGGCCTTCATAAATGAGCTTTATATTAGAGAGACATTGGCCAAACAGCAAGCAAAAGGTGGTAAGATTTCAGTGCTGACAGAAGCAGACACTCAGACACATGACGTGATATCCTTTCTCATGCCAAAAGCCCAAAAGGGGGACTTATGTTAGAAAGTTTGATAAAAACTTAGGATTCTAGAAGTCAGTTTTCTTATAGATTACCCCCAAGCAAACCTAGAAGCAGCCATCTCAAAATAAACTGAGTGAAATAAAGTGAAAAAAGACCAGCCATCCTTTGGTTCCCATGTGGCACAGTGTCCTGTGGGTACATGGAAGACAGCTGAGTTGAGCATCTATGGACCTGCTCCAAACGAAGGGAAATCCCAGGGCAAAAACCAAGAAGCTAACAGATCAGGTTAGGGAGTTGATTATGTTACCAGGTCAAAATCAACTGGTTAAGATCAATTGGGAAATTTTTTAACGTAACAGAGAGACTAGTTATCATCAAAAGGGTAGTAACCCAGGCTAGTTATATCTAGCAGAGATCAGAAAAATTACAGAAGATTCCATATAAATTTCTGCTTTTCATCACCAAGAGGACATATATCATACCCTTTTCCATATGACCAACTTGAAAACGAACAAGGGAGAGAGTAGAACTCTAAGACTGAGCATTTATCTAAAAGGTTATTTTATTATTACATTAGACTGAGTTACCAGTTTGGAGTCAAATCTTCGGTTGTCACCTCCATATACATATTATCCAGCAATACAGATTTTAATGAGGAAAATCCAACCAGTTAATTTTTTTTAAAAGAGGTTATATTTTATCTGCTCCTGTCAGTATAAGTAAACTTTTAAACCTACTAGACAATAAACTGTAACTATTCAAGTTTGTGGGCTAAGTCTTTTTCTTGGACACAACTAATGTGAATACTAAAAACGTTTTTCTCTATGATGCTCCTTTTTTCTAAATTGACCTGACTTTTCTCTAAAACCGTATCAGGTTGACACATTCTATTTGTAAAATGTCAATTCAGACTGGTTATATTAGGTCCTGCCAGCTTAGAAGACATGAAATTTTTCTTTTGGGAGTTGTTTTCCTAATATCCATGGCCTTGATTAACAGTTTTTAACTAGAAGACAAATCTACTCGTTAATTCTCAAAGTTCTTCAGTGTTTGTTGAAGATGGGGTGGGAAAGGCAAAGGATGTTTCCAAATTCACAGCAAAGACAAAATTTAGCATATTGTTACCATTCACTCAAAGTAGATTTATTTACAAAAGTATCATACAAATTACACTTTTTCTAATAAACATTAGAACATATTTAGACTGGCTATGAGTTCACTAACGTGCTTTAAACCACTGTCTCTTTCCCTGAGATTCTAAGTTTATAAATGGTTTTTCCCCTTCCTCCCTGCAACCCCTTCCCTCCCTGGCACAATATTCTCTAATTTTTCTAATTGGATTCCCTGGTTTTATCTTGTAGACATAAAAATTATCCCATGAGTAGACAGGGTTCACTTTGACTTCCATTTCTTTTATCTTCAATTTCAAAAGAAGTTCTTCATGATGAGAAAAGACAACCACATGTACTTTTATGTAGAGCTATGCATTTCTGTAATTCTGAAAGTAAGAGGCATAACTTAATACTATGAAACTGTATGCTCTGTTCAGGTATTTATGCTTTCTCTGGGAAATGCTATTCTTATAAATGCATTTCATTTCAGTATTCTTAATGGGCTAGTAATGGAGCTACCTTACAAAGGATAAAAACAAAAAGGAAATATTTCTTTATTTCTACTAAGCAATGGCGTCTTTTGAAACTATACTGCAAATGCTCGAATGGACAGCAAAACAAGATGAAAGTGACAAACACAGAAGAACCTTTAAAAGCTTTGTTTCATGTATTTTCCATTATACAGAGGGTGCTATAATTTGATTTGTAATTTCATGTATTGTCTTACATGCATAATTTGTACTTTTGTATATAAATATTACTGCTATTTCTTATAATCAGTTATCTTAATTATAAAAATACCAGATTTAAGTTTGTCTTATTGAAAATAGTTTTTAAAAACTCAACAGTTTTCACAAATGAGTTACTTAAACAAATTATAATAGTAGGTAATATCTTGATTGTTCAATTTGATGAAGTAAAAAGTAGAACAAATAGAGGTCCTGGATTGTTGACCAAGCATCTCTAGCCAGCAGATTTCTCTTCTGTCAAACGGGCAAATTGGACTTTACCTCCAAATCTGTTTTCAAGTCCACATTCCCATGGCTGACTATTCCAAACTACTGAATACTTTGAAAAGGTTGGTTATAATATGACATAGTTTGGATATTTTGTCCCCACCAAATCTCATGTTGAAATGTAATCCCAAATGTTGGAGGTGGAGCCTGGTGAGAGGTATATTGCTTATGAGGGCAGATCCCTCATGGTTTAGTGCTATCCTTGCAATAGTGAGTGAGTAGTACTTGTGAGATCTGGTTGTTTAAGGGTGTGGTACCCATGCCCTCCTCCCAAGCTCCCAACTTCTTCTGGCTCCTGCTTTTGCCATCTGACATGCAAGCTCCCACTTCACCTTCCGCCATGAGTGAAAGCTCCCTGAGGCCTTCCCAGAAGCTGGGCAGATGCTGGCACCATACATCTTGTACAGCCTGCAGAACCATGAGCCAATTAAACCTCTTTTCTTTATAAATTACCCAGTCTCAGGTATTTCTTTATAGCAATGCAAGAATGGCCTGAAACAGAAAATTAGTACTGAGGGGTGGGGCATTGTATAAAGATACCTAAAAATGTGGAAGTAACTTTGGAACTGGGGAATGGGCAGAAGTTAGAAGAGTTTGGAGAGCTCAAAGGAAAATAGGAAGATGAGGGAATGTTTGAAACTTCTTAGAGACTGGTTTAACGGTTGTGACCAAAATGCTGATAGTGATATGGTCAGTGAAATCCAGGTTGACAAGGTCTTGGATGGAAATGAGGAACTTATTGGGAACTGGAGCAAAGGTCACCCGTTTTATGCCTTAGTGAAGAGCTTGGCTGCATTCTGTTGAGGCCCTAGGGATCTGTGGAAGGTTTAACTTCACAATGATGACTGATGGTATTTAGCAGAAGAAATTTCTAAGCAACATGTTCAAAATTGGGCTTGGCTGCTTCAAACAACCTATGTTCATATGTGGGAACAAAGAAATGACTTAAAGTTGGAACTTACATTTAAACAGTAAGCACAGTGTAAAAGTTTGAAAAACATGCAGCCTGGCCATCTGGTAGAAAAGAAAAACCCAATTTCAGAACATGAATTTAAGCAGGCTGTGGAGCCACAGTTTGCTAGAGAAATCTGCGTAACTAAAAAGGAGCCAAGTGCTAAAAGCCAAGACAATGGGAAAAAGGCCTTGAAGGCATTTCAGAGACCTTCTAGGCAACCCCTTCCATGACAAGCCCAAAGGCCCAGGACTACTAAATGGTTTCAGGAGCCAGGCCCAGGGCTCTGCTACCCTTCACAGCCTCAGGACACTGCTCCCCACATCCAGGCCACTTCAGCTCCGTCCTTAGCTCAGAGGGTACCAGGAACAGCTCAGGCCACAGAACTGGAGGGCATAAGCCATGAGTCCACTTGGTGGCTTCCAAGTGGTATTAAGCTGGCAGGCACTCAGAGTGCAAGAGTAGTGGAGGGTTGGTAGCCTCCACCTAGATTTCAGAGGATGTATGAAAAAGCCTGGATGCCCAGACAGAAGCCTGCCGCAGTGGTGGATCCCTCACTGAGAACCTCTGCTAGGGCAATGTGGAGAGGAAGTTTAGGCTTGGAAGTTCCACACAGAGTCCTCACTGGGACACTTCCTAGTGGAGCTGTGGGAGTGGGACCGCCATCCTCCAGATCTTAGAATGGTAGCTCTACCAGCAGCTTGTACCCTGTGCCTAGAAAAGCCACAGGCACTCAACAACCTGGACAACATCCATGGGAGCTAACCTCTGCAAAGCTGCAGGGGTGGAGTTTCCCAAAGCCATGGGAACCTACAAGGAGACTATTTTGGAGCTTTAAGATTTAATGACTGCCCTGCTGAGTTTTGAAACTGCATGGCCTATAGCCCCTTTCTTTTTGCTGCTATCTCTCTTTTGAAAGGGCAATGTTTACCCAATGCCTATACTGCCATTGTATTTCGGGAGTAAATAACTATTTTGATTTTACAGGCTCATAGATGGAAGAAACTTGCCTTGTTTCAGATGAGACTTTGGACTTTGGAGTTAGTGCTAGAATGACTTAAGACTTTGGGGGACTGTTGGAAAGGCATGCTTGTGTTTTGCAGGGTGACAAGGACATGAGATTTGAGGGGCCAGAGTTGCAATAATATAGTTTAGATATTTATCCTCATCCAAATCTCACATTGAAATATAATCCCCAATGTTGGATGTGGGGCTTGGTGGGAGGTGTATCGCTCATGAGTGTGGATTCCTCACAACAGTGAGTGAGTACTCATGAGATCTAGTTGTTTACATGTGTGGCACCTCACTCTGCCATTCCCTGTTGCTCCTGTTTTTGCCATATGACATGCAAGCTCTCGCTTCACCTTCCACTGTGAGTAAAATCTCCCTGGGGTCTCCCCAGAACCCAAGCCAATGTCAGCGCCATATTTCCTATACAGCCTATGGAACCATGAGCCAATTAAACCTCTTTTCTTTATAAATTACCTAATCCAGGTATTTCTTTATAGAAACGCAAGAACAGCCTAACACATAATACAAGTCCAAAGAAATATGGCTTTTCTTCATTTGGTTTATATATTTGAAACTGCATTTTCAAAAAATGTTGGCTAGTGTACTGGGCTGAATGGTGGCCCAAAAGAATATGTCCATATCCTAATCCCTGGAACCTTCAAATGTTACCTTATTTAGGAAAAGGGTCTCTCTAGATGTGACTAAGTTAAGGAACTTGAGAAAGAGTATATTCTAGATTATCCAGGTAGGCTCTAAATGTAATCACATAGAGAGAGGCAGAGAAATTTTTGACATACAGAGAAGACACAGAAAAAAGAAAGAGGTAACATGACCACAAAGGCAGAGATTGGAGTCATGTGGCCACAAGCCAAAGAACTTCTGTAGCCATGAGAAGATAAAAGAGGAAATGTTTTCCCTCCTAGAGAAAGTACAGCCCTGCTCATACCTTGATTCACTCTCTCACCCCTAGTATTGTAAGAGAATAAATTGCCACCCAGTACCTAGTAATTTGTTGTAGCAGCCTCAGAAAATGAATACAGATAGATTGCCTGAGATTTATTTATTGGCAGTGCAGCCAGTGATGAAGACTCTCTCTTGTTTGACTTCTTGGTTCCCTTGAAACAAGATTCTACTCAGGGAGTCAGAGAAAGAGTCCAAGCCGCTGTGACGGCAGAGTCTTCTAGTTCCACTCATGTTTTTCATCCTAAAGGCTCATCTCTTTCTTTCTGCTCCCTCTTCCTTCAGTTTCTGGTGTTGTCCAGAACAGTACCAGTTACTTATTACATTCAGTGATTTATCACCCATTGGTATTTGAAAAGGAAAAGGGGAACATCCCCCAGCTTTCTTAGAGAAAAGTCTCAGAAAATTAGTCTGATGTTATTATAAGTAAAAATCTGTACTACATGAATTTGGAAGAATCAAAATGGGTTATATCTCAAGTTTCTTAAGAAAATTTCCAGATGGTACTTCTGTAAACCCTCAACTATTGACTTCTTTACTCTCAGAACTGCTTTCATCTTTCATTCCCTACGTTAACCCTGTGAATTAACAACTGTGGTATTTAATACTAAATAGGATATATAACTTCCTATTTGGTCGTCTCATGAATTAGTTTCTTTTATCTGTTTGAATATTGATTATATTCTCTTTTTTTTACCATTAATAATGGCCTAAACCTCATCAACTAGCATGCAAGCAAATAGAAAGCAAGATATTAAGTCAAGTTTACCCAGGAGGTTCAAATAAAGTAACTTAGGCATAAACATGGTGGTAAATTCAAGCAGAAAGAGCCACATAAACAAAAACATCCAGATGGGAAAGTACATGGAGAAAGCTGTTTCTGAGAAAGGGCTAATTTCCTAGAAGTTGTTAGTCATAAGTTGTTCCATTAACAAACCCAGCAATTCATCTCTGGATAACTACTCTCACTCACTCTATCACCAGGTAGTTTTTCTAAGTGTGTCCTGTGTAGTATATATTTTGAAAAGTCTATAAACTCACTTTATTCCTAGAAATTAAAAAGTCTTTGGACCACATCAGATTTGATATGTTTTTCAATTAGTTTATTTGTATTTGGTTTGCATTTGGAAGAACAGAGCAATTTTCACCAATCTAATCTCATTAATCTCCAAGTCATCTTTCTGAGAGAGAAAAGCTACATAGCAGGCTATTCATTTTCTGTTCAATGAATTCTTGTGTCATTCTCTTTGCAGTTTAATGAACAGTTTCTCCAAATCCTCAAAGCAATTGAAGTGTTTATTTCAGCAAATAATATGTTTTCAGAAGCACACATTATTACAGAAGTCTTGCCTGGGAAACTTCTCCTGATATATTATGGCCTCTTATCCCACTGTGCAAAGGAAGGTCATAGTAATGCACGTTTATGCTTAGCTCAATGCTGCAGTCTTTCGCTAATAATAAAGTACTGGAATCTAGCAAGGCATTTAAATTGTCAAATAAACGAATTTTTTAAATATTAGTTTTCTTTCCAGGCAGTCTTGATTTGTTACTTTATATTGAAGTATAATATACATACAAGTATACATGTATATCTATAAATTTTTAAAAATTGCATGCATTCATGTTACTAATACCCATATCAAGAAACAGTCCATTTCCAGCACCCTAGAAGATGCCCTCATGCCTCTTTCCAAACACTGCCTCTAAGCTCAACACCATTCTGACTTTTATCATCATAATTTGTTGTATTATTACTTTATATAGTTTTTCATGTCTGACTTCTTTCATTCATTATATTTGTTGCATGTTCTTATAGATCTTTCATTCTCATTCTACATAATATTCTCATTTTGTGACTATGCCATACTTTATCTGTTACACTGTTGAGTAGCTTCGGGCTACTCAAATTGGGTAAATTTACAAATCAGGTTTTGATGAACATTCTTGTATATATTTTGGTAAAAATCAGTATGCATTTCTGTTGGATTTTGCCTATGAGTGATATTGCTGAGTCTTGGTATATGTATATGTTCAAATTTAACAAATAACAGCAGTTTTACAAATCAGTTGTCCTAATTCACTCTCAACAGTATTTGAGTGTTCCAGTTGCTTCACCGGCTCATCAATATATGGTATTGTCTTTAAGACATTCTGATAGGTATGCAGTGGCATGACATTGGAGCTTAATTGGCATTTCCTCAATTATCGAGCTAGAACATCATCTCTATGTAAGTTGGCTACAAATATAAATATATATTTGCATATATTTGATTTTGTCCACATACTGATTCTGTTCATATAAATTGCAGATATATATATTTCTTTATATATTTGCATTTCATAGGTATGCAAACATATAATTGTTCAACTGTTTTGCTTATTCTACTGCTCTCTTTTAATTTTCAAAATTTGTTTATAAATTATGGATATAAGTACTCTTAGAGAAATGTATTATAAATATATTCTCCCACTCTCGGAGCTACCTTTTCCCTTCTATATGAGAGGGAAGACTTTCCCTCTATCCTCTGAGGGCTCAATAACTAAGTCTATGAAATAAACTGACAACAGGCAGATTCACAGTAGAAGAGGTATACACATTTCTTACCTGCACAGGGGCATCACAAGAAAGAAAAGTGAATAGCCAAAAACTCAGCGAGACCCAAAAGCTTACATTCCCTCTTCATGGGGAATGGGGGATGTAGGCAACTTAGGGAAGAACAAATGGCTTTTGGGAAAGACAAATGGGCCTTTTGAAAAACAAGTTACCATCTGTGACAACGTTTGTCTGGGTGTGGTATTGACCACTAGCCTGGAGATCAATGACAATTGAATCCTTTTGAAGAATGCATCCCTAGATAGATAAGGGGAGGCCAGATGAAGCCTCTCCCTGCATCTGCTGTCCCCCGGGTGCCCTCAGTTTGAAGTAATCAGTATAGTAAGGTGGCATATTTGGGGATGCCATTTTGAAAACCCATTCACTCCCTTAATGCTCTCTCCTGATGAACAAAAGTTCTTCAATTTTACTGTAGATCAATTTTTAAATTTTAACTTCTATAGTGGACACTTTTTGTGTACATCTAAGAAATCTTTGCCTACAAAGAATCGTGAAAATGTTCTCCTATGCATGTGTTTCTAAACTTTAGTGGTTTACCTTTTTCATTTAGATGGAAATCCTTCTGTAAGTGATTTTCGGGTATGGTATGAGAGAGAAATAAAGATATTTCCATGGATATGCAATCCATCCAGCACTATTTATTGGATATCCATCCTTTTGTTTACTATACTTTCAAGACATTTTTCATGACAATCATTCAGGTATCAATCTAGCATATTTTTAAAAAACGTGTCTGTAGTCAAGTTTAAATCTTAATTTGGAAAAATATAAATCCACGGACAAATAAATGATATTTGATATGATAAATGATAAATGTTTACATATTAAATTTCAGAATTGGGAACAAGATTTTTAAATGACTGAGGAGAAGTAATTATATTCTTTCCACTGGATGTTTTGTTATTTCAAATGTAACATTGATCTATAACAATAATCACTAATATTTCCCCATCCCCTTTGTCCTGAGGTCCAATTTATCCCAAGAATGCCATGAAAACAGGCATTTGCCTAGGTTCCATAAAGGGATGTGTGAGGAAATTATCGCTCCCTTCAGCAGGCACAACTTTTTGCTTTCTTTCTCACTTCACCTGTTCAAATCTCCACTTATTTCCAAATGTATTGATATGTCTTCCTTTTCTAAATGATCATCAGCAACGTTTTTGCCTTAGTCTTGCCAATGGAAATTCAGCTAGCATTTCATGAACATTTATTATCTATTGAGCAGTGTGGTAGTTTTCTCTTAAAATAATATTTATCATATGTAGACCCAAAGAGACTCCAAAAGAAATTACTTAATTTTTCAGCTGTAATCAGTACTAATATCTTAATGAAGTTATATTCCTTGAAAATTTGATGAAAGATTTTTTATCTCCTGAAAATATGCATATATATAAAATTATAAATACAGTTTCAGAGGTTCCCAGGCTACTAGAGGCCATACACAGGTTGATGAATTTTCCGCTAGAGAACATCATTATTTTTCTTTTTTGATGATTCTCCATGAGCATATTTAATGATTGAACATCACAGTGTATGCAACATGCTGCTTTATTGAGGATAATTTTATGGTTGCTCCTAGGGCTGAATAAATGATTCCATTATAAAAATGTGTTAAACTGGATATAATAGCTACTTTTCATTTTAAATGAATTTAGGATATTTCATTTTGATACTAAGAAGTTTCTAAAAATCCCCTTTCAAAAAGAAGTGTCATTAGGAGTAGACATTTCTTTCAATCATGTAATGATATACTTAGTGGTTGCCCTTCCATCCTATGTTTAAGGCACTGGCTAAGAGAAACACAGACTGCCATATTACCAGCTTTTTGCAAATGAATGAAAGAACAAAGCATAATTATAACAGAGCAAAGCAGCTGGTCCTTTCTTTAAAGAATCTAGAAGAATCAATTTATGTTACAAAAGATACCAATTTGTTATGACATTCAGAAATTCCACATAGAGCACTTTGTAGTGCCATATTGAGTACAGACACACAGAAAGCCTCTCACACCTGAACACTAGAATGAAACAGAAAGCCTGCATGTGGTGTCAGATATAGCTGTGTATTGCAAAGAACTGCAACTTCAGTCTCTTATCCTCAAACAATCTCTTACTCCAAATCCCACTGTTTTAATTTTTTTCTTACTGCTCCACAGATGCTAGAGCTGTCAGCCCTGAGTTTTATCTAATAGGAGCATTCTTTGCTTCACCAAAATAAAATCAAGCTCTGGGAATTAACACCTACTTAGATGTGACATCATAGAACCAGTGGATTAAAACTTCTTCCACATGTTCCAGTTGCCTCCGTAAGTTAAGATTTTAAAAAACCAAAACTATTTTTACTACAAAGATTTTACATGTAGTTGTTCCTAAAATCATGTCCTTTTTATGCCTAAAACTTTCCAAAAGCTTTCCTTTAGACATAAAATAAAATCCAAACTTTTTACCTTCACCTATAAAATTATACATGACTGAATCCCTGGATACCTCTCTGACCTATTCTCAGATCACTTTTCACCTTGATCATCATACTCTAATAACTGTTGCAAGAATCCAACAAACATGATCTCTCAGGGCCTTTGCCTTTGCTGTTCCCTCTGCCTGGAATGTTCTTCTCCCAGATATCCACATGGTCCACCCTTTGCATTCCTTTAGGTCTCTTTTCATATTTCACTTCTGACTCTACCTAAAATCACAGACCATTTACCCTTTATCCTCTTTTTCTGTTTTATTTCCTCAGTATCACTTACTACCTAATATTGATTTACATGATTATCTTACTTATGTTTAAAATATAAGCTTCATGAGGGTAGGCATTGTGTTAGTTTACTGTTATTCCATTGTGTCTAGAACTGTGCTTGGCAAATAGGGGACACTCAGTAAGCATTTGTTAAATGCATGAATGCTTCCTGAATCTTAACACAGGATGAATTTGCTAATTTTTACTCATAACCAAGGCTTTATGTATACCATTATAAGCAGTCTAGTAACTCAATAATTTCAACACATTTTTTTCAAATGAAACAAATATCAAAAGAGTATTAAAACAAAAGGGTTAACTCCATTCATGACATTTAATTCATTGCAAGTACAGAGAGGATATAGTAAAATAGCAAATGACTTCAAAGGCAATTGTTGTCATTCTGTAGCCATTTTCTATGTATCAAAGTAATTCCTTTCTCTGAATCAAACTATACAGTAGGAACTTATTTTTAAAATAGGAATGACATTACGAAAACTTATGTAATAATTATTTCATGAAGAAATTTTAACACCATCTCTGCTAAGGGCTCATTACTAAGATGAAGTAAATGACCAACTTTTCCCAGATAAATTGTATGCACAGAACTGGAGTTGCAGTATACCATAGCATATATACATCCATTTGGCACACTGCAGGTGCCAGTGGGACAACATACCAGAGTGTAAGTCTTCCTGATCATTTTCATGATGTCCTCAGTTATTTACCTTGTAATAAGCTTGTAAACGTCTATGATTGTTTTTGAGTCATCCCAATGCAGTCATGTAATAACAACATGTATTTTAAATGAAACTTGGGGATTTTCCTCCATACCTGAATCTCTAGTATTCACATAAATGAAAAATCAAAATTAGGATAAGTTAGTGTCAAACATTAATGGATTTTTACAATGCTAATTGGTGTTCCTTTTTAAATTATTGCTGCCTACAGACACATAGCTATAGTTCCATGCACTTTCAACCACCAATGCTGCCAGGCTAGTAAAGCAGTTAATGTATATTTGGGGTTAATTATCAGAATCACCAGAAACAATTTTTTTAATTTTTAAAATATTTTATTTTTCCACAGATTATTGGGGTACAGATGCTGTTTGATTACATAAGTTCTTTACTGGTGATTTGAGAGATTTGGGTGCACCCAACATCCGAGCAGTATACATTATTCCCTATGTATAGTTTCTTACCCCTCGCCCCCTCCCACCTTTCCCCCCAAGTCCTGAAAGTCCATTGTATCATTCTTATGCCTTTGTGTTCTCATAGCTTAGCTCCCACATATCCATGAGGACATATGATGTTTGGCTTTTCCATTCCTGAGTTGTCTCACTTAGAATAGTAAGACTACTATTCTAAGTAAGACTCAAGAGACTCCAGTCTCATCCAGGTTGCTGTGAATGCTGTTAATTCATTCCTTTTATGGCTGAGCAGTGTCCATTGTGTGTGTGTGTGTGTGTATGTGTGTATATATATGTGTGTGTGTATATATATATATATATATCTCACAGTTTCTTTATCCACTCATCGATTAATGGGCATTTGTGTTGGTTCCACATTTTTGCAATTGTGAATTGTGCTGCAATAAACATATGTATGCAAGTATCTTTTTCATATAATGACTTATTTTCCTCAGGGTAGATACCCTGTAGTGGGATTGTGGATCAAATTGTAGTTCTACTTTTAGCTCTTTAAGGAATCTCCACACTGTTTTCCGTAGTGGCTGTACTAGTTTACATTTCCACCAGCAGTGTAGAAGTGTTCCCTGATCACAGCATCCAAGCTAAAAGATCTCTACAAGGAAAACTACAAAATACTGCCGAAAGAAATCATAAATGACACAAACAAATGAAAACACATTCCATGATCATGGATGGGTAGAACCAATATTCTGAAAATGACCATACTGCCAAAAGCAATCTACAAATTCAATGCAATCCCCATCAAAATATCACCATCATTCTTCACAGAATTAGAGAAAAATTCAAAAATTCATATGGAACCATGAAAAGATAAAAACAAACAAACAAAAAGAGCCCATATAGCCAAAGCAAGGCTAAGCAAAAAGAACAAATCTGGAGGCATCACACACACACCCGATTTCAAACTATACTATAAGGCCATAGTCACTAAAACAGTGGGGTAGTGGTATAAAAATAGACACACAGACCAATGGAGCAGAATAGAGAACCCAGAAATAAACCCAAATACTTACAGCCAACTGATCTTCAACAAGGCAAACAAAAACATAGAGTGGGGAAAGGAAACTCTCTTCAACAAATGGTGCTGGGATAATTGGCTAGCCACATGTAGGAAAATGAAATTGGATCCTCATCTCTCACTTAACATAAAAATCAACTCAAGAAGGATTAAGTACTTAAATCTAAGACCTGAAAGTATAAAAATTCTAGAAGATAACATTGGAAAAACCCTTCTAGACATTGGCTTAGGCAAGGATTTCATGACCAAGGACCCAAAAGCAAATGCAATAAAAACAAAGATGAATAGCTGGAACTCAATTAAACTAAAGAGCTTTTGCACAGCAAAAGGAACAGTCAGCGGAGTATACAGACAACCCACAAAGTGGGAGAAAATATTCACAATCTATACATCTTACCAAGGACTATTACTCAGAATCTACAATGAACTCTAACAAATCAGCAAGAAATAAACAAACAACCCCATCCAAAAGTGGGCTAAGAACATGAATAGACACTTCTCAAAAGAAGATATACCAATGGCCAACAAACATATTAAAAATGCTCAACATCACTAATGATCTGGGAAGTGCAAATCAAAACCACAATGCAATACCACCTTATTCCTGCAAGAATGGATATAATCATAATAAAGAAAAAATTTTCATGGTCAGAGTATTTATTGTGCCATGTAACAGTAGTGTTACTTTAAGATCAAATTAACTTTATTTGAAAATAACTTTTGAGTTTCTATATGTTTAGTTTTCATTTTATTAAGAAGTGTGGTTTCTATAGGTGGGAAGACTAAGTTTGGCTGTGAAGGAAATTAGGGAAATAGAATTGGGTTATAAGCTGGGACTGACATTTATGAAGAAAAAAAGGATTTGAAAATATTTAAGAGAAAATCTTAAATGATAGGAGCTGGCCAAAATGGGCACTGCATGAGACAAGGAAAGAGGTGACAACTCAGGTGACATGGTGGAGAACAACAGTGTGCTCTTTTTGGTAGTTTGATGTTGGGAATGTGATATATATACTTCCTTATCTATCTCCCCTGTGAAATTCTTATTAAAAGATACTCGATCACTAATAGTGACACTGCATGGGTTGATTCCTTACGAAAACTGGAAGAAGGACTGACCAGTATACATATGGATATGGGAATAACAGGCAAATAATTCACGAACACATAATTAGAGATGGTAGGAGGGCTGATATCTGGATTAAGTAATCTTTTTGATTCACCTTACTTCCAGAATTCAAACAACCATTACCTGCTTTCACCAAAAGCCTGTTTTTCCGCAACAAAATAACTTTGAAACAATTTGAATACCATACTTACAAAACTCATTTATAAAACTGAGCATTAATAAATTTTGCCTTTGAGAAAATTATGCCCAGTTAGCAATTTTATAATCTATCCAAGACTTAAAATAAATTTATTTGAAAATATTTTAAATAAAAAGACAATAATGACTTCCATGCATAGTGAATTTTTGGCAACCTTTAACTCTGTTAAGATCATAAATTCCATGCCAGAAGCCCCTAGAAATAAGAAATAATGTATACTTCCTTTCCATAGTACTCCTTTTAATCAAGATGTCACCCTTCAAATACAGTTTTCCCAAGCAGCTTTCCCCAGTGATGAGTTTATGACTCAATGAAGCACACATTCTCCTGCCCCAAAATTGAAGATGCTTCATTACAGACATAATAAAGTTAAATGGACAAGTCACACGCCTCACAACAGAAGGCTCCTACTGTTCTTACAATAACTAAATGTCCCTAATTTACCTTTATTCAAAGAAAGAAGATATACTATTTGATTAATCACCTAAACCCAACTTAACATAAAAAGACTTTTCATATGTGAAAAAAATCACACAGAGGCTGACTGTTTTGTGAATAGAAAATACACAAAGAAGCATAATCATTTCTCAATTTATGCTTTCTGAAAGTGAGCGTCATCAGGCCCAGGTGCGGCTGCTGAGAACTAAACAAGGTGGAAGAGGAATAAGGAGAGTTGAAAGGGCAAAGCTTTGTTTGCCTGTCTATAATAAGAAAGATTGTCCTTCACACATCCCACACAGAATAGAGTTTGGGAGGTATTTATTTTGGCAGGAGGGGAAAGAAATGGAGAGCCAATGTGAAGACACTGCAATAATCATTAAAAGATCTATTCAATAGAGAAAGAGTTTAGGATAATAAATTACAAAGAGTTATAGAAGACAAATATAAGGAAAAGTAATTGACTAAATAGAAAGGGAACTTAAAGAGTTATTAGCATTGAGTTGCATGGAAACAACTATTCTTCAGATGCTGTATTTAAGTTCCACATTTAAAGCAAAACAAAAAAATCCTTCTATTTTTTAATTCAATAATTGTTATATTTTCCTCTGAAAATGTTCCATAACTCATAGTGATAGCTCTTTCTTCTCTGGTTTGCTTTTTCCGAAGGTTATTTATTTTAAATGATAAATGAAGAAACATCCTAATATTTTGTAAATAGAGATCATTTTTGTTAGCAACCTTAAATAGAATTTCTTAGAGTATAATACACAGGAATGTAACCATTATCTTTACCACTGATATTCAGTCTGTTTTTACATTTTATGTGAGGAAATGCTTCTATTGTGTGAAATTTACTAAGGGCACCTACCATGTTTCATTGGAACTAGAGTTTATAGCTACTATAGTGGAGGATATGGACAGTAAGAATAATAAAAGTTTTGGTAAATAAATAATTTATTTCTACTTCTACAATGGTAAAGGAAACTCCTCAGGACTTTTCATATGTTATTTTTAGATCAACATCTATTCTCACATTTACAAGACAATATTTTACTCATGCCAATATATAAACACAGACTTTAAAAATCATATAGCAGTATTTCTTCAAGCTTGTTATTTAGAATTTTTCCATGATACATTGGTAGGTGTTTCAGAGAAAAATGAATCTTGTTCAACTAAGTTTGAAATAACTAAATTAACAGATTTCTTGTTTACTTGAGGACTTCTCAAAACATTTGGTATGCTCAAGCATTTAACGAATTTAAGAGGCAATAGATTATGCAGGCTTTCACATTTTATTTAATCAGGAAACCATTACACTAAGCATTTATCCTGTGATATTAGTGTTGTGCAGAAAATGCTTTGGTAAATGCTATTCTATTTATTCATAAAATAGATAAATCTATAGTTGTAAATGTGCTATTGCAGATCTACATACTATTTATTCCTAGATGTTGTATGTTAGAGATCATGAAATATATTAACCCTACTCTTTCAAACATCACACACAATGAGAATTCCTTGCTCTATACATGTGGAAATGCAATTATGCTCAGCAAATTGAGGGAAACTAACCGATGGAAGATTCCTTCAGCTAAGACTTATATTTTCCCCAGTAGTTTCTATAGGCTAATATGAAAAGTGCTCTTGGATCCTTCAATTCACATCTCTGTAAAAAGAAACAGCTAGAAAGAATGGAGTAAAATTTTTGTTTATGAGATCATGTTTTGGGTCACAGTGTTATTTAGAGTGAAGGTTTGAGAAAGTATAATCTAATACAGTTTACTGATTGTTGTAAAATAACTCAAAGTCATAAAATGAGACTGAGGCACTAAATATGCCAATCATTTCTAACAAACAAAGATGTGGTTCACTCTCAAATTGTGCCCTAAGCTGCTTACAAGATTTGTTTTCACATTTAGTGTTCAGGCATGTATTTTTGATAATCCTACAAAATGCAGGCTAAATTGTACTATTCAGATAAGCACAATGTATCTTTGCATGTACATAAGGCCTCCACTTAAGTCGCTTAGTAGGGTGTGATCTTGGGTGAAATACTTAATTTTTCTGCATCTCAGAGTCTTCATAAGTAAAATAGGAAAAAAATAATAATCATATGCACACACATTCAGACACACATGCCATAAAGTTACTGTGAGGATTAAATGAGTTAACATACATAAAGCATTTAAGACAATTCTTGGCACAGAGTAAATATTCAATACGCTTTAGACACTATCATATGTGACGTACTATGCTAGTTACTGGGGATGCACACAATAGTAAGCAAGGCAGACAAACTCTGTGACCCCAGGAAGCTAGCAGTCCACTATGAAAGAGAGACAAATAAACCAAAGAAACGAACAAATACATAAATGCAAGTGTAAATGGTATAATAGAAACAGCATATGGCCATTGAAAACTATATTAGGGATCCCACCATACTGTACCTAGGTTAAGGAGAACACCTCCGAAGAAGACATTTCAACTGATATTTAGAAACAAACAGATGACAATAATGTGAAGAATGTGAGAAAGCACATTCCAAATAAAAGAACAGAACGTAGAAATGCCTTGAAATAGGAGTAAATTTAGAGAGCCACTGTTCTGCCAGGAACAAGTGGCATACTCACAGTAGGCTAATTAGAAGAGGAATTATTAAAGGGATGATTTGCAGTTCTGAGCAGGGAACACAGTGTCCTGGTCGTATTAAGCGAAACTATTACCATCTTTAAAAGGATGAGATTGGGCAGTGCCTACCAGAACCCAAAATAAGAGAGATCAGGCCACCTTGAAAGGACTTGACCTTCCAATGGATGGAGTCAGCCAGAGACGGCTGCACAGGGAGAGAATGAGGGAAAAAAATAATCTCTCCCTCACATCTGCTAAGGCACCCTGTCAGTCAACCCAGTGAGCTACACAGCAAAGAGAGCATTGATGTGGTCTATAAAGACCTACTAGGGCAGAGAGCAAGTTGGAGAAAGAAGGAGAGAGGAAAAATAGAGGAACACTGAAAGAAATCTAGCATGAATGGAATATAGTAGTGAGAAGAGGAGTGCTACCAATAAGAGTAGATAGGCAGGGAATAAATTACTCAGAAGACAAAAGGGATTTATAACTTATTCTAAATGCAATGAGAAGTCATGGAAGGATTTTAAGGGAATTACATAATCCAATTTGTATTTTAACAGATTACTCTGCCTGGTATGTTAAAAACACCTTGGAAGGTGTAGCAATAATCTAGACAAAAAGTCTGATGATGGCTTACATTCAAGTGAGGACAGTGGAGATGGAGAGACGTGGGCACATTCAAGTTGAGAACAGAACTGACAGAATCTCCCCTGGGATTTGATGTTGGGTAACAGAAAGGGAGAAATCAAAGATGAATACTAGATTTTCAGCTTGAGCGACAGGTTGAATGTCCCTCAGCGGGTAGAAACAGACTTGAGAGGCGAGGATAAGAAATTCAATCTGGGATATGTTAAGTTTGAAATGATCTGGGACATCAGATGAGAATGTCGAATAAGTAGCAAAATACCTACATTCCCACTGAGAGAAGTTGTCTGGCCTGGGAACAGAGTTATCAGAATGTGGCAGTAATTAACACCATGCCAGAAGAATTAATGAGATCACCTAGGGAGAGTATTATGAGGAAACAGAAAAGATTAGCTCTGATTTATCCAAACCATTTTTATATAAATTAGTTGGATTTAAAGCAGAGATAGTAACATTTTTTATGCCATGGATGCCTTTGGAGATCTGATGAAACCTACAGACCCCATCTGAGATAATATTTCTCAATGCCTAAAGTAAAATATATAGGATAATGAAAGAAACTAATTATTTTGAAGTACATTTATCAAAATTTAAAATCAAATTTATAACAAAGTTAATTATTTTATTTTTAATGCATTAAAAACTGCATAGGTAAGTCTAGTAACTACCATAATTTCAATGTAGTAATAAGTGCAAATTATATTTTGTAATATCTGTGACAACTAGAAGAGGGTATAAAAATCTGCCATTTCTATTCAACATATTCTGATTCTATTGTGTGCATGCCTACATTTAAAATGAAGGAAATATTAAACATCAGTTGGGGTACTCTCTACCCTCAAGGAGGTAATGGTCTTGGTAATATTAGGAGTAGGAGAAAGTGGGGAGGACAAACAAGTCATTAGATCATTGCACTGTAATGAGAGAACATTTGGGAAACAGGAATGCATCATGAGTGATTGGAACGCAGTGGAAGTCCTATAAAGTCTTCTTAGAGATGCCTCTATAGCCATATCAATAAGGAAGTGTGTGTTTAGCATTTCACATAAAGTACCATGAGAATCTGAAACAGTAATGAAAAGCAGCAATATCACAGCTATGCCATGCATTGTCCTTGTGTTCTGCATGAGAATATACGTCAGGGAGTCTCACAACTGCTCTTTCTTCCACTCTCCCAAATAGCATCCTGAGCTTTGTCTGCCTGCATCAAAATATCTCATGTACCCCATAAATATGTATACCTACTATGAACTCACAGAAAAGAATCCTTTAAACTTACTAATCACTGTATATGAAACTTATTTAATTCACTTACATTATTGCACACATTGGCTTCTCACTTCAAATTTTTGTTCAAATGTCACCTTACCAATGAGGCCTCCCCACACCCCTCAATACAAAACAGCCCATTTTCCCATCATTCTCTACCTGCTTGGTTCCACATTACTTATCATTGCCTAAAATTATATTCTGAGAAGAGAATAGTAGCTTATTGTCAGGCTCCCCACTACAAGGTAAACTTCATAAGGGCTATGATTTGGTCTTGTTCAGAGCTGTTTCCATAATACCTAGATAAGTGATTGTCACATGGTAATAACAGTACTGATTGTTGTTTAAAAAATTAGTTAATGTACATATTGTTTAAGGATTTATTTGTCCTCACCCAATTGTAACCATGACTACAACCCTGTCTCACATGTCCATGTCTCTCAGTATCCTTGTCTTGTGTATGTGACACAACATACCCCTCGTCCTTGTAGATACTACAAAAACCATCCCTTGATGCTACATCTTGCTATTCCATCCCCACCTTCTGTTGAAGTTCCCTGCCTTCACCCACTGAAAAGCTAACATTCTGGAGTATCACTATCTTTAAATATCTTACTCCAGTATAATACCCTGCTTATCTCTGAGGATGATGATACCATCACACGCTACATCCCTGCATCAGGTTAGACTGGGACCTTTTCTCATAATGCTGCTGGCAATATGACTTCACAGTACACCGCAGACACCAAGGTAAGGCTTCACAGCAACACTGAGTTCTACTGCTTCCTGGTTCTTGTCTTCGCCACCCCCACCCCGCTCCAATGATCTATTTTCTCTCTAGGCTCTACTACATTTAGTTATTATTTTTTCTTCATTTTTAAATTTCTTTGCATAATCATATATACAACTGGGCAAATAGCCCTCCTTTATCACCCACATGCCTACTTTAATCATTGCTCATGCATCGATTATGGTTTATCTGTCCATGACAGATATTATATCAGTGGCAAACTACTAGCAGTGTGGCGTAAATAGTGCTCAATTATTTTTGTAAGAAGAAAAACAGGAAGAGAGTAAGGCAAGAACTTCATTTATGTATTTAGTGCGCATCTGTTGAGCTCAGTCTTACTATGTTCCAGATATTGTTCTGCGGACTGTGGATAGAGTGGTGAACAACACAGGATAAAAACATACCATCATAATGCTTATATTCTTTTGGGTAAATAAGATAAAAAAATAAATATATAATATAGCAGCTCATGATAAAGGCTATTTTAAAATTTAAACCAAACTAAGGGACTGGAAAAGATGGGTGGAAATGAGCTATCTTAGATAGAGTGATCAGTGAAATCCCTATGGGGAGGAGATATTTAAACAGAGATGAAATATAGGTAGAAGTAATTCTGGCCCAAACAAACCTCCTCAAACATTTTTTACTTTCTTTTTTCCTCTAACTCTTGAGTGGATATTGACCCAACAGCAAGCTTTAAGGTGGCAGAGAGTGTCCTTCAGACTGAGCCTGTCATTATTGCTTTAAACAGAGAGTCCTCTTCCCCATTACCTCCCATAATGTGCCACTCCCATAATGAACATCCTAATACTTTATAAATGTAATGCTGTATGTAGTGTATATATATATATATAATATATATGTGATTCTGTACATGATAAGTATAGTATATTTAATGAAGGTAAAATAGATTTCTGATTTTTTAGCCACTGAGACTATGAAGTTACTACTATAGCAGCTACCTGTAACATCTCACATTATAATAAATAATTAACCCTTCTAGGCAGAAAAACATTATGTGCAAAGAGTTTGGGACAATGAGGCAATACTGTGGCTCTGTGTTCCATTCCAGGCAGAGCATGGAAATTGTAGCTGGAGCCCAGCACATTAAAGAGCTGTGTGAAGTGAGATCTGAGAAGTGGGGATGGTAGATGATAGCACTTGGGATTTTAGTTGGTGTGAAATGAATAGGCCCTAAGCTCAGCTGTGGCCTAGAGCCTTCTAAATTGATGAAAACAGCTGCACTGTCCAAAAAGGTAGCTACTAGCTACAACTGATGAACTGAAATTTTAATTTAAATTTATTAAAATTTAAAAGTACAGAGTCACATGTGACTAATGCCAATATACTGGACAGTGCAGCTCTGGTGGCTTTCAGCAGAGGAGTGGCATAACTTATCTTACATTTAAAAATAAAAATCTTGATTCCTTTTAGGGAATACACTGTAACACAACCGGCATGGGAGCAAGGCTAATAAACAGAAGGGAAAGCTGGTAAAATCGTTCAATTGAGAGAAGATATCTTGGACTCTAATCATTGTAGTGGAAGCACGAAGTGGCTGGATTTTGAACATTTCAAAGGTGCAACCAGTACGGTTTTTAATATCCACAATGTGAGTTGTACAAGTAAAAGAGGAATCAAGAATTACTCAAATAATTCCCTCCCACCCTTGTCCCTTAAACAGCTGGATAAGCAGAAGGCATTTTCTAAAATGAGAAGCTTAAAGGAAGAATACATTCGTTCTGATGTAAGCATGTTTGGTTTGAGGTGTCCACTAGATATCTAAATGCAGATGTGTAAGGGGTCTGGAGTTCAGGGGACAAAGTTAGATAAAATGGTGAGCTACTAAATGCTAACTTGTAAGGGAGAAAACTCTTTTGGCCAAAGTGATGTTAATATCAGTGCATGATGTGTGACTTCACTAAAAATGCTTGTCACTTTTATTTCTGTCCAAATATTTAACTTATGAATTCTCCAGTTTCTATAATTTACACATTTTTTAAAAAATGTATAATTCCATATTTCTATAATATTATTTAAAACTGGATATAATATTTTATAATAAGAAATTCAATTATCTACACACAGAGAATAAAAAATAGCATAAAGGCATTCTTATATACCAAGAAAAATAGTGACTATGCATGAAATTTAATTCTATCAGAAACAGACATGGATGGCAATCATTGAGAATATAAACACATATTTGAATGTTACCCTTTATTTTTTTCTAAGCATTATCTAAAATCTTTATGCATATGTTCAAAAAATATTCCTATTTCTGGATAAGTGTGATCACATCATCTGCACCTTTTTCAGTGCCAGCTTTTGCTTTAGTTTTCCATTTTTGCCTGCTTCCCATCTTTCACTCTTTATCACTTCCTCCCCTCCCCACATCACATGACATACCCCTGCAGGTAGATCAAATTAAAATCTGGTTTGTAGCTGTTCATATTTTTCTCCATGATCGTGGGATAATAAACAGAAAATATGGTCTTATGATTTGTTTTAGAAAAATAAAGGATACACCCTTTTATCTGCTCTCATGAGAAATAATTCTTCCAAACCTCTTTACTTTAAATAATATGGTTTGAATTAATTCTTTTTAATGGCATAACCTCCCACATTGTTAGTTCCATAATTTATTCAACTATCCCCCTATCAGGTACGTTCACTTGGTTTTCAATATTTTTGTCAACATAAAAAAATGTAAATATGAATGTACATATATTCTAATATATCTCCTCACATACTGATGTTTTGGTTTCTATGAGATAGAGTCCTCAGAGTGACATTTCTAGGTCAAATAGCATATGAATTTTTAATAGATGTCAACAGTTTTCCCCAAAATGTGAAAAAAACAATTTGCGTTTCCATCAGTAGTATATAGAAATTTCCTTTTTCTCATATCCCCACTAGCAGTAGATGTTATAAATCTTTTAAATTTTATTTTACTTTAATTTGTATTTCACTAACTTCTAGTGATTTTAAATAACTTTTTGTGTGTAGGGAGAACATATGAATATGCTTTGCAATAAGGTACATATTTATCTACTCAGTTGTTTGCCATCTCCTTGTCAATCTTTTGAAAACTTTTTTAAAATGTGTTATCATCTGCACTAAAAATCTCTTTTCTCAAATTAAGCATTTGTCTATTTCTTTATGGTATTTTGTCATTATAAGTTTAAATATTTCTATCTTCTCTTTTATAAAATCAGAATTTTATTCTCAATTAAGAAGTCTTCTCCACACTTAACTAGTCTCCTAGATTTTCTTGCAAGGTAAAATTATTTTTTACATATAGGTCTTTCATTCATTTAGAATTGTTCTTATTTGTGGTTAAAGACTGGTTTTATTTTATATCCTTTCAGATGGATAGCCAGTAGTTGAAGTACTTTTCAGCAAATTATCTATCCTATTCTCATGATTTTGTATTTTTTCTAGAGAAAATATATTGTAAATAAATAATCATCAAAGGATCTTTAATGAGATTTTAGATGGTTCCACCAAACTACGGGGTAGGGAAACAGTTGGATAGTAAGATAAACTAGCAAACTATCTTTTTTTTAAGGGCATTTTTTCAGAAGTTCCACAAACTACATAAATATTTATTTCCAACATGAAAATGGAAGAGCCAGCCAAAGCCTTCCAGCCTGATAAATGGATACTTTCCTATTTATAGTTAGACTGTGAGTTACTTGAAGGCTTGTAGGTACAAACTACCATTCCAGAAAGTAATCAAAACAATTTTTTAATAAATGAATGAGCAAAGGAGTGAATGGATAAAGAAAGTGAGTACAGAGTTGAGAGACAATTCCCTATGGGAATTTTGCATTTCTTAACATTTTATGAAAAGGTATTGACAGCTTTTTTCCATACTATCTTATCAAGAATGTATGTATAGAAAACAATCTTGGAAGAAGATATTACCCCACTCTAAGGAAGAGGACAATATGTTTTCTGACCAGAATAGTAGCAATAATGTATAAGGCATAGGTGTTCCTCTAAGGCAAAGGTTGGGTAGGTTTGCTTAGAGCCCTCTTTATAAGACTGAGGATTTCCTAAACTCCAAGTTCCTTCAGTTGTGATATAAATCCATGTGTGCAGACCATATCCACCTGGGCCTGACTTTGCATAACCTTTGCAGAACTTAGGGGGCAACAGGAACTAAAGATAGCATGAATTTCATGCTCAGTGTGATCATGAAGTTCATGTGTCATGAGTAATAAAACTCTTTGTTTCTGACCTAGGTAGGAGTCTCATGCCTTCTGTCATCATCCATAAAACTACGACAGGCAAACTTGCTAGCTTGCAAGTATGGTAAAACCTCACACATTTCACTGTTCTTAAAAGAAGAACCAGCAAATTCACATCCCTCACAAAATATCTTACCTGCTTTCTGACACCTGATATTTCTTTCTATTCTCTGGATTAACTCTGTCCCTTGTTAAATTCCAAATATTTCTGGAGACCAAAAATAATTACTACAAAGAAAAAAGATAAAAAGAACATAGGAACACAATTCTAAGGAAATTATTGAAAGACTATAACTGAGCCACTAATGGAAGAAGTGGCTACATAGAAAAGTCTTGGAACTATCCAAGGCAAACTATGCCTCCATCAAATAATTATTTTGAAATCAATACTTGTGTGTTATGGTGTGTTCTAATTAACAATTTTTATATTTTCAATATTCGTTCCGGATTTTCTCTAAAGTGATCAGCCACAGCCCTGCAGAAAATATCTATAAACCACAATTTTCAACTTTTGATAAAATAACCTCTTAATTATTGATTACCAAAGTCCTCTTGCAGTTTCAAGAAGATTTTGGTTTCTAAAATTCTAGCGTGTTTTAGTGTTAAACTAATATACAAGGTGAATTCTTAAATCAATAATTGGGATTAATCACTGAAAAAAGCTAAGATGGCCTGACTAAGACATGTATTTTAAATTTTTACTGAAAAGTTTCAGTAACTATTAGTTTAGACTTGTGGAAAAAAGTTAAAAGTTTTACTAGTAATCTTTGATTTAATATTAAAAAGCTTCGAATGTCTCATGGTGTTATATAATTAATGCTTACATTGCTCTTGGGAAATTAGTAAGGATATAAGTTATTCTCTCTCTACTATGCAGTTAAGGATCCCAAGAAGCCACACAAGTGTTCAGTCACTTTTCTAACAAACACAACTTTTTAAACTATAAACAGAACTCGACACTCTACCAGACTGTATCTGGACAGTCTGTAATAAGGCCCAGTGGGTATAATGATAGAGGAGTGTCTATGAATTTTAACAGCTTGCTGAAATCTTTATGATGGAAACCTGTATTTATGCTTTTAATTACCATGAATTTGGCAGTCATATTCAGGTAAATATTTCTGGTATTCCGTGCATAGGAAAGCATACACGTGCCAATTTACACTGATGAAATTTGTTCTTTTATCAACTAACTAATTAGCTTTCATTATAATGCTTTAAAGATTTTCCTGGGATTTCAGCTCAGTAGTCTGAGAGCTCTCTCTGGGTAATGTATTCACAACAAAACTTGTGAAGCTGCCATCAGAAAGATGGAATTCATGAATGAGAGAGGAAGGCTATGTCAATCTTGGGCAAAGAGAGGGAGGTGTTAAAACTCCATCTCAGAGTGTGCTTCTTAGAGAACACATCTTCAACAGTTGGTAACAGGTTGGCCCAAGAAAAAAAGGCACTAAAATGGATGTTTAGAAGTGTATCACTTCCTACCCCCTTGCAGTAAGAACCTCCACACCTGCTGGCAGATAGAGAACTATAGACCCTGGCACAGGTGACAAGCCATCTGTTAAAAACTCTCACCACTGGTAAACTGGGATGATATTCCAAGGGAGGAAAATACATTCGTTGATGCATTTTGTCAAGCATTTGGAAAAATATGAGGCAAATAGTAACTATGTGGACAATGCAATTGGGTGGTTATTACTAAGAGTAATTGATGATGTAAGAAAAGATAAAGAAAGTCTGAGAGCAATTAGTCCCCAATTGATAGCTAACTGTGAAAGCCAGAGGTCCTCCTTGATAGCTCATAGTCATGGATTTGTTCTGCCAAGATAAAAGCCCTATTTATGAAAGAATGGGACCCTAGCAGCGTTTTATGGGACTTAGAGAGCAGGAAAAAACCCCACTGAACCATCACATTGCAATGTAAACAGCTCAATCACTGAGGCAAATGAACTGGCAGACTCTATGGTGTAAGACATTTTGGTGGGAGGAAAATATGCCACATGAAACTTATGGAAAGGTCCAACGTGAGAATCACAATGTGAACTACTAGAGCTATTGAGCAATGTCTTGCCATCTGCAACTAAAATTATATACCTTTTGAAAAAGCAACTCCTACCACATTACTAAGATAGAGAGCTTGTCCACGGGGCACTATATGATTATGCAGCATATTTGCCAATCATGAGCTGAATATTTTCATATGAATAACAGGACAAACAAAATCGATCATAAGATGAAAATGGTACATCAGGGTTCTAGCACAAGCAGAACCAATCATAAGCAAGCTGCATGAGTATGTAGCCCAGACCTCCACTTCATTGCTGTTGCACCAGTAAACCTCCCTCTGCTTACACCCTTAGCCATATAGGGAATCTCCTAACCAGCTGACTAAAGAAGAAAAGTTTGAGCTTGGTTCAGACATGGGTCAGCTTAGCATGCGAATGCAAATCACAAACGGACAGCAGTTACACTACCCTCACTAAGGAATGGTGTGCAAATCTGGGGCCAGGGAAAATCCTCCCATTGTGCAGAACTCTGGCATTGCACTTGGTCATCTACTTTGTATGACAATAGTGGTCTGAGAAAAAAATTTAAAATGGGCTCCCCTCTCCAGGCACAAGAAATATTTTACTGCTGAATTGCATCACATGCTTTGATTCTAGTCAAACTCACATGCTTACTTTTTGTTAGTTTTATAATCAGAAATATTTAATAAACCATGTCTTCATTTATTTTTTTGGCTTCCTGAAAAGTTAGAGTCAAATTTAAAGCCCAACTGTGACACTTCTGCTGGTTCACATTGATAATATAATTGTGTTTTCTTCCATAGGATTTTGATTTTTCTATTAATAGGTATTTTCTCCCATTCTAATTTTCCCATTTAGACTTCTTTTTAAATATAATGCCTTGCTGTGCCCCTCAGGGGTGCTTTGTGAAAAAGAAACTGATGATTGATATGTAATAAATTGACAGGCAAATAAGTATTGCTACATATTTTTAAAAGCAAACAAAAATATGAGACTAATGCTAAGACAAAACTGTTAATTGGGATAACATCTCTTGGGCATTCTCCTAGACTTAGTGTAGTCCCTACTCTCTACTCTCCAATTTCTTATTCACCTTTTCCATTTTCACCCTAGATTCTCTCATATCCTTTTGTCATAGAAATATGGGTTCAGCCAACCAGTGTCAGCCAAGGCTCTACTCTATAACACCTTAAGGAGTTACCCTTTCCAGGACCACTTTTGTTTTAATAGAAATCTATTAAAGACAAATAGGCTGAATGCCCAAAGGGATGATTGAATTTAACACATGCAGAGAGATAATTGGTTCCCTTATCTCACTTTGCAGCATCTTCTGTATTTGAAGCATGAGAATTATGTTATCCATGAAGATCACAACATTCCTATGTCTAGCTCAAAACTAGCTTGACAAGTTTTGTTTTATTAAGCCCCAAGACAAAGGAAAAGGGCCACATTTTTTATAGCTATATTGTCATTTCTTTCCTCTAAATTTTTATAACATGAAAGAATCTTATAAGAAAAAAGAAAATAGCTCACTAAGCCACTACATGAACAAAACTATTTTCACTTCTGCAAATTTCATCTATGCCTTTGCATAATACAAAATATGTTGCATAGCTGTAATCCCAGTTCCAAGTAAATTTGTATATGATGCTTTATGTTACTTTTAGAATATAGTTTCCCGTGCTTCTATATGGTTTCTGGAGCTACTCATTTTAACAGGAAATGATGTAACATAATTTACCTAATCATCCTTTATATTATTAAAATTAGGCTATTGTTTCTTGCTATTTTGTATAATGCTACAATGAAAACTTGGCATAGCTTTATATCATTGTTGCATTAGTTCTGCAGAATTAAATACCAGAAGTAAGGTGTTTAAGTCAAACATATGAATATTTCGATTTATCTTATTATCTCTTATTACTTTGCTCTTCAAAATTCTTATAGAAATTATAATTATTTAAACCATTTTAATAGAGCATAAGATTGTTGAGTAACCTTTCCAAAACATAGACTTTAATTAGTAACAGAGTAGATACTGGAATCCTGTCTGAGTCCCTGATATTAACTTATAGGATGCACAGTTGTACATAAAAGAAAAAAAGGAAATAATGAACTCAATTTTGTGAAAGAGAAGGATGCAGATCTGACTAAATTCCAAGTATAATAGGGACTTCACTTGATTCTATTTTCTGGGCATAAAATGTTTTTTCCCAAATTTCTTTCTTAGAAATTTATGGACAGTCTCCTCGCTCTAGAACAGAACTCGAGTTTTACTTTAAGAAATCTCCTCTCACCTCCAGATTATATTAGGAATCCTGAAAATTTAATAGGAAATTCTGTCATTCCAAACTTATTTCTTCATATAGAATCTATTACAACTGTAATTAAATCACTAATAATTAATGACTTTCCTAACTGAACATAAGCCAGCTTCCATCTATCCTGTTCTCCACTATAACTACAAGGCCTCAAATAGTGCCTTATATATAGAAGGTTCTCAATATTTATTGAATGAATAACCAATGAATGGATAGAAGAACAGATGGAGAAATTAATATAGTTTTAAGCAGGACTGAATCACCTTCACCAAAACTACTATTATCTCTCTTTCATCTAAAAATCCACCAAGACTATTCTGGTTCAAGATGATAAATTTACTGTAAGCATGTTCCTTTACTACCTTTTAAAATCACAGTAAAATGACAGTAAAGATATACTATAAATAACAAATTGTGGCAACTATGAAAATAGAGAATATGCCATTAATGAAGGAAGAATTTTCTGGAGGATAGCATGCATATGAGAATGTAATGACAAATCAGACCAGAGGAAATTACAACCCAAAGCATTAACTGGAAAAGGCTAATACAGAGAGGGGAGTTGCTTTGCCTGGTAATGACCTGAAAAGGTCTTAAGGCTAGAATTGGCAGGGATAAAAAATAAGCATGGGCCGTGGGGAAGCCATCATATATTAATTGATAGAATACCTAGATCTGCTCCTAGCTAGAGCCCTAAAAAGTACTGTATAAAGAGAAAAAGTTTCTCCTAGTGGCCAGTCGTGATGTGAGTGATAGGGATTGGGATAGAGGCAAATTAAAGCCTGCAGTGATTCTATGCCTCTGCAAGGACCTGCAGGAGCACAGTGGGGGAGGCAGTAGAAAGGAAAACAGCTCCTCCTAGGAATAAAATTGTTCATGTGCTCTCCCACCAGAGTAGAGAATGCATGACTGCCATGCATCAGGGACTGTCTGGATGTCCCCCACCTTTGTAACAAAAAGGTAGGCTTCCAGGTGATAAAGTCCATACAGTTACAGAAAGTCTATATCCAGGCATTCCACTGAGGGTGGAGGCTTGAGGATGTGCAGACATCTGAACTGTGACTACTCTCTATCTATGTTAATCAGCATAGGCCTCTGTCTATAAACAGGAGTGGTTGAACACACTAATAACAGCATGAAAAAGAAACATTAATTTTTCAAGCATTAGGTTTAAAAACAAAACCCTGGGTCAAATATCAATATTGTAAGGATAATTAAAGGAAAAACATCCACCAGTATTATATGAAGAGAAATAAAAGATTATTATTACTGAAAATTCTTTTGCTGTCAAGGATGTAGAGACTGGAAAGAATATTGCTTCCATCATAAAAGCAGGAAAATGCTGAGGAAAAATTTTGAAGAATCACAATTTTTCTTGAAATTATTACAGAGCTGAGTTTGCAAGGTAATCAAGTAGCCTAAATCCAAGGGAAGATGGGTCCCTCCTCAGAGATATGGGATGTGAGCACTGAGTTACCTCAGGCAGAAGATGCAAGAATTCAAGCATCATGCAAGCTGGTTATATGATTTCAGGTAAATTTAGTTTTAATTGCCATATTAAAGTTCTCTAGAGAAACAGAACCACCAGGATGTGCATGTGTGTGTGTCTATATATGTGTGTATATACGTATATATGTATATGTATATGTTCATGTTATGTATATATACATATATGTATATCTACATATACATACATGTGTGTATGTGTGTCTGTGTGTGACAGAGAGAGAGAGAGAGAGAGATTGATTGATTTATATTAAGGAATTGATTCATGCAGTTATGGAGGCTGGCACATCCAAAATCTGGAGGGTGAGCTAGCAGGCTGAAGGCCGGGGAAGAACCAGTGTTACAATTTAAGTCCAAAGGCAGTCTGTTGACAAAATTACCCCTCCTTCAAGAATGGCCAGTTTTTGTTCTCTTCTGTCCTTCAGCTGATTGGATGAGACTGACTCATATTATTGAGGACAATAGCTTGACACAAAGTCCACCATCTTAAATGTTCATCTCATCCCAAAACACTCTACCAGAATCACCTATAATAATGCTTGACCACACCTCCGGGCACCATGGCCCAGCAAAGTTGACAGGTAAAATTAACCATCACGATTGCTAAAGCCCTTAAAAAATGTTTAAATTATTACTGCTAAAAAGTAAGACTATGGGATGAAATAAATAAAGGTAATTTTTTACTTTTCATATTTGACTCTATGGTATAGCATCTGGTTGTTATGTTAACTATGTATCTATGTTATTTTTACAACTATTATAAAGATATAGAAATAAAAGCCACAACGTTAGCAAAGTATTTTAAAGTTCCATGTTGTTTCAAGCCATCATTAACTCTTTGGATTTGCAAAGTTAAATTTGTTATACTAGACCAGATAATTGTTACATGCAAATTATGTTTACATAAAAGAAATTTTACCCAAATTGTACCCAAGGGGATTTTGCTCCTGCTTCGAGGTTTCTTTCTTTCCAATGATGTCCATCACGTGTTCATAAGAAAGACTGGAGGTAAAGTGAAAGATTGAAGACATTCTTCCATAGTGGTTCAGGCCTACAGGACTGAAGTGACAACCACTGTGAGAAAAGCCTGAAGCCCTAACTAGACACTTCTTTACGGAACAAAATCCTTAAACAGCTTAGGCACAAAAGGAAGTTCTGTCCTCACCCAGGGCACAGGCAAAGATTCACTGTGGCTGAAGGAGGGTAAAAGAGAAAATCCTACCCCTGGGAGAGGGGCAAAAAATTATTCCTGGGCTCAGATTCCTATCCCAGTAAAAGCATTCTACTCTGGCGAGGGGAGCAGAAAAACTGTACCAGAACAAAATCTGCAAACTATAGAAGGCCGAGATTAGCTGCCATGGAGACAAGGAGCAGGATCACTGAGACAGCTCCACCCCGAGACCTAGAAGCCCAAAGCCTACTTAAGACCAAGACAAGACCCAGACAAGAGAGAACACCTCTTGCCCCACACCTTCAGACAAGAAAACACCCAGCAGTCGGCCACTGGAGGAGAGTGGAAAGCTTGGAGAGACATTCACATTATGACCCAGGAAAGAAAGCTGAGGCACAAGGAAACATTGAGAAATATTCTCCATCAGGCCAGCCCCTAGCTTAAACACAAAGAAACACCAGAGCGGTTTGAAGCTGGAGGTGCACTGAGGGTAACCATGGCAACCAAAAAATTCCAAACCTGTCTCAACTCCTGATAAAATGGAAGCAACGCTTTAAACTAAGAGCCTAGCAGAAAATGCCTGCCCATTTCTTGGCATAAATGCTATTTTCCTTCATCTTTTCCGTACTACACATTATGTATAACCTCGTAAAAATTATGACACATACACACACACACAAAGAACAATTTATTGTCAAGAAACAAAGAAATCAACAGAACTGGACTCACAGATTACTCAGATGCTGAACTACACACCAGATATAGCAAAGAGGAAATGGGGAAAGTAAAGGAAGCAATTTCAGTAACTGAAATCCAGACACAAGTCTTCAGATTTTTAAAGGATCTTTAAACGAAAATAGTACAACAAATTTTAAACAACTTAACCCTAGATTCATTTTAATAATATTCAGAATTTCAAGAGTAAATTAAAACTTTTAAAAGCATCTAGAAAAAATAAGTTTACTTTCAAAGGTATAAAAATAAAATTTGCATCAAATGTCCCATCAAAAAATTGGAAAGTAGAAGGTGGCGCAATGCCTTCAGAATTTTGAAAGGAAAAATTTTTAACCTATAATTCTATACTCAATGTATTAATAAATGAGGAGGAAGGACATCAGCAAGACAGCAGAATACAGTTCTCCAGCGCTTGACCCATCACAGAAATTCCAATTTGAATAACTATCCATGTACAAGTTTGAAAGCAAAATAAAGATATTCACAGGATAAACAGATTATGTAAAGATTATGTGAATAACCAAATAAATGTTTTAAACATAAAATCTAATAGAAAGGAAATAGGAGATCTTAGAAACAATAACACCAGCTCAGGGGAGAACTGTTAAGAATATTTTAATAAGATCACCAAGTGATTTGTTTGCTTGTTAAAGTCTGAGAAATTGGTGTGAGTGATTTAAATTACTAGTGTTTGATATCAAAAGTCAACTGGTAAACTCTCAAGTTGATAAATCAAGAAATCAAGACTCAAGAATTGAATTTAGAAGTATGGGCAATGGAGGAGCTGAGGGAGTAACAACTTTAACTAAAAAAAAAAATGTTTAAGTTATTACCTCTAAAAAGTAAGACTGTGGGATGAAATAAATAAAGGTAATTTTTTTACTTTTCATATTTGACTCTATGATATAGCTTCTGGTTGTTTTCTTAACTATGTAACTAAGTTATTTTTACAACTATTTTAAAGATATGGGAATAAAAGCCACAATGTTAGCAAAATATTTCACAGTTCCACACTATTTTGAGCCATTATTATTTGGATTTGCAAAATTAAACTTGTTATACTAGACCAGATAATTGTTACATGCAAATTGTGTTTACATAAAACAAATGTTACAATGAAGCATAAGAAAAGATTTACAAACTACAAGTTCTACTTATTTTTTAAAATATTCAGTACAATAAAATTCCATTTTGGTTCAACAAAGTATTAGACAGTTTCTTAGATTTGACTGAAATGGTATTAGACTTGAAAATTTTTGCCATTTGGACTGAAAAACAAATATCACTGTAAAAGAAACTACTCATTTTTCATATCACAGTAAAGTTCTAAATAATAGATCATTATCTCTATTCATAAATTGAAAGCAGTACTTTTAACTTGAGTCAATTTTTAATATGGAGTGGTTCTAAAATGAGATTAATCCCACTTTCGTACTCTAAACCTTAAAAGGAACAAGCTAGAAACCATCATTCTCAGCAAACTATCGCAAAGACAAAAAACCAAACACCGCATGTTCTCACTCATAGGTGGGAATTGAACAATGAGAACACATGGACACAGGAAGGGGAACATCACACACCGGGGACTGTTGTGGGGTAGGAGGAGGGGGGAGGGATAGCATTAGGAGATATACCTAATGCTAAATGATGAGTTAATGGGTGCAGCACGCCAACATGGCACATGTACACATATGTAACAAACCTGCAACGCTGTGCACATGTACCCTAAAACTTAAAGTATAATAATAATAAAATAAAATAAAAGGAACAATATTTTTTGTCCTTATTAATGAAGGAAACCTACTCAATTTACAATTTCTGGAGATAAAAACACAAGCAACCATTTTGTATTAATCATTTGTGTTGTGGTAATAATCAACCCATACATCTCAATAGTTTATGACACAAAGGTTTATTTATCATTGATGTCTGATTTTGGTAGCTATAGGTCTCTGCTTGATGTGTCCTTTCATTCAAGGATCTAGGATGAAGATGAGGCACCTGTCTGGGACACATAATTCTCAGGGCAATGGAGACAGAAAATAACAAGATTTCTGCTTGGACTTGTGTATCTAACTTCTGATCACATGTCATTGGCCAAAGTCCAATGTTGCTGGGGAATTTCTATTCCACACAGTAGGCATATAAAGTTTCTTAGAAATGCATGAGACTCATAATCCTCTTTCAAAAAGAAGAAGTAAATTTTAGGGACCACCATGCAATCTTTCATCATCCTGTTTTTGTCACTTTTACTTCACACACTGTCACACTCACCTTGGAAGATATTCTGAGGTCATGCCAGATGATGATGTGTTCCACAGAGGAACAGGAAAGCTGAAGAGTTGTATTTCTGCCAAAAGTATGGTTGAGTAAATTGAATAATCAAAGTTTTTTAACCTTCTTTAATGCCAAAAGTTCTGCATTTTCGTTAAATTTATGCCACTTAAATTATCTTGTTTTATCTTTTATTTTAGGTTCAGAGTTACATGTGCAGATTTGTTACATAGGCAAATGCATGTCATGGTGGTTTGGTCAGATAATTTTGTCACTGGGGAAATAGCGTAGTTACCCAGGTAATAAGCATAGCACACAATAGGTATTTCTTCTGCTCCTCTCCCTCCTCTCATCCTCCATCCTCATGAGAGCCTCAATGTCTGTTGTTCCCCTAGCACCCATGTGTTCTCATTGTTTAGCTCCCACTTATAAGTGAGAGCATACAGTATTTGCTTTTCTGTTCCCGTATTAGTTTGCTTAGGACAATGGCCTCTAGCTCTATACATTTCATCTTTTAATTGTTTGATAAAATCATAGGTTTATGAATATTATTTCTGTATAGAATTTTGAAAAGGACAATAAATATAAATATGAGATGCTTCAATTAACCATGGGATTAAACTGGGAGCCAAATCTGACACCAGATGAATTCTGAATATCGATTTCTCAGTTGAATAGAAAGAGCTATTTAATTCCAATCAGTTCTATGCAAAATAGACAACTCACAAAAGAATTTTCTATGAAACATTAGAATTTGTCAGACTATGTGATTTTTCTCCATTTGTATGCAGAGTATATGCAAGTCAGACTGCAGATCCTGAAACTGTCAATATCATGTACCACATTGATTAATAACAGTCTGCTTATACTTCTTATCCAAATAGCTATCATCGTCAATCAATAGAATGTCTGTTAAAATTCTTGCACTATTGAATAACAAAGGATACAAAGAGTAAGTTTTCTTACCTAGAGGATAGAAAGTAAACATGTTGCAATGGTTATGTAATGCTTTTTATAAAACTCAAAACATAAAGTGTAATTGTTCTGCATAAAAAGCACTGAAAATGTACTGATTGCCCTAAATAAGAAGTAAAAACTCTAGAAATAAAACTGTACTATACATATATTCATGGCTATATTTTGCCACTTTGCATTCAAATAGAAAAGTGTACATGTGGTGAAAATGTCCTTTTTTTCTTGAATTTTAAATCAAAATAACTGATGTACAGTTTTCAGTGTGATATCATATAAGACACAGATTTAATTTCATTTTTCATCATCAATAGTATAATTCATTAAAGGGAACCAGAAGCTGAACTATAAAGGGAATGTCCCTTGGGTACTGGCAGGGGACAAACTGAAGTTTTTCAGGAACTTCAAAATAGGTAATACCACTATAAATTTTCCAACATCCTTTCATTTTGTAATAATTCATTTCATAAGTATAGAGAACATTTGAAAAAGCTTCTGACATGGGGAGCAGTATTACAGACAGTGCTTGCTACATTTGCATCTGAACTGTGTAGTTACGAGCAAGTCAATTAAGCTATTTGAGCTTCATGTGTAAAATGGGGTAAGACATACCTTGAAATATTATGAGAATTAGAGAGGACGCATATAAAGAACCTGGCATAGTGGTTGGCATGTAAGTAGAAACCAATTTTTGGAAGTTTCCTTTGTTAAGATTGATTTTAATGTTTATTAATCTGAAAAGGTGTTAAAACTTTAATATGCTACTCTGTTGCTTTGAATACACTCTTTTAAAAATAAGCCTTTTGGGAATGCACTCTACGTAAGATATGATGACTTTAATTTCTAACCCATTGTCAATATGCTACTGGGAAGGGACAACAGTGGATTTAGCCGTAATAAAAATTAGAGGTATTCGGTTGTTACTTTTGTAACTGTTTGAATGAAAAAATAGAGTCCTAGGCATTCTGGACATATTGACATATATGGAACAAGCAGAGACATCTCTCTGCAGTTTTTTCCTTATGGAAAGTATGATACATTGGGAAATAGATAGTTGGTCATTGACCCCAGTTCTTAACAGAGCTCCTAAATTCCTTTTAATTTCTTGAGTGATAAGGGTAATAAAAACTTTTTCATATTGAGGCGACTCTTGGTGAGCCCTAACCAGCTTCAGAAGGGGGACTCATCACCAGAACAACTAAGGCATGATTATTTTGTCAGAACCTTCAGTCCCACCCTCACAACCACTAAAGAGGAGAAAACGGCTGGAAGTTGAATTAATCCCCAAAGGCCAATGATTTAATCAATTATATATATGTAATAGAACCTCTTTAAAACATGGGATTCAGAAAGATTTTGGATAGGTAAACACATGGAGGTGCTAGAAGAATGGAGTCCTTGGAGAAGCATGGACGCTTCATGCCCCTTCGCACACACCTTTTCCTATTCAACTCTTCCATTTGGTTCTAGGTCAGTTTTATTATCTATTTAAAAAAAAAAGTAATAGCAAGTAAAGCATTTTCTGGAGTCCTGTGAGGCATTCCAGCAAATTATCAAACCTAAGGCAGAGGACATGGGAACCCTTTGTACAGGCAATCAGTCAGATGTACGGGTGGAAACCTGGGACTTTTGACTAATATCTGAGTGGAGGCAGTTGTATGGACTGAGCCCTTAACATGTAGGGTCTGCATTAACTCCAAGTAGTAGCAGGATCTCAGTGGATTGCAGGACACCCAGTTGGTGTCCAGAAAGTTGGAGAATTAGTTGGTATAGGAGAAAACGTCTACATATTTGATGTCAGAAGTGTGGGAAAGGAAGTGGAAAGGGTATTGGCAACAAACAAACAACAACAAAAAAACACTACTCGGACAGATATTCCAGCTAATTTATAACTCTCAAAAAGAAGGGAAATATTGGGAAAATAGAATTCCAAAGCAATTTGACAAACAGGGCAGAGAATGAAGCTTTTTAAATGTTTTGCTTAGTCAAGGAATTTTAATGGTGTTTTGAAGCCCCAAAGGGATTAGAAGTAGGGAGAGATGCTATTCATGTGATATCCTAAACATTATTAGCAACAGGGGAAATCAAAACTGGAACAAGTATACTGGTTAACAGCAAAGGTTTAGTACAAGGAGGTGTTAAATTCTTATCTAGGGCTCTAAAACATTTCAATCTTATTTCTTATAGTTTCTATTCTGATATATATATACGTAATTATTAAAAACACACTGGTTTGCTTTTACCCTAAAATTGTCATGAGCCACACCGAAGGCAGTACCATTCACTTCTAAGAACAATATTTTCTAGGACCAATCCAAGCAAAGCTTGCTTTAAAATAACTGCAAATATAACTTGGATATATGAGGAATAGTAAAAGAAATGGGATTATTTGTCTGGAGAAGAAACATTTGCCTAATAATTGCTTTAAAAGTTCTATTTAATAATCACCATTCTAACTGGTATGAGATGGTATCTCATTGTGGTTTTGATATGCATTTCTCTAACAACGAGTGATGAGTTTTTCATATTTTGTTGGCCAAATAAATGTCTTCTTTTGAGAAGTGTCTGTTCATATCCTTCGCCCACTTTTTGACGGGGATTTGTTTTTTTGAAATGGAGTCTCGCTCTGTTGCCCAGGCTGGACTGCAGTGGCATAATCTTGGCTCACTGCAACCTCCACCTCCCGGGTTCAAGCAATTCTCCTACCTCAGCCCCCCAAGCAGCTGGAATTACAGGCAGCCACCACCATGTCCAGCTAATTTTTTGTATTTTTAGTAGAGACGGGGTTTCACCATGTTGGCCAGGCTGGTCTCAAACTCCTGACCTCCTGATTCACCTGCCTCGGGCTCCCAAAGTGTTGAGATTACAGGCATGAGCCACGGCGCCTGGCTGGATGTTTGATTTTTCTTGTAAACTTGTTTAAGTTCCTTGTAGATTCTGGATATTAGACCTTTGTCAGATGGGTAGATTGGAAAAATTCTCTCCCGCTCTGTAGGTTGCCAGTTCACTCTGATGATCTTTTCTTTTGCTGTGCAGAAGCTCTTTAGTTTAATTAGATCTCATTTGTCAGCTTTCGCTTTTGTTGCAATTGCTTTTGGTGTTTTAGTCATGAAGTCTTTGCCCATGCCTATGTCCTGAATGGTATTGTCTAGGTTTTCTTCTAGGGTTTTTATGGTTTTGGATTTTACATTTAAGTCTTTAATCCATCTTGAGATAATTTTTGTGTAAGGTGCAAGGAAGGGGTCCAGTTTCAGTTTTCTGCATATGGCTATCCAGTTTTCCCAGCACCATTTATTAAATAGGGAATCCTTTCCCCATTGCTTGTTTTTGTCAGGTTTGTCGAAGATCAGATGATTGTAGATGTATGGTGTTATTTCTGAGGTCTCTGTTCTGTCTACATATCTGTTTTGGTACCAGTACTATGCTGTTTTGGTTACTGTAACCTTGTAGTATAGTTTGAAATCAGGCAGCACAATGCCTCCAGCTTTGTTCTTTTTGCTTAGGATTGTCTTGACTACACAGGCTAAGTTAGGAAACAACAGGCTGTGGAGAAATAGGAATGTTTTTACACTGTTGGGGGACTGTCAATTTGTTCAACCATTGTGGAAGACAGTGTGGCAATTCCTCAAGGATCTAGAACCAGAAATATCATTTGACCCAGCAATTCCATTACTGGATATATTCCCAAATGATTATAAATCATTCTACTATAAAGACACATGCACATGTATGGTTATTGCAGCACTATTTACAATAGCAAAGACTTAGACCAAAATGACCATCAATGATAGACTGGATAAAGAAAATGAGGCACATATACACCATGGAATACTATGCAGCCGTAAAAAAGGATGAGTTCATGTCCTTTGCAGGGACATGGATGAAGCAGGAACCCATCATTCTCAGCAAAGTAACACAAGAACAGAAAACCAAACACCGCATGTTCTAACTCATAAGTGGGAGTTGAACAATAAGAACACATGAACACAGGGAGGGGAATATCACACACCAGGGCCTGTCAGGGGTTGGGGGGCTAGGAGAGGGATAGCATTAAGAGAAATACCTAATGGAGATGACGGGTTGATGGGTGCAGCAAACCACCATGGCACATGTATACCTATGTAACAAACCTGCAGTTTCTGCACATGTACCCCAGAACTTAAAATATAATTAAAAAAAGAATATGGGGGAGTCTTGGGAAATGTGGGCATTTTGAAACTGGAAGGAAAGTGAATTATTTGTGATCAGAGAGTAGACTGTAGATTCTTAAAATGTTTACAATTATCCCTCCTCCCATTAAAAGGCAGAATCCATTTTTCCACCTCTTGAATCAAGGTTAGCAATACAATTTGCCAGGTAAATAAGACATTAGCAAATGATACAAGCACAGAGTTGAAAAGCTCTTGCACGTTAGAGCTTACACACTTGCTGCTCCTGGGACTTTGCCCCTGCCACTATGTGAATACATCCATTGCAGCATACTGGCTAATGAGAAACATATGGTCCAGTCACATACCCCATTTGAGAGGTGGTTAACCACCAGTCATATGAATAAAGCCATCCAAGATTATCCAGGCCCTGAAGGCCTGCCAGGTAATAACAGAGGAATGGCCTAGCACAAATTGCCTAGCTAGACAAAACGTTTTTTGTTTCAAACCACTATAATTTGTTACGCAACGAAGGTAGACCAATACACAAAACTAACATATCTCTAAACAAACATTAAATATAATATTAAGACAATGGCATGAATGTCTTCTATACCTCTTGTTAGAAGTTTGGAAAGCTACATCGTTGGAATTTAGATATTTTATTTGCTTAAAGAAAAACATTTTCATCAGGAGGGTTGAAACATTTTAAAACATGATGGTCTACACTAGCCTGTGTAGTACTATCTTAAAAAGTAAAGTGAATTAATTATACTGCACAAAAAGGATTAAAGTTGAGAGATCTGGCTGTTGGTGGTGGTTGTTTTTCCAGTAATCTTTAGGTACATAGCCGCCCTAGAGTATGAAACTCAACTGTTCTAGTCCTCTGCTGTTCAATAAGTAATATAAAGGGGGTTGGAAGAGATGATACCCGAGTTTAAATCTAAGATTTTTTGGTTTTCTGATTTCATTTCAAATTTTGAGGTCCAATTTTTCTTCTGTCAATCAAACTATGTTTTCCATAACACTTAAACTTACGTAACTATATTCTTTAATCTAAGTATGTACTGAAGATTTATATTTCAAGAAAGAAAATAAGTACAAATGTAGTTTGTTCACTCTACCTATCTTTAGAAAGAGAGATAGAGATTTGTATTTTCTAACATTTTATAACTGGGAGTTTCACTAATCAGTTCATTAAAATAGTTTATTAAACCCCTATTATATGTAAAGCATTTGTGCTTGACACTTTATAGGTTACAAAAAATGTTAGATCTAGAAATTTTCCTCAAAGAGCTTTCTACTAGTTAGAAGAGGTATTTACTTATTAAAAAGCAAATACAAGGTAAAACATTAAAATATATGACAAGTACCAGAGACACACCACATAGATTATTATATGGAATTAATAAATAAGAAATGCTGAGAAAAGTTTAATGTTAAATTCATGAGGTGCTACACACACATAGTAAATGTTATTTAAGTGTTATATGTTTATGTATAGATAGTAAGTGGCTAGGAATAATTAGCTACTTGACATGAATGGCTCTGAAAAAGAGATAAAAGTCAGCTACCTCTTTTTAAAAGTCAGCCAACTTCCTGCCAGGGCATTCCATCCATTAATCAGTTTTCAGAATTGAAACAAAATTTGCTGAAAAGTTTATTTCCTCAAATATTTAAATGCAGTGTTGCCATGGTATTTTATATTATGGATGAACTTTAACACAAGAAGTCTTGTTGGCATATTTTAATCACATCCCTCACATGTTGAGCCTGCTCTGCTTTCAAATGGCTGCATTATCATAGAAATAAACGCATAAACTTCATATTTATGTGGCGTACTGGTGTACTGGCGTGCTGGTGGATCTAACCCCAGAGATTGTTACACAGTAGGCAGTCCAAGAATCTTCTTGGAATAAATAAATATGTCAAAAGTAATTTTAAAATTTGTAGACTACTAAAGGCAGTGTTTTTTAAATGCAAAGCTAGTAGGTACTGTTGTTCAGCCTAGAATTTCTTCTTTAAATATAATAAAAAGTATAAAGCCACCAAAGTAAAAATCCAAAAACTGGAAGTTGAAGATTACTTTGAATTTTATTTCAAATACATAAAGATTTACAAAGCCATGACATTAATCTAAAGAGGCTCTTAAACAAAATAAAGATTTTATGTAAAATTTATATGTAAAAAAGAACTAATTTTCCCAACTTAACTTCCAGCAGAGACAGGCTTGAAAATTAAAAGCAGAGATGAGGGAGGAAATGGGAGAAATACAAAGGGAATTTAGAATCAAGTCTTAAAATTATGCCAAGGTACTATACTATTTTTTTAATTTTTGTTATTTTTATACTTTAAGTTTTGGGATACATGTACAAAACATGCAGGTTTGTTACATAGGTATACATGTGCCATGGAGGCTTGCTGCACCTATTGACCCATCCTTTAAGTTCCCTCCCCTCGCCCCCCACCACTAACAGGCCTGGTGTGTGTTGTTCCCTTCCCTGTGTCCATGTGTTCTCATCGATCGACTCCCACTTATGAGTGAGAACACGCAGTGTTTGGTTTTCTGTTCCTGTGTTAGTTTTCTGAGGATGATGGCTTCCAGCTTCATCCATGTCCCTCCAAAGGAAATGATCTCGTTCCTTTTTATCGCTGCATAGTATTCCATGGTGTATAGGTACCACATTTTCTTTATCCAGTCTATCATTGATGGGCATTTGAGTTGGTGTCTTTGCTATTGTAAACAGTATTACTATAAACATATGTGTGCATGTGTCTTTATAGTAGAATGACTTATAATCCTTTGGGTATATACCCAGTAATGGGACTGCTGGGTCAAATGGTATTTCTGGTTCTAGAGTCTTGAGGAATCGCCACACTGTCTTCCACAATGGTTGAACAAATTTACATTCCTACCAAAAGTGTAAAAGTATTCCTATTTCTCCACTGCCTCGCCAGCATCTATTGTTTCACTTTTTAATAACTGCCATTCCGACTGGCATGAGATGGTATCTCATTGTGGTTTTGATTTGCATTTCTTTAATGATCAGCAATGCTGAGCTTTTTTTCGTATGTTTGTTGGCCGCATAAATGTCTTCTTCTGAGAAGTGTCTGCTCATATCCTTTGCCCACTTTTTGATGGGGTTTTTTCTTGCAAATTTGTTTAAGTTTCTTATAGATTCTGGATATTAGACCTTTGTCAGCTGGGTAGACTGCAAAAATATTCTCCCATTCTGTAGGTTGCCAGTTCACTCTGATGATCTTTTCTTTTGCTGTGCAGAAGCTCTTTAGTTTAGTTAGATACCACTTGTCAATTTTTGGCTTTTTTTGCAATTGCTATTGGCATCCTCATCATGAAGTCTTTGTCCATGTCTATGTCCTAAATGGTATTGCTGGGTTTTCTTCTAGGGTTTTTATGGTTTTGGATTTTACATTTAAGTCTTTAATCCATCTTGAGTTAATTTTTGTATAAGGTGTTAAGGAAGGGATCCAGTTTCAGTTTTCTCCATATGGCTAGCCAGTTTTCCCAGTACCATTTATTGAATAGGAGATCCTTTCCCCATTGCTTGTTTTATTCAGGTTTGTTGAAGATCGGGTGACTGTAGATGTATGGTGTTATTTCTGAGGTCTCTGTTCTGTTCCATTGGTCTATATGTCTGTTTTGGTACCAGTACCATGCTGTTTTGGTTACTGTAGGCTTGTGGTATAGTTTGAAGTCAGGTAACGTGATGCTTTCAAGCTTTGTTCTTTTTGCTTAGAATTGTCTTGGCTACATGGGCTCTTCTTTGGTTCCATACGAAATTTAAAGTAGTTTTTTCTAATTCTGTGAAGAATGTCAATGGTACCTTGATGGGAATACTGTCGAATCTATAAATTACTTTGGGCATTATGGCCATTTTCATGATATTGATTCTTCCTATCCATGAGAATGGAATGTTTTTTTCCATTTGTTTTTGTCCTCTCTTATTTCCTTGAGCAGTGGTTTGTAGTTCTCCTTGAAGAGGCCTTTCACATCACTTGTTAGCTGTATTCCTTTGTAGCAATTTTGAATGAGATTTCATTCATGATTTGGCTCTCCACCTGTCTATTGTTGGTGTAAAGGAATGCTTATGATTTTTGCACATTGATTTTTGTATCCTGAGACTTTACTGAAGTTGCTTATCAGCTTAAGAAGTTTTTTGGCTGAGATGATGGGATTTATAAATATAGAACCATGTTGTCTACAACCAATGAAAATTTGACTTCCTCTCCTCCTATTTGAATACTCTTTATTTCCTTCTCTTGCCTGATTGCTCTGGCTAGAACTTACAATATGATGTTGTATAGTAGTGGTGAGAGGGGGCATCCTTGTCTTGTACTGGTTTTCAATGGGAATTCTTCCATGTTCTGCCCATTCAATATGATATTGGCTGTGGGTTTGTCATAAATATCTCTTATTATTTTGAGATATGTTCCATCAATACCTAGTTTATTGAGAGTTTTTAACATGAAGGAATGTTGAATTTTATCAAAGGCCTTTTCTGCATCTACTGAGATAATCATTTAGTTTTTGTCTTTGGTTTTGTTTATGTAATGGATTATGTTTATTAACTTGTATAGGTTTAACCAGCCTTGCATGCCAGGGATGAAGCTGACTTGATCGTGATAAGTTTTTTGATGTGCTGCTGGATTCAGTTTGCCAGTATTTTATTGAAGATTTTCACATCAATGTTCATCAGGGATATTGGCCTGAAGTTTTCTTTTTGTTGTGTCTCTGCCAGGTTTTGGTATTAGGATGATGCTGGCTTCAAAAGATGAGTTAGGTAGGAGTCCCTCCTTTTCAATTGTTTGGAATTGTTTCAGAAGGAATGTTACCAGCTCCTCTTTCTACCTCTGGTAGAATGCAGCTGTGAAACACTGTGAATCCATCTAGTCCTGGGTTTTCTTTTTGGTTGCTAGGCTATTAATTGCTGCCTCAATTTTGGAAGTTGTTATTGGTCTATTCAGGGATTCGACTTCTTCCTGGTTTAGTCTTGGGAGGGTGTGTCTAGGAATTTATCCATTTCTTCTAGATTTTCTAGTTTATTTGCACGGAGGTTTCATAGTATTCTCTGATTTTAGTTTGTATTTCTGTCAGGTCAGTGGTAATATCCTGTTTAATATTTTTTATTGTGTCTATTTGATTCTTCTCTCTTTTCTTCTTTACTAATCTAGTGGTCTATCTACTTTGTTAATTTTTTCAAAAACCCAGCTCTTGGATTCATTGATTTTTTGGAGCATTTTTCATGTCTCTGTCTCCTTCAATTCTGCTCTGAGTTTACTTATTTCTCGTCTTCTGCTAGCTTTTGGATTAGTTTGTTCTTCCTTCTCTAGCTCTTTTCATTGTGATGTTAGGGTATTGATTTGAGATCTTTCTAGCTTTCTGATGTGGGCATTTGGTTCTATAAATTTCCCTCTTAACACTGCTTTAGCTGTGCCCAGAGATGCTGGTATATTGTATCTTTGTTCTCATTGGTTTCAAAGAACTTCTTGATTTTTGCCTTAATTTCATTATTTACCCAGGAGTCATTGAGGAGCAGGTTGTTCGATTTCCATGTAATTATGTGGTTTTGAGTGAGTTTCTTAATCCTGAGTTCTAATTTGATTGCACTGTGGTCTGAGAGACTGTTATAATTTCAGTTCTTTTGCATTTGCTGAGGAGTGTTTTACTGCCAATCATGTGTTCGATTTTAGATTAAGTGCCATGTGGCACTGAGAAGAATGTATATTCTATTGTTTGGGGTGGATAGTTCCGTAGATGTCTCCTAGGTCCACTTGATCCAAAGCTGAGTTCAAGTCCTGAATATCCTTGTTAATTTTCTGTCTCATTGATCTAATATTGACAGTGGGGTGTTAAAGTCTCCCATTATTATTGTGTGGGAGTCTCTTTGTAGATCTCTAAGAACTTTTACGAATCTGGATGCTCCTGTATTGGGTGCATATATATTTAGGATAGTTAGCTCTTCTTGTTGAATTGATCCCTTTACCATTACATAATGCCCTCTTTGTCCTTTTTTATCTTTTTTGGTGTAAAGTCTGTTTCGTCAGAGACTAGGATTGCAATCCCTGCCTTTTTTTTTTTTTTTTTTTTTTTTTTTTTTTTTTTGCTTTCCATTTGCTTGGTAAATTTTCTTCCATCCCTTTATTTTGAGCCTATGTGTGTCTTTGCATGTGAGATGGCTCTCCTTAATACAGCACACCGATGGGTCTGGACTCTTTATCCAATTTGCTTCTCTGTGTCTTTTAATTGGGGCACTTAGCCCATTTACATTTAAGGTTAGTATTGTTATGTGTGAATTTGATCATGACACTATCTGGTTATTTTGCACACTAGTTGATGCAGTTTCTTCATAGTGTCATTGGTCTTTATATTTTGGTATGTTTTTGCAGTGACTGGTACCAGTTTTTCCTTTCTATATTTAATGCTTCCTTCAGGAGCTCTTGCAAGGCAGGCCTGGTGGTGACAAAATCACTCAGCATTTGCTTGTCTGGAAAGGATTTTATTTCTCCTTCGCTTATGAAGCTTAGTTTCACTGGATATGAAATTTTGGATTGAAAATTCTTTACTTTAAGAAAATTGAATATTGGCCCCCACTCTCTTCTGGCTTGCAGGGTTTCTGCAGAGAGATCAGCTGTTAGTCTGACGGGCTTCCCATAGGTAACCTGACGTTTCTCTCTGGCTGCCCTTAACATTTTTCTGTTCATTTGGACGTTGGAGAATCTGACAATTATTTGTCTTGGGGTTGATCTTCTCGTGGAGTATCTTAGTGGTGTTCTCTGTATTTCCTAAAGTTGCATGTTGGTTTGTCTTTCTGGGTTGGGGAATTACTCCTGGATAATATCCTGAAGTGTGTTTTCCAGCTTGTTTCCATTCTTCCCATCTCCTTCAGGTACTCCAATAAATTGTAGGTTCAGTCTTTACATAGTCCCATATTTCTTGGAGGTTTGTTCATTTCTTTTTGTTCTTTTTTCTCTAATCTTGTCTGCATGCCTTATTTCAGCAAAGTGGTCTTCAAACTATGATATCCTTTCTTCTGCTTGGTTGATGTGGCTATTGATACTTGTGTATGCTTCACGAAGTTCTCATGCTGTGTTCTTCAGCTCCATCAGGTCACATGTCCTCCTCTGATCCTAGTTAGCAGCTCCTTTAACCTTTTATTAAGGTTCTTAGCCTCTTTGCATTGGGTTAGAACATGTTCCTTTAGCTCAGCAGAGTTTTTTATTACCTGTCTTCTGAAGCCTACTTCTGTCAATTCATCCGTCTCATCCTCCATCCAGTTGTGTGCCCTTGCTGAAGGGGCATTGCAATCATTTGGAGGAGAAGAGGCACTCTGGCCTTTTGGGTTTTCAGCATTTAATAGATTCTTTCTCATCTTCATGAGCTTGTCTAGTTTCAATCTTTGAGTCTGCTGACCCTTGGATGGGGTTTTTGTGGGGACTTTTATGTTGTTGTTGAGGCTGTCATTGCTGCTTTCTGTTTTTTGTTGGTTTGTTTGTTTTCCCCCCAATGGTCAGGTCCCTCTTCTGTAGGGCTGCTGTTGTTTGCTGGGGGTTCACTTCAGGCCCTATTCATCTGATTCGCTTTTACACCTGGAGATGTCACTCAAGGAGGCCGAAGAACAGCAAGGATGGATGTCTGCTTCTTCTTCTGGGATCCCTGAACTTGAGGGGCCCCAACCTGATGCCAACAGGATTATTCTTGTATAGGGTGTCCAACAACCCCTGCTGGAGGGTCTCACCCAGTTGGGTGGCACAGGGAACAAGGCCCATTTAACAAAGCACTTTGTACCTTAGTGGAGGGGGTGTGCTTTGCTGGGAGGAAACACACCCATCTGGGCTACCAGGATTTCTCAGAACTATCAAGAGGAAAAGTTAAGTCTAGTGGTCCATAGAGACTCTATACTACTATTTTCAACAGTGATTGAACATCTATATTATCTCAGTAGAAGGATGATAAGTGATTAATGCCACTTTTGTGATAGACAATGAAGGCTACAGGATCAATATAAATCAAACTTAAGAGATTTACATTAGCAGATAGTGTTGCAGTTATTTATTTTTGCTTCAAATTTCTTGTTTTGTATTTTAAGGATAAATCGTTATCTCCTTTATTTTTCCCCTTTACCTTCTATTCTTATAGTTATTCCCTACAACCATATTACAAGTGATTTACAATTAACCATAGTATTAACCACTTTCAGGATTAGAATTTAGATTAACACAGTCCCTGTTCTCACAAGGGTCACAATGTAGCAGAGACATAATCTATCTACTTCACAACGAAAGTACACATCTAAAAGCCCTAGAGAGCAGACAAAAAAAATTCATTTTAACAAATAGATTTATAACACTGAGCTCCAAGAAACAGTTCTATAGTTGGTCTTTATAAGTGAATCACAAAAACAGATCTCCAATAAGATAAAATTATGTTGGTACAGGCCTTACACAGTGTCTCAGACATAGTGGACACTCTGTAAACATTTGTTGCTAAACCTCGCAATAAATTATACTAACTTTACTTTCAGAGTATAAATACCTACACCTTAGATGGTTGTGTTAATATACCAACCAGAGGAGTTAGTAGAAAAGCAAAGAAGATATAATTGTCAACTACACTACCAGAGGTTTCAGCGTTTATGTCATAAGAGGACTTAAGTGACAATGAAATGATTCAGTGAGGGATAATGCTCTAGGGAATACAATAATAAAACTGTTAATAGGAATTAACCTCTAAGAAATTTATTTAAATCCAACAGTGTGTAAGAAACTCTAGAAAACTAGATTTGTATCTAGAAATGGGAGGACAAAACAGCTAAGAAAACCCAGTAGAAGGATGGTAAGTAATAAGTCCCACTTTTATGATAGACAGTAAAGGCTATATGGTCAATATCAATCAAACTTAAAAGATTTACATCAGCAGATAGTGTTGCAGTTGTTTACATTTGCTTCAAATTTCTTGTTTTGTTGTATTTTAAGGATAAAATTATTATCGCCTTTATTTTTCCCCTTTACTTTCTCTTCTCACTCTGCCCAAAGCAAGAATATCAAAGAGCTTATGATGGTGAGATGGAGGATATATGATGAGGAAAATTTACAAAGATAGTAAAGAAAAAGAAAAGAAGATTTTGTCTGTAGTCTGTTCAAAGAAACATTCAATCAAATAAGTTCACAGGGTCAAGGGGGAGGTAGTTAATCTATATAAGATATCAATGGTTTATCATAAAAACAAAAATCAAATCTATGGAACTAATTATAATTGCCACCAAGTTTGCCAGTGAAAATAATTTTTTCCTGACTCATGTTCACACATCCTAAACAATTTACGAAGTGATTTTGTACACATTTTATGATTAATTTGCACAATAAATGGGTAGAAAACAGCTGCTCAGAAAGTTTAAATAAGTAAAGGCTAACAGAAGTTGGATGAAGTCAGGAACTCAAATACTAAAAACAGGTTTCTTTGAAAAACTAGAAGTGAGGAAGCTTCGTGGTCTATATATATTTAATATTAAAATTTCTCCCGATAAAAGTAACTATCATTTGTTAAGCAAACATGTGACAAATGTTTTACCTCTCCAAGTGGGAGTGTCTCCCTGGCCCAGCTGGTGGCTCCTAGGACCCATATATTATCATATGGGTTTCTGCCCTTATAGTCAATAGTTTTCACCTGTTAGTACATGAACCTCAGATATGCACGCATGTGGGTCTCTTTGAGAGTAGTAAAGACAAGGGAGAATAGCTACCAAACTTCTCCCATAATCTTTGCAGACCCTCTGCCCTACTGTCTGCTGGGGTTCTGTTCTCCCTAATTAATTCGTTATGTCCACCATATTGCTGATGCACCACCCAGGCAGCTGGCCACGTACCTATCAATTATCTTCAGATCACTGACCTCCACTCTGCCCACAGGCGGTGCCTATGTCATATTACCAACCTCCAATGCTCCTCCAGTACTCTGCTACCTCCCACAGAGCTCTCTCTACCTACCTCTAGATGTTACTCACTCATTCTCTGGCCAATAAATGAACATTTTCCTCATCTAGTAAACAGTTTTCTTAAGAAGTTCCCCACAGTTTATTTGCTTGGTCCCTTGCCTATTATTTTTACAGTTCCACTAGAGTAAGGTGAAAGAAGTCCTCAGCAGAGTGACTTGGAGACTAATAACAGTCTTTCCTCCCTACCCCAATCCCTTACACATACAGGTACACACATGCAAACACACACACACACACACACACACACGCACGCACACAGTATAGAGGTGATACTAGAGAACATATCAGGAAATGTTCAGCCTCAGCAGTTTATACTATATATTGGATGTATTGCCACCTCTCTTGACAGGCAAAACTAGTACTGAATTTTATTCACTCAAGTCAGATTTTTCATTTCTCTCAGGAGCCTGGTTGACAATAGCTCAATCCCTAAAATCTAGTTTTTCATTTCTATTGCTCCAGTTCAACATACATAACTGTATTCATCAGAAAACCAAAGTCAGACAGATTTCAAGCTCTTTTTTTGGGCTTCTGAGCCTCAGGCAAAAGCAAACCAAGGAATGTGGCTACTACCTCTATCTCTCAAGGTTCTATGGCCATTAATGAGGTTTTGTCTTTGCAAAACAGAGAACTTCTACTACCACAGTATTGTGCAAACCACATTATTGTTTCAAACAGGAAACAATACATGTAACCTCAGATTACATACATCTAAAATAAACATTGATGAGCCTTATCTATGTCCAATGAAATTTGGTAATTTTTTATTCTACTCAATATTTTTTATGTTTAAATGGGAGTCAAACCCACTAAAATGATCTGATGCATCACTAGTAGATCATTCCCGCAGTTTTAAGAGCTTTTTCTAGCAGGCAGAATGAAAAATGCCTAACTCAACATGTTTGAATATTAAGTCTCTAATTCTACCCAACAAAATACCAGGTAACGCATATGTTATATCTTAAACTTTCTCAATCACACTCCATGGTAGATATTGTTATGCCTAAATGACAAAGTCCAAGATATTTAATGACTTTCCCAAGATCACACATCTAGAAATGATACTTCAGAACATCAAATTCAGGTTCATCTGAGCTCTAAGACTCCTCTCCATATGACAATATGTTGTTACTTATGGTTCAAACAACCATAAGTATGGATGGAACAATGAAGAATATGGGGCATATGTTGCAGGAATTAAGAGATTTAAAAGCCAAGCTTCCTTGTGAGCTGGACTTTATCAATTCAGTATACATATATCTTTTGGGGCCCAATTTGCTAGACATTGTCATACAAAGATGGATATAAACTCCCTCTTCTCCGAGAATCCAAAATTGTGGGCCAAACTTGAATTCTGGATGTAATCTGGACAGACAGAAATGATGAAGATACTTCAGGTCAAGAGCAAAACATGAGCAAGGAATAATCACAATAAGAACATTATGCAGAGGCAACAATAAAAAAAAAGAAGACTGAGGTGGAGGAAGACACCCTACTATATGCTGCTATATGTGAGAAGTAGGATGAGGACTAGTCACAAAGAGCAGCAACTATGTGCAGAATGGGGCACTTGGTGAGGAAAAAGACACCCTGTAGGGTCATACCTTTGACAAGGAAATAATAAGGAAGAAGAATATATTCAAAGGCACAGATCTTTTTTTGACAAGTTTTCTAAAAGATAGTAAAAAAAGATATCCAAAAGGCAGTAGAAAAGCTAGCTGCCTCACTCTTTCCACACATTTAATCAGAATGCCAAGTACAGTTGTTTTAAAATGTCTCCCAATTTTTTGATAGTCCTCCCATCAAAAGGCAGAGTCTAATTCTCTTCTTCTTGAATAAGAATTGATTTTAACAAATCACTTTTAAGGAAAACTTCTAGCAATTAGAATGAGAAGGAACTGATGCTATGTGACCTCCAACGCTGGTTCAGAGATCAGGTAACCATAGTATTTCTGTCTGTCTGTGTCTGTCTGTCTGTCTCTCTCTCTCTCTCTCACTCCCAAACAAAAGGAGGAGCATGGATCACAGTATTTTCTCTTGAACAGTCACTGCCTGCAAAAGTAACACATACCGAAAACAAACTGAGGGGAAAAGAAAGTGGGTGCTGATTGAGACGAGAGACCGTGATGGCTTAAAAATACAAATCAGTGGTGCTGTCCCAGAAGCAGAGAGGAGCACACAACATGCAAAACAAACATTTTCTTCAAACATAGAGCTCGATACAAGGATTTGGGTGCAAGAGGTTCATTTTGGAAATGATTGTAGGAAGTGCAATGAGGCTAATAGGGATCTAAGGGAGGGAAAGGAAAACAGCTAAGAAATGTTCTGTTGCTCTGTGGGCAAGTAGAACTTATTCCTACTGGAATAAGTAGAAATAGCATTGAATACTCCCTTGGAGTCATCTTGCATGGGATAAAGAAACTGGGGTATTTCCACCAACTCCCATTCTTCATTAAAGAGATTGCTCCAGAGTTGTTAACTCTTCAGTACTGCTGGTCTGGCACATTTGTGGGTAGAGCGTAATCCTAGAAGCAGATAATGTTTCAAGCAGAGACACAGGTAGCCATTGGCATTCTTCCTGCAGGTGAACTTCAGGTGGGCTGAGGGGATGTGGGTGTGACACTGTCTGCTGTAGTGTCTGACCGAATGTGTCATTGAGCTGTGAGTGAGGTAAAGAAATAGATATGGTGGTAAAAATATCATTCTGGTGAAGATTGACCGTGGAACAAGGAAAGAGATGCAGTGATAGCTAGTGTTTTATAGTTCTAGCACTTAATTCATAGATTCACATTTCAGCACTCAGTGTTTCAACTGCCATCTTATGTGAGAAACCTGGACCTAAGAGGAGATAACTTGTTCGTCCAAATTTTCACAACCACCATGGTTCTGTGTCTCCTAACATTTACAATTCTGTGTTATTACATACTTCCTCACTAATACATCTTTACCTTAAAAAGAAAAAAGAAGGGACAAATAGGGATTGGCATGACCACCTGCACCCAGATAGGGCATTGGCAGCCCCTGGAAAGAGGTCTGTTTACCAGTGAAGTCAACACACAGCACCCAGGATGTGAACACCTCTGTTTCTTGAAATGTATATAAATACTTTTCTTTGAAGAACTCACTTTTTCTCTATCCTCATATATTCTGCTGTTTTTGAAAAAGATGACAATATTTTCCACAGATTGTTGCTTCTGTGCTTTATATGCACATTAAGATATATAAGTGAGAAAAACTGAATTTCTCCATTTGAGTATTAAAGAGTGAAGCTGGATTATCGAATTCAGCCATGTGTTAGTAATCCTCGAAATAAAAAGTTAGCATATACCACAGGAACAAAATTTTACTAAGCCAGATACATCATGGGCTTCTAAGAAACAACCTGAAAAGCTTTAAAAAAAGAAATCAATGTTAACATAGCATTTAATCATTTATAGGAGGACACCATTCTCAGGAGTATCTTTTAGTAACAGTCTGAAATTATATCCCTTAGTAGAAGAACATGCCTTTAGTCATTGGAGAGATTCTGGTGGCACCAAGTGATTTATTAGGGAGTACAGGAAGATTTGAGATAGTAAAGTCTTATATTTGAAAGATTATATCCTCTGCCTGGACAAAATTATATATAAGGGTAAAAATATGACATGAAAAAATGAGAGTACAACTATGAAATAAGAATGCAGTATAAGAGCAATAAAAATTGTTTAAATAATGTGAACAAGAGAATTTATTAATAATATCTAATATACTGAGTACACACCTGAGGGCAATGTAAAAAAAAGTCATCGTAACTGCTGCCATAAGCAATTTTAAAAAGAAAAAAACTATAAAGGAATTATTTTAATCAAGATTAAGTTTTCCAGAGACCTATGTGAGGTTGTGGCATACCTCTCAACCTTTCCTAAAAATCTTCCCAAAATGATGCACCATTTCAAACCTTTCTATTTAAGCGGCTTCAAAGGATCACAGTAAAACTTGGCCTGCTCACACATTTTAAATTCAGCTTTTATCAAACTGATTTATGATTTGAATTAGACTTATGTCAATTTGATTTATGTGTCTGCTCTTGGCCTATGCTATGTGTACTGACCATAACCGACTTGTCACTGAGGAAAGACAATCCACAAGGACAGGGATAATATACCTCCCAAAGGGCCATTAAAGGGAAATAACAGTACAAACCTTGTCCTTTGCTCTCTGTGTCCCGTGAGCTCCAAAAAGTATGCATCTTGCAGTGCCAGGCACAGATTAGGAGCACGGAATCCCCTGAGATAAGCAAACAAATATATCATGTGCTTTCTGGAAAGGTAACATCACTCATCATGTTCCTTTGAAACTATTTTTAAATAATGGCTGAGTTGGGAAACCATTTAAGACGCATCACCTGTTACCATTAAGTGATATTCACAATTCTAATTAGCTTGCATTGCTACACAGGGCCCTTGTGGTTGTCTTAAATTTTCTGATTTAAATACAGACATTTTTCTTGTCCCAGGGAGACACCATTATCAAGGTTTGGTGGAGAAAAAAATATATGAGACAAGTATTGCAATATCAATAGTCTCATAAAATTAAGTTCTTAGCCAATGAACTTGAAGACTTGATATTAAATTTCTAAGGTTATTTTTTAGCAGTCTGCCCTTTTAGGAACAATATTGTGATTTTACCATTAACAACTGTTGGCCAAGATAGAGAGTCCTATTTTCTTCACTTGTGATCTGTCATTATCAAATATATTCAAAATCTTCTTGCCATTGCTAAGCATCATTTTAACTTTTTTCTCTTTCTGTTGTTGTTCATTTCTATATTTAGCTTCCACAAATCTAAAATGAAAAATAAAGTATAGAACAGACTGTAGGTATCTATCTAGGATGTCAGTATTTTATTGGATCATCACCAAACAGTGCAATGACAGGATTCCCAAACTGGTCTGCTGCTTAACATTGCTTTTCAAAGATCTGCTGAAAACATTACTTCTTTAACAACTACAGTGTAATTTCTGCCAATTGCCACTTGTTGATACCTCCTAGGAAACCACCAAAAATTAGCTGGAAAAATATGTTTTGAAATGTTTAAGAGGAAAATTATTTCCTTTGAATATCTGTAGAAAGCAATATACCATGATTTTTGAGGGCTGTGTTGCTGCCAAAAAATGTGTTTGTCTAAGCAGAACTTGAGGTACGTGAAATTTTACATTTTCTATAAACTTAAAGCTGTAACCATCAACAACTCTCTGGCTACTTTCTTCTCTCTGGTTAACAACACTTAATAATAGGGTATCCAGAGAGTTATGAAAGCTTACTCTTTATAGATCTTCAATCAAGAAAACGGCCTTGTCCTTGGTAAGCTTACGTGTAGTTCTCTCATTGGAGAAACTGTTCTAAGCAAATCATGAAGTCCTACTTTCTCCCCAGAATATTAAGGTATCAGGTGCCCAAACTGGAAGGTTCTACTGGTCTCGGGAAACCTCAGGCAAACTGGACTCTTACCAGTTGCCTTTGATATTCTTAAGGAATTAATTTGAAAAACTTTATGCTTTCCCAAAATATCAAATAATACAGTAACATTTCAAAAGTACTACTCAATTTGAGTAAGGGACAATGAAATTTGCTTGAATTGCAAACATTAAAAGTAGTCAAAGCTTACTCAAAAACAAGGTGACTCTTTTCCCATATCTAACACCCTCTGAATACAATTCAAATTTGTGACTTGGTAAAATAACAAACTATGATAGGTTTTAGAAAACATTGTTGAAGCAACAAATGCCAAAGTTCTGTCTTATTACTTCTCTCATAACCATGGCTTCAAGCACCACACTGTTCTGCCTCAATAAAATGCACATCATTCAGAGAGCTGATGGAGGAGAAAGCAGCTAATAGCTCTGAAAGAAAGGAATGATTAAATACAGTGTATTGTGACTATTGTGTTTAATTTCATGATATATAAAGAAATTTAATGACTTATTTAGCTGTTTCTTCAGGATGGCTTCTTCTGACCTTTTACAGCTCATTCAGTGCCCTAGGAGAGAGGAAGATAAGAATGCATTTCAGATTCTTCCATTATCCTACAGTGTAACAGGTGGAGCATTTTCTGGTGTCACTACAAAACTTGATTAGCCTGGTTAGGAAGATGCTTTTCCAAAGGAGTGAAAGTGCTCACACTCTGCATGATGCTTTCCTTTCTCATTAAGCCTGACATTTCAGTGCTTTGTTGCAAACAAAAACTCATAATAGCACTGGACCAAGGGTATAAAATTTTGCGCTGTACACATAATACACTTTGTAAAAGGAAAGGGAGTGACAGAGTTGTTGATGTATGCTTTGTAGTTATCACTTTACGACAGTTACCAAACAGCAGCAGCTTTTTAGCTAGTTTTCAGACAACCGGTTTTGGACAGCTGTTCGAATATTGGCTACTCAACCAACCTATGCAATGATAATTTAGGGTGGGCTTTCGCCAGAAAACCAAGCATATTTACTCTACCCTTTATTCCAAATAAACAAATGGCCTACTTTCTCCGTAGCCAAAAATGTTAGCTAAATTCCTAAATTTCAATTTTGACCTTCATTTTAAGGAAAATGAGCATCTGTTTTACTTTTAGAAATGGAGACCTAACCAGAGAGTACCAGCAACCATTGGAAAAACATAGCAATGGTCTGTTAGGGGTGGAGTGGCTGTTTGATCCAGCTCAACTATCATTATGATCTAGGACTTAGATTTTCTGGAGATTGAGGAGGGGTGGCTAGCCATATGCATATGTCACTGTAACCTTCTCACACTGTATTACACCTCTTTATTTTCTTGATAGAAGTTTAACATTTGGGTGTGCTTTTCTTTTAATATTGAAAACATTTTTTAAATAAGTTGAATATTACCATTATTTAAACTGCCAAGTCTTTGCAAATTTTTTTAAATTTCCACTTTTATTTTAGATACAGAGAGTATATGTGCATATTTGTTACACAGGAGTACTGTGTGATGCTGAGGTTTGGAATACGGATCCAATCACCCTGGTAGCAAACATAGTACCTCATAGGTAGTTTTTTACGCCAACACCCCTCCCTCCACCCTCTGGTAGTCCACAGTATATATTGTTTCCATATTTACGTCCATACGTGCTCAATGATTAGCTCCCACTTATAAGTGAGTACATATGGTATTTGGTTTTCTGTCTTTGTATTAATTTGCTTAGGAGTATGGCCTCCAGCTCCAACCATATCCCTGCAAAGGACATGTTATTCTTTTTTATAACTGTGTAGTATGCCATGGTACATATATACCATATTTTTTTTATCCAATCTACCATTGATGGGCACCTGGGTTGACTCCATGTCTTTGCTATTGTGAATAGTGAAACAATGAACATATGAGTACATGTGTCTTTTTGGTAGAATGATTTAGTTCCTTTTGGGTACATACCTAGGAATGGGATAGCTGGGTCAAATGGTAGCTCTGTATTAGCTCTTTCAGAATCTCTAGAACGTTTTCCACAATGACTGGACTAATTTAAATTCCCACCAACAATGTATAAACTTTCTCTTTGCTCCACAGCCTCGCCAGCATCTGTTATTGTTTTTTACTTTTTAATAATAGCCATTCTGACTGGTGCAAGATGGTATCTCATCACGGTTTTGATTTGCATTTCTCTGATGATTAGTGATGCTTAGCATGTTTTCATATGTTTCTTGGCCACCTGAATGTCTTTTTTTTTTAATTTTTCATAGGTTATTGGGGTACAGGTGGTATTTGATTACGTAAGTTCTTTAGTGGTGATTTGAGAGATTTTGGTTCACCCATCACCCAAGCAGTATACACAGCACTCTATTTGGAGCCTTTTATCCCTCGACCCCTCCCACCCTTCCCCCCAAGTCCCCAAAGTCCATCGTATCATTCTTACACCTCTGTGTGCTCGCAGCTTAGCTCCCACATATCAGTGAGAACATTAAATGTTTGGTTTTCCACTCCTGAGTTACTTCACTTAGAATAATAGTCTCCAATTTCATCCAGGTGGCTGCAAATGCTGTTAATTTATTCCATTTTATGGCTGAGTAGTATTCTATTATATATATACACACACAGTTTCTTTGTCCACTCATTGATTGATGGACATTTGGGTTGGTTCCACGATTTTGCACTCGCAAAATGTGCTGCTATAAACATGTGTGTGCAAGCATCTTTTTCGTAAAATGACTTCTTTTCCTCTGGTAGATACCCAGGAGTGGGATTGCTGGATCAAATGGTAGTTCTACTTTTAGTTATTTAAGGAAGCTCCATGCTGTTTTCCATAGTGGCTGTACTAGTTTACATTCTGACCACCAGTGTAAAAGCGTTCCCTGATTACCGCATCCATGCCAACATCTACTGTTTTTTGATTTTTTGATTATGGCTATTCTTACAGGAGTAAGGTGGTATCACGTCGTGGTTTTGACTTGCATTTCCCTGATCATTAGTGACATTTAAGATTTTTTCATATGTTTGTTGGCCATTTGTGTATCTTCTTTGAGAATTGTCTATTCATGTCCTTAGCCCACTTTTTGATGGGATTGTTTTTTTTCTTGCTGATTTGAGTTTGTTGTAGATTCTGGATATTAGTCCTTTGTCAGGCTGCACGGATTGTGAAGATATTCTCTCACTCTGTGGGTTGTCTGTTTACTCTGCTGACTGTTCCTTTTGCCACGCAAACACTCTTTAGTTTAAATCCCAGCTATTTATCTTTGTTTTTATTGCATTTGCTTTGGGGTTCTTGGTCATGAAATCGTTTCCTAAGCCAATGTCTAGAAGGGTTTTTCCAGTGTCATCTTCTAGAATTTTATAGTTTCAGGTCTTAGATTTAAGTCCTTAATTCATCTCGAGTTGATTTTTGTATAAGTCAAGAGATGAGGATCCACTTTCTTTCTCCTACTTGTGGCTAGCCAATTATCCCAGCACCATTTGTTGAAAACAGTTTCTTTTCCCGTTTTTTTTTTTTTTGTTGTTGTTGTTTGTTTGCTTTGTTGAAGATCAGTTGGCTGTAAGTATTTGGGTTTATTTCTGGGTTCACTATTCTGTTCCATTAGTCTATGTGTCTATTTTTATACCAGTACCATGCTGTTTTAGTGACTATGGCTTAATAGTATAGTTTGAAATCAGGTAATATGATGCCTCCAGATTTCTTCTTTTTGCTTAGTCTTGTTTTGGCTATGTGGGCTCTTTGTTGGTTCCATATGAATTTTAGATATAATTGTTTTTTCTAATTCTGTGAAGAATGATGGTGATATTTTGATGGGGATTGCATTGAATTTGTAGATTGCTTTTGACAGTATGGTTCTTTTAACAATATTGATTCTACCCATTCATGAGCATGGGATGTGTTTCCATTTGTTTGTGTCATCTATGATTTCTTTCAGCACTGTTTTGTAGTTTTCCTCATAGAGGTCTTTCAACTCCTTAGGTATAGTCCCAAGTACTTTTTTTTTTCCAGCTATTGTGAAAAGGATTGAGTTCTTGATTTGATTCTCCACTTGGTCACTATTGGTATACAGAAGACCTACTGATTTGTGTACATTAATCTTGTATCCAGAAACTTTCCTGAATTCTTTTATCAGTTCTAGGAGCTTTCTGGAGGAGTCCATAGGGTTTTTTGAGGTAAATGATCATATCATCAGCAAACAGTGACAGTTTGACTTCTTTACCGATTTGGATGCCCTTTATTTCTTCCTCTTGTCTGATTGCTCTGCCTAGGGCTTCCAGTACTGTGTTGAAGAGGAGTGGTGTGAGTGGTCATCCTTGTCTTTTTCCTGTTCTCAGAGGAAATTCTTTCAACTTTTCCCATGTTGCCTGTGGGTTTGTCATAGATGGCTTTTTTTACATTGAGGTATGTCTGCTGTATGCTGATTTTGCTGAGAGATTTAAATCATAAAAGGATGTTGGATTTTGTTGATTGCTTTTTCTGCATCTATTGAGATAATCATGTGATTTTTGTTTTCAATTCTGTTTATGTGGTGTATCACATTTATTGACTTGTGTATGTTAAACCGTCTCTGCATTCCTGGCATGAAACCCACTTGATCATGGTGGATTACCCTTTTGATATGTTGTTAGATTTGGTTAGCTAGTATTTTGTTAAGGATTTTAGCATCTATGTTCATCGGGGATATTGGTCTGTAGTTTTTTTTTTTTTTTTTTTGGTTATATCCTTTCCTGGTTTTGATATTAGGGTGATGCTGGCTTCATAGAATTAGAGAGGATCCCCTCTTTATCATGTGAAATAGTGTCAAAAGGATTGGTACCAATTCTTTGAATGTCTGGTAGTACTCTGTTGTGAATGCATCTGGTCCTGGATTTTTTTTGTTTGTAATTTTAAAATTACCATTTTGATCTTGCTGCTACTTATTAGTCTGTTCAGGGTATCTAATTCTTCCTGATTTAAGCTAGGATGATTGTATTTTCCAGGAATTTATCCATCTCTTTTAGGTTTTCTAGTTTATGTGCATAAAGGTGTTCATAGTAGCCTTGAATGATCTTTTGTATTTCAGTGGTGTCAGCTGTAATAACCTCATTAAGAAACAAAATGGGAGATATTTGGGTTTTCTCTCTTCTCAGTTAATATTTCTAATGGTTTATCAATTTTATTTATCTTTTAAAGGATGAGTTTTTTGCTTATCTTTTGTACTTTTTTGTTTCAATTACATTTAGTTCTGCTCTGATCTTGGTTATTTCCCTTCTTCTGTTGGGTTTGGGTTTAGTTTGTTCTCGTTTCTCTAGTTCCTTGAGGTGTGACCTTAAGATTGTCAGTTTGTGCTCTTTGTCTTTTGATGTAGGCATTTAGGGCTATGAACTTTCCTTTTGCCTTTGCTGTATCCCAGAGGTTTTGATAGGTTGTCATTGTCATTCAGTTGGAAGAATTTTTTAATTTCCATCTTGATTTCATTTTTGACTCAATGATTATTCAAGAACAGGTTAATTTCCATGTATTTACATAGTTTTGAAGGTTCCTTTTGGAGTTGATTTCCAGTTTTATTCCACTGTGGTCTGAGAGAGTGTTTGATATCATTTTGATTTTCACGCACTATTGAATAGAATGTGTGTTCTGCAGTTGTTGGACGAAATATTCTGTATATATTTAAGTCCATTTGTTCTAAGGTATAGTTTAAATCCACTGTCTCTTTGTTGGCTTTGTCTTGATGACTTGTCTAGTGCTGTCAGTGGAGTATTGAAGTCCCCCACTATTATTGTATGGCTGTCTATCTCATTTCTTAGGTCTATTAGTAATTGTTTTATAAATTTGGGAGAGCTCCAGTGTTAAGTGGAACCTAACAATATGTTTATGGTTATGATATTTTCCTATTGGACAAGGCCTTTTACCATTATATAATATCCCCCTTTTTTATCTGCTGTTGCTTTAAAGTTTGTTTTATCTGATATAAGAACAGCTACCCCCCTGCTTACTTTTGGTGTCCATTTGCATGAAATGCCTTTTTCTACTCCTTTAAGTTTACGTGAGTCCTTGTGTGCTAGGTGAGTCTCCTGAAGGCAGCAGGTAGTTGGTTAGCGAGTTCTTATCCATTCTGTGGTTCTGTATGTTTTAAGTGGAACATTTAGGCCATTTACATTCAATATTAGTGTTGAGATGTGAGGTACCATTGCATTCACTGTGCTATTTGTTGCCTGTGTACCTTGGTGTTTTTTTTTTGTTTTTGCTTTTTAACTTGTATTTTTGTTTTATAGGTCCTGTGTGATTTATGCTTTAAAGAGGTTTTGTTTTGATATATTTCCAGGATTTGTTTCAAGATTTAGAGCTCCTTTTAGCAGTTCTTGCAGTGGTGGCTTGCTAGCGGCTAATTCTCTCAGTATTTGTTTATCTGAAAAAGACTATCTTTCCTTTATATATGATGCTTAGTTTTACTGGATACAGAATTCTTTGCTGATAATTGTTTTGTTTGAGGAGGCTAAAAATAGGGCACCAATCCCTTCTAGCTTGTAGGGTTTTTGCTGAGAAATCTGCTGTTAATCTGATAGGCTTTCCTTTTTAGGTTACCTGGTGCTTTTGTCTCACAGCTCTTAGGAGTCTTTCCTTCAAATTAACTTTAGATAACCTGATGACAATGTGCCTAGGCAATGATCTTCTCGTGGTGAATTTCCCAGGTGTTATTTGTGCTTCTTGCATTTGGAAGTATAGGTCTCTAGCAAGGCCAGGGAAATTTTCCTCGATTATTCCCTCAAATGTGTTTTCCAAACTTTCAGACTTCAATAGGTTTGGTTGTTTAACATAATCCCAGACTTCTTAGAGGCTTTGTTCATATTTTATTTGTTTTTCTTTGTCTCTGTTGGGTTGGGTTAATTCAAAGACTTTGTCTCCGAGCTCTGAAGTTCTTTCTTCTATTTGTTCAATTCTATTGCTGAGACTTTCCAAAGCATTTTGCATTTCTATAAGCGTGTCCAATGTTTCCTGAAGTTTTTATTATTTATACTATCTGTTTCCTTGAATATTTTTCCCTTCACTTCCTGTATTGTTTTTTGGATTTCCTTGCATCAGGCTTTGCCTTTCTCTGGTGCCTGATTAGCTTAATAACTAACCTCCTGAATTCTTTTTCAGGTAAATCAGGGATTTCTTCTTGGCTTTGATCCATTGCTGTTGAGCTAGTATGATTTTGTGTGTTGGGGGGGTTGGGGGGCGGTGTTAAAGAGCCTTGTTTTGTCATATCACCAGGGTTGGTTTTCTGGTTCCTTCTCATTTGGGTAGGCTCTGTCAGAGGGAAGGTCTAGGGCTGAAGGTTTTTGTTCACATTCTTTGGGGTAGTGTTCACTTGATGTAGTACTCTCCCCACTTTCCTATGGATGTGGCTTCCTGTGAGCCGAGCTGCAGTGACTGTTATTTCTCTTCTGGGTCTAGCCACCCAACAAGTCTACCCAGCTCCAGGGTGGTACTAGGGATTGTCTGCACAGAGTCCTGTGATGTGAATCATCTATGGTTCTCTCAGCCATGGATACCAGCACCTGTTCTGGTGGAGGTGGCAGGGGGTATGGTTGTGAAATGGACTTTGTGAGAGTTCTTAGCTTTGGTGGCTTAATGTTCTGTGTGTTGGTTGGCCTCCTGCCAGGAGGTGGCACTTTCCAGACAGCATCAGCTGTGGTAGTTTAGAGAGAAACTGGTGGTAGGTGGGACCCTAGAACTCCCAAGAGTATATGCCCTTTGTCTTCAGCTACCAGGGTGGGTAAGGTACCATCAGGTGGGGGCAAGGCTAGGTGTGTCTGAGCTCAGACTCTCCTCAGGCAGTTCTTGCTGCAGTTGTATGGGGCATGGGGGTGAAGTTCCTAGGTCAATGGAGTTATGTACCTAGAAAGATTATGGCTGCCTCTGCTGAGTCATGCAGATTTTCAGGGAAGTGGGGAAAAGCCAGCAGTCACAGGCCTCATCCAGCTCCCACACAATCTGAAGGGCCGGTCTCGTTCCCACCATGCCCCCAATAACAGCCCCAAGTCTGTTTCCAGACAGCGGGTGAGCAGGGCTTGAGAACTTGCCTCAGGCTACCCACCTCGCAGCTGCGAAAGAAAAGGGCTTTGGTTCTGCCCCAGCCTGTGGACTCTACATGCCAGATTCACACCCTCCCAAGTTCTGGCCAGGAGTCTTCTCTCCCAGTCCAAATTGTCACAGAGTTCAGCCAGAGACTTCCTTCTCCTTGTGGTGTTTTCCCCCGCACCTCTGGCCACCCTCCAGAAGGATCCCTGTGTTGCCAGGCAGGAATGGCTTGCTTGGGGAACCAGCCAGCTCCCAAGTCCTTCCCCTTTGCTTCTTCTACCCCTGTATTTCGCTCAGCTCTCTAAATTGACTCAGGTCCAGGTAAGGTTGGAAACTTCTCCCACAAACTAGTCCTTCGGTTTTCCCAGTGGAGTTGTTTGTTCGGGAGTGGTGAATCTCCCTTTCCCACTTCCACAGCTGGGGCCTCACAGTATTTGGGGTGTCTCCCGGGTCCTGCAGGAACAGTCTGCTTCCTTCCTTTAGAGAACCTGTGGGTCCTCTTGGGATTCCTGGTTTGTTCTTTCAGTTGTTCTGGAGCCAAAATTCACGATGCAAGCCTCCGCACACTGCTCTGTCTATCTGAGTAGGAGCTGCGATCTTGTATGTCTTTTGAGAAGTGTTTTGTTCATGTCCTTTGCCTATTTTTGAATGAGGTTATTTGGGTTTTGCTTATCAATTGAAGTTCCCTATAGATTCTGACTATTAAGCCTTTGTAGGATACATAGTTTGTAAATATCTTCTCCCATTCTGCAGGGTGTCTGCTTGCTCTATTTTTGATGTGCAGAAGCTCTTTAGTTTAATTAGGTCTGATTTATCTGTTTTTGTTTTTATTACAATTGTTTTTGGGGACTTAGACAAAAATTCTTTGCCAATGCTGATGTCAAGAAGAATATTTCCCAGGTTGTCTTCCAGGATTTTTATAGTTTGAGATCTTACATTTAAATATTTAATCCATTTGGAGTTAAATTTTTTATATGATGAAAGGTAGGGGTGCAGATTCAATCTTCTGCATATGGCTAGCCAATTATCCCAGTAACATTTACTAAATAGGGGTTTTTTCCCATTGCTTATTTTTTTCAGCACTGTCAAAGATCAGATGGTGTAGGCATGTGGCTTTATTTCTGAGTTTTCTATTATGTTCCATTGGTTTAAGTGCCTGTTTTTGTACCAATATCATGCTGTTTGGGTTAATGTGGCTTTTTAGTACAGTTTGAAGTTGGGTAGTGTAATGCCTCCAGCTTTGTTCTTTTTGCTTAGAATTGCTTTGGCTATTCAGGCTCTTTTCTGGTTCCATATGAATTTTAGAATATTTTTTTTTTCTAATTGGGTAAAGAGTGACATTGGTAGTTTGATAGGAATAACATTGAATTTGTAAATAGCTTTGGGCAGTATGGACATTTTTATGATATTGATTCTTACAATCCATGAGCTTAGAATGTTTTTCCGTTTATTTGTGTCTGATTTCTTTCAGCAGTGTTTTATAGTTCTCCTTGTAGAGATCTTTCACCTCCTTGGTTAGTTGTATTTCTAGGTAATTCAGTTTCTTTGTGGCTATTGAAAGGGATATTGTGTTTTTTATTTCACTCTCAGTATGGATATTGGTGTTTAGAAATGCTACTTATTTTTGTATCTTAATTTTGTTTTCTGAAACTTTACTAAGGTTGTTTATCAATTCTAAGAGCCTTTTGTCAGAGTCTTTAGGATTTTCTAGGTATAGAATCATATCATCAAAGATGGATAATTTTCCTTCCTTTCCTATTTGGATGCCTTTTATTCCTTTATCTTGCCTGATTGCTCTGGCTAGAAGTTCCAGTACTATGCTGAATAGGAGTGTTGAGAATAGGTATCCTTGTCTTGTTCCATTTTTCAAGGGGAATGGTTCCAGCTTTTGCTCATTCAGTATGATGTTGGCTATGGGTTTGTCATAAGGGGCTCTTGTATTTTTCATAAAGATAACAGTCATTGCCCTATTTAGGAACTGCACTGGACATGGGAATTTTACTTTTAAAAAATGTTTTGAGATCACCTGTTGAAACTGTCATAATCAATTTGTTGCCATTTTTATACTACTGAAATATACTTAGAGGTATTATGTTTGACATCCTCTATAGTGTTGTTAGGAGGCAGCATGGTTTTATGTAAAATACTCATTTATCTGTAATCTAAACCCTTAGTAGAACACACTCTATCTTATTTATCCATAGAAATAAGAGGCATGGATCCACTGAAGCAAGTTAGGAGGGTCAGAAAAATCCTGTTTAGTATATAAACAATACATGCAATTGTATGCTATAAAGAGCTGCATGAAATTAATTTTAAACACAGGGTTATCAAAAGATGATATAGACCAATGGTCAGAAAAGTCTAAAATAAATGGATTTTATCTTATGTTATAATTTCTATTTCTAAATTTCTCACACTTTCCTCCCTGAATTTAAGTATGCCTGAAATTTAGAAATCAAATATACACTATGAAATATAAAACTTTCCTACCCTTTAAAACATATTATTCCTGAAAATATCAGTAACATGTAATATAAACAAATTCACATGCTCTGTAGATCTGCATTGTCCAATTCATGCTGTCTTTAGTAAGAAAGCATATAAAAATTATATTAAAATAGAAATGACTGGTGGTTAATGAGTTAATACTAGTTAATAAATTAACAAATATGTTAGTTACTTATCACGGCATAGTAAGATTAGCAGCCGAAAACAACAAACCTTTATTATCCCCCAGTGTCTGTGGATCAGAATTCCGGTTGTAGCTTACTTTGGTGCCTCTGGCTCAGGGTCTTTCATGAAATGGCAATCAAACTGTTATCTGAAGCTGTGTTCCTCTGAGACTGGACAGGAAGAGAATGCACCTCCAAGGTAAATCATATGGCAGTTGGCAGGTCTCAGAAGACCTGCATCTAAGCTCACTCAGTCCCCTGCAGAGGTCTGCCTCATGACATAGCAACTGGTTTCCCCCCACAGCAAAAATAATCCAAGAAAAAGCAAGAGAAATCCCCAAATAGAAGCCACAGTCTTCTTTTCACTTACTGTTGTATGTGATATTCCATAATGTTTGCCATATTCTAGTCATTAACAAGTCAGTAACTCCAGTTCACAATCAAAGGAAAGGGATTACACAAGGGTGTGTATACCAGGAGGTAGACATCTGGGGTGAAGGTGGAGGCTACCTTTCATTTATTATGTTGACAGTCTCTTAGAAGTATATCTTTTAGGTGGTAGTTTTGCTTAATCACTATTCATTTCTTATATATGATACTTAGTTCAAATATTCTATATCAATATATCTGGCTAATTCAGTTGTTTGCACCTATTGAAATAAAGGCTCCAATAAGTACATTTAAATATAATGTATTCTTCCATATAAAGTAAGGTATAACTTACTTTATATAGAAAAGTGGGATATTTTTGACATTGTTAGAAACCAATTTGTACTTTCTACATTTAAAATCACCTTCACACATAATTTCTAAGTATCAAGTCATTGTTAAATGCCATTATTTGAAAATAAAATTATAAAATTATCCGGTACAATAGTAATAAACTCATTTTTAGCCCACAAATCAAATCTGAAAACTGACCTCTGTATTTCTGCCAAGAATGTTTTTCTGGTTCAGCAGAATGGGGTTAAAACATTGGATAGAAACAAAATGTAAGAGCCAAAATGTAAAAGACTTAGAAAACTTTAGTTCATAACTATCATTTTCTCAGATTTTTATAAATAAAAGAAAAACAGCATTGATCAAAAACAGGCATAACATTCATACCTGCCTTTTAACTATAGATGCTGCACATATAGCTGCCATTCATTCACCACTTCTCAAAGTTAAAAAAGAATCAAGTCTCACTCTAAATTATTTATATAATTCTTTATATAAGCATCATCAAGGATTAAATTTAAATTTCAATAATGAGTCACAAAATCTGTCCCTTCCAGCTTTCTAAATGATTTTTTTAATACATTCCATATTAGACTATTACATTTTTGGCTTTCTTAAGACAGAAATGCTATAAGACTATCTGATTTCTACCATTACTTTTTTTTAATAAGGCGGGGTCAAGCCAATTCTGTGACCTGTGGGTATTTCAGACAATGTCATGTTTAGGGGACTAAATCTTTTCTGAGTATCTTTCTCCCTAACCTGGTTCTTGACTGTGGTTGGTCCTAAACGGAAAGTGTTGGATGTGACAAAAGACAGATACTAATGATCACGCATATCTGCAAAAATCACACCTCACAGCACTAAAGACTTCAAGGCTTTTCAGAATACTCTGTGTCAAAATGATTCATCACTTTCAAGACTGCCACTTCAAAATATTTCTAGCAATCACATAAGGAACATGCTGAGAGTGCTGTAAATTAGATCATTTTAAACATATAGAAGTAACTTTATTTTCTTAACTGCTTTCATCTAAGCAGAAGATATTCCCAATTTAGAGGTTCTTCATAAATGACAATACACATTCACATAAGAATTGTTCATAGAAATGCTAATGTACAAACACACACACTCATTACACATTTAGGCTCACGCATGCTGTGAAGAATAAAACAGCTTCTCATCTCAAGCAATGCTGAAATATACTTTTGTTAAAGCATAAAAGGCACTTGTATAGATGTATAACCATCAAACTGAAGGTTTACAAGTTAAACAATTTAAAAGGGAAATAATGAGTGCTAAGAAGTTTCACTTAAAAATTAAAGCTTGTTCCATAGACCAAAAAATATGTAATTACTAGTAAGCAAAAATAAATCTCTATTTTAATTCCTCCAAGAAAATAGCTCTTTCAACCATTACGTGAATTCATCAGCTCTAAACATGAAAGAACAATGGCTGGTCTTTCCTCTAGAGATGCTTTCTAAATGTGAAAACAAAGTTTTATTCAAGACCTTTACGAACACAGAAGAAGTTAGTTCTGACAATGAGATCTGTGTTTGGAAAGAGTATCATATTTATAAGGATTCTTGCAGGTCATAAAGCACCTTTGTGCAAATTAAAAAATAGCAACCCCTCTGGGCCCAGATTGTCACATGAACAGCATTGTGAATTATGGGCTTCCTTTTATTTAATGGATACAGACTTAAGAGGAAACACAGGCAGGATTTTGGCCTCTTGTAAACCCCTCCATTGTGCCCACTTCTACAAAGAGCACAAACCGCACAACCATAGATGACAGTCCTGGTTTTAGGTGGCGGGACTCTGAATGATTGGGGAGCAACACAGGTCACCAAGCAAACATTCCAGTATAATGCTATTATAGCAGGTAGCTAGTCAGGCATGAGCAGGACAGGAGAGGGCTCCCCCTGACCCAAACACACACCAGGAATGTCAGGTGACCATCAGATTATGGTCAGGCAGTTGTCACCCTGTCTCTCTAAAGTAATAATTGGTCACAGCTGGCACCAGGGAAAGGTTGTCTCCCAGTAGATGGTAACACCTGCAACTGGTGATCAGCAGCTTCCCGGTAAGATCTAGGAGTCAGGCGAGTAGGCTCAAGCATATACATTAAGAGGCCAAATGGCAGAGTTTGACTGGTTTGTGATCTTCCAGGGACATTTACTTGGTAAGGGAAGAAGGCCTCAAATGTGCATGTGTACAATTTCAGTAAACACTGTGCATGCTCACCTCCGAAGTGCTAGCAAGCCACTCACATGGGGACAGCCCACTCCAAGGGAAGAATCGGGGGTAAAGGGATGCAAGAACTTAGAAGTACGCCAACATATAAAACCTCAAGTCAAGGTCAAACATGGCACTTGATCTCTCAAGTCACTGCTTGGCCATCTTCTAAGTGTCCTTTACTTCCTTTCATTCCTGCTCTGAATCTTTTTAATAAACTTTCACTCCTGCTCTAAAACCTACCTTGGTATCTCCTTCTGCCTTAAGCCCCTCACTTGATTTTTTGAGACAGAGTCTCACTCTGTTGCCAGGCTGGAGTGCAAGGGCGTGATCTCGGATCACTGCAACCTCTGCCTCCTGGGTTCAAGTGATTCTCCTGTCTCAGCCTCCCTAGTAATGAACTACAGGCACACACCACCACACGCAGCTAATTTATGTATTTTTAGTAGAGATGGGGTTTCACCATGTTGGCCAGGATGGTGTCGATCTCTTGACCTCATGATCCGCCTGCCTCAGCCTCCCAAAATGCTAGGATTACAGGCATAAGCCACCACACCTGGCCCGAATTCTGTCTTCAGAAGAGGCTAGAATTGAGGTTGCTAAAGACCCATACAGATTTACTGCTGGTAACAATGCAACCCTAATATGGTTTCAGCGTTTGTCCCCTTTAAAACTCAGGTTGAAATTTTCTTGCCATTGTGACAGTACTGGGAGATGGGACCAGTAATAAGTGTTTAGGTCATGAGGGCTCTGCCCTCATAAATTGACTAACGCTGTTATCACAGGAGTGAGTTCAGCCTCTCTTGCTCACATTCTCTTTCACTCCCCCTCTCTCTTTTCCCTTCTGCCATGCTATGATGAAGGCTCTCTCACCAGTTGCTAGCACCCTGGCATTGGACTTCCCAGCCTCCACAACTGTAAAGTCAATCAACTTCTGTTTATTATAAATTACCCGGTCTGTGGTGTTCTGCTAGAGCAGAACAAAACAGACTAAGACAAAGTCTTACAATGCAAATAGTTAACCTGAGAAGATTAAGTTCTAGGAGGTTTCAAATAGAATCCAGAGATCAAGGAAAATAGTGCAGAGAATCCCAAAGCCAAAGAAAATGAATAACTCTGAATTCCACAACAATGATATTCTGGCAATCTCTGTAATTGGTTTTGTCGCCGAGAACTAGTTTATCTGCTAGAGAAAGCAAGAGAAGTAACATATTTTTATACCATATTTTATAACATGCTTTATAAAATGCTTGATCCAGCTGTCTATTCTCTGGATTGGATTACAAATGTGATTACAAATGTGCTATAGACAGGGACCTTAAACTGTGAATGTCATGTACCTTATGGGTACTTAATAATGCAAAGCAATAAAATCTCACTTTATACAGAGGGAAAAAGGGAAAAATGGGATTTTGAAAAATTAGTTGGGTAAAAATGACTAATTTCTACATTTATGGAAACAATTATTTGGTGATAAGGGATAATCTCAAAAGTGTCCTGCATACACTATCCTAAAATATCTCCATATTCCATTTATTTTAGTGTTTTTCCAGTAGGCATGCATGAGTGCATGTCATTAATTTGGTGAATGAGAAGTTTGGTGACACCATTTTTCTATATCATGAAGATATATTCACAAGTTAGCTTTGGGCTTATAATTAGATGAAGCACAAAACTCTGATTTATTAAAATTCATTGCAGATTTTTGGACAGAAATTTATTCATGCTCAAAGGCAACAAGAAATTATTGTGAAGGTCTGTGAACTGAAATTTGTATTACTTTTACCCCAGGAAAAAAACAAGAAGTGAAACCTGTATTATCTTTACTATAGTGTAATTCATATCTAAGTGGACCAAGTTAATAATATGGTTGATGGAAAATATAACTGATAGTAATGCTAATAAAATATGAATAATATTTTTAAAATGTGGTTGAATATAGAAAACACTGCAATACCAATGACAATACAACAGCCCTAGATTCTAGTTAGCACAAATCCCCATTCCCCTTCCAGCAAGCACACTTGTTCATAATCTTTTGCACAACTGACTCTATTTAATTCTCTACTAACATTTCCTAAACCTACATTGCCATCTCAATTTGCCTCTTGATCTCTGCAAATTATTTCTCATCCCCATGTCTCTCCCTGTGCCACAAATTCCACCACTCTCAGACAGATGAGTAGACCAAATTCATTAGCCTGTGTTGAGATTTATTTCTCCCATCTATGATGATCTGGCCTCTTCAAAAGTCTCTTTTAATTTTTTTAATTTTAATACTGAAAAAGTAAAATAGCTTTTAATCACACTATTTTAAAATGTATAAAAAGTTAATGTATAAAAAAATTAAAGTCACATTTCCTTTCTCCAATCCATCCAATTGTGATGGTCAGAGGTTGCCATGGTTAATAGGTTGTTGCCAATCTTTTCTGACATTTTACCCTATTTATTCGTTTGTCTTTCTCTTTCTCTCTCGTGCATCTGTGTGTGTACATACTTACATATTCACCTTTTTTTATCCCTCCAAATATAGAATCACATACACAGGCATACATTGCTTTTCCCATGAATAATATCTTATTAATATCTCCCCATATTAACACAAAGAGGACTACTTTGTTTTATTAAAGGGCTGAGTGGTATTCCATGGTATGACTCTTCAGTAATTTCTTAATGTTCTGTTGATAATTTACATTCAGTTTTTAATTTGTATATACCACACTGCAATGAAGTTAACATACATCTTTATATACTATCTCCTTTTCCAATACAGGATATTGGATCAATATATACTTCAATATATACTTTTGCCTTTTTTCAATATGGTAAATTTCTCAAAATGGAATGGTTAAATTATAGAATTTTGTATAAGATTCCTGAGAACAGGATTAGTGCCTTTTCTTTCCTTGTAGCTTCCCACATGATTCATATAATATTCCAAGATATGGTAGTGACTAAATGGGGTTAGCAGACTCTAGTTAATTGAGTTGTTGACTATTCTAAATACAGAACTGATATTTGTAAACATTCTGAAGAAAATTGATTGACCCTTTCATTTTTTTCCTACAACAATAGAGCACTGCTATGTTATTCAATATCTAAAATATTTCTCCCATTTTGATTAAAAACTGAATTATCAGAAACATTTTTCTATATTCATACAAATTGTATAAAATGGAAGATAAATGTGTGCATATTCTCTGCAATTTGTAAAGAGAAAAAAATGGGTAAACTGATTCCTACTGCACAGCATGTTTGTGAAGGTTCAATGAAAGGATGCTCTTAGTAAGTCTTGTATAGTATTCTCCATATACAGGCACTCAGTGGCTATGACCTTTCTTCATTATAATCACTGGAGAAAGCCAAGAGCTTATGTTTAAATGCTATATTACCATATCCTGTTTTAAGTTATAGAAATTGTTCAAAGTAGGAGAATTAAGTTATAATTATCAAAAAGGTTTTAGTGACATAAAATCTGCAGTGTCTTGGGAACTTTAACATAAATAAAAACACTTTCAAAGATATTTACTTGTGAGCCAATGTTAAAGAATTAAAAAATAACAAGCAGACAGGATTTCGAAAATACAATTAGTCATCAAGCATCCTTGGTTTTTCTATGTCCAATCTGTGAACTGGAAGTACTCTCTTTTATGTAACTTGAGTGACAGTGGTAAACCACATCTTTGATGGAAGTAGCATCCTTGCAAGAGTTCTAGCACTTAAAATTTCTACTCCTGGCACACATAAAGGCCAGCATATGTATGTTTCATGAACTTTATCATTTCCTAAGATTATCATTTCCGTATTACAGCAAGCAAGGACATACACACTATTAAATTCTTTAGAACTAGAAAGACGACTTAAAACTCAAGCCCAATTTCAAACCCATCCTCTTCTAAGGTACAATGTATATTGGCCATATTGGACCAAGCACCACAGAAGTTTAGTATACACTTTTCCTGCTCCAAATGTAAGTTTGACCTTTCACCTTTAAGTTTCTGATTCTATTTTTTCTGCATACAGTCATCATCCCTCAACCTTTTTTAAGACTGTAGTCAAATCCTACCTTCTCTACAAGGCATTCACTAATCCTTCTCCTGCACTTGGGTTTGAGATGCTAATACAGCTGACTTTCTATGACTTTCTGTGATTAAATGTGGCTCTACCACTTTGCCATGAGTCCACATAGGCCATACGATCCAACTTACTTTTACTCTTTTGCAGTATTATTTGATTCTTACCCTTCTAGAACCAGGTTCTAAAGACATTTTTTGAACTGAATTTAGCTGAGTTGAAGATAACTATTTAATCTTTAAGCATGTAAGGCTCAAAATATGTGGTCACTTGCCTCTACTAGCAATAGAGCTAGACAAAAATAAGCCATTAAGTGAACTATAATTAAATTTAAAAAAACCATAACTCTCCTCGACTTTTTTCCTAAAGTATAATTTGGAACTAAGAAAGTTTGAGGATTTGAGGGAAGTTTAGTTCATAATTATGTTCATTAACAATATTATTGACTCCATTGCATCGAGAACCATACTAAATGCTGTATACACAGGAGTGAGAAAAGGGACATTCCCAAACAACCAGAATCTCTTAATTTAGTGGGGTTAAAAAAGTAAATCATTATAATCCAGTGTTATGACAGAGTAAGTACAAGGAGTTGAGATGCCCTATAGGGAAATGAAGGCTTCTAAGAACCATCTAAGAAATGATGCGACAAATGATGGGAATTAGCCAGCAAACAAAGCCACGAAAGGACAGGGCGAGAGTAGACACAGTTGCACAACTATGGAAAAGAAGAAGCAGCATGGGAGCTGTCAGAGGATAAATCCACTCTAATTTTTTTATTCCCTTCAGTGACTACCAAAGGGTTTTCTTGAGTTCAACTAAACATTTAAATTTACAACACTAGCACATGCCACTAAGAAGGACACAGAACACGAACTGCAGCTTACTGGTAGTGTAGTACCAAGCATTCCTCATCAATGTGGACACCTGCAGTATTTCATACAGCAACTCATATAGCTCTCCAGAAGCTATTTTCTCCCCTGTGTAACAACTCAAAAGCCAAGAGACAGGATCCACATAAAATGCATATAGGAGATTCCCTAGATGGAAAGCCTCATAGCTGACAAGAGCCACTCTCTTGTAACAACTCCATACTTTCCAGTGACCACACAAAGAATATACCTGGAAATAAGAGTCACCACACTCAGAGAAGCCCAGTGTTACTTTGCCAATCAAGGGTAATGTTCCCATAAGGAAGATTGTCTAGAAATAGACTCCATATTTAACAGAGCCAGTTAACTGGTGGTCATAATTTCATACAGAAGGGGAAAGAGCTTTGTAATCCTCTGCCCACACTCCCTCTGTGATTAGTCCTGGATGGGCCAGTGATCCAGGTAGTGGACACAGCATACAGAAGCCTGTGGGAAAGAAAAAAATGTACATCCGCTGTCTAAAAGCAAGTTCATAATGACTGGAGCATATTGGGGTTGGAGGAGAGTAAAAGATGCTGGAACTGGCAAAAGAAGAGCCACAATGCAGCAACAGAGAGTATACTTTGCAGGGCTATAGTTTAATATAGAAACACTAAAAGGTTTAAAGCATGGGAATAATTTAGTCATATTTATACTTTAAAAAGTTATCTATTGCCTCTCTATGGACAGTAGATTGGAAGAGCATCAGAAAGCCTAATACCTTATGTTTGACCCAACAAATCCACCCCTACCCTGTTTGCTTCCCAAGGGGCTGATCTGAATGCACTACAACAGAGGATTCACTATCTCATGGCTTCCTGTTAGTTTCAACCTAAGAGATCCAAGGTAAGAAAGAGGCCAGAGTATTCATTCTCCTAAATTCTATCCTCCAAGGATTCCTGAGGTGCTATCTGCTCCTTGACCAGGTGCCCCTACTCTTCTCTATGTGATTGTCTCTGAAGAGCTCACTCACACCTGGGTTCTGATAACACCTCCCCTTGAGACTAACTCCAGGCCACTCAACTATCTTTTCTGACCTCCCTTCACATACATTTGTATACAATCCTTCTATGAAACCTGTCTAGAATTCTAATTTACATGCTCCATCTATTTTCTACTGGTTCCTGTGCCAATCACAATAAGACATTAGGTCAGACAACAAGTGAATAGGTGTTGGTATTCAGCCCAAGACCTTTTTGTAAACATTTTACTATTTGTGTGCCTCTCCACCCCGCTATCTGCATGCTGCCTCTAACAAGAGAAGTTATAACTCAATTAGGATATCAGTCCTCAGACTACTGGAGCTACTTTGATAGGACATGAAAGCCAGCACAGAACATGGGTGTTTATATCTTTCCAGAGTGGTCCTGAGACAATGAGTGGCTGGTGCAAGAGTATGAAAGCCCAACTCCCTCGCTCCATCTTAGGACAATTTCTGAGCTCCTGATTTTCTGTGTTCCTGATTTTCCCTGTGGGGTCAACTGATATTATTCTGCACAGAGGATTCAGTACAAAAAAACGTGTGGCTACCTTCTTCAAAAAGCAGGAACAAAGTGCTATTAGAGGTACTAAAATATAGAATATTTTCTTCTATGATCTGTCTTGTCATGACGTTTTTATTTGCTTTTATGTCATTCTAAGTTTTTTTAAAAAAGCTTAAAATTTTAAATCGTAAGCCTATATTTCCCCATTCATCTTTAGATTGTGCAATGCCTGTTTTAATACCAATATAAAAGCAATTAACTCATATGCAAAATCTCTAATTACACAATTTGTATTTTGTAGCTTGTACATGCACATGTATTTCATTGTTACCAAAACAATGCATACACTACACAAAAGTAACGGAAGTGTTTTTCTTTCATTTATTGATAGGCTCACATTCTATCAACACTCACTTTGGCTTACTGAGAAGGAAGGAGTAAAAGAAAAATGAACTGTGGTTTGCTTTATTTCCCACTTTCCTTCTGTGTCATCGTTTTTCGCATAAGTAGTCACTAACACAGGGAGGTAACTCTAGTAAGAATAAACCTGATGTTTCTTTGGTTGTGTGTGTATCTGAGAATGCCATTGACTTCTTTCTGCATTCTCAGCAAGTGCTGTTTTAAAGGGAAAGCACAGCTTCTAGGAGCTGTTGGCACCCTGATGTATTCAGTCATAGACTCAATCCACTTTTGTGCTTGCTTTGAGTCTTGCTGAACTCCCACTACTGCTGAGTCACCAAAATTCCATGCTTATGGGCCATTGCAAATGCTACATATGAATGGGAAGGCAAGAAATGGGAAACACATAAATTGCACTTCTCTCCTCTGCTCAATTGCATGCTCCATTTTCCCATCAAACTTCAACCACAAATACAAATTCAAAGATAAAGTTTAAGAATTTCAAGACATAACAGCAGAACATTAAGCCAAGCAAGCTCCCCTCTGAGTGAAGGTCCCTGTGCAATTGCAGAGGTTGCACATCCAAGTCATCTTTATCTTCACTGGATTTTGCTGAAATCGGGCCCTTTTATTATTTCTCCCTTTCCTACTACCTCTAGCTCCTTATTGGTTTCTCCTGGCAGTATCTCCTTAATAAATCACTTGTGAATGAGTCTTTTTGTCAAAGTCTGCTTACCAATTTAACCTAAAACGGTTTTTACTGAAAGTGTTCCTGAGAAGCAAATTTAATATGGGATTCAGGAGCTGGATCACATACTTAGCAAATAATAAAACACTGTACTCCCTTTCCACCATACTGGTGATGAGTTTGATAGCTTCTGGAATTCTGTGGCACTGAAATTGCTAGAATATTCGCCTATTTAATTGGGACAAATACAAAGAGATGCCCTGGCTTGGGCAGTATCTGTCTTGATTTATGACTATCGTGAAAATGTGGAATTGATTGCTTTTAACTAGGTTATACTAAAGTTTTAAAAAAGAGAAAATGGCAGACTCAACTGATTTACTTACCAGCTTAATGATACGAAAATCAGAAATTTCCCCATAGTGAAATTTAAAGGGACCCTCATGTCCTAGAGCAGGAGTCAACAAACTCCAGACCTTGGGCCAAATCTGATCCCTTATTGTTTTTTATAAATGTTAAGTGAAATAAGTCAACCACAGGAAGAAAAATACCGCATGATCTCAGTTATATGTGAAATCTAAGGGGAAAAAAAGGTAAAATATGCAGACAGAAAATAAAACAGTGGTTACCAGGGATGGGGGGGGGATGAAGGGAGAAATGGGGAGATGTAGGTCAAAGGATGCAAAGTAGCAGATGTGTAGGATGAACAAGTCTAGAAATCTGATATATAACATGAGGACTATACTTAATACAATTGTATTGCATTAGGGATTTTTGTTAAATAAATAGTTTTAGCTGCTTTTGTCACAATAATACAATGTGAGATCACAGACATTTTTAATCTGTTAATCTTCACTATAGTAACCATATTACCGTTTATATGTATCCCATCACATCATGTCGTAAATCTCAAATATACACAACACAATTTATTAAATAAATTATGCATTATTATTATTAGCACACAACCATGCTTATTCATTCCCTGTGGCTGCATTCATACTACAAGAGCAGTTTAATAGTCGCAACAGAGACTGTATGGCCTGCAAAGCCTAAAATATTTATTGTCTGGCCATCTATAGAAGAAATTTGCAAATCCCTGTCCTGGAGTCTGAGAACCAGCCTGAGCAGAAGAAAAGGCACAGGACTTGTACTAGTGTGTTCTCACACTGCTAATAAAGACATACCTGAGACTGGGTAATTTATAAAGGAAAGAGGTTTAATTGACTCACAGTTCCACATGGCTGGGGAGGCTTCACAAACATTGCAGAAGGCGAAGGGGGAGCAAAGTCATATTGTACATGGTGGCAAGCAAGAGAGCATGTGAAGAGGAACTCCCATTTATAAAACTATCAGATCTTGTGAGACTTACTCACTACCACGAGAATAGTATGGGGGAAACCACCCCCATGAGTCAAGATTAAATTATCTCCACCTGGCCCTGCTCTTGACATGTGGGGATTGTTACAATTCAATGTGAGATTTGAGTGGGGACACAGCCAAACCATATCAGGACTTGATTGTAAAAGTAGGAGAATTTCACTGAAGGCTGAATGCATTGCCTTCACCAAAATTATGGCTCTGATAGAGAAAGACTGAAACTTGGAATAGAAACATCTGGGTAAAATGCATTTAAGTTCATTCAGCTGCCAGATTTTCTTATTGGCTTATTATTGAACCATATTGGCTTGCAGAAGTGGCCAACTGCTTCTTGCTGGAAGGAAGAAGCAAACCCACCTGTCAGAGACAATGCAGAGGCACCAACAAGGCTAGTGCCAGTAGGACAATGCTTTTCCTCAAAATCGATCCACATCGCCCCTGATGGCCCCTTGTATTAGTTTCCTATGGTTGTCATAATAAAGTATCATAAACTAGGGGGCTTATATCAACAGACATTTATTCTCTTACAGTTCTGGATGCTAGAAATCCAAAATCACTGTATCTATTGGCAGGACCGTCTTCCTTCCAAAGACCCAAAGGAAGAATTCTTCCTTGCCTATTCTAGCTTCTGATTGTTACTGGCAATCCTTAGTGTTCCTTGGCTTGTAGATGCATCGCTCTAATTTCTGCCTCTGACTTCACATGGCCTTCTCTCCTCTGTGTATATGTGTCTGTCTAAATTTCCCTCTTCTTATAAGGACATCAGTCATTGAATTAGTAAATACCCTAAGCCAGTAATCTTATTTCAACTTGATTATATCTGCAAAGATCATGTTTTCAAATAAGGTCACATTCACAGGTTCTGGATGGGCATAAAGTTTGGGGGGGATATTATTCAACCCAGACACTCTGACATCAATAATTAGGCATCAATCATTAAGCATGGCCCAAACAGAGAAATACTGATGCTGACCCTGCTGTGAAATAGAAGGTTTATACTTAGAGGGAGCTACAAATCTGGTAAATATATACTGGCATCAACTGAGACAGAATGCTTGGGAGTGGATCTTGAGGGTGTAAACTGTGGCAGAGTGGGGAGAGTTCTAACTCTCCCCACTATACACAATATAAAGTTGTGCAAGAGCAGGAATTGGCCAGGCACGGTGGCTCATGCCTATAATCCCAGAACTTTGGGAGGCCAAGGTGGGCAGATTGCTTGAGGCCAGGAGTTTGAGACCAGGCAGACCAACATGGTGAAACCTGTTCTCTACTAAAAACACAAAAAATTAGCCAGGCATGGTGGCATATGCCTGTAGTCCCAGCTGCTTGAGAGGCTGAGGCAAGAGAATCGCTTGAACCCAGCAGGCGGAGGTTGCAGTGAGCTGAGAACGTACCAATGCACTGCAGCCTGGGCGACAGAGCGAGACTCTGTCTTCCAAAAAAAAAGCGGGTTTTGTTGATGTGGGGGCACTTTTCCCATGACTAAAGATTTAATTCCCTGACAAGAGTGGTTTTGTTGATGTGGGGGCACTTTTCCCATGACTAAAGATTTAATTCCCTGAAGAGACCCTAGAGAAAATATTAATACACTGCTGCATGGCTCTTTGAAATCTTCAAAAAACTGATACTACATGTTAAATGATACAGAAATAGCAGAACTGCCTGTGCAGAATTGAGGGAGAGATCAAGTTCAGAAAATGAGCATGCTGGAATGGATTTACTGTATAAGGCCCAAGAATCCACCAGACGACCACATTCCTTAGATGGCAGAGTACACCGTTTACACAAGGCAAAAATGAACGTGATAATGCGGGAGTCATCAACATTATTCAGAAGATCAGTTGTATAGGCCAGGACTGATTATTAAAGATGCTGTTATATAGAACTAAGTTCCCTAGTATCAATGAGTATGACAGGATTCAGAATAGCAAGGCCAGATAACAGCGTTTATCCACTAGAGAGAGGTAAATTGAATCTACCACAATAGCCAGAAGATCAAACGGCAACCAGGGGCATTGACCTGCCAACACGTATGGTAATGTCTATGGACCATGCTGTTACTAGTGGCAAGACAAGTGAGTAGCCAGCTTGAGATACGTGATATAATAAAAAGGGGTCCAGAGTGGATGATATCAGCTGCCTCAATGGAAATTTATAATCAATTGTCTAGTTTCCAGACATGATCCAATTCTTTTTTTTTTTTAATTGAGACAGGATCTCGCTATATCGCCCAGGCTGGTCTGAAACTCCTGAGCTCAAGCCGTCTGCCCCTCTTGGCCTCCTAAAGTGCTGGGATTACAGGAAAGAGCCACTGTACTTGGCCTTTGACATGAGCCAGTTCACACCCAGACATAGCAATTGAACATGTGTCTCCTTGTAGAATGACCCTGCAACTACACAGCAAGGAGATATAGCTGTTTTGATTGTTTTTGAGACAGGGTCTCATTCTGTCATCCAGGCTGTAGTGCAGTGGTGCAATCACGGCTCATTGCAGCCTTGAACTCCTGGGCTCAGGCGATTCTCCCACCCCAGCCTTCCTAGTAGCTGGAACCAAAGATATACACCACCAAGATCAGCTAATTTATTTATTTATTGGAGATATGGGTTTTCCTTATGTTGCACAGGCTGATCTCAAACTCCTGATCTCAAGCAAGCAATCCTCCCTCTTCAGCCTCCCAAAGTGCTGGGGTTGCAGGTATATGTAGTTTGAATTAACTCTTTCCTTTCCTAAAAGGATCTATGGCCATTTGCTTGTGTAATAATACACTAGAGAAAGAAAAATACCCAATTCTTTAAGGATTGGATACAGAGTCCAACTGATGCTGATATCCAGAAACCCAAAGCACGACCATAGCCCATTATTATAGTAAGGGTAGAGGGAAGACCTGTGACAAATGAAGTCCTCCCCTAGGGTTATCTCACTGTGGATACAGTATATCCATGGACCTACCAGTTGCTATCATCTCAGTTCCTAAATGCATAATTGGAATGCATATACTTAGCAGGCACCAGGACCCTCACATTGATTCCTTGACATATGGAGTAAAAATCTCCACAGAAAACTCAAGAGGAAGCCCCTGAAACTTCCCATTCATCAAAGTTCTTCAAACTAATGAGTTCCACATCCTGTTTGGAATGGCAGAGGTTAGTTTTACCCCTAAAGAATTAAATGAGGCAGGGGTGTTGGTTCCCACTCTATCACCATTTAATTCACCAATGTAGACTCTGCAAAAAACAAAAAAATATTAGTGAAGTATGGTGGACTTGTCCAAGCAGTATCCACAATCACAGCTCTTATCCTGGGTGTGGTGTCTTTACTAAAACAGACTAACTAAGTCTCTAGTTCATGGTATGTGAATTTTGATTTGGGTGCATATGTAATTTTCAGTATTCTTCATGAAAGCATCTGAGGTAGTTTACATCCATCTAGGATGGGCAACAGTATATATTCAGTCTTGCTCCAGAGATATGCTGACTTGCCTGCTGTCATGATAAATCTAAAGACAACTGGCTTATTTGAACATTCCACCATATTGGAATGATGACACTAAGTTAATAGACCTAATAAGTGAAAAAGTACTCTGGATAGTCAGCTAAGAGGGTAAAAGGTAACCAGTGACTGGAATATTGGTGAAGTTTTAAGAGTCCAGTGGTTTAAGAAAAGCCAACATCTCTTGCAAGGTAAAGAGTTACTGCACCTTGCACTTCCATTCCTAAATGAATAAAATGAACGAATAAAGCAGAATTTGCTAGACCTCTTTTGGTTTTAAAGGCAGTATGTACTACACTTGGGAGTTTGGTTCTGACTCGTATATGGTTCTTACCTAAAACGTTCCCAGTTTTCAGTGGACCCCAGCATAAGGCAAAGAAAAGTACTCCATAGCTGAGTCCAACTACTCTCGTCAGAATTCTGAGAGACTTCCTAGTGATAACAGAGCAATACATATATTATATGCTTTTTCTTTTCCCAAAAAGTAGAAAACAAACCCTCTATTGTTTTCTATTCAAAACCCTCAAATATTCCATTAACAGCAAGTGCATAATCCATAGTGATCAATGGACTTATCTCCACCCTGGCTTCATCACATTACAGGCTTCTGATAGCAAGTAATTTTAGAAGGGACCAAGGTCAGCAATGAAAATGAAGAGTTGCTTACATGACTGACTTTGTTATATAAAAGAGAATTTTTTAAAAATGAGAAAAAGAGAAAAATGTCTTCATTACAAATGCAAATATAAAGGGGTCAAGTTACTTTCTACCTTTTTTCCTCATTGTTTATGACTCTGATCCCATCTGTTAATGTAAAAGAGTAGCATATTCTTCAAAGATTTTTCAAGGTATTTAAATTCTAAAAAATGTTTAGTGTTTAAAATAAAGTGCTTTCAAGTAAATAATATAATAAAATGTGATCTATATATTACATAAATCAAAACATGGCTTAATAAAAAAATCCACATTCATATAGTTAATTTCCCATTGGCAAAGCATTTTCACATATATCATCAATGATTGTCTAATATATCTATAAAGGAGAAATGAGTGAATATTGTTATTCCTTTGGAGACTGAAACCACCAAGTACAGAGATTTTCTGCAAAGCCTCAAGTAATTTAAATTAAAGTGAAGATGTCTCCCGATATACTTTATGAAAATGTATTAGGCTAAACTGGTATACTGTATGAAATAAGAATTTCTATTCCAATATATTTGGACATTTTAAAGCATTTATATGTGTTTATTTTTTAATATGTGTCAAGCTGTAGGCTGAGGCCTGGGGATTTAAAAATGAATAAATAGTAGGCTCTGCCCTTAAGGACATATACATACACACATGAATATACAAGGAATTATAACATAATACAATATGCTCTTGATATAAGCAAAATACTTAACCAAATACAAAGTAATGATTAATTCTGAATGATGCTATATAAGACTTTACAGAAAAGGTAATATATTTGATGAAACAGTGAAAGGAGGTTGGAAAGATGAGTTCTAGCTGCGAGGAAAAGAAAGTGAAGAAGCAGAGAGAAATCCAGAGAAGCCTGAAAGCTTAGGGTGTTTTAGAGGAAGCGAAGACATTACAACTAAGAAAGAAATGAGTTGTGAAGAGTGGTGGGCAATGATCTCGGTTTGTATTTTTTTAGAACATTAATTTTACTATAAATACTAGAAATCAAAATGCCCAGAAGATAAACATAAGACCTACCACATCCTTGCATTTTCAAAGTCTAGCAAATTATATGACAAGTTTTGTAATATGAAGAAGAAATATTTTTGACAAATTAACATAATATTTCAATGTGTATTGTGTTTAATGGCATTTCTGCATTACATTTCATGTATTACATTTGTTTTATATCTATGCATTTTATTACTTAGGGGATAAACATTTATATGAAGAGCATCAATTTTCCTAAAACGCTAGTAGCAGCAGTCAACATTTAATACTACTCTAAACAATCATTTTCATAACCTCTCTTTAGGGTACTATATTTTAGGAAGAGAAAAATTTGGGGGAAAATAAAATTAAAGATGGGTGTGTTGAAGTGAAAACTAGTGAGAAATTACCTGGTGAATATCAATCACCTTCTAATAGCAAAGTTTAAGTGCAACTAGATCTTAAGCATCCCTTTTATTTACAGGGAAATAATATAATGTAATATAGCTTTTAAGAAGCTATATGAGAGCAGGGAGCTTACTAGTAAACTACAAGTTTGACACTCCCATATAATACAAGAATTTTCACCTCACTACCCATATATTATAGCAACAATATAATATCTGTAAACATCCTTTGTAAGCTGTAAAGGTCTTTTCATATTCAATAACAATAATACTTGCTTACTGAATAATTAAGATAATTAATTTTGAATAATTAAACAGGAATTATCCAATAAAAACTACTAAAGGGCATTCCAAGTGCTTATCCTGTGTCAAGCACTGTGATAAATGCTCTGTATGCATTCTCTTATTTAATTCTTTCAACCACCCATGGGAGGTAAATAGTTTTCTCAATTCACAACTAAGGCAACTAACCTAGAAAGATAATCTGAGCTGACCAAGGAGATAAGGGAAAGTAATATAGACACAGTAATATACAGATAACATAAAGAAGACCTAAACAGAAGCAGTGCTAATATCAAAGACAGATAATAACCATAAGAATCAAACAACCATAACAAAAACAAATAGCTCAATATATGAATGGACAAAGATTTGAATATACACTTCACCAAGAATATGTGGTTGACAGAAGGCAGGTGCAAACATACTTCAATGCAAATTAAAAACACATTGAAACACCAGCACACAGTCATTAGAAATTTTTAAATTTTAATTAAAATTAAATGACTGACAATACCATGTGTAAGCATAAAATGTGAAGGAACTTGAACTCTTAACACTCTGCTGATGGGAATGTAAAATGCCATAATCACCTTGGAAAACAGTTTGGAAATTTCTTTAAAAAGTAAACATATACCTATCATGTAATCCGGCTTTTCCTACAAGGTATTTTATCAAGAGAAATGAGAGCATCTGACCACAGAAAGACTTGTACAGGAATGTCTATAACGACTTCATTTTAATAGCCAAAAACTATAACAACAAAAATGTCCATCATCAGATGAAAGGATAAACGAATTGTGGTATATCCATACAATGGAATACTACTCAGCAATAAAAGGAACTACTGAAACAAGATACAGTGTGGATGGAACCTAAAATAATTACACTGACTAAAAGAAAGCAAGTAAAAAGGAGCACATACTGTTGACTCTATTCACATGAACTATCCGCAACTGCAGTTTATTGTATGTCAATTATATATCTCTATATAAAGCTGTTTTATATGTCTGTATTCGCTTTTGTGGGTCTGTAATACACGTTTTTCATTTTTTTAAACCTCTGAGCATTACCATCAACATTTTAACAATAGTAATCTCGGCAGAAGACGAATTAGGGTTGTTTTGAACTTTCTTCTGCGTGCTTACCCTTTTTTCTTCAGTACCCTGCAACAATTACATAAATACTATTTTAACACTAAATGCTATTTAAAGTTTAATTTTTAAAGAGCTATTTTAAGAGGATATAATCTCTGCACTAAGAAAAGATGGGAAAGTAACATATTTTGAGTTCAGAGGCATTTTATTCCTCCTAGGGTTTCTACGGTATCTCATTTCTCATTCTTTCTTTCTTTTTTCTTTTTTTTTTTTTTTTTGAGACGGAGTCTTGCTCTGTCGCCCAGGCTGGAGTGCAGTGGCTCGATCTCGGCTCACTGCAAGCTCCGCCCCCCGGGTTCACGCCATTCTCCTGCCTCAGCCTTCCAAGTAGCTGGGACTACAGCAGCCTGCCACCACGCCCGGCTAATTTTTTGTGTTTTTAGTAGAGACGGGGTTTCACCGTGTTAGCCAGGATAGTCTCGATCTCCTAACCTTGTGATCCGCCCGCCTCGGCCTCCCAAAGGCGTGAGCCACGGCACCCGGCCTACAGTATCTCATTTCTTTACAATGAAGATACATTTTATGTTTAAAAATAAACTATGCATGTATTTTAAAAGAAACAGAGTCTTAAAAATTTTCCCACTATGCTGGCAATTGTTTCCACACTTACATGTTAAATAACCAGTTAATTTATGTACACTTGCTTTGGATGTGGACCTTTATTCTCACAGGTAAATTGGTGACTTTTGGTTCACCCTTTTCACTGTGTTGCCAGTCCAACTCTTGGTCCTTATGAAAAGGTCAGAGAAGAAGGGGGAGTACAGCTTGGTCCCTTCTTTGGGAAGTCCCAGGGCCTACTCTCCTGACAGCCTTTTTAACGCAGGTGAAATCAGTGACAATCGCCAAAGAGCAGAAATCTCACGTCGTCGGTGGGGGCGAATGCTCACGGAATCGTGACTGGGCATCTGCGCTGGCCTCCGCCTAGACTGCGCCCCACGCGGGTCCCCAGAGCCCCCGGCGGCGCTTCCCCAGCGCCCTCCGCGTGGAACCCCGCGCCTCTGGAACAGAAGGGGCGTGTGACGCAGTCACCGTTGCCTAGGGCCACGTTCTGATCAGATCTGACGCCTCCAGCGCCCGACCCCACGCCAAGAGGGCCGGGCCTCAGTTTCCCCACTTCCAAGGAGGCGGCGCTATGCTGTCCTGCTTCAGGCTCCTCTCCAGGCACATCAGCCCTTCGCTGGCGTCTCTGCGCCCGGTGCGCTGCTGCTTCGCGCTCCCGCTGCGTTGGGCCCCGGGGCGCCCCTTGGACCCCAGGCAGATCGCCCCCCGCCGCCCCCTGGCCGCAGCCGCCTCCTCCCGGGACCCTACCGGGCCCGCCGCCGGCCCCTCTCGGGTGCGCCAGAACTTCCACCCCGACTCCGAGGCTGCCATCAACCGCCAGATCAACCTCGAGCTCTATGCGTCCTACGTGTACTTGTCCATGGCCTATTACTTCTCCCGGGATGACGTGGCCTTGAACAACTTCTCCAGGTATTTCCTTCACCAGTCCCGGGAGGAGACCGAGCACGCGGAGAAGCTGATGAGGCTGCAGAACCAGCGAGGAGGCCGGATCCGCCTGCAGGACATCAAGAAGCCGGAACAGGACGACTGGGAAAGCGGGCTGCATGCCATGGAGTGTGCTCTACTCTTGGAAAAGAACGTGAACCAGTCGTTGCTGGAATTGCACGCTCTAGCCTCAGATAAAGGTGACCCCCATTTGTGCGATTTCCTGGAAACCTACTACCTGAATGAGCAGGTGAAGTCTATCAAAGAACTAGGTGACCACGTGCACAACTTAGTGAAGATGGGGGCCCCGGATGCTGGCCTGGCGGAGTACCTTTTTGACACACATACCCTTGGAAATGAAAACAAGCAGAACTAAGCCACGAGCTGCCTTCCTCCCAGGCTAGTGGATCCAAAGACCAAAGTCAGCTGTCTCCTGCTTTCTTGCCCTTAAAATCACCTCCATCTTTATATTCTTCTGTTATACTATTCCTCCAATAAAGTGATTTGTAGAAAAAAATGTTTTGCCCATGTTTAACAAGGGCTTTTTACTAACCATCAAGGCAGTTATTTTCCCAGGCTCGAAGATAGCACAGGTAACTATGGTATAGAAAAAGACTCCAAAAAGCTACTGAAAGAGGGTGCAAACTAACGTTCTCCAGTTGCCAAGTATTATCAGAATATGAACCTACACTTAAATTCTGTGATTTTTAATTCAACAAGTGCCTGCCATATTCAATACCTTATGCAAAACGCTAAAGTGGGAAAATGGATAAAAATATACAAATAACTATAAGTGAAGAATATTTAGTACTGTGAAAATTATACATGCAAAAATGCTATGACAGCTTTTGCCTTTTCCCAGTGTGTCCCAAGAAGCAGTACTGTCTGGAGATCGTTTTTTAAAAGAATTCGTAGTCAAATTTGGGATAAGCTACATGAATTATCAGTGTTAGTCTTGGAAAATCACAGCATATATTAACATTTTAAGGGCTCTGGGAAGTTTTGCAGTTAATAAATATAAAAGCTTTAATTATTTTTGTTTAGCTCAGTGTTTTCCAAACATATGCAATCTCAGTGTTTTGTTGTTTTAATGTTGGTAATATAACAAACCAGACCTGATTCCACACTCTATATACTTCACCATTGAGTCTCTCTTTTAACCTGCCAAGAAGAGTGAAAACACTGCATAAAACACCTTTCTGTGGTCTTTAAAATGGACAGAAAAGAACATGGGGGTTTAAAAAGTCAAGAAGGGATCCAGAATAGAGGAGGCATCTAGTCAGGTAGATGTTTTCTTTAGGCATGGAAGTGAGGAGTGGGAGAGTCCAGCATTGGAATAGACTAGAACACTGAGTGGTGATTGGAAAGATGAGCTGCGGCAGAGTACAGAGGTGAGAAGGGTTTGGGCTTAATTCAGGGGACAAAAGCAAGGTCTTCAAAGGCTCTTAACAGAAGAAAACAGTGCTCAAAATGGAGCAATCTGAGGCTTAGTCTGGTTATACAGAATAAGAATCTGAAAACAACCTAAATATCTCTGTTAGTTTGGGTTTTCTGAAACACTGATGCCAAAATGGGATTAAGTGTACAAGAAATTAGGGGAAACAGACCTCTGAGAGAAAATGGAAAAGCAGCAAGTGGGAGAAGCAGGGAGAGCCTTCAGACTTCATGCAAATGTAATCCCCCGGGGGGATGAAGAAGGGAAGTTGTGCATATTTCTTTGGAAAGGTCTGCAAGGCTGTCAGGGAGGCCTCAAGCCAAAGTCACTAGTCAGGAATCCCAAGTCTCCCAGAAATGAGCCTAAGTACCTTTCCTGTATTTAGGTATTGACTGGGAAGTATGGACTTGCAGCAAACCAAGTAATGAATCAATTTCAGAGCACGGCAGCTGAGGCTCTTGGCAAATTGTGCTCCCTGCAGTCCAAGACCTGAGAGCTACATGCATATTACGGCACAAGCGCAACAAAATGGCTTAGATTAAAACACCAAACACTCAGTGTTTTAGATTAATACACAGAATACTCTGCAGCTATTGTTAAATATGGTTTTGTACAAACACCTTATGATGTGGATAGAAATTCTCAATGTTTTATGTTAAACATGAGGAATATTACAAGATGGGGTTATATAATTCTATATGTACAATTATAAGACATATTATATACGTATATAAAATGACAAAGTATATATACCAACAAGCAAAGCCAGAAAATTCTTTTAAATAGTGAGATTGTGGTTGATATTTATTTTCTTTAATTACATGTCTCTTAAAAATACATTTGTTATAATGGACAGCCATTATTATAATAAGACAAGAAAAGCAAAACGTAAGATGGAGGGAAAAGCAATAAAGGCCAGAATTATGGTAAAACCAATGGAAATACAAACAGAGATTCTGGTAAGAGTTTAGAGGCAGAATCATTTCAATTTTGTGATCAATTTAATGACTGGAGCTAAAGAAATGAGGTGTGGGAGAAAACGTGATGGGTCTAAAATTTGAGTTACTAGAGAATAGGATATTTGAGAATAGAGATCTCAGCAGGAGGGATAATTGGAGGTGGGGGAATGCATAATGATTTTTGTTGATTTTGTTGATCATTCTCACTTTACATTCTATTCTTAAGTGGGCCTATTTTGCTGCTCAGGAATCCTGTTATATTTCTATACAAAATCTCTTCAATTTTTCTAGATGAATGGTTTTCAAACTGTACCTTGCAGCCCATTAGTGTGTCACGAAATATTTACTGAGTCACTACACACGTTTTGTGAATAAAATAGAGTAGAATTGAAGCGACAGTAGGTGAAGTAAGGGTATTATTTCCTGAAGCTCTTGTTTCAGGTGTGTGAGTGTGTGAGCGAGAGAGAGAGAGAGTGTGTGTGTGTGTGTGTGTTGTGAATTTACATCCTGGATAGTGATATTTCTTATTCTGTGTTTCTGTCAAAAACTTTCAATAGCTGCTCTCCTAGATAATTATTTTACAGATTCTCTTTTCTCCTCAAATCTCCAAATCTCCTCTCCCTCCCCACTGTCAGTTGATAATCCGTTTACTTCACTGAGAAATTAGAAGTACTAAAGGAGAACTTCACACTTTTTCATCATTGAATTAATCATATGCTTATATCTGTGTTCACTTAGATTTTGTTCTGCTAGAATGGTTGTTGCATCAGTGTTCCTCCTTAAAACCAATGTCCTCAATCCTAACCTCCCCACATAGGCAAGGACACAAGGATATCACACCTATGGTTATCCTCTCTCTTGCAGCAGCTTTGCCTTCTTTATCACTTAGTACCATGAGAATGCAAACACTGTATTATTTCTCCTCATCCTTAAAAAAATGCCACCTCTGGACTCACATTCCATCCAGCAAACACCAAGCTACCCCTCTTTACTCATCTCCCTCGTACAACAAAACCTCTTGAAAAAGTTGTTCTTCTTCCTGTCTCCACCTCTTGTTCTGCTCTCTCTTGATCCCTCCCAAGGAAGCCCATGTTCACCACTACACTAGCCTTTTTATTTCCTGTCAATAAAAATAGTGACTTTCATGTTAATAAGCTCAATGGTCAATTTCCCAGTCTTCCTAGAAGTACTTGTCCATTCTCTGTTGAAACATGTGCTTACTGTTCTGTATTTCAGTCGCTCTTTCTAATCTCTTCCCATCTTTCTGACTGTTAAAGTTTGGAGTGTCCCAGAGCTCAGTCCTCACATCTGGACTTCTTTATCTATACTTGTTCCTTAAAGATCTCATCCTATCCGGGGACTTTTATTTAAACATATATTGGTTAACAAATCGCATGTTTTAGTTTGCTTCAGCTCATCTTTGAACTCCAGACTTACATATCTAAATACCTAATCAATATTTCCCCTCAGATGCCTAATAGACACTTCATATTTAGCAGGGTCACAGCCATACTCTTTATTTCACCACCCTCCAAAACCTGTTCAACCCAGTCTTTTGCTTCATAATGAATAGAAACTCCAATCTACCAGTTTCCATGGCTCAGTCATCCTTGACTACTCTCTTTCATACCAAAGTCAGGTCTTTCAGCAAGTTCTTTCAGGTCTTCCTCTAAAATAGATCCCGAATCTCACCACTTTTTAAAGGCTTCATCATTGCCACTTCTGTACAAGCTCTCACCTTTTTTTTCCATTATCACATTTTATGTCACACTCTGTTTGTTTTTTTTTTTTAATTAATATTCCCGGCAATCCAAATATGTCACACTCTTAACAGATCTAACTGCTTTCACACCTAGGAACATTCAGTCACTTCTTCACAAAGCAGCCAAAGTGTTCCTTTGCAAGTATAAGTCATTTATTGTTATTTCTTTGCTCAAAACTCTCCTATAACTTCTTTAATTTGGAGAAAAAGTCAAGGTCAGGATCCTTACTATAGTCCACAAGGTGCTTTGTGATATGAGATCCTAAAATCTTTTTGACCTGATATTTCTATATGTACTCTGTGTGTGTGCATGTGTGTGTGTGTGTGTGTAAGAGGTGGTAAGATCTGAACACAGTGTGCCCGTGGCACACAGACTGAGAGGTGCAATTCAAGCTAAGCATTCCCTTAGGGGACCAATTAATAATGATTCCATAGGAATCATTGTGCAGCACCTCTGTCTGTTCTGCAAAGCAATCTTCCTAAACAAGTACCTTCATTTTTTCTAACTGGGTCCAATCCTGTTTACAAATAGGTTTTTGAGGGCGGTATGCCTCAATTATAGGAGCAGATTTATTATGGTAAATACTGAGATCAGAAAGCATGTGTAACTGTGTCATAGAGTGATTACATCCAGGCATTATTGCCAGCCAAGATTGATAAATATGCCCAATAAGTATAATTGTTCTCTGTGTCAGCTCTTGTTGAAGAAATACTCACAGCAATAGTGATCACCACTATCATAGCTACCATTAAATTATTCATTGTGACTGGTTGTCCTGCTTTCCTCAGATTTTCTTCCGCCATCTCTGACAGCTTCTTGATCTGTCCCCAGGTGGGTGCTGCGCTCGACAGGTGTTGCTTGTGACAGATGGGGTCCTCCTCAGCGTCAGTCTCAACATGGCTGCAACTGAGGGGTCCTGGGGATCCTCCCGGAATCTGACTCATAAGGTTTCAGGTGTCTTGATGGTATCCAAATCAGCTGTTGATTTTTGCCTGGAGAAACACAAGCATAACCTCTACCCCAAGTTATTATTTTACCTTCAGAATTATATGGGATACCAGTAATGTGTTTAATATTCCACATAGAGAAAAATTTAGCCAGAGCTTGGCTAGTATAGCCAGGGGCATTATCTGTTTTAATAGAAACTGGGATGCCCATCACCGCAAAACATTGCAAAAGATGACATTTAACACAGGCAGAAGACTCTCCTGTTTGGCATATAGCCCAGACAAAGTGAGAAAAGGTGTCCACACACACATGTACATAAGCGAGTCTCCGAAACGAGGGAACAGGTGTGACATCCATTTGCCAAAGTGAGTTAGGTTCCAGTCCTCAAGGATTAACTCCTCCTGTAAAAGATGAGGAATGTACCATTTGGCAAGTTGGGCATCGCTGGATAATAGCTTTAGCTTCTTTCCAGGTAATGCTGTATCTACGTTTGAAACCAGAGGCATTAACATGAGTTACATTGCGAAAGTGTCTAGCATTAGATATTGCAGTAGCAACTAGGCGATCAGCCGTTTGATTCCCTTTAGTTAAAGGTCCTGGAAGAGGTGTATGAGCTCTAATGTGAGTGATGTAAAAAGGATGCATTCTACTCCTAACTGCTGTTTGCAATTGGGTAAATAAAGTCACCAGTTGTTCATCTGTAAGAAATCGTAACTGAGCATTTTCAATTAACTGTGTGGAGTGAACCAAGTATGAAGAATCAGAAATCACATTAATAGGCATATCAAAAGCAGTCAATACCTCAATTACCACTACAAGCTCCGCTTTTTAAGCTGAGGTATAGGACGTCGGAAAAACTTTACTTTTTGAGCCAGAATAAGAAGCTTTACCATTACCAGACCCATCTGCAAAGCAAGGAAAACGCTTAGCAGGCTACAGGTTGTTTACTGCAGGAATTCTAAATGCAAACTGTTCACAGTCTTGCTCAGCTAAAGGGATAGTAAAGAAACAGTCTTTTAAATCTATGACTATTAAAGGCCAATTTTTTGGAATTATAGCAGGAGAAGGCAATCCTGGCTGTAATGCTACCATAGGTTGTATAACTGAATCGATGGCTCTTAAGTCAGTAAACATTCTCCATTTACCTGATTTTTTTCTTAATTACGAAAACTGGAGAATTCCAAGGAGAAAATGTTGGAGCTATGTGCCCATTTTCTAATTGTTCAGCAACTAATTTCTCTAAAGCCTCCAGTTTTTCTTTACTTAGCGGCCATTGTTCTATCCAAATTGGCTTATCTGTTAACCATTGTAAAGGTACAGGTTCTGGAGGCTTAACAATGGCTGCCATCAAAAATTTTTTCCTAACCTTTGGCGGGAACTTTGTTTTTCCGCTTGAAGCAGTTCTTTCAAACCTTGCAAATTTTTTTCTAGTCCCATACCAGGGACATACCTCAATTCATGCATTGTATATTGACTTTGAGGGCTGTATAATTGTTCTGGAATTAGAAGTTGTGCTCCCCATTGTTGTAATAAATATCTTCCCCATAAATTTATAGGTACAGAAGTTACAATCGGTTGAATAGTCCCAGGTTGTCCATCAGGCCCCTCACGATGCAAAATATAAGTACTTTGATATACTTCAGCGGCTTTACCAACTCCAACTATATTAAATTGAGTGGGTTGAATTGGCCACGTGGACGGCCAGTGCTGTAGAGAAATGATTGAAATGTCCGCTCCTGTATCTACCAAACCTTTAAATTTCTTTCCTTGAATAGTTATTTCACAGGTAGGGCGTTTATCAGTAATTTGATTTACCTAATAAGTTGCTTTGCCTTGTTTATTTGTGCTTGCAAATCCTCCTGTTCGTTTAATTTCACTTTTTCCCATTCCCACATACGGCACCATCAGGAGCTGTGCTATGTGCTCTCCTGGCTCTGCTTTCCAGGGAACAGAAGTAGATATAACAATTTGAATTTCTCCATTGTAATCGGAATCAATGACTCCTGTATGTATTTGTACGCCTTTTAAACTATCGCTAGACCTTCCTAAAAGTAATCCTATAGTCCCTGCTGGCAAGGGTCCACCAACTCCTGTCGGGACCTTTTGCGGGGGTTCCCCAGGCAAAAAGCTCACAGCTTTTGTGCAGCATAAATCTACTGCGGCACTACTGGCTGTGGCAGGGGACAGACATTGTATAGGGGTGAGGGAATGGCCTGAGCTGGAAATGCCCTGGTTTAGAACGGGGCCCGGGACAGGCCCCTCATGGCGTTTCCCGAAATCGGGTTCCCATCTTTATCAAACTTAGAGTGACACTGACTAGCCCAGTGTTTTCCTTTTTTACATTTTGGACATATTTCAGGATCAGCAGTTTTCTTTTTTCCCCTATCTGGTGGCCTGACTCACTGATTTTTTCCACATTCTTTTTTAGTATGAATAGCTTCTTTAAATTCTTTGAGTAATTTAAAAGGAAAAGGTTCAAATGTATCTGTAATATTTCCCTGTTGATCTAGGGGGTGTATTCTAACAGGGAACTGCCAAGCCTCTAAATCACCCTCTTGTCTAGCTTGCTGAATTCCTGCCTGAATAGAACTAAGAGCAGTCACTTGAGGCGCTGCTGCTGCTCAAACAGTCACTGGGGCAACTGTTTTTCACCCAGCGTCCTCCAGAAAAGAAAGATCTGGGGGGTCATTTTCTTCAAAATAATAAGGAGGGTGTGCAGAATGGTAGGGATGAACCTCTCCTTCCTTTGCCGCTTTAGCTTTAGCCAGCAAATAAACATGCTCTGTAACCTCTTCTGCTACTTCGCTATACTCTTGTTCCTCCTTGTTATCTGTGAAAAAGTTCCAAGGTGGAGCGAACCAGACCCCATACCTGTCCCATTGTTACCCTGATGCTTCCGAGCTCCCCTTCTTACTCACCACAGGGATTGCTTTAAGAGTACTCGGTGTCCTCCAGCTAGTTTTCCGTTCCAACCATCGCTCTTGCGACCCTTCGACCTGGATTCGAGCCCCCACGAATGGAAGCCACTTGCTGAGACCAGCTCGGTGGAGGAGACCCTAACCCAGCAGCTCTAGAGGAATTAAAGACACACACACACAGAAATATAGAGGTGTGAAGTGGGAAATCAGGGGTCTCACAGCCTTCAGAGCTGAGACCCCCAAACAGACGTTTACCCACATGTTTATTAACAGCAAGCCAGTCATTAGCATTGTTTCTATAGATATTAGATTAACTAAGATGGGCCAAATTAAAGAAATAGGTTTGGCTAGTTAACTGCTGCAGGAACCTGCCCTGAAGGCATAAATCGCTCATGCTTATTGTTTGTGGCTTAAGAATGCCTTTAAGCGGTTTTCCGCCCTGGGCTGGCCAGGTGTTCCTTGCCCTCATTCCAGTAAACCCACAAACTTCCAGCTTGGGCGTCATGGCCATCATGAACATGTCACAGTGCTGCAGAGATTTTGTTTATGGCCAGTTTTGGGGACAGTTTATGGCCAGATTTTGGGGGGCTTGCTCCCAACAACAATATGCATACAATAATATATACTATATGCAATATATATAATATATACTATGTATAATATACATACACTAATATATGTATACAACATAATACTGTGTGTATATTGCTTGTATACACATGTATATTGGATATGGTATGTACTCTATGTATATTGTATATTGACCTCACTATTCACATGTATATGAATATATGAATATGATACCTTTTTGGTCTTAACATTCATATAGATATATGAATAGTTAGGTCAAAGAGGTATCATTATAACTCTTTCCCCAGGCCTTTCTCTCTTTCTCCCCACTCCCTCTCTCTCAATCTCTCTCAGTATCAGTTAATATCAGAGAAATGAGTCTGGAAGTTACTTATATAAAGTTGATAAGTAAAACCGTGAAAAAGCTGAACTGACAAAGGAAACAGGAGACAAAAGAGAAACAGAGGAGAGGGACCCAAATACAGAAACGTAGAAAGTGGGAGAAGGTCTACATTTAGGAGAGATTCAATAAAGAACTCATGAAAGGATACAGAAAAGGGAACACTGGACTTGTAAGCCATGAGATGACAGAACTTCTATCAAATCCTGCAGTTTAATTAGATTACGGATTCATCAGAGTTGGCCATCATAAGTCATTGATTATTTTAGAAGAGGGACTTCAAGAGTTGTGGTAAAATAAATGAGGTGGAGAACATAGAATTCTCTTTTGAGTTTATTTTTTAAAAATAATTGAAGGAGAAAGAGGGTAAGGATGGCTGTGAACATTGCTAGGCTAAGGAAATAAGCCAGCAAAAGGGAGAAACATGAGAGGCAAGTGACAGAACAAGGTTCCATGGAAGAACAAAGCACAAGATAAAGAGCTCAGATGCAACCTGGAAGAACATGTCATTCCAAACTAGCTTGCACGAAAGAGGGAAGAAGTGACAGGTTTTAAAATGAGAAGAGGGCACATTTAGGGTGCTTACATGGGTTGAGCTCAAACTTCTAAATAAAGGAGCAAATTAGATAATTGACTGAGATATGGCTATCTCTATACAGAAATATTTTAATTTTATGTTTCAGGTATTATTACAAAAATAAGTCAATGTAAGTTATTTTACAGATAGGAAATAAGTGTTTACCCTATGTCTAAAATTTAAATACAGAAGCTTTCACAATTTAAAAAATACGTTCCTGGAATTGAGCAAAATGGAGGGTATATTTCCAAACAGAAACCTAGTATTTGAAAGAAATGATTCCAAGCCCCTAAATATTAGAATAGATTGTATGAATTTTGAACATAAATACCCAGTGATACCAAGATCCAAGGCCTTCAGACTTGCAGAAAAACATATAGTACAGTCCCCTAACATTAGTAGCTCTTGAAAATCATCATCCTTCATATTCAATTATTAATCAGGTTTTGTGTAATTCATTTAAAAGGTAGAAATTTCTTGGAGAAGCCCTTAAAATTCATGCCAAGATCTCCCAGAAAAAAGAGTGAGTGTGTGTGTGTGCATGTGTGTGTGTGTGTGTGACCTGACTTTTTAAAATTTTGAACATGAACTTCAAGCTTTCTGCACTTGGATAAAAGGCAAGAGAAAACATCCAGCACCTTCAATGCAACAAAGAAAAGTGAGAGGAATGCATGGTGGAGAAAAAGACTCCCTCACAAGACATTTCTCCACTCCCTCCAAAACTGCACCAAGAGATGTATTCAGAAAATAGACGTCTGGGAAACACGCACAATTGCTAAGCAGAACTGACAACTGTATTATCTCTGCTTATAACAGGCTGTTAGCATAAACTGCCAAGCAGCTCTCAGGTAATAAAATCAGAAAAGTACATAGGCTTTGGGATGTGATTTTTAGCTTTCCTGAACTTCATATTTCTATTGTGCATGATTAAGACACTTAATAGGTATATTTGTCAATGAAGGAATAAATAAAGAAATGTGTGTGTGCATGCATAAATGCATATATACTGAGTATCAGATGGAATTCCAATGCCCAACAAGGAGTGGGACTGCCTGGCAATTCTGGACAACAGACACAGACATGCACTCAGGGTTGGGCTTCCTCCAAGCAAGCCGGCCAATTTCCCAGTACAGATGATGGCCAAATATTCTCTTGAGAAAGATATCTAATGCTTTTGGAAATACCTTAGTTTCTCTCAAACGCCCTAAGCACCATGTTTTCACAGATTGAAATAGCAAAAAGAATTTCCAATACCGTAAAAGGACTGCTAGACTACTGAATTGGAATTGCATGACCTATATACAGATCATAGGCAATGTAATCTAGTCATTAAGAGCCTCCCCTCGAGAAGGCAGAATACCTACATAAGAATAGCTACTCCACCACATACTGACTGTGTGGTTTTGGAAAGAAGTTAAACTGCCGGAGACCGATTTTTCTCCACTAAATAATAACCCACCACAAAGTTTATGGTGGGGATTAAATGAGATAATGCATATATAGTTCACATATTATCTGGTGCCTAGAAAATACTCAGTAAATATTAGCTGCTTAGAATTTGTGTTTTAAAGGGAGAGAAAGTGATGTGAATGTGTTTGTGAATTTTTTTGCTTATATATGCATAAACTATCTCTGGAAGGATAATGTCAGTTATCCTAAATGAAAAGAATAGTAGTTGGGAAAGGGAACACAGTAAGACTTTTTCATTGTATAGCCTTTAGTATCTCTTCAAATATTAACCACCTGAATTTATTACCTATTCAAAAACAGTAAACTGTAAATATAGCAAATAAATTAAAAACTGCTGTTAATTTTACTCACTTCTAAACAGCATACATATACTGCACTTCACTATAATATGTTCCCACACTAAATTTAGAAGTAATCCAAATAGCAAGTTGGAAGACTGATCAAAAGAGGACTTGTATTTTTGTTTAATCCAGCCTAAGGCATTTCCCAACATTTTTGTTTGTTTTACTCTCCCTTTAGCCATAGATTAAAATACAGGCAGTCCTCACTTTGCATTGTTCCACTATGCATAATTTCAGTTACTACAGTTTAGTTTTATAACAGCAATACTCCAATAACACAGGTCAAACTTCAGCTACCACAGTATATTTACTGAGAATTAATTGCATAAAGAACCGATTTGCTGCTGGCTCTTCGGCCCACAAATCACCATATAACCACCAGATGCAGGTCATGATCAGGTACTAATCAATCATGTCACTTCTTTCAAGGTCTGCCTGAGATTGGAGATTGGTCATCATTCATCTGTTATGAGGTTTATCCCCAGATCATAAAGTGTGTAGTTGTCTCCTTGTTTCCCAGTAATAAAGCCAGGTAACATTTATAAAAAATGGATAATCCAAAGAGTGAGCCAGTCAAAAGAAGTAAGTGCAGCAAATAAATGAAAAGCAATCATGCAGGAAGTCAAATTGAATATTATTAGAACTTATTCACCTAAATGAGCAGTTATGACAAAAAGGATGAAAGATATACCAGAGAGGTTATGCCAGCAAAAAACTTCACATTATCAAACTCTTGGAGCTATTTTACAATATTTTACAACACTCAAAACACACAAAAAATAACATTTTGGAAACGGATTCAGATTTAGAAAGGAGTATGACAATTTTCCAAGGTGTAAAAAAGATGTTGGCTCCATGTGCTGAGTTACATTATAAGAAGAAAAGCAGAAAAGCACTGTTTAAACTACTCTTATTATTTTTTCAAAGAAATGAAACACTAATTTTTAATGTTTCAACTGTTTTAATTACAGTGTACTAAATATTAGTTTTACTAGTTTTTATTTTCCTTTATATTTATTCCCAGAAGTAAGAGAGTGTTTAGTGTTTTGACAAAAAATTTAAACGCTCCACAAAAATCATGATTTTTTCCATGATTACTAAACTCACTTTGCATAGTTTCAACTTGCAAAGCCAAGCTGAAAGTAGTCATGCTTCTTTTCCACCAGATAATATGAACTTTCTGCTTCATTTTAAAGAATGTGTGATTTATGAACCTAACTATTATCATTAATGGAATATAATAATGTCAAATCTGTAATATTAGACCTATTTTCAAAATTAACACCAAAAATGTTACAAATGTCAGCATTACCTGAATTCAGTTTCTTGTTTTCAGTATTTTATTGTCACATATGAAATATATACACAACTGGATTCATATGGTCAAATGAAAAAAATAGTTATCGTGACAAGGCTAGTAACACAAAATAATTGATGGTATTTTATTTTTTCTTCTGTGCATGAGTTCAGGAGAGTCAATTCCATCACTGAAACAGAAAAAGATTTCGATAGACTTGTTTCCAACATTTTCTTTACAGATACATACAAAATGTGTTTGAGGAATAACTTGACTATTTTAGGGTGAACTACTGTATATTATTACTGGCTACTCTGCATTTTTAAATACTTAGACACTACATATTGTATTAGTAATCTTGAAAGAGCAAAGGACATAGGTTGTTTGGATAACAAGAGGGGTAATTATGAAGAAGGAAACATGAGCAAGATAGAAATAAACAGAAACTATAACTGGAAAATTCAATGTCACCAACGAATTTTAATGACACAAAACTTCTAACTGACAGCATGCTACTTCCATTCATTGCTAATTGCACACAGAGTACATCCAAAAGAGGAGGCAGTTAGAAAGAAGGTGCTGTGTGAACTTGGGGAGGAAACTCGGGGGTGGAAATCTCTGAAGATGTAGTGACTGAGTAAGTAAGAAGAGGACATGAGTTCATTTTGTAATGTAGGGAAACCAATCAAGCATAGATGAAATATCATTGCAATAAATGAAGATTTGTGGGAAGAGTTAGTGGAAATATGGAGAAAAGTTATAACCGTCAAAAGGAAAAATGAATTTTTTTCACAAAGTGCGTCTAATTTAGTCAGAAACCTGATAATCATGCTTAACAATTTTCTTTCCCTCGACTTCCATGTCCAAATAGTTGCCAAGGTCTGGAGATTTTTACTTTCTAAATATCTCTAGATTGTATCTGTACTCTGCATCTTTTCCACTAACACAACTACCATGACTGCTCTCCCAGACACCCAGACCACTGGCATAGTCTCCTAAGTTTTCTTCCCACATTTACTCTGCCTCAGTCTGCTCTCCAGACCCACTCTGTGCTCTTCTCCACCTCTCCCCATGCTTCAAGATGCTGAACTACAAGAACATATTAATGGGCCCCCCTGCTCTGTGGAGCCCTGTGGTCCCATCAAGGTATTTCTTCTCTCAGCTCTTTGTGTTCAGTGTCGCTGCAGGTTTGCAGCATCCCTCCACAGAAGCGATATCTTCTGTAAGGCAGCTCCCCTCTACTTAGTCCCTTTGTCTCCAGGTTCCAAAAAAAACCCTGTAATTCTTCCTGCATCAGGCCTGGGGAGGAATTATCCAACTCTTGGTCTCCTCTCCTCCCCATCTTTTGTAAATAGCTGCTTTATTATACTCTCTTCAAATAATTCCACTTGACTGTGCCATGTGTTTCCTGTCAGGGTCTGGACAATGGTCTTGTCCCTGCTCTTTCTCCAACAGCATCTCTTAATAGTCCTCATCCTAATCCACACTGCTTACAGTCTCAACGGCAACCCATTGAACTACTTACAGTTCCCCAAGTGTGCCCTTATTACATTCCAGTTTTCTTCCTTGCTATTCACCGGCCCTAATATCCACCCCATAATTCAGAAATTTCATCTTCCCAGAAGTTTTGATATCCTCTACTTACTATCTTCTAGTTTGTGTTTGGGTAGTCATTTTAGCTCCTAGAGCACGGTATCTATCCATACCACAATGCTTATCACTCCGTGATTGCCTTTTATTTGTCTGTCTATCCTACAAGCTCTGAATCACCATCTTTAGTTTCTAGTCCCCAGGGCCGAATAAACTCCCTGGCACATGATAGCTGTTCAATAAGCAAATCAAACTATAAAGCTGTGTGTGTAATCTAGCTAAAGTAGTTCAGAGCTATTTTGTAATATATTGAGGCACAGTATATTATAAACAAGCTTACCTATTTATCCCAACCATTTTCTTCTTCCAATACAGATCTTAGTGGGAATACAGCTCCCATAGCCAAAATACTGTACCAAGTGTATAGACTGATGCAACTACCTCCATCAGCCATTTATCCTTCCAAAAATAAAACCTTTAAGCTTCCTTCTCAATTCTCCTTTACTGAGCATTTTATTTCTTCAGTGTTGTCAAAGAAAATACAGTACATTAAAAAGTAAGGATGACCCAGAAAACTGGATTGAGAAAGATTTCAGAAGGAGGTTTATTCAGGGAAAACATTATGAATGTTTCATAGTATTATTACTCCCATAAGCTTTGCAGTGAGAGTAACATTTACCATTTCTTTACATTATTTTATTAAAATTATTTGTTTCTTTTCTTTTATGGCTACCTCTTCCTCTCCTCTCCCCCATTTCAACCATATTCTTCACTCAGTCCTTTAGAAGACACTATGGTATTCCAACTAGATTTCCTTACCCTTTTCAGGACTAAAGAACTTACTTCTCAGCTTCTGGGAATGCTGACAGTTGATGGCTCACAGGCGAATCCTTCCTTCCAAGTTTCACCCTCAGCTGAAGAGAGCTGCGGGTATGACATCTTACCTCCTTCCTGGGGCAGTCCACAGCCAATGACTAGTCAGTGCTGAGGGCTGGAAGGGGAAAGCATACAGAGAATGTCAGGAAACAAAGCTCCCTTGCTCCTATTTGGAAAAACCATGCGGGGATATCAGGGATATTTCAGCTCCAGAGGGCCTTCTGGAACCAGTTTTTGCTGTGACTTCATCACAACCCAACCCCTCCCTAAGCTTGACCTACCTTCATTTCCCTTCAGTGGTTGACACAAGGAGCCCTCTGCCACTCCCCCATTCACTCCTTGAATGCCAATCTCTGTCTCAGAACCGCTTTCCAGGGAGTCTGACTGTGAGAGTCTTCAACAAGGACCCCATGTTAAAAAAAAAAAAAAAAAGAATTCTTCCGTGCTTCCTTCTATAACAGTTTAATCACATACACAAACGTATGTAGGCATATACATGAATAAAAGTGTTATAAATATATAAGATTTTGGTTTTTGTTAATGGGATATTATACATTTCTTAGTTTTACCATTCAATAGCACATAGTATAAATTCCTTCAACACAACTTGTACCATTTTATAACTTTAGTTTATTCTTTGAGTAGCTACATAATACTCCATGATGTTGACATATCATAATGTAGTCATTCATCTTTTGCTGGGCATTCATCTTGATTACTGTTTTGTTTTGTGTTCGTTTTGGCCCCCATGAACAATGCTGGAGTAAATATCATTGTATATATGCCCCTATGGACTGGTAGTTTCATTTCTGTAGGTTTCCAAAAATAATAATAGGTTCAAAAATATGTATATTTTATTTTCATAGATATTGCCAGATTTGTTTCTAAAATCCTATAATATTCACATTTGTACCATTAATAAGAATAACTTATGAAATAATTCTATATAAGTCATTGTGATATATTTCTTTCTTGTCCTATACATAAACAAATGACTTAATGAAAACTTTCTTTTTCAAGATGAAAGTCTAGAGAGGTCCCCAAAATCGATCCAGCAAAGATTTTTTTGGATATAACCCTAAAAGCACAGGCAACAAAAGCAAAACCAGACAAATGAGACTACATCAGGCTAAAAATCTTCTTCACAGCGAAGAAAACAATCAACAGAGTCAACAGGGAACCCATAGAATGGGAGAAAGTATTTGTAAACCATACATGTAAGAGGTTAATATTCAAAGTATATAAGGAACTCAAAAAACACAATTGCAAGAAAATAAATAACCCAAGTTTTTAAATGGACAAAGAACCTAAATAGACATTTCTCAAAAGAAGACATGCAAATGGCCAACAGATATATGAAAAAATGTTCAACATCACTACTTATCAGAGAAATACAAAGTAAAACTGCAATGTGGTATCACCTCACATCTGTTAGAATAGCTATAATCAAAAGGACAAAAAATAACAAGTGTTGGTGAGGATGTGGAAAAAAGAGAACCTTTGTCCACTGTTGGTGGGAATGTAAAATGGTGCAGCATATCAAGAAACAGTATGGATGCTCCTCAAAAGAAAATTAAAATAGAACTATCATATGATCTAGCAATCTCACTTCTGGTTATACATATATAAAAAAATCAAGTCAGTATGTTGACAAGATATCTGCACTCCCATGTTAATTGCAGCATTATTGACAATAGCCAAGTTATGGAATTAATGTAAATGTCCATCAACAGTAAATGGATTTTTAAAATGTGGTATATATACACAATGGACTATTATTCAGCCTTTAAAAAATAAGGAAATTTTGTGATTTGTGAACCTGAAGTATACTATGTTAAATGAAATAAGCTAGGCACAGAAAGACAAATACTGCATGATCTCATATGGATGTGGAATCTGAAAAAATCAAACTCATAGAAACAGAGAACAGAATGGTAGTTGCCAGGGGTTGTGGATATGTTGGTCAAAGAATACAAAATATCAGTTAGAAAGAATAGGTTGAAGAGATGTACTGTACACATGGTGAATATATTTAATAACAATGTATTTGCATACTTAAAAATTGCTAACAGAATAGATTTTAAGTGTCACCACAAAAAAATAAGCATGTGAGATAATGGATATGTTAATTAGCTTGATATAACCATTCCACAATGTATTCATATTTCAAAACATCATGTTGTAAACGATAAATATATATAATTATTTGTCAAATAGACAAATAAATACATAAATTGTATCATTATAAAAAAAATGTTTTAAGTGCTACTTGATCACCAAAACAGAAAACACAAAATGAAAAACCACTCATTTTAGAAACTCACAGACTGGTAGAAGTGATGATAACATAAAAATGGAAAACTCTTTTTTAAAATCGAAAGTACTACAATTAATTGTAAGGCAAGTCTAGCTTTTTTTTAAGTTAATAAAATATTTTTTAAGTTTTTTTTAAATGGAGCTAGAATTTATGACTGATATACTTAAATTTATCTAAAACAATTTCTTTTGTTATTCAGACTCTCCTAGAAGCAATAAAAAGTATCCAACCTCTTTTCCCCCAGAATTGATATTGTGATGCCACTAAATATGTTCAAAAATTAGGGATAGCCAGTAAGAATTATAACTAACGATTTCCTGAATCCAGGGAATAAATATTGGTTTAAAAACAGAAAACAATGATGTTCAATTCGGAAAGCTACATACAACGTTCCATATTCAGATTTTAAATGTAGTCAGGTGCAAGAATAGCTAGATACTACCATCCCTGATTTCACCAACAAACCATTATGGACATTTTTAATACATGATACAAATCTAACATTCTTAAATGTGTTTCTGCTGACATACGATAAAATATATATATATATATATATATATATATATATATATATATATATATATATGTATCACAAAGTTCAGCTATTTTGTATTTTGTCATTGGAAAATGTGTTGTGATTTGCAAAGAAAACAGTTTTCCTGTTTTAGCAAAATTAGAAGTTAATGAACTGAGTATTCCACTGTAGCATTAACATAAATAAATACAAATCTACAACAAAGAGAGTTAATCAAATTGAGTTGAACAATGCATTATCCCAAGTACATTTTGCACAAAACTACAGGCTGAGGAGTAATTATGTTTATGCATGGGCACTTGGCATTTTCAACTTGAAAAACATTTTTTCCAAGTAAAGTTGATTCCATTTACAAGCGCAACCAGTTGGTTGCTAATGTTAGGACACCATCTTGTGGATAAGGTATCTAATTTGGAAACGTATTTGAAATCATTTACACAGTAAAATGCAAAAAAAATGTTCTTGATATCACAGAAATTAATCAACAGCTTTACCTTTATTAGCATGTCTACAAAAGGTATGGCTAATAAAAGAACACTGAATAATTTTTATCAAAAAAGCCTTTTCTCATTGTGCATCTGCTATGGACCAAATGTTGTATTCCAAAGTCAGTGTATTAGAAAGGCATTTTAGTGAAATCTTTATTCTACAGAGAATTAATGAAATCCATGTTAGTAAAGATAAACTTTCATTTGCTGCTATCACATAATGCTGAACACGTTTAAGATATAGATTGTTTGCCAATATATTGTTCTTGAGTTTTATATTGTCAATATTAAATACATATATTTAATATATATATATAGGAGGCATATAAGAATCTCAAATATCAAACTGGTTTTCTCCTTAAAAAATATTAATATCCACTCCAGCCTGGGTGACAGAGTGAGACTCCGTCTCAAAAATATGTATGTATATTAATATCTCCATTAACCTGCCTGTTTACTTAAATAAGAAAAGTAACACTTATAGGAATGCTGATACAGTTTGGCTTTATATAACACAATAAGTTAGCAGAAACAGAATACATGCCTAAGAAAGCTGAGCGCCAGTCTTTCCTCTGCAACTGATTAGCCACCTATCTTGGACAAATCAATTCACTTCCCATGCCTTAGTTATCACAGCTGTGACAAGAAATAGTGGATGCTTATCCAGAGAATTTTTGAAGACATAAAATAATACATATAAAATTTCTGCATCTACCGCAATATAGGAAATAAGAAAAACAGATCTGATTTTATTCCAGATCCTTGTTCTAATCCCTGTCCTCAAAAACAGCTATGGTTTCTTTAGGTCTTTTTTAAAAAATTCTGTGAACACCCACTGTATCTTCCAACACATTTTTCTTTTATTAAGCTGTTATGTGCAGTAAACCTTCTTGACTAACACAGCACTCATGTGATTTGGGGAAGGTAATTACATTTAGTTAATGGAGGAGGGAATAAAAATTCGGGTTTTCATTAAACGGGTATGGGTTTGAATTCTGACTTTCCCACTTATCAGTTGTATGACTTTTGGTCAGTTATTAAGCTTCTCTTGCCTTGGTTTTCTCATTTGCCTCACAGAGTTCTAAAAAGCACTAAATTAAGGTGTGTAAGGCATTTATCACAGTGACTGGTCTATGGCAAGTGGGATATGGTGAACAAGAAAGATTATTATTATAATTATTGTAAATGGATATTATTTAATTTGACATCCTCCCAAATCTCAAAATAAATCAGAGTATGAAATACTCATCATTCATAATATCTGTAAAAGAAATAATACTGTTCTGCATTGATGCCCACAAAATATCCACTTAGAAGAAGACTTAAATGGTATTTTTATAGTCTGAATTGATTTCCTCTAAATGGCTAAAGCTCTGAAACAACTTGTAACTTCCCATCTGCACCATAGTACACAGACCACAATACATCCAACTCTTCGAGAGATTTGAATCTTCACAGCTCATTAATCTATAATGAAAATAACTTATGAGCATCTTTGACTTACAAAGGCAACTTGCCTTCCTCATCATGGATTCGTGGCTCCTCCAGTAAACGTGGTGAGTCAAGGTTCTGCAGCATTCAAACAGCTTAACCATCAAAGTGACCAAAGGTCTTTTTGAAGGAGCTAAAGAAATAAAAGAGATATCCCCTAGTTTCTCTTCTGACTGTATGATACTTCAAAAAGTAAAAATACAAACTGACTATTTTGGAAATGTGAGATTGTGTTGTTTTTCAACCACATATGTGATTTTTTTGCCTTCGATATCTAGTTAATTAAAACAGAAGCATTTTACAAATACATAATGTCTCAGAAAATAAATCTGCATTCCCCTCCTCCCTCCCATTTTTTTTTCTAATTCAATTTCTAAACTTTAAGAATCAACTCAATTCTCAGCATATCCTTCTATCCTTCCTGATCCATTAGAAGTCCTAATGACCATCCTAGGCCATATTATACTTTATTTTATTCCATGTCAATAACTTGGAGCAAATAAAGACACCTCAAGCAGGCTAAAAACCTAGGATTTCATCAAATGTATAGCTTTTAAATATGAAATTAGCATTTACCTTGGAGAGAGGCAATCTGATTTTTTTCTGTTCATAAAAGTATACACTTTTTTTATTATGTTTAGACTGAAGAATTTATCGCATGCCTATTGTTTGAACTCAAGATTGTCTTTCATTTCACATTTTTCTCTTCAGTCATAACTGGATCACATTACTCACATTAAAAAAGACATAACATGCAAGAAAATAGTTCCAAATTCCTTTTCAAAATATGTGTGTACTTTTTTCCTGGCTTTCACAACAGCAAGGCATTTCCAATCTGTCTATGGTTTTGTTCTTGCTAGAATTTTTTATGCAATATCCTAAATAAGCAATTTTGGGGGAGGCATATTAAAGCGCTTAAACTTTTCATAAAAGAAAATACTCTTTTCTGGTAAGCTGTATTCCTCCATTTATTATTTATTTTCTGAAATCCAGCTACCAGTATTGCTGATTTTAGAGTATCAGCAGCTGACTGGCTCTGAGTTGGTAAGCACAGTCTACAATTGTCCTCTGTGCCTGTGTGTGTGTATCACTTGTTTAGGTAGGTGATGGTGGAGAGTGGTTTTTATTTTGAAATTTTTGATTGTAGAGGCTGACCATGTCATTAGGAAATATGTGTAAGGAGTCACACAATACTTATCGATTAGCTGCTTGGGCATCCAGCCCCTTAATCTAAGTCTTCACAAACTGTTACCTCATGCTATACTTTGTAAGTTAATGCAGGTCAGGGACTTCAAGAATCTCAAAATAACAGGTGGCTGGGATTATGTGGTAACTATTTTGAGATCACTGCTATCTGCTACTTTCCCTCAGTTACTGATACAATCCTCTAGGGACAATTGTTTGAAAAATCCATTATATTTTCTGTTATGTCCCTATCCCTACCCTTTACAAATTATAATTTGAACAATATTAGCACAATGTTGAGCTGTAATAGGCACTTAACATGATTTTTCTTGAAACTATTGTTTTCATACCAATCCTAGATTTCTTTCTTCCTATGATAACACCTCTATATTATACCCTCTGTGAAAAAGAGTTGTGTATTTCAGTAAGCTATATTTTGAGGTACTTCCTAATATATACCTTTCCATTTCAAATATTAGCATTTTTGATATTTGGTTATATTAATATTTTTAAATAGACTTTTATATACTCACACTGTCTACTTAATAACTTTTTAATTGTGATCAATAGTGCATTCTATCATGTGCTGATTCATTGGAAGCAAAGATTTGAGAGAAAATGTTCTGCATACTACAGTACTGCTTTCAATTGAATATTGATTGATCCAGCACATTTATATTAGGAGTTTTTTATTGAAAGTAATAGAGCTAAGCCCAGATTAAGAGTGCTCCATTGCTTTCAAAAAAGTCCAGTCATAAAACACATTATATTTAACATCTGTGGCCACTTTAACCTCCTAGCTTCCTATGACAGTATATGCACTGTCTTTTAACCCCTGCCAATTCAATATTATTACTTGTTTTGATGGTATATTTCCGAAATATATTGCACAGGAAACTGAGTTCTGGTCCAAGGCACCAGATAATTATTCTTGTAAATATTAATTAAAATAAAATAAACTGAAAATGGCATTGTTGTTATTTACTTTTTTATCTAGATTCTTATAACCTGACAATTCTACCGTCTCACTGATACATGATAGTCCAAGAGCTAAGATGATATTGCAGGACTATCATTAGAGGGGAAAAAAAGCAATTCTAAGCTGCCTTTAAAAAATATTCCTGGCTGAGCACAGTGGTTCACACCTGTAATGCCAGCACTTTGGAAGGCCAAGGTAGGGGGATCACCTGAGGTCAGGATTTCAAGACCAGCCTGGCCAACATGGTGACAGCCTGTCTCTACAAAAATACAAAAATTAGCCAGTCGTGATAGATTATGCTAAAATGTTCACCCTACCTGATACTAATTTTCCATTATGACGGGAAACACATATTAGAACCTACAAAGTAGTTGAGAGGGGATATGTACTTGATGGATGGAGAAAAATTGCCTCTGCAAAAATGCCTCATTTACATGATGTTAAAATGAATCATTTTTACCTAATTGGCATCACAGTTGAGCTGAATTAAGATAAACAGCTATAATTTATTAAGTTAAGCACTCACATGTGTATAACAAGATGCCCATCACAACAGAAGTACAGCCAAACAATATACTAAAGAGTCACAGATTTATTGACTATTTTAACTGAAAATATCTTTAAATATTATCTTGTCCTGATATGTTAGCCACTCATCTTTTAAGAAAAAACAAAGAACAGATAAATTCATGGGTGACTGGGTTGAAAAGGTGAGAACTGTTTAAGGCAGGTGTTAGAAATTTCTTTATTAAAAACTGCATATATTTAAAATATTACGATGCTACTGTTTAAGAAAGAATATTTGAAAATATGTATTAAACTTGTAAGTGAACAATAAGAAACACAAAATATTATTAATTTATGCTTACAAAAAAATATTAAACTACAATAGGCAGATTGCAGCTTCAATTAAAATTACTCTGTTCATTTTTTAGGCTACAATAGACATTACCAGAATTAGTTATAATTAATTTTAACCAGGTCTAAATTTAAAGGCATAGGAAATCTTTTTTTTTTTTTTTTTTTGAGATGGAGTCTCGCTCTGTCCCCCAGGCTGGAGTGCAGTGGCACGATCTCGGCTCACTGCAAGCTCTGCCTCCCGGGTTCACGCCATTCTCCTGCCTCAGCCTCCCAAGTAGCTGGGACTACAGGCGCCTGCCACCAAGCCCGGCTAATTTTTTGTATTTTTAGTAGAGGCAGGATTTCACCGTCTTAGCCAGGATGGTCTCAATCTCCTGACCTCGTGATTCGCCCGTCTCGGCCTCCCAAAGTGCTGGGATTACAGGCGTGAGCCACCTCGCCCGGCCAGGAAATCTTGATAAGGTGTGTGAGATATTAAGATTTTTAAAATCTGATAGCAATTTTGTTAACTATAGATAAATATGATATTACATCTTGTTATTCTTCTCAATTTTAACAGAAATAAAGTAAATGTGTTCCCCTGGTGAGAAGGTTTTGGATCTGATTATGTTACGCAGAGAACTCAAGTCTGACCAAACTTGAAATGAAAATCCTCCAAGAAGAAGCCACATAAAAAACAAAATAACGTTAGAGGTGCCAGTATTTTCATAAATTTGGAGGAGTTAGGCTCAATGCATACTCAGAATAGTGTAGTCCAGAAAAAGAAATGATGACTTAGACCCATAGACAGATGAGGAGGCTGAGTTTGCTCAACAAACATTGCTTTTGCTTAACCAATATCCATTCCAACTTCCTTTGTATGTAGCACTATCATTTGCTTGGAGGACTGTTGTTCACCAGTATTGGTTCTGTCATGTTCCACATCCAAGAGGTTCACTCCAGGGAAGAATTCACACTGGAAGGAGAAGGAATTGCAGGAGCTACATTTTTGCATGAGTAATTGTATTGTCATTATCAAATTACCAATTTCTTCAAAACAGTAAGTCCACCAAGGACAAGAATGCTGGGTCCACTCCCTGAAGCCAAAGGAAAAGCCTGGCAGAGTACTAGTGATTCCACAGGCTGAAGTTCAGCACAAGGGACGAAACAAGGGGGTAGAGATGATCTATAGTTCAAGGCCCTTCTGATTGTCAGGGCTCACCCTAGCGCAGCCGACCGTGGATCTAACAAGAACTTATTTCAGTCTTCTGCTGCTGGGAACAAAGTAGTTAAGAATGTTTTTACTTCAGTCAAGAATGACCAAGGGCTGAGCAAAGCTGCCCAGCTGGTCTTCCAGCTTGGGTAAGTAAGTAGGCCTGGAAGAAGCAAGCCATAATGGTGTAAGGATGGTTTGTTAACAGTGGATAAAGTCAATAATATGGTGTGTCTCAAACTGAGAAAAAGTTTAAATATATAAACAACCACACTTCTTGATATTTTGCAAAGATACTCTCTCTCTGCACTTGAACTACTCACCTCTCTTTGGGACATTCTTTATTCTCCTGTGGTAAGATTTTTTTTTATATCTTAAATGCACTAAAATGCTATCTATCTTCTAGGGAGAATACCTGGTTCTGCAAATGGTTTTTTTATATTTCTACGTAATTCTAATTTGAATTAAGTATTCCTTCTACAGGAAGGTATGGACAATATCTAATTAATAAATAGATCTGTGCACTGGGCCCTGCACATCAGAGGCATACAGGAAATAGTTGTTCAATTAATAAACGCCAGGTTCATGAAAGGAGTAGTTCCTTCTCTGACTGAAATTATTCAGATCTATCTTTAATGTTTTAATTATTCATAAAAAGAGTTTCAGCTGGAAATTAAACCTCATTAGCACCTGAGACACGAAGTGCTCTCCTTTACACACAAAATTAATTCGATTACTGATGGAGGAGAAGTCTTTTCAAAATGAGAAGAAAGGAAAATGAATATAGAAGAGTAGAGAGGAAAGAAAGCATAGTCTCAAAACTTAGGTATGGCATATATTTACAGACTCTTAAGTACTGCTCTCTGGTTTGTATATGGAATATAACAACATGGCACTTAAGTGTGTAATTAGAAAACATGCATAATAAGAACCTTAGTTTCAGTGAAAAAAAGTGTTTGAGTGCTCTAAAACCAACTACGGGGGTTGGGTCTAGTTTCTCTGCAGTTAATAAAGAACTATTCTATGCTTCACTTAGATAGTTCTTTATCTTCAAAAAAAGATTTCTTTTCATCTCTGATACCTGAAATTCCAGGTTTCAATGGCCATGGTCATCAGCATTATCTTCTTTGGAAGGATTCTTCCTCAATGATAAAGAATGATAGGTAGTAATGTGAAAATCCAAAAGACATTCCATTTACAAGTTTTTCTGTATAAAATACAAAATACTTATAAAAGGAATGATTTGTGCTTTATTTGTGTTTTTCTGGTTTATTTAACTTTTTTTGGTTTCTTATCCACATAGATTTATCCACACTATAAGTGAATTTAAAAAGAAGGAATTTTAAAATAAACATGATGACCTATTCCTTTATAAAACATATTTAAGTTTAAGAGATAATGAATAACATAGTCAATAGAGAATTTTTCATTCTCTTCTGGGTTTCAAATAAACTTGGTTTCAGCAATTTAGAGTTCTAAAAAATATGTCAATGTGTAAAGCGCATTGGCGCATCTCTTCGAATAAATTTTGGAATAAATCAGATTTTGTTCCCTTCTACAAAGATAATAAGAAATATGTCCAACAACTGTTTTCAATGGGTTATGAACCTTCAGAAGGTTAAATTCTCTATTTCTGTTACTTTGGGGATCCTTCTTATATCTCTGACAAGCTCAGTACAAGTTGCACCTGTCAAATATGTTGGCGGTTTACAAGACAACTGTGCCTGAAAGAAACTGGGCCTACATTTTCACTTATCTTATTGAAGTTTGATATTATAAAACTGTGACTGAAATTTTTCTATCAAATAATGCTTCTACTTCCTTTATAAGAGTGAGAGGCTTAATGCCAAAAGCACAGCAATTTGAAGATATCCTTTTTCAAATATTAGGTCTTCAAAACATAAATGCTACAACACATTAGAGCTTATAAAGTGACACATAAAGCTTCCTGCATAAACTGTATTTTTTATAAGACTTTGTAATAATTATGTCACATGAAATACCAAAGAATGTTTCCTTCCAAAAGATTATATCTAAAATCATCTAACTTTATAAAAGAAAGCAATAACTTTATAAAAGAAAGCTATAGCCCTAATTAGTAGAGGGTCATCCTAATGATATAGTGACATTCTGATCTAATCTATTGCTTTGATTTTTATTGTCTTTTTAGAAATATATTATGACACAAATCTTCATACAGATTAGAGACACATGAAATACCTGAAAATTCTACTTCCACCTAAGGAAAAGAGGAGAACAAGGTTCTTAATTCAGCACAAGTGCTCTCCAAAATTCTTTCCTCAGAACTTCAGCCGTTCAGAGGGTGGAGAGTGGGAGGAGCCAGAAGATCAGGAAAAATAATTAATGAGTACTAGGCCTAATACCTGGGTGATGAAATAATCTGCACAACAAACCCCCATGACACAAGTTTACCTATGTAACGTACCTGTACTTGTACATCTGAACTTAAAATAAAAGTTTAAAAAATACATAAAAATCAACAATAAAAGAAATTCTTTTCTCTCTCTTCTAGCACTTTTTTTCTTTAGCCTCCAAAAGCAGTGTTGTTTCATTAGATCTTAGATAAAAACTGAGTCTCTGGTCTGGCTGTCTCTATGGCAATGTAGATGTTTGGTTCATTGTTGGTTGAGCGGTGGGGTATAGAGGGGTCAGTCATCTTCAGTACTCAGGTTAAAAGGAAGCCCTTCCTCTCTGAAAGCTAGAAAATGCTCTCCTATCCCTTTCACTTCACCACAAACATTCATTTTCCCTGAAGCCTAGGGCAGTGCATAATCTCCAGCCATCCTGGGGTTAGATAAATCAGTCATTCTAGAGCTTTCTTATTCTGGGGATGGAGAGAAATGGGTTCCAGCTCTTCCACTTCAACCATTGAAACAATAAGCAATTATGACCAATTTCAATCTTTTACTTTACTGACCACACTCCAAAATATCCTCCAATAAAAGACAATGAGAGGAAAAAGAAGCAAAGGAATATGTCTAAAAACTGGAAGTGTTACGGGAATGGTGTCCCTATCCAGACCCCCAAGAGAGGGTTCTTGGATCTCATACAAGAAAGAATTCAGGGCAAGTCCGTAAAGTGAAAGCAAGTTTAAGAAAGAGAGGAATAAACGAATGGATACTCCATAGACAGAGCAGCCCCGAGGGCTGCCGTTTGCCCATTTTTACGGTTATTTCTTGATGATATGCCAAACAAGGGAAGGATTATTTATGCCTCCCCTTTTTAGACCATATAAGGTAACTTCCTGACATTGCCATGGCATTTGTAAACTGTCATGGCGCTGATGAGACTGTAGTAGTGAGGACAACAAAAGGTCACTCTTGTGGCCATCTTGGTTCTGGTGGGATTTACCCAGCTTCTTTACTGCAACCTGTTTTATCACCAAGGTCTTTATAACCTGTATCTTGTGCCAATTTCCTATCTCATCTGGTAACTTAGTATGCCTTAACCATCTGGGAATGCAGCCCAGTAAGTCTCAGCCTCATTTTACCCAGCTCCTATTCAAGATGGAGTTGCTCTGGTTCACAGGCCTCTGACAGAAGGAGAGGGTCTTTTAGCACCTTTGGTGCATAGGGCAATAGAGTCCTAAAATTATTTTGAGCAGATCAATCCAACAGAGGCATAAGGTAACAATAACAGATAATGTGAATGAGAACACAACAGGTAAAAGGAGCCTGCTTTGCAACCTGGGAAGCTGTTCCATTTGCTCTAAAATCACAGAGGATCATATATTGTTTATACAATGTGACATAATAAATTTTGAAAACTATCTGAAAACTGATCTAATTCTATCCCTAGTTCCTATGTCTTCAGTTGGAATCAAAATTGAAATTATCTTGCTTGGATAAGCATGCTTTCCACATGGCAGTTTACAGAGCAAAAAATAAACTATTTTTTATCAAAAAGAAAAATATAGAATAACCTAGTTAAAAGAATATTGATTTTTTTCTTATATAGCTGGCACAAATTAAAATCATACAGTAGAAGTCCAGCAGCTAACTCTGGAGTTTTCCCCGAATTTTTCAAGGATCTCCTCTTCCTATTTACCTGCTGTTCCTCCCTCTACCCAGCCTCAGATGCCCTAAATTTAGTGTTTCTCAAGTTTCAGAAATGTACTAATCTATTTCAATGTAAAAAAAAATGCTCTTTGAGGCTTCCTAGTATTGACAAATTATTTTTATTATTGTTTGTCCAATATGTATAAACACAAAGCTAAGTATAAACTCCTTATGCTTAGAGCTTATGGTTAGAACATCAATTCTAAAACCAAAATAAATATATACAAACAAAATTATAAAAGCAATAAAATTCAAATTAACATTAATTTAGTGTGGTAAATTATGCTATTTTGCTGCAACAAAATGTAAAGATGATACTTAACACACTGGTTTGTCATCTTAGTTCAGAATGCTTACGCTATCCTGTGATATCTGATGATTCAAGTATTCTAAGACTTCTCTATTAAAACTATTGGAAAATGTTCAATTGTGCAGTGCACTGTTTTGTAATTGGGCCTTTACTTGGTATTAGATGCATCATTTATGTACGAAGCTCTGCCTCTGTTCTTTTAATATTATTCTACATTTAAACTACCCCTTAGCTTAAACACATTATATTCACCAAGGCACAACTCTCTATGAGGGCAATTTTGCCCTACAAGGGACATTTGGTAGCATACAGAGACATTTTGATTGTTACAAAATGGAAGAAGGAATACTAGCTTCTAGTAAACAGAGGACAGATATTCTGCTAAACATCCTAAATGCAAGGATAGAGCCCCATGACAAAGAATTACCAAGTCCAAAATGTCAGTAGAGTGAAGATTGAGAAGCACAGCCAAGGCAAATACCAACTGTGAACAGTCAAGTCCTACTTGAGTCCTTGGTTATAAGTGGTTATCTGGATGATCCAAAATATGCTTATATCAATTTATTTCATATTTTTGGTTGAAATTTTTAAAAGAAATTTAAATTGGCATTCTACCTATCTAAAAATTATTGAGCTTCATCAGATATATAAAAATTAAAAACTATAAGAACCCAATGAGAGTTATCATTTTGAAGAAATTCATTTTCTTACATAATATTATTAAAAAATCACACAAGGCTCTGGGATTTTTTATTCTTAATCTAATTGTTTTAAAAATACCACTCTAAGAATTAGCCTGTGTTATATATACTTATAGAATTACTCTAAAGTGAATCACCTTCAGAAAATGTTTGTTAGTCACCTAATTGACTGTAATAACATACAAAAGAAACAGAATTTACTGCAGAATCCATGTTATAGTATAACGGAGCTGGATATACATTTCTAAAAAGGGGCGATGATCTAAGAAAGTTGGTAAACTAGAATTATAGATTAGTTTAAAATGATATGATAATTAAGAATCTTAATATCATCCCTAGTTTATCAGAAAAGCATTTATTGAACACTTGTTATGAGGCATCGTTTTTATAAACTTTAATCTCAGGTCAAGCACAGTGTATTTTTCCTCCCTACTAGTTTCCATGTCTGATGGGCTCCAGTCAGAAGGTCTGGGAAATAAATATTTGCCAAGGATAAAGAAAAAAGCAATGCTTTTAAGGCTAAAATTCTAGTTTGCTGCAACAGAAAATGTTTCAAAATAGTTTGCATTTCAGTTGCTTCTTAACATCTTCTTGCTAGTTGCAGCAAATTGTGGATCATCTTTAATACATTTACTGCTGCCTAAGAGGCAGTATTGATTAAGACACTGGCCTAGAATCAAGCAGTCTTCATTGGACATTTGATTGTTCTGACCGCTGATAGTGTGGCCTTAAGCCTATTCTTCCTATAGTCCATTTTTTATTTGCATAGTAGACATAACATTAATAGTTCTATTAGCTTTTTGATGGCTAAATGAGGTAAAAGAGAGTGCTTAGAAAAATATCTGGCACTTGATAAGCTCTCAGTAAGTGTTTGCTATAATTATTTCTTTATTTGAGTTGTTATATGAGGAATAATTAAAAGATTACAAAAATAGCAAATGAAGATGATTAAAGCCCCATTTTCAAAATGCAGCTGGATATTTGAAATGAACAGAATTATCCTGCCTAGAGTAAATCATTCTCTTAATTCTCTCTTGACAATAGTTCCACTGAAAATGTGCCCATTTACTATGCTTTAATTCAATTTTTTTCATTAATTCAAACAAATAAACATGTACTGAACACCCACTAAGTTCCAGAGCAGATGCAGTCTAATGTGGAGATGCAAAGAAAAATAAGGCAGAGTCTCTGTCTTCAAGAAATTAATGATGAAAAGGGAAATTGATATTGGCACAGAACCAAATGACCAGAAAAAATGCTTTAGCCCACTCCCTGATTCACAGGCTTACTTAAAAAATGTTAGTGAACATTTCATAGCAACTGATAATGCAGGTAAAACTAAGAGCAAAGAACTGTAGCTTGCATGCATTTGTATATGAAGAACTCCTTTTATGAAGAAAGATGCTGATTATAGGTTGGGAAAATAATCCCAAGCTTCTCTTGGAATTATTCTCTTAGAATTATCTCACTCCATAGTTTGCCTTTCTACTGTATTGTGCAGAAACACAATGTGGGTCCACAACACATACACACACACACACACACACACACACACACACACACACACAGCATTTAAGCATGCATTTTTTTTTCTTTTAACTTCATATACTGTTCAATAAAATACTCAGCATGGGTTCATCTTAAGATGGCCTCCAGTTAAATAAGATGGTGGAAATCAGTCCCAATAAAGAAAAGACAGAACAGACAACTGAAATCAGAAGTATTGCATTTAGAACACTCTTGCCATTTGCTTGATTCCCCACAGCGTTGTTCATGAAGCTTCCCCTGCAAATACTTTGGGTATTTATAGCCTTATCTAGCTTCTGCAATGTTCCTGGGATTTGTCTGCTAAGAGCCTTGAAAGGAAAAGCATTGTGAAGAGGTGAAAATGACAAAGTAGAGCTATATATGGAAAGTTAGGAGCAAATGATGCTTAAAAGTTAACAGAAGAACAGCAAAATAATCAGCATGCAATTATCCTTGGAGGAATATTTCCACCGGCAGAATTTAAATCATTGCACTTGTTCTTGTTATATTTATTATAATAATATTAAACCTGTAACACTTCTGGGGGACAAAAACCAATGTGGTCTTATGTCATTGATACATAATAACTGAGGATCTACATTGCAGTGTCATTTGGCTCTGTAAAAGGAAATCAGTTCTAACTTTTTGTATCTATAAAGGATGTGAGATTTTTCAACAACTTCGAAACTTACAAGTTAACCTGTCACACCAAATAGCCAAAACAATTTTAAGCAAGAAAACAAACCTAGAGGCATCGTACTTCCTGATTTCAAAATATGCTACAAAATGACACCAATCAAACAGTATGGTACTATCATTGAAAAAAATACACATATAGACCAATAGAACAGAATAAAGAGTCCAAAAGTAAATCCACTCATATACAGGCAACTCATCTTCAACAAGGATGCCAAGAATACACAATGGGGAGAAAGTAGTGTCTTCAATAAACGGTATTGAAGAAACTGGATAGTCACATGAAAAAGAAGAAAATCAAGCCGTTATCTTTCACCATATACAAAAATTAACTCGAGATGGACTAAAGATTTGAACATAAGATCTGATACAGTAAAACTAGGAGAAAACAGAAAATACTGGAAAATCTTCTTAACTTTGGTCTCAGGAATGATTTATTGAATGTAACACCAAGAGCACAAACAAAAAATCAAAAATAGACAAATTGGTTTATATGAAACTAAAAAGTTTCGGCACAGTACAGTAGAAAGGCAAACTGTGGAATGAGATAAAATATTTACTAGCCATATATCTGATAAGGGGTTAATATCCAAAATATATAAAAACTCCTCAAACTCAATAGCAAAATAACAAATAACCCTATAAAACAATAGGCAAAAGATTTGAATAGACATTTTTCAAAAGAATATATACAAATGTCCAACAGGTACTATACGAAAAAATGCTCAACGTTATTAATTATCAGGAAAATGCAAATCAAAACCACAGTGAGATATCACCTCACACCTGTTAGGTTGGCTATTAGTAAAAAAAAAAAAAAAAAAAAAAAAAAAAAAAAAAAAAAGATAAATGTTGGCAAGGATATGGAAAAAAAGAGAACTCTTATACTCTTGCATATTTTTGGTGGTAATGTAAAATGGTGCAGCCACTATAGAAACAGTATGGGCGTTCCTTAAAATATTAAAAATAGAACTATCACAAGATCCAGCAATCCTTCTTTTGGGGAAATATCTGAAGGGATTAAAATCAGGATCTTGAAGTGATATCTGCACTCCCAAACTCATTGCAGCATTATTCACAATGGCCAAGATATGGAAACAAGTCAAATGTCTATCAACAGATGTTTGGATAAAGAAAACGTGGTATATACCTACAATGAAATATTATTCAGCCTTTAAAAAGAAAGAACTCCTACCATTTATGACAATATGGATAGACCTAAAAGACACTATGCTAAGTGAAATAAGCCAGACACAGAAGGACAATTAGACATAATTCTTCTTATATGAGGTATCTAAAATAGAAGTAGACAACAGGATGGTAGTTACCAGGAGATGGGAAGAGGGAGATATAGAGAGTTGTTATTCAATGGATATAAAGTTAGAGTGATACAAGATGAGTAAGTTCCAGAAATCTGCCGTGCAACATGTTGCCTATAGTTAACAAAAAGGAGTGTGTATTTAAAAATTTGTTAAGAGGGTAGGACATAAGTTCAGTGTACTTATAACAAAAAAAGGCAGATGTAAGGGAGACATTAAGAAGGTTTTGATATATTTATTGTCTGGATTGTGGTGATGATAACTCAAGTGTATACATTTGTCTAAACTCACCACATTGTACACATTAATTATGTGCAGTTTATTGTAAACAATTTGTATGTCCATAGAACTGGGGTGAGGGAAGTTAGCCTGCTACAGTTTTATTGGTGCTGACAGAAGACGTGATACTCCTAAGCCCCCAAAAAGCTCAGGTTTTTAATCACAGCAGTAATAGTAGCCAGATCATCACCATTTTGCACCAGTTCTCTGAGCCCCAGTATTCATGCGTCACTGAAAAGAGGGCCAGATGACACCTGTATAAAGAATAGGGTATATTACAGGAAAGGACCTCTAAGCTTAGGAAATTCAAGTCTTTTATCATGGACAGTTAAGCCTGCTTGGCCCAAAGGCAAACATTTTATTTATTGTATTCAGCAGTAAAAAACCCTTCCCTTTGCTCTGAAGGGAGACACTATTCTTATCTCCCAAGGTTGTTTGCTACACAAACATCCTTAAAACCATAGTCTAGAATGTGGTAGACGGTGCCTTTACTCACAAGGCATGTAGAGATGTGAGAGAGCAATGGAGAATGGTTGTACAATTGAAACTATAATAACTTAAACATTTTCTAACTCTGAAGTAGTATACATCAAACAAACCTCTTTAGGGTTTAGGAAAACTATATTTGTGTGTACTACACAACATATATAAAACTTACAGAAAATTAAATGCTTACAAAAATAGAAATTTAAAAATGTGAAATATCGAAACAGCAAATGAACTGTTATGACTATAGTTTATGTTCTTTGGTGGGGGTTAATTTAATTATTAATCTATGCTGACTTTTACTCTATCATTAATTAAAATCTAGAAAAATTTCAACAGATATTTTCTTTTTTTTCTGGAAGATATTACTTTGACTTCTTTAGTACCAGGGAGTTCATTGATTCTACAGTTAGATTTATTATTGGGAGTAAGATCATACATTCTTCTTCTCATACTCCTTTTCACGCCAATGATAGTACTAGAATGGAAATAGCTTTGACCAAAAACATAGGTAAAGCCTTTTTCTATGTTGTATGTAGGTGTAGGGCTGTGTGTGTGTGTGTGTGTGTGTGTGTGTGTGTAAGAATGAAAGTTCTGGAATATTGAAAACTATCAACACTCATTTATCCTCCCTGGTCATCAAATAAGCCAACTTGTTTTCCAGATGAAAAATGACATAGAACACAAGAACTGAATATTGTTTTTCTATCATTCTGAAATCCACTACAGAGTAAGTGCCTAATATCACATATTATGGAGCTAGCCCAGAAGAGAATTTGAAGGTTCATTTTTAGAAAACTTAAATGGATTTCCAAATCCTAATTAAAGTATTATCCCTACAAGACAACCAGGATTTCATTTTATCTCTCTTCATATTTCAAATCCCTACCAGAAAATGTGAAATATAACTATATAATTCAGGGTTGCTAAATAAAACAATTTAAAATATGCGTTTTCAATATTTACATGACCATGTTAACATAACTTCAAGTGACTTAAATTATTCATAAAAATGCTGCTTCACCTGGACTAACAGTTGCACAATTAAGATAGATTTCACACGTTTATTCAATGACACAAATGTACAAATACTGTGTAAAGTCTGTACTAATCCAAATATAAAAAATTAATTGCTTCCCTCTAAAAACTGACATTATTGCAGGAGGCTAGGAAGAATATGACAAGTATGTAGAAATCTTGATAGAAAATTTAAAAAGAGAACTCAGATGAGACAAATTTTATGTAAAATATCAATTTCATTCTAATTGGAGCAGCTAAATTAGTAAATGTCTGATTTGCAGACTATTTAACCATTAATAATTGAATTTGGCTTCACCATGGCTTACTGAACTCAAAAGTTTATGTAGGCACCCTCCTAAAATTTCACTGAGATGACAGAAAGAAATATATAAAACTAAGGATATATAGCAAGGAACTTGTTGAGTCAAAATAATCAGAATATACTTTTGATTTATTGTTACTCTCTTTTAAGAGAGGTTGCTACTTGAACATTCTAGCTAATTCTATTTTACTACTGCAAGCAACAAATCACTTTAAATTAGGAAAAAAATTGACTATAAGAAATGACATAGTATCTGGCAAAATTGAAAATTTTTCTTCAGCCCGGACCTTAGAATATTTTTTATTATTATAAAATAAATAACATAAATAAGGCATTTATGCTATGCCTTATTTCTTATTATTTCTTTTTCATTCCCCACCAAACCTATCAAGTGAGTTGGAAATGTCATTGTACCAAAAGAAAGAGAGGACAGCATTTATGCTATGGTCTATTTTTTATCCAAGATAATGCAAACCAACAATCAGACTCTATTCTTGCTGCTTCTGTTCTTCCAAAGTTGTCAGTTCTCAACCAGGACTATCTAGGACTCTCCATTCACCTGGCTGACTGGGTCATGAGAACACACAAAGAGTTCTGCCAGCAACCCTGAACCAGGCTCTGTGGTCAAGCTCAGTTGTTGCTTTAAAAATAAACAACATTCTGAGCAGTTTTATTTCCTCCCTGGGGAAAGATTTTATGATGTTGGTGACAATTCAATTATAACACTCTTAAATCATTTCAGGCAGGTTCAAAACAGGCATAATCTCCACACAAAGAAATATTTTGCATAGAAATTTTGCAAACATGATTTGTTATACCCCCTTGTTGTGGTATGTATAACAATTCCATCTGTGGAAAGATACACACCAAGCTTTACCTAGAAAAAAGTAGTCTGGCAAAGCTATTTGTTTCCCATTTAAAAGGTTACTTAATATTGGGAAGACCAAGACAGTGTGAATAATGGACTTACACATAGTGAGTCCTCAATGTAGATAGCCACTAAGTTAATTCAGATGCAACAGATTCAACTCTACTTTATTTAGCACCTACCATGTGTCTGTTCTACATAGGGACTTCATTTAACAATAGAAAAAATGAGTTGATATATCACCATATTAAAGAGCCCAGAGATTTGCTTAAAGGTCTCATATAGTGCCACATACCATTGTGAGCATTATTCAAGACGCTTGTTCACTGAAGAACACAGTACAAGAGAATCATTCTTCATTCCTAGTCCAATTGCCCAGTTCAACCCATAATGCCTGATGAGTACAAAATCCCAACAGCCTCCTAACTAGTCTGATGGCTTTAGACTATTATTCACATGCCAATCATCTTTCACATTGTTGTCAATATTTATTTCTAATTTTTATTTTAGCTCTAAATATTTATTTCTAATATTTATTTTAGCTCTGAAAATGGTCATTAATCCACATAGATTCTTCCCTTGCTGACTCCAATTATCTACATAGAGAGTTTAAACTCCTTGCCATGGTACTTCAGATACTTACAGGACTTAGGTCTGACTTACCTCTTCAACTACATTCTCCTTCATTCCCCACCATACCTATCAAGCTGAACTACTTATCCTTCCCTGAAAAAAAAAATCATACATTTTCAAATCTTTATTTTTTTTCAGTACTCCTGTCTCTGTTTGGAAAACACGAAGTTTGTACTGGACATGATTTATCTAGTTCTGTGACTTTGTACAATACAATAAGACTAGAAAGCAAGTATAAGCAAATTAGATAGATACTTGGATGTCTCCAAAGTTGAGAATTGATGATGTTAAGATACAAAAAGGTAATAAGGGTGAGAAAACATGACATGGTGACCAGAAGAGTCTAGCTTGAATAGAGAGGTGAAATCTAGAAATGACTGAAAGACCAAATGAATAGGAAGGCAGTGAAGCAACTGATGGCTAAGGGAAGAAAAAGAACACGTTCTATGGCAGAAATGAGTTCATGTCCTTTGTAGGGACATGGATGAAGCTGGAAACCATCATTCTCAGCAAACTATCGCAACGGCAAAAAAACAAACACCGCATGTTCTCACTCATAGGTGGGAATTGAACAAGGAGAACACATGGACACAGGAAGGGGAACATCACACACCCGGGCCTGTTGTGGGGTGGGGGGAGGGGGGAGGGACAGCATTAGGAGATACACCTAATGTTAAATGATGAGTTAATGGGTGCAGCACACCAACATGGCACATGTATACATATGTAACTAATCTGTACATTGTGCACATGTACCCTAAAACTTAAAGTATAACAAAAAAAAAAGAAAGAAATTAAAGAACAAAAGTTTGGGATCAAAAACATTAGCTATTTGAAGTTGAACGGTTCTAGGTGATGACGAGTTGCAAATGTTGAGAGGGAATTGCTGAAATTGAATTTTGAATGGGAGATGACCAAAGGGCCATGAGGCTAGAGTTTGGAAAAGGTCACACAGATCATATCAGCTAGATGAAGCAAGTATAAGGAAAAACATTGTCTTAATTGCCCAAATCTTCCCCAACTATGGAGGAGGTGAAGAGGATGACATTGAGAAGGTGAAGAGATCATATATCTCTGATGACATAGACCTCAGCTCATTGCATAACTTAAAACCAAACTGCAATACATCTAATTAATATCATTTAAATATAATATAGCTTAAGATAATTACCATTTGAACATAATTTCTATCAAAAATATCCATAAAGTTGATTTGTATTTTTATAGTTGATTAAAAAGTGAAAGATACATTTTTTTTTCCGAGACAGAGTCTCGCTCTGTCGCCCAGGCTGGAGTGCAGTGGTGCTATCTCGCTCACTGCAAGTTCTGGCTCCAGGGTTCAAGCCATTCTCCTGCCTCAGCCTCCCGAGCAGCTGGGACTACAGGCGCCCGCCCCCATGCCCGGCTAATTTTTTGTATTTTTTAGTAGAGATGGGGTTTCACCGTGTTAGCCAGGATGGTCTGGATCTCCTGACCTCGTGATCCGCCTGCCGCGGCTTCCCAAAGTGCTGGGATTATAGGCGTTAGCCACCGCGACCTGCAAAAAGATACATTTTTTAAGCGTGCAATTGATTCAGGATTTTTCTTGGCCCCTTTGCCAGACTTCCATCAAGGGTACCCTGTCTACTCGGCCTGCCATGCTTAGCCTCTTGTGGGAAGGAGCACAGGAACAAGTGAGTGCGGGATCTGGCTGGCCACTCCATCGACATAGCAGCAAGGTCTGTGCGGGGCCTGCAGCCAGACCAAGCTGCGTGTCACCTAAAGAGGAACACAGTCGCACCCAGGCAAGGGTGCCTATGACCTGGAAGCCCCAGAGGGGATGTTAGTGCGCTAATTAGCTCTTTTAGCTCCACTGTCCACAGCCCGATGGATGGTAGCATGTTAGCAGCTCAGTCTCCCACTGGTCCCATCATGTGGAGCAGCTGCCCTCCTCTGGTGAGAGCAAAGAACCAGTGTGACAGCCTTTCTGGGTACCCACACTCAGTGAGTCTCAAGCTTTTGTCCAGCATCCAAGAAGAATGAGGTCACACTTGACGCCTGAGGATGGTGAGGGTGGAGAATTTTATTGAGCAACGAAAACAGCTCTCAGTAGAGAGGGGACCTGGGGAGGGGATGGGAAGGGCAGGTCGTCTTTCCCCGAAGTCAGGAGATCTCGTCCCCAAAGTCAGCACATCTCCTCCCCAAAGTCAGGCCACTTCCCTTCTACCAACTGAGTCTGGGGTCTTTACAGGCACAGGATGGGTACAGGGTGGGCTGTAAGTAGTATTGAAAAGGCAGCATTCGATTGGTTAAAAGGCATTATTCAGAAAATCAATTGAGTGAGAGTGGGCAAACATAAATAGAAGTTCTCACTCTGGTCTGTGGGACTGTTTGTGGATTGAAGGTGGGGTTTCAATGGGGACCCACGCTGGTCTGCCTGGGATTTTTCTGCCTCCTGCCTCTGTTACAATCACTGGAATAAAACATCTCCTGGACCAAATACACAAGATTGAGAAAGTTTAAATTTAATAATAATCATGTAAAATGCCCCACAGTGAAAAAACTGCTTATAATACATGTCGAGATAAATAAATGTTTAACCTTTTGACTAAATTTAAAGTGTAGCAATAAAAATGGCTTAGTAGGCTGCAAAACAGACAAGAAAAGGAACTCAGCCCCTGCTGTTTGAGTCAAGTTTTTCTCCAGAAACTTCATTAACAGAAGAAGCGGTGCTGATGCTCAGCACTATTTCATGCTTTGGCTGTGTCCACCCACAGAGGCATGAGTAGATTTTTATTAGACATAAATTAGATAAACTGAAAATATTTTGGGCTGTCTGTCAAAGAAAAGTGTCAAAAATCATTACATTACAAGAAGAAGTGTTATTTGAGTAGATGCCATAAAAATGACTGTAACTTTCAAATCAGCATTAAAGCCTACACATGATAACAAGATTTTACTCTTACAGTTGCCAATATTTGCCTTAATAAGTGAATAATATCAATTGAACAATCGGGAAGGGTAACAAATAGGTAAAAGAATCTAAAAATAGTTATGTTAGTTCAAATTCAGAGACAGTGTTTAGATAAATGGCCAATGTTTAACATGCTACTCCCCATTAATTAAGACTTGGTAGATTGTTGAAGATGTTAATGAAACCTGGGAAATCATCAACAGTAACCTACTTTTCAAGTTGAATATGCTCAAAACCTGAAAGACAATGGAAAAAAAGAATAAATTACTGAACCAATGATGTAAGAAATTGGGTAATATGTCTCACATGTTGTAACGACACCCAAAAGCTCAAAGTAAATTGATGGAGTAAGATTTAGCATGCAAACAGGAAAAAAAAATGGGATTCACTATTCTTATATCAGATAAAATGATTTTAAATAAATAAAAATTAAGAACAAAGAAAGACATCACATAATACTAGAGGGTACAATCCAACAAGAAGACTTAACTATCATATATATATACATATATATATATATATATATATATATATATATATATATATATATATACCCTCAACATTGGAGCAGCCAATTTATAAAACAAGTTTTTCTTGGCCTCCAAAAAGACTTAGACAATGACCCAATCATAGTGGAAGACTTTAAAACACCACTGACAGCATTAGACAGATCATTGAGGCAGAAAAGTAACAAAGAAATTCTGCACTTAAACTTGACATGTGGCTAAATTGAACTAATAAACATCTACAGAACACTCCACTCAGCAACCACAGAAATCAATACCAAGTATATTTCTCAAAACTACAGAAATTCATGGAAATTAATCAACTTACTCCTGAATAACTTATAGGAGAACATCAAATTTAAGGCAGAAATCAAGAAAACGTTCTTTGAAATCAATAAAATTACGGACACAATGTACCAGAACCTCTGGGAGGCAGCTAAAGCAATGTTAAGAGGATATGTATAGCACTAAATGCCTTCATCAAAAAGTTAGATCTCAATTTAACATGCTAACTTCGCACCTAAAGGAATTAGGGGGAAAAAACTCAACCCCAAAGCTAGCAGAAGAGAAAAAAAATAACTAAAACCAGAGAAGAACTGAATGAAATTGAGATGCAAAAATCTATACGAAAAATCAGTGAAACCAAGAGTTGGTTCTCTGAAAAAATAAACAAGAGTGATATATTGCTAGCTAGATTAACAAAAAAAGAGAGAACATACAAATAAGTACACTCAGAAAGACAAATATGACATTACAACTGATTCTACTGAAAAACAAAAGATTCTCAAAAAATGCTATGAACACGAATTACAAAATCTAAAAGAAATGGATGCATTTCTAGAAATGCAATCTCCCAGGGTTGAGTCAGGAAGAGATTGAAACCCTAAAATAGACCAATATCAGGCTCTGAAATTGAATCAGTAATAAAAATTCTACTGACCAAAAAAGCCCTAGACCAGATGGAATCACAGACAAATTCCACCAGATGTACAAAGAAGAACTCATACAAATCCTACAAAACTATTTGAAAAAATTGAGAAGTTCCTCCTCCCTAACTCATTTTATGATCGCAGCATCAGCCTAATACCAACATTGGGCAGAGACACAACGAAAAAAGAAACTTCAGGGTGATATACATGATGAACATAGATGCAAAAATCCTGAACAAAATACCAAAAAATGGAATCCAGAAGTACATGAATAGGTTAATACACCACAATAAAGTAGGCTTTATTCATGGGATGCAAGACTGGTTCATTAGACACAAATCAACAAATGTGATTTACAACATAAACACAATTAAAAACAAAACCATAAGGCCATTTCAACAGATTCAGAAAAAGCTTTCAATAAAATCCGACATCTCTTCATGACAACAATCTTCAACAAACTAGGCATCAAAGAACATACTGCAAAATAATAAGGGCCATCTATGATAAACCCACAGCCAGTATCATACTGAACTGGCAAAAGCTGGAACCACTCCCCTTGAGAAATAGAACAAGAGAAGGATGCCTCTCTCATCACTAATACTCAGTATAGTACTGGAAGTCCTAGCCAGAGCAGTCAGGCAAGAAAAAGAAATAAAAGGCATCCAAATTGGAAAAGAAGAATTCAAACTCTCTTTGCTGATAATATAATTCTATGCTGAGAGAATCCTAAAGACTCCACTAAAAGGCTTCTAGAACTGATAAACAATTTTAGTAAAGATTCAGGATACAAAATAGATGTTCAAAAATTAGTAGAATTAGGAAAAAACAGATGCTGGAGAGGTTATGGAAAAATAGGAATGCTTCTACACTGTTGGTGGGAGTGTAAATTAGTTCAACCATTGTGTAAGACAGTGTGGCAATTCCTCAAGGATCTAGAACCAGAAATACCATTTGACAGCAATCCCACTACTGGGCATATACCCAAGGGATTATAAATCATTCTATGATAAAGATACATGCACACATGTGTTTATTGTGGCACTATTCACAATAGCAAAGACTTGGAACCAACCCAAATGTCCATCAATGATAGACTGGATTAAAAAAATGTGGCACATGTACACCATAGAATACTATGCAGCCATAAAGAAGGATGAGTTCATGTCCTTTGCAGGGACATGGGTGAAGATGGAAACCATCAGTCTCAGCAAACTATCACAAGATCAGAAAACCAAACACCGCATGTTCTCACTCATAAGTGGGAGCTGAACAATGAGAACACATGGACACAGGGAGGGGAACATCATACACTGGGGCCTTTGTGGGGTGGGGGGCTAGGGGAGGGATAACATTGGGAGAAATACCTAACGTAGATGATAGGTTGAGGGTGCAGCAAACCACCACGGCACATGTATGTATACCTATGTAACAAAACTGCACATTCTGCACATGTACCCCAGAACTTAAAGTATAATTTAAAAAAAAAGAAAGAAAGAAAGTTTGCGGCCCTTAGATCCTTTCAAGAGCATTTCATGGGCTATAAAAAAATTTGACAATGGTTGATCTACCTCCTCACCCCAAAAAAAAGGTTAGGAAACTACAGATACTGGAGAGGATGTGGAGACATAGGAACACTTTTACACTGTTGGTGGGATTGTACACTAATTCAACCACTGTGGAAGACATTGTGGCAATTCCTCAAGGATCTAGAACCAGAAATAACATTTGACCCAGCAATCCCATTACTGGGTATATACCCAAAGAATTATAAATCATTCTACTATAAAGACACATGCACGTGTATGTTTATTGCAGCACTTTTCACAATAGCAAAGACTCAGAACCAACCCAAATGACCACCAATGATAGGCTGGATAAAGAAAATGTGGCACATATACACCATGGAATACTATGCAACCATAAAAAAGGATGAGTTCACGTCCTTTGCAGGAACATGGATGAAGCTGGAAACCATCATTCTCAGCAAACTAACACAAGAATGGTAAACCAAACACCGCATGTTTTCACTCATAAGTGGGAGTTGAACAATGAGAACACATGCACACAGGGAGGGGAACATCACACACTGGGTCCTGTCAGGGGATGGGGGCCTAGGGGAGGGACAGCATTAGGAGAAATACCTAACGTAGATGGCAGGTTGATGGGTGCAGCAAATCACCATGGCACGTCTATACCTATGTAACAAACCTGCATGTTCTGCACATGTACCCTGGAAAAAAAAAAAGAAAAGAAAATACACTGTTCCTGTTTACCACTATATAGGTGTCAATAAGTTACAAAATTATGATATTGATCAAGACATTGTTCATCAATAAACTGGCTCTGTAGGGTGTTATGAAATTAGAAAAGTATTTTAAATTATGAAAAAATGTGCCAACTTGGTGTTTTTATTTTTCTTCATTCATCCACTTTATATTTGTACCATAAGGAATAGCATAGCTACCCATAGATGATTAGGGTCCCCTTTTACATTCAGGAATTATGAGGTTGATGCTTCACAATAACCCTTAGAGACAAATAGGAGATGGTTATATAATATGATCTCAAAGTGCATCATGATGAAAAGTAATGGCTCCACCTCTCACAAGCTGTGAAATTAAGGGCAGTGGTTATAACCTCTCTGAACCTCTGTTACTTCCTTCATAATGCCTACCTCCTAGGGTTTTTGTGTGCAATCAATTAGATAAAAGTTGTTAAAATTTTAGTAAAGTGTCTGCCTTTGGAAAAATGCTTAACAAATGGTAGTTTATATTATCATTATTATAAAAAACCAGTAAGAGAGACAGTACATGAAGAAAAGGACAGTAAGTACAACTTAACCAAGTGAAATGTTAACAACAGGAGTAAAAAGCGTTGCAGGAGTTCATTGCAAAGCAGAGCCATTCTCCAGAGATGCTTTTCTTGAGATATTGCTAGTTGGTTGGGCCTCAAAGACAGGAGAAAACTCAAAACACAGATAAGGGAAGGAGAATATACCAGGTAGGGTGAAAGCTGAGGTTCTGAGGCACAGACATATGATGTGTTTGGCAGTGTGGCCAGGAGACTCTTGAGGAATATCTTGGGACCTGCAATTGAAACAGTAGGTAGAAATAAGATAGAGGGAGGTTGTAAATGTCAAAGCAAAGAGTTGGATATATTTAGCCAATGAAAAATGAAGCGATGTTACCTAAACCCAGAATTTTATACAAGTGTATTTATGTACACTGCTAAGCTAATTGATGCACATTTTCAAAAATTACTTCGTTAGATTTCTCAAATTGGATCTCTATTTTTAAAAAGCTATTAAATAGAGCTTACTCTTGGCCGTGCATGGTGGCTCACACCTGTAACCCCAGCACTTTGGAAGGATGAGGTGGGTGGATCACAAGGAGTTAGAGACCAGCCTGGCCAACGTGGTGAAACCCTGCCTCTACTAAAAATACAAAAATTAGCCAGGCGTGGTGGCGGGCATCTGTAATCCTAGCTACTCGGGAGGCTGAGGCAGGAGAATAGCTTGAAACCAAAAGGCAGAGGTTGCAGTGAGCCGAGATCGCCCACTGCGCTCCAGCCTGGGCAAAAGAGCTAAACTCTGTCTCAAAAACAAAAACAAAAACAAACAACAACAAAAAACAGAACAGCAACAACAAAAAAGCTTACTCTTGCTGGCTCTAAAAATCGCAATTTATGCAGTCCACAAAACCTAGCACATAGTAGGTATTCAACACGTGGTTCATAAATTTTAAATGAATTTGGCCATTGATAATAATGAAAAATAAAGATGTGTATATAAAACTTAATAACCCCAGGCATTATGTTTTCCAATAATTTCAACTTTCTCTACTCCAGCAGCCAATAAGGAGGAAAAACTGAGTAATTAGAATTCACCGCTTCTCCCTTCTATTGGACATGCTTAGGAGCAGTGGAACAGCAAAAAAAGCAAGAATGATGGGGAGAGGTGAAGTCAGTAAATGACAAAAAAGCAAGTTACAAAAATGAATAATCACTCTCTAAGTAATACAAGTTGTACAGTATTATGGATAATTACCATTTCAGAAGCACTTTAACAATGAGTATCATTTGCAAACAGCTATGACTTGCATAGTTGTCAAGGGTTCATTTCCTAATCTCCCCTAATTGCACTCATTGTACAGCCAAAACTAATTTATGTATGACACAGGGCTGAGGTCCTCCTTTAATGTCAAGTATACAACTGGGATATGACAGTTTATCCCGTGTTAAGTACTACTGGGAGACAATAAGCAGTAAGAGGATAATTGCGTAGGCACAGAAGCCAAACTTCTGGCTCAAGGCTCGACTCCACTAGCAACTAGTTTTGACCTAATGCAAAGTTCCTTATCCACTCTGCGCCTGAGTTTCTATCTGGAAAATGTGGATAATAGTAGTATCTTCCTATAAGTATACATAAGTTCACATACGTAAAACACTTGGGAAGAATGTCAAGAACATGATAAAAGTCAATGAAAGTTAGCTATTATCATTCACTGTGTAAATGAATGACAAGAATTAATAGAGCAAGAAGCAATTGCCTCTATATAGGACAAAGTGTAAAAGTCAGGGAAGACTTCAAAGAAAAGGTAATGGTTAAGTCTGAAGGTTTGTTATGAAGGAATGGTGGAAGAGTACTTCCAGCAGGGAAATGGAGGTGCCTGGTATATTCCAATAGTGTGTATTCCAGAAGCGGTGGAAAATGAACCCAGAACCTTGGAGGTTGGGATGAAGATTTGTAAAAACTTCAGAATTTTTTAAACTTCAGGTAATTAAAGATTTTGAAGGTTTTTAAACTTGAAAGAGACTTGACTAGGCCTCATATTTAGAAGGAACCTGGGCAGCCACTCAAGCTAAATGTGAGATAACTGTAACAGCCAGACTCATTGAAGTCTGCAAGTACACTATGAGGCCATCACTGCTAGTTATTTAAATCTTATGATGCACTAGGCAACCAGGCACTGTGCTATTGTATGTATATATATATATATATGTATATATACACACGATTTATAATCTTTTTTTAAAAAACAGGTCTCATTTTTTAAAAACAGGCCCAGGCTGGAATGCAGTGGCACAATCATGGCTCACTGCAGTCTTGACCTCCCAAGCACTAGCAATCCTCCCACTTCAGCCTCACAAATAGCTGGAACTGCCATGCCTGGATAATTTTCTTAATTTTTTTGTAGAGGCAGGGTCTCCCTACATTGCCCAGGCTGGTCTCAAACTCCTAGGCTCAAGTGATCCTCCCACCTCTGCCTCTCAAAGTGCTGGGATTACAGGTATGAGCCACTGCACCTGACACACATCTGTAATTGGCTCCCACCAATGTCTAATCTTTAATGCAACTATGTAAAATAACTATTTGCCATTATACAAAATTATACATTACACATAAACAAAAGATCAAGAAGTTTGAGTAATCTACCCAACCAAGCATAGCTGGTAACAGGCATAGATAAGTCTTCAAACATTCAGGTCTCCTGGGTGCCAAAGCTCTCCTTCTTTCCACAAACACCTGCCTCCCTCCTGAGTCTGTTCTGTGGCATCAACCTAAGACAGTCAGTCAACAATGAGAACCTGAATAAAGGTGTCTACAGTGTAGATGAAGAGGGATGATTGCTTACAAAGACACTTGAGGTCTGCAATTTAGAGATGTTTTGAACAGGGGCTTTGTGAAAATGCAAGATGTTAAAAACAATTCTAAATTTCCTAGCACGAATAATATACTTTACAGTATAGAAGAGAGGTGTTTGGTGAGAAAGATACTAGAGTTAGTTTGAAGATTTGGTAGGCTTAAAGTGCCCATGGGACATCCATTTGGAATGATCTAGTTTTCAGGTAGAAATAGAGCTTGAAGCTCTGCAGAGGTTAGCCTGCAGAAAGACTTCTGAGATATCAAGCATTAGGTGATAGTTGGGAATACAGAAAGAGAAGTTTGCACAGGGAAAACACATGAAAGAGTAGGAGAAAGAGAAAAAAGAGCTTTTGTGAAAGACACTGGATTAAGTTTTTAATCCCTGAAAAGCCAGTAAGTTGAATCCTTGTAACAGTTACTTGAGTGTGCCAAACTACTGAGCTGTCATAATATCCATTAATGACAGACATTTTTCAGTTCTTGACTGTATTCCGAGGAGTCAAATGTATTAAAAACATGCAAGTCCTTGCCTTCCAAACTTATCAAACACCTCTTTTATGGAGTTCATTGACCATCAAAATCTCTCTACAAGAAAAAAAAACTAGAATTACAATATTAAATATAGACAAAGAATTTGTGTACAAAATAGGAGCTCTGCAACATTATTTGTCAGGCTGGAACATAGATTCAGCTCTCCTAATTTGTACTCAAGAACATTATTCAATGGAGTGACTGCATCTGTTGACACAATGTGCATCTGTCCCTCCTTGGGACTGAAATGAAACCAAATCAGTTCACACTGTTGTCTTGATAGCTCTAAAATTATAATTGCTATTTAATCACTACTAAATTGGACTTGGCCTTGAATTCTTGGCAAGTGTTTTTATTACATTAGTAATACACTGAACTTCTCTTTCTTCTGTCTCTTCAGCCAAACATTCTGTAATGACAATACACAAAATATTATTTTTGTAAAACGTTGACTACAGTGTATGGCAAATAAGGTTATAGTTAAGTAGGTTCTTTTTATTTAAGATGAATAATGATATCATTAAGCATCATGATAATGTAAAACTAAATAACAAGTGTAATCCTGATGAAAATTGTTTTCCAAGTAAAATTCCCTTTTGAATGGCAGATCAACTTTACTAATATATAATATGTAAATTATGAAACTAAAATACATCTCACATTTGTGTTTAAATTATATAGGTTGATTTCTGCTCTACAAACACATTGCTACCAGCTTCCTTGGTAATTATATTCTTACAGCCAGTGAGAAAAAAGCATTTCTACATTCTAATAAAGAACAATAAAAACTATGGTTTGATTGTGCACTTTTGATACCTACTTAGGAATAGTAAATAGCAAATTATTAACAAACAAATTATTTTAAAGTAGGATACATTTTAACTGCATTAAAGCATAAAAAACTAAACTATAACATTGGCTGAGTCACTTTAACTTCTAGGCTTCAGTTTTTTTTAACCATATAATGAATGATTTCTTAAAATAATTTCAAAGTTCTTTCTAGTTCTAATATTTTAATGTGAAGTGGCAATACCAAGGCATAGTACTGAAGAAACTTTAGATTCAATTTCCGGGATCACTCAAGACCACTCCCAATGAACGTACCAATAAGAACAATGGTCAACTAAGCAAGTGCCAAGTTCAATGTCAAGTTCACCATGCAACCATCTAGCAAATTGCTGTCCCAACCTTCTCTGATGTAGATATTCTAGACTGGAACTGCTCATACTCTTTAATCTTTCGTTGCAATATTTTTTACATGTAATGATAAAGCTTGTACCAAAACAAATATTTGTCAATTGAGGAGCATTTTAAAGCACACCTTCATAATTAGAAAAGATAAAGCGTCATTTTCTTTCTTTTCTATAATACAAGACAACTGAAAGAAATGTTATAATATTCCTTCCACTGTGTACATTTTGAATTTTCATCATTCCGCAAAACTTTAAATTTGTGGTTTAAAGTTTTAGTGTGTTTCCCATGAGGACACAGGAGTTGCACTAACAAGTCTTTCTTTTCAAGGTCACTGACACATGCAATTGAAACATTTGGGAGATAATTCTGCATTTGATTTCAGAGACAGAAGTTAAATTAAAATAAGCATATTGAGATGCACTAGATGCTAAATTATTTGCTCAGGTTCTGTAACTAGGAAACTTGAATTATCTAGTGCCCCAGGCACTGAGATATTAAAGTTTTAATATAAAAAGCTCTGCTTATGACTTTGCCCTGATGACTTCTTGTCACTCATATGCCAAAAAAGCCCATTTGGAAAAGCACACCAGGGCATGGGCAATAAGTAATTAACTGTGCTTTACTTAAAATCTTTTATTATACAAGCCAGAGACTCTGTTTCCCAATGACATTAACTTACTTGAAATGAATAATACATGGCAAGAAATTGGTCACTGCAGTTCAGAAAGGGGATTTGAGTCTGTTTTAGTAGATTGTTCAGACAAGGCAAAGGTAATTCTCATTAAAGTTTTGAGCATGTAGTCATAGACATGCTCAAATACATACACAGAATAATTATGTGTACCTCCCAAAAGACAAAGAACATTAATAAAGTTACCTCACACACATGTCAAGGATCAGGCCTAAAGGAAGTGATTACAGCATATAACAATTTTCTCCAAATGTCCCTTCAAGTGATCTGATTAAATTTCATCATATGCTGAGATATTCTCTCCTTTTACATATTTTGAAAAGGTACTGGGTATATAACAAGCTTATGGGAAGATGAAGATAAAGGTTGAAATATTTTTTGTCCTTTTCTAAGGTAAATTCTTTCATTTGGTTATTAAATATCTAATATATTTATTTTGTCATAAAACATCTAACATATTTACTTAAGTGACATCTAAATACATCCTTTAATGGGCAACTATTAAAGAAAATCAAACCGAATACTATTTTCTATCATGGCTAACCCATCTGACTACTTTCTTTGAACACTATATTGACAAATCTAAGCATATCTTAGTGTTCAAAGACTTCAATAATAAGAGTGTTCTATAATGCTAACTTTGCTGTTTTATCAAATCTAAACTGCTTACAATATTTTCACTGAAGTTGTTTTTTTTTTTTTTTTTTTTTTTTTTTTTTTTTGAGAAGGAGTCTCGCTCTTTCACCCAGGCTGGAGTGCAGTGGCATGATCTTGGCTCACTGCAGGCTCCGCCCCGCAGGGTTCAAGCCGTTCTCCTGCCTCAGCCTCCCACGTAGCTGGGACTACAGGCACCCACCACCTCGCCCGGCTAATTTTTTATATTTTTAGTAGAGACGGGGTTTCACTGTGTTAGCCAGGATGGTCTTGATCTCCTGACCTCGTGATCTGCCCGCCTCGGCCTCCCAAAGTACTGGCAGTACAGGCATGAGCCACCGCGCCCGGAAGTTTTGAACAGTTATTCAGCAGTTAAAATAGATCACATATGGACACATCCATTTCTTATAAATTAATATGTACTTTTTGCAAGAAAAATATTTCTGCTTTTGTGCAATAATGTTTTTATATAAATATTAATGCACATGAGAAAATAATAAAAATGGTCTAAAAGATTAGATTTTTAATAAAAATATGTTCCTTAAATATTCTTTGTAATTTGCTCTTTATTTTTTAAGTGAATCTTCTAAAATTTGTCACAACAGTAATAAATTTTTATTAAGGATCTCAGTGAGATCTAACACCTCAAAATATAACTTCATTGCTTTTTTAAGAAATCAAAAGTGATAAGGCACAAACTTCTCATACAATCTCCTGAAGACAAAGACTTCCTACAGTTGTTCTTCATAGCTGTTACTCTAATAAAGGTATTTAATACTTGTTGGTAATATCAATGGTCACATTTTAAGTCATAATATTTTGGTTTTCATTTTCTAAGAGGAAGGAAGAATGTTAATATAAATAAATACATAGATAGGTAGATAGGGGTGTGTGTGTGCGTGCGTGTGTGTGTGTATGCACGCGCATGTTACATGTTTTCAATCTCTTGTTTAGTTTTTTGCCCTTGGGTGGTCAAATTAAATTACTTTAATGTTTTCTTTTCCAATACAGTGACCAAATGAAAGGCTTACTAGACCAAATGCAGAAAAATCACTTTAAAACACTGTGTAAACTGCAGATCAAAGTATTTATATTCACCAAACCATACCACTCAACTAATCTCTTATCCTTATGCATGAGCTAAACTCAATTTAGGAATGAAGCCTATCTCTCTCAGCCTTATACCATCCAATGTTTCAAAGACAATTCAAGCCAGGTGGTTTATAGACTATACAAGTTAATAGTAAATATAGATAGAATAAATTCATTACATCGTTTTGTCCTGGAGAGTGGCATCCTGCTGTAGGAGCACAGGATATAAGACAGCACAGAGGGAACCCAGATACGTGGTCATACAGGAGAAAAGAGCAGTTTATTATTTCACAAAACACCCACGTTAGTAGCTGTTAATTCCTTTATGTGAGAACCTACCATCGGAAATTCTAATATCTACTTAGAATTACTTCATAATTTTAGAAGCAAAACAGAAATAATGGTTACATCCTCCTATTATCAGATATATTATTGCTTGAGTATAAAAATATTGAAACATTGGTACACAACTCATCAAGTACCAATAGATGAACGGGAGTCTTGGTTAATTGTTAGGAAGAGATTTTCCAAATGTCTATATGTAAGCATATTTCTGTGGCATTCTAAACTGGCATTGTTTTAGTAGAGACTAACAAATGACAAGTAGTAATTGTTTTTCATTTTGAATATGTGCACATATATCATGTCCAGTTCTGAATCATTATGGCTGAGTTTGTACAATTAATTTATTCCTAGTCTCCTTTATCTAAAAAAACAAAAAAAGGTACAATGTAAGAACTTTAGTCAACCAAATAAACAGACTTTGGGGTTAGACAAACAATTTAAATTTTAAATTAAGTCAGTGAAATGCACAAAAAGATTTCACTCTTAGAATCTCAGCTGTATAGATATCTGTTCTAATGCTGAAATACTCAACTATCTCAAATACTCAACTTCAGTTCAGGTAGAGAACTTCCTTTTTCTGCAGAAAAAGCACCTCAAAAGTATGTTTATGCAGCTTTAAACATTTGATAAAGCTAATCTGCTTAATTAGCAGCAAAGAGTTAATCAAAGTAGTTCTCAAGCTTCAGTGGATAGGACTCCTCCCAAGAGCTGATTACCAGGATAGTTTTGTGGGTCTTATCCTGAGAGATTCTGATTAGGTCGGTGTGGGTTTGAGTTCAGGAATTTGCTTTTAATCAGTACCCAAATTGCTAGTGATGCAGAGGGCACACTTTGAGAAGCACTTATGTAAAAGGCAGGAACCAAGATCTGGGTAATTCCTACCATATCAGTCTACTTACGTTGTTACCACAAGTGCTTACATTTAAAGTTGTTGAAGGATATTAAAATGATGAGAAATTTTTGTGAAAAGCATGATAACCTATCCAATGTTTACTCTGACATGGGTAAGGTTCTCAAAGCCTTCCTGTTTCTTTTTTCTCTCTCTCCTATGTCCATACACACATGCACATACATACATACACACATACATATAATTTATTGATTTTTCTATTTAAAATTAAAGTAAATCATAAACCTCAACTTTCACAATTCTTAATATGGGTATTTACAGGTTAAAAAGTACTATTTCAGCAATTGGCTGTTTTTCTATTAATCCCATCTGCAATGACCTAGAAAGTAAAACATGTAAAAATATACATTGGAAGGCAAAAAAGAGCACTCATCAAATTTTGAAAGCTTTCAATAGCCATTATTTGAGAGTGGGAAGATGGGAACAGACAAAGGGTGTTATGCCAACAAATATTACAATTTAGATGAAATAATTAAAATCACTTAGAACTTACAAAGATTGACATAAGAAAAAATTAAAATCTGAATTCCTCTATATTTATAAAATAATTCAATGTATAATTAAACATTTTTCCACAAAAAAAACTTCAGGTACAAAGGCATAAACAATTTATTCTAACCAAATATGCAAGCAGAAATTAGGCATAACTTAAAAAATCACTTTCAGAACAAAAAAAAATGAAACCACTTAGGTTTATAATATCAGCATGATTTTGATAACAATCACAGAAAGCCATATCAAGAAATTTACAGACAAATCTCTCCAAGAACACAGGTACAAATATCTTCAACACTGTATTGGTAAACAATTTAGCAAGATATAAAATAGAAAAATATCATGACAATATTTGTTTTATTTTAAAAACGCAAGGCAATTTTAGCATCTGAAAATCAATGTATGTCATAGCACTAATATTCTAAAAAGAAAAAATACTTGACCATCCAAATTCAATACTGTGCATGACAAAAACTAAATTAAGAGGAAGAAGATTATCATTAATCTGATAAGGAGAATCTTTTAAAAACTGCGTTGTACTTAAAGAGAAATATTAAAAACTTTTCTCCATGATTGGGATTGAGTGTTATTATAGCTCTTTCCATATTATATTGAAGACACAATACGATAATAAAAACAAATGGTTGGAAAAGAAAGGTATCCATAGTTAATCACAGATATATTCAATAGATATTGAATAGACTCAGTAGATTATCTTACAATAGCATCAAATATATCTTATATTTAGGAACAAATCTAACAAAAGATATGTCTGCTCACTACAAAAGATTTAGAGAAATTAAATAAAACCTGAATAAATAGAAGAATATATTAGTGGATTCAGACAATATTATAAAGATGTCAGTTTTCTCCGAATTGAGGCATAGATTAAATTCTGTTCCCATAAGACCACCAATGGAATTTTTATGAAAATTGACAGGCTGATTTTAAATTCTGGGTAAAAACACAAGGGTAAAACTTCAAAGACTGAAAATACCATGTGTCAGTGACAACCACTTCAGAAAATTATTTGGCAAAACAGACTAAAATGGGAAATAAACACATCCTATGACTCAGTAATTCTATTCTTAGGTATATACCCAAAGATATACAAGACTGCACATAGAAGAATGTTACTTAGTAAGAATAAAAACCTGGAAAAAACCCAAGTGATGATCAAAATTTGAATGGATTAATAATTTGTATTACTTTTTATAATGAAATTCTTTACAGCAATAAAAATGAACAAACTTCTACACACAGTAATATGGATGAATCTCGCCATGTTGAGCAAGGAAGCCAGACACAAAATAGCACATACTATGTTATTTATGTAAAGTTTTAAATGAAGAAAAACTAATCAGTATGCTATAAGTCAAAATAGTGGTTATCTTTAAGGTGGTACAGGAATAAAGGCAAGACCCTCTAGGGTGTTAGTTTTCTTTTGCCTAATCCGGATGGTAATTAAATGGATGGTAATTAAATGGGTAGGTTCACATTGCAAATATCTCTCAAGCTGTACGCTTGATTTGTGTACTTTTCTGAATATATTATGTATTTCAGTAAAAGCAATTATTTAAAAATATTACACTACTATTAATAATTTTAAATAGTATTTTAATAGTAAATATTAAATAATTTAATAAATAATATTAGATATTTAGTAGTAAATATTAAATATTTACTATTAAAATAATATTATAAATTATTTTTTAATTTTTGAATCTCATTTAGACTTGGTTGTAATTATTCAGCCCTACCTTTTATAAATCTGCATCCAATATAAATGAGTATAATTATTCCATATATTGTGACTATGAAATAATTACACTCATAAGTATTGACCATGGAAATCATTTTAATTTCTTCAAAGTTACATTACACATTGGGAATGCTATATAATAATAGCTGTTAAAAAGGCTGGTTCTGTAATAAGTTTACATAAATTTAAACCTGAGTTCATGATTTACTAAAATGTGATTTTGGGAAAGCTATTTAAACTCTTTGTGCAAAAGAGAGATTCTGGCCCGGTTCACTGGCTCACACCAGTAATACCGACACTTTGGGAGGCTGTGATGAGTTCAGGAGTTTAAAACCAGCCTGAGCAACACAGCGAGACTCTGCCTCTACAAGAAAAAAATTAAAAATCAGCCAGGCATGACTTTCATCACTTCTTCTCAAATAGTACTGGCAGTCCTATGTCGTAGGACTAGTCCCATGTCCTGTGTCCTTTATCTAGTCCTATCCAACAAGATAAAGATAAAGAAATAAAGGGCATCCAAATTGGTAAAGAGGAAGCCCAACTGTCACTGTTCATTAATGATATGATCATATACCTAGAAAACCTTAACGACTCATCCCAAAAGCTCCTAGATCTGATAAATGAATTCAGTAAAGTATCAAGGTACAAAAATCAATGTACACAAATCAGTAGCACTGCTATACACCAACAGCAACCAAGCTGAGAATCAAATCAAGAATTCAACCCTTTTTACAACAGCTGCATAAAAGATAAAATACTTAGGAATATACCTAACCAAAGAGGTGAAAGATTTCTACAAGGACAACTACAAAACACTGCTGAAAGAAATCATCAACAACACAAACAATGGAAACACAACCCATGCTCATGCATTGGTAGAATCAATATTGTGAAAATGACCATACTGCCAAAAGCAATCTATAAATTCAATGCAATTCCTGTCAAAATATCATCATCATTCTTCACAGAACTACAAAAAACAATTCTAAAATTCAAATGGAATAAAAAAGGAGCCCACATGGCCAAAGTAACATTAAGCAGAAAGAACAAATCTGGAGGCATCACATTACCCAACTTCAAACTATACTACAAGGCTATAGTTACCAAAACAGCATGGTACTGGTATAAAACCGGACACACAGACCAATGGACCAGAATAGAGAAACTTGAAAAAAAGCCAAGTACTTATACACAACTGATCTTTAACAAAGCAAACAAAAACATAAAGCAGGGAAAGGACACCCTATTCAACAAATGGTGCTGGGATAATTGGCAAGCCACATGTAGAAGAATGAAGTTGGATCCTCATCTCTCACATCATACAAAAATCAACTCAAAATGGATCAAAGACTTAAATCTAAGACCAGAAACCATAAAAATTCTAGAAGATAGCATTGGAAAAACTCTTTTAGACATTGGCTTAGGCAAAGACTTCATGACCAAGAATCCGAAAGCAAATGCAACAAAAGCAAAGATAAATAGATGGGACTTAATTAAGCTAAAAAGCTTCTGCACAGCAAAAGAAATAATCACCAGAGTAAACAGACAACCCACAGAGTGGGTGAAAATATTTGCAAACTATGCATCCAACAAATAACCAATGTTCAGAATCTACAAGGAACTCAAACAAATCAACAAGGAAAAGCAAATAACTGCATCAAAAGTGGGCTGAGGACATGAATAGACAATTCTCAAAATAAGATATACAAATGGCCAACAAACATGAAAAAATACTCAGCATCACTAATTATCAGGGAAATGCAAGTCAAAACCACAACGCAATACAACCTTACTCCTGCCAAGAATGTCCATGATTAAAAAATCAAAAATAATAGATGTTAGTGTGGCTGTAGTGAAAGTGGAACACTTTTACCCTGCAGTTGGGAATGTAAACTAGTACAATCACTATGGAAAACAGTATGGAGTTTCCTTAAAGAACTAAAAGTAGAACCACCATTTGATCCAGCAATCCCACTACAGGGTATCTACTCAGATGAAAATAAGTCATTATATGAAAAATATACTTGCACATGCGTGTTTATAGCAGCACAATTTGCGATTGCAAAAATATGGAACCAGCTCAAATGCCCATCAATCAACAAGTAAATAAAGAAAATGTATACATATATACATATATATGTATATATACACGTGTGTGTGTGTGTGTGTGTGTATATATATACATATAATGCAAAACTACCCAGCCATATACATATAAGGGAATGAAACAATGGCATTCACAGTAACCTGGATGCAGTTGGAGACCATTATTGTAAGTGAAGTAACTCAGGAATGGGAAACCAAACATTGTATGTTCTCACTTATAAGTGGGAACTAAGATATGATGTTGCAAAGGCATAGATTGATATAATGGACTCTGAGGACTTTCAGGAAGAGTGGGAGGGAGGTGAGAAATAAAAGACTACACACTGGGTGCAGTGTACACTGCTTAGGTGATAGGTGCACCAAAATCTCAGAAATCGCACCTAAATAAGTTACACATGTAACCAAACACCAACTGTTCCCCCAAAAACTATTGAAATAATAATAATAATATAAAATAAATTAGTCAGGCATGGTGGTGCATGCTTGTAGTTCCAGCCACTTGGGAGGCTGAAGCTGGGGGATCACTTGAATCCAAGGGGTCAAGGCTGCAGTGAGCAATGATCATGCCACTGCACTTCAGCCTGGACAACAAAGCGAGACCCTCTCCCCACTGTTCCCCTTAAAAAAAAAAAAGAGACAAATTTTTCTTTTCTTCATCTTTAAAATAAGAATGATAATATTACTTACACCAAATATCGTTGTGAAGATGAAGTGACAGAATACATTTAAAGCCCTGAAAGCAATAGTTATGCATAGCAAGTATATGATAAGTGATAGTGCAAGATGAGAGATACAAAAAATGTAGTCTTTCCTATAATTAAAAATCAGCAACTCTGTATACATGCATGGATTAGTATGTAATCATACACTTACTTCCTCTGTAGTTGAGAGGGCATAGACTTAATAACATCCAAAAACAAGCACACCCAGTACCCAGATCTTGGTGCCTAATATCTTTCTCCAATAAAAGGAATCACAGATTCTTAGGGGAAATGGCTGAATCTAGGACTGGAGCAAGAAATACACAAGATGAGCCTGGAGCATCCCGTAGTGCCAGAAAGTGAAGAAGTGCTCAATGAAACCCCACAATGATGGGGGAAATGCAAAGGGACACAGGAACCAGCTGAAAGCTGCCAATGGCCAAAACTAAAGAAATTTGAACAACGAAATAAAGTAGTATTATGTTATAACAAAACTTATGAAATAAATATCCTTGAGTCCATACTGACATAAATACATGGTCTTAAAAAAAACCAAATGGGAGAGGATAGACAAATGTCCTGTGCTTAAAAAATTCCAAATAATTTGTGCAAATACTCTGCCTCAAAGAGATGGAGCATAACTCCTCACTTCTTACACGTGGGCTCAGCAAAGTGGCTTGCCTCCGAAGAGTACAGTATGGAAAAGAGAAAAACAAGAAAGAGAAACTCTTCAGTAGAGACACCTGAGAAACAATACCTCAGCCAGGTGATCAACTTTAGCATCAACAGTGATACATTATGTTGCTGGTATGTATCCTTGATAGGATTTGATCAGAGTGCCAGTTAACTTTTGTGGTTTTCCTACCAAAAACCCATAACCCCAATCTAATCATAAGAAAAATATTAAGCAAATCCCAATCTGGGGACATTATATAAAATACCTGACCAATACTCTTCAAAACTGCCAAGGTCATCAAAAACGAGAAATGTTTGAGAAACTGTCACAGTCAAGAGGAGCCTAACGAATTAACTTAACAACGACTTCACGTAATGGGGTATCCTGGATGGTATCCTGAACCAGCAAAACGACATTAGATAAAAATTTAAAAAACTCTGAATAAAGTATGAACTCCAGTTAATAATAATATATTGATACTGAATCATTAATTGTGAGGACTGTATCAAACCAATTTAAGACACTAATAATAAGAGAAACATGGCGAGGAGCCTAAGGGAACTCTCTGCACTATTTTGAAAATGTTTTTGTAAACCAAAAACTATTCTAAAATAAAAGTTTATTTTAAAAGGCAAATGTCATTAGAAAACTAGTGTGACTATATAAAATTATTTTTAAAGCAAAAAAATGCAACATACATGTAAAGCATTTTTACATATCTTTATTGATTTTGACCAATTCTCAGTGCCTTAAAATATTTTCTACTTCTTCATGGTCATTTTCTCAATATAAAGCTACTTCATTATCACTAGAATTTAAAGGACTTTGATCAGTAATAGTAATAGAAGAAAAAACTATGACAATAAAGAATTTTAAAAAATCTGGATTTCAGTGCCACCTTTTGGACTAGCAACAAATGTGACCAACAACACACTAGACCCCTGATGTCTCCATCGTCCTCATCTGTAAAAATGTGTTCTAAACTATATTTTATTAAATACAAACATTTATAAGTATTAAAATACATTATCTTAATCATTAATAATTGATAAAATCAACATCTAGGAAGTCTTCTATAGACTAGAGTTGGCATAACCAAATCAGCTATTACTAATCTCTGATAGCAGAGAAATTAGAAAAGAAATAAATTAAATTAAAAAATTATAAAAACAAGTCTACTGCTTAATGAATTTGGTTAAACCTCTCAGAAATTTAATTGTTGCCGAATATTCTAAAGATTCTATAAACAACTTAAAAATCCTGGCAGAATTTCCTTATTTATACCATTTGTTGATATGCTACTTATTTATAGTATCGTATATAGCAAAGCTGTAGACATTTTAACAGTTTTCAAGGAATCTCTCTCAATTTTATTTCAAAGTGTTATAAACCAGAGGTTTCATAAATACTGAGTAATAGATACTTTTGATGGGAACCTTGCTTTTAGCAATACTATACTGTATATTTTAGTGCTACACAAAATTAAAATAAAAAAATTTCTTTCCAACTAGATAGGAACAACTTGATATTATAACCAAGAAAATTAAAATGAAAGGTAGGCATGTGCATTTTTTAAGTTAGCAGTCATATTTCACTAGGCCATTTGAAATATTTCAATTCCTTAGAGATAAATGAGAAAAAATTCTGTCAGATTTAAATGCAAATGTTGAACATTACATTTGAAAGATCTCTCAACATTCTCCTACCTCTGCAACTCTTCCTCCAAAAATTCTAGATTTTTATACTTCTTTTCCACTAGTATTAATTAGACTCCTAGGCAATTTAGCTGACACCTTAAAAATGTCAAAGACCTGGTTGAAAATGTAGAAAAAAAAAAAAAAAAAGGAAAAATAAATTGTGAAGACCAGGAAACCTGACGATGAAAACAACCAGCTGTCCTGGGCTGGAACGAAGTGGTGTTCAATCGAGGAATCTTCCTGAATTTGAGTCTCCGTTGGCCTGTCATTATGCAAGAAAGAGATAACCAGAGATGGGATATTTAAGAGACCAGAATTTTTCAAATCATCCAGGAGAGACTGGCATTCTACACCAAGGAAAAATATGTACAAATATATGGTAGGCTCTAGAAAACCTACACAGTCCCAGATCGATGGATGAAGGCTAAGATTGTATTCATTGATTTCTATAGAAAGTAGTACAATGCTGGTGAAGGAGTTGTGCATGTGATTAACTGTGGTGCCAGGCTGGCTTGGAAGAAATGGGCATAGGATCATTGATGACTTGAAAAAAAACTGAGAGTAAACATATTAGGTTTAGATTTTGTTGAATTTGAGAAAATAAAATAATACGGGCTGAAAGAAAACAAGTTGTTGTTTTTTTCTCTCATGTAAAACAAGTCTAGAAAACAGGCAGTCTTGGGTACTATAGCGCTCCATAAAATCAAAGAACCATTCTCCTCCTTCTATCTTGTCCTCTGTCCTTCAGCTCATGGTTTCCTTCCCATGGGCCAAAGGAAGGCTGGAACTCCAGGTGGAACATGAGCTGTCAATCCAATAAGAAGGAAATAAAAATAAGTCCCTCTTCTCAACTACCTTTATACACAAACTGTTGCTCATATATTTTGACCAGAACTTAGTCATTTGGCTAAGACTAGCTGTAGTAGGTGCTGGAAAATAATAGTCTTTCTTTGGATAGTCATGCTTACTACAAATCATGGGTTCTATCCACAAGGTGGAAAGAGAAAGGATATTGGGAGCATTTTAATTTAATATAATTGAATAATAACATCTCAAAAATAAAACAGTTATAGATGATGATAATGTCCAGCAGCATCTGTTTTCTAAAGTATAGAGAACACAAAAGACATATATTTGGTTGTATTGAGGAGCTTAGAAGGAGGTGAGGAAGTTGGATGGATTATGCACAAGAACACTGATATCAATGAGAACAGTAACAGAATTTGCAAAGAATAGGTACTAAAGCATATTCAAAATCCTCACTGAATTTTGAGAGAAAACTAAAAGTCAGTTAATAACTGTATAATCAGAAGGTGTGATTTTTCATAAGAAGAGTATTTTGTAACAGAAGAGGAGAATCCTGGTACAGAGTTGATAGACTTTTAACTTCAGCCCTTCAGATTAGGAGATCCAGAAGGTAAGGAAGGTAAGTGAAGAGCTCTCAGCAATATTGGTAGTGAAAAGAGCATGGTCCCACAGATTTGATGTTTAATGACACCTTTTTCATTCACTAATTTCATAATTATTAGCAAGGTACAAAACTATCTTGTTTCCTCATTTAAGAATTGGGAATAATATCTGCCTCAAAAGCGTATGGTAAAGATAAAAAAAAAACACTAAAACATTGCTGAACTCATAGTAGAATCTCAAAAAAGATTAGCCACACTCTCTTCTTCCTACAGTTTCCAATCTGTCTGTAGTGGGAGTTTGCTTTTTTAATATTATAGTCATTTCTATAAAAATTTAGGACAGAGAACAAGAATATCATGGGCAGATAATGCATTATTTAACCTTCAATTAAGACAGTTCATATTAGCCTTAATGAGGAATCTCTGTTAGGTCATAAATTCAGCCACTTGTTTTCTTAGTACCCTCTATTAGGCATTAGGAGAAAAAGGGTGTTGTGAGTCTCAGTGACATGTACGAAAAATAAGCAAATATCCTCCCAGGGTGCCTCTTTGCTAAAAGCCTGCCATATGTCCACAATGCACTGAAGCATTAACAGTACATCTCATTTTATATCCCCATTTGACAAGCACAACTTAAAACAAGGATGAGCTTGCACTAAATGCGCTTGTCTAATTCTCATTACTGCTAATTACGTGCACGCAGCAGGAAGACCACATCTCTTCAAAATAAGGCTTACTTTTCAAGAGAGAGGATAAAAGTCAGTAAATTTTCAAAGTACCAAATGATTTCTTACCATTATTAGCATTTTATATACCTGTGGATATTTTATTTTATAACCTGAACCATAATTCAGTTGTGGCCACAGGCCCTATATGAGCTTTCGAAAAATAAAGTCGTTCCTAATCTGTTGCCTGGCAAGACCTAGCAGCAATTTGTCTTCATAAAGAACCCTTGCCATGCTATTTCCTGAATTGCAGACTAGAAAATTTGTCTCAAGATTAAGAGGCACCGGTGAAAAGAATGAAATACATAAAAATAAAAACTTTCCTATCTCTTTATTTGAATTCTATTAAACTAGTGTGTGTCATTTTAAAAAGGAGATAAGGAAATTTTCAACCAGTTTTTCTGTTGATTTTCTATTTTGATTTTTCTGATTATACAAGGAAGTGCTTATGAAATGCTTTAGGCATAATAGCACAATACATGTCATTATAGGATACACTATACACACACATTTCTCCGTGCAGTTTTCCCCAGGATATTTATGATGCAAACAAAAGTTAAAATCTAACAATTTTTTCAGTCTTTCACCCTTGATTGTATATTTTTAAGATACTGAAGATTACAGAACATCAGAGAGAAAGTATATGTTGATAAGATATAAAAACACGGTATTACCAAAGCTGCAGAGCCTGACATATTGCTGTAATAAACCAAATTGAGCATACTCTTGTGTCGAGATCTGCCTGTGTTTTTAGAAACATCCATTTTCTTATGAAATATCCAATAGTAAAACAAAATCCCTTTCTGCACCACAATGCAGATAGCAAAATAATCCAAATTCCAATGCTTGGAAATACATAGATTTATACTTACCTTCTTTATCCCAATTTGAATGAATATATCATTTTATTTTTATCCAAGTACCAATTCAACTTGCATTCTCTGAAGATTGCTTAATGCTTCTATGCCTTTTATCAAATGATCCTTCAGCAGATTTCAGGTCTCTGTAAACTCTCCTTGAGATTTCATATTTTGAGCCTTTCCATTTTAATTTTATCATCAGGAGTGTTTGAGGCATTTTATGGAAAGAAAACCCTATATCTGCCAAATGATTCCTTTAAAGTCAATTTTTATAAAGGATGTTTTTGATTAAATGGCATGTGATCACTGTATTCAGTTCACGGGGAATGTAAGTGTATGCCTCAGACAGGGATGCAGAGACATGGGATTAAGTTTATGGACAGTAAGGATTAGACATTTCGTTTCTTTAACTTTACCCTATTCTCTTCAAATTACACATGATTTCATGGGTGTCATCTTCAAAATGGAAAAAGACCAAAGGCAAAAACACATGCTTTGTCTTATTTAGCTGGTTAAGTCTTTCAACTGCGGTCAACACATGACTGTGAAAATTTCAATTTAAAACTACATTTATGATGAGTATAAAACTGACCCCAAAACTTCAGTTAATTATAGCAATTGTACATTTTCTTTGAAAGATTTAGAAGCTGCACTCCTAAGTACCTGAGAGAGCAGCTCTGATTATTTGATTCCCTGCTTACTCCCCAGGTGAGTTCCAGAAGCTACGCCAAGCTATATCTAGGGTCATTTTTTTTCTTCTAGAGCACAGAGAGATAGATATCCTGCAAATGAGAAAATGCCTACCTCTCCTCTGCTTCAAACCATTCATTCTTCCCATTCTTAAAATATCAGAATGAAGTATACTTTCTAGGCCAGCTTTAGGACTGGGTCTAGAACACTGTCCAGCAAAAATGTGCCATCCAACAACTGAATCAGTTTACTGAGCAACTTCCACAACTAGAGATAAAATGTGAATGCTGACAGAGAGATCATGTTGACTCTATTGACACTGATGGATGGCCAGAATAAGACTTCCATAATGAACAAATGAAAAACAACTGTGGACTAGCAAGACATTTTTCATAAGTTATGTAAGTGCAAAATAATTTTAAGAGGTCTGGAATTGGTTCAACCTGGCTGGTTACTCTTGGCAATAGTGGGATTAGTGGACTCTTTCTCCGGTTTAAATGAGTTAGATAAATACTCAGAAATTGATTGAGGTTACAAATCAAGCTTCTAGAAAGAGAATAAATGAGCAGCTGTAAATGTTTGTGAAGCTGCCTCGTTAAAGGGACAGCCAAATTACCTGGCTCCAGCCTGGCCCTTTGACTCACCCAATCAAACCAGCTGCCAAGTCTCTCCCCAGAAGGTGGCCATTAGGCCGCTGGCTAAGTGGCAGGAATTACAGTATAAACAGCCTTTTTTCTACGTATTTCTTCCCTACCTCTTCAATGTTAACAGTATTGGGAAATAAGACAAAAATCAAAAATAGAAAGGTTAAAAAATGAATGTGATTTCTAAACAAAGATAATTTATAAACCATTCAAATAAATACATTTGCAGAAAAAAGATTCTTTTTCTACATTTGTATTAAATAAAATTTGTCACACAAATTTACTCATCATACCTACCTATTAGATGTTAGTTTCCTTTAAAAATAAGCATTTACTACCTGAAATTTATAAACTATATTCATCTGTAGGCAAAAACGTGGTCTTTTTCTTGTATTCCATAACTCTGACACTGGCACCAAACAACCATCCAAATTCAAAGCCTCAAAGGCACATTTGCTATTTCACTTACCCTTACCTCTAATCTTAGCCCTCTTTCCATTGCCCTTAGAGTCATCCATTCCAACTCCCCTGAGGTTCAGTCACGGCCTCCAGTACAACTTGTCTGACTCTGATTCTGCCTTGTGCAATGCACTGTGTGCATTCCTGAGAGAATAATCTTCACAGGTCTTATTTCTCGTTATATCCCATGCCCCAATGGCTTCAACGGCTCCTAGAAGCCTACAAAATAAAGTCCAAGTAATTTGTTTGCTAAGTATTCCAGGAGGATTTTCAAGACCACACTCTAATTTGACCTCAGCTTCTCCCACACTGTCCCATTACTCCTCTTCAAATCAAGCTATGTTCCGGACAATTAGATCCCCCACTCACACCAGTCCTGCAAACGCTTCGTATCTTGCCTTGTCTGCTGTATCCACTGCCTGAGTTGCTTCTTCTATGGTCAGCCTCTTCATATGCCATATGAGGAATCTTCTCAGATTCCGTCTCAGGAAAGCCTGTGTTGAAAGCCCAAAATAGGTCAGGACCTCTGTTTCACGCTCTTCTGGAATCAGTGTTTCTCCTTTGTAGTATTTGTAGCATGTGTGATTAATTAAATATTTGCAAAATTATTTGTCTAATTCTGTTTCTGTCACAAGATAGCAAGAGCCATGAGGATAAAGACTGGTATCTAATTTTTTTCTTTGTATTCCCAGCACCTGGAAATGCAAAATGCAATAATTACTTCATTTAATAATAATATTTCATTTAATAAAAGGAACTGTGCGATTTTTCAGTTCCTTTACTAGAGTAGTTCTCAGACAGAAGGTGCACTACAGTAATTCATTGTGATGATGTGTGTGTCTTATCTGCAGCCTTTATGTTTTATTTACCTTTGTCTCCCTGATAGCACCTTGGACAAATCTGTGCAGCTACTGCTCAGTAAATTTTTTTTAATCTAATGGGAAGGAAAAATTATTAAGTGAAAACTATTTTTCCACACTGAAAACCCACATAGAAAAACTAACCTTTGGCAGATTGAGATAATTAGCTCTGATTTCAGATACTTTTTAAAATTTGATGTGTTTATTTTTATAATTGTCTAAAATTTTCTACATAAGCACATTCTGGATATCTGCCTTATAACCTAATGGTGCTTCATCATTTCAGCACCAGTTGCATTTTTCTTTACTACAACATTGAGACTCAATAGTTCACTTTAATTGTTGAGGCTAATGACAAAAGAACAGATGTGGACTTAATGCACAAGTAATATTTTCATGATGAATGAAGGTTAGATGGATATCACTGAGCACTCTTGAAACAATGGTTATGAAGCTGTTTTGATGAAGAATAGTGGAGGACATTTTGAATTATCCCCTAGCATAAGGTGGCATAGGCATGCCAAACTTAAAAGAACCTGCCTGTAGATGTTGGTTTCATATTTACATTTTGAGCAATGATTCAGTTTCAGCAAACAATATCATCTGTCACAGTAAAGCAATGTTTCTAAATAAAATTTTGTGTTCTGTTTTAGTTTTGTTTGCATTTAATTGGTAAGCTTATTTTGGATAGTACGAGTCAGGGGTAGAAATTATGGGGAACTACTCCCCATCCCTAGCTACCAGGACCACTGGGCAGAACAATAGAAATACAGTATTACTGTATTAGTAGATGTAATTTTTCACATTGTTTTAAACCAAAAAACAAAAATTAGTCATTTTCTATGCTTTCACATTCAATAATCTTAAAAAAGAGGGTAGTATATCAATAAACACAAACTGCTCAAACACTTTAAAATATTGATGATTATGACAAATAAAAATAATTTAAAACTACATTGAGGAGGGGTATAATAATTTTTTTCAATTAAAAGAAGTCATACATTTCTCAACTTTGAGAAACATTGTTCTTACCTTCCCAGTGTGCACCCCACCAGCTTTTAGTAACAGCACCCCACACTTCTCTTGGAAAACCATTCTCCTCCTTGTGGTTTTAGCAGAACTATAAACCATGCTATTGCTGCTAGCCTTATCTAAGGTATAACCACATGACTCACATTAAAGCAATCATATTCTCCCAACCAGGAATTTGAATATTGAGTGGAGAGACATAAAGGTAGAAGACAGATGGATTTGGGCTATTTCCAGTGGAAATAATTGTGAGTTTTTGCTACTGAGATCCCTAAAGTTACAGTGGGTTTCTGTTCTTTCCTGAATCCTTCTTGAGCCTATCATTTTATATCATGAGTAATGCACTATCCTTCTTATAAATTCTTTTTCTTCTCTTTTCTTTTATTTGTGCTTAAGTTGATCAGTTGGTTTATTTTGGTTACCACCAAGAATCCTAACCAATGCAGTAATCTAAACAAAACTAACCCAAAGTCACACAAAATTCAGAGGAGAATTTGAGAAATTGAGAAAAAGTATTCAAGAGCTTAAAGAAAGATAAGGAAGATGAAAGCAAGACCATGTATAACATTTTCTTTCTTTCTCTGTCTGGTTTATAAGTTTTGAATTCACTTATTAATACATTTTGAAACTGATATTCTGCTCCATAATGTCTCACACCTGACCAAATGTTTCTTGAAAGCAAGAAGTAATTCATATTCATGTGATATCCTAGCATCTCACAGAAGGCTTGGCAAGCATAATAGGCAGTCAATAAATATACTTTGACCTGGTAAGTTTCACCTCCAAGGTTTACAGTTATAGCAGCAGGTCAGTAAAGAAACAGTTTTTAAAATTTATCAAGTTTCTTGTAAAAAGAGGCACAGGTGAGTTTTCCAGTTACTGGAGAATGATCTTTAGTATTACTGCCATAAACATCCTCCAGTCTACAGTAGGCTGCTTTAAGTTAGAAAACGGTGTTTACCTTTGTACCTTTGTACCTTTGGCTTGTGGAGACAAGCCAAAAAGTGCCTGGTATATAGCTGTCACCTCAATCACTGTTTAGTCAATTACTGTAGACTGAGATTAGATCTGTCATTCCAGAATTTATTTTCAGGATATAAATCAATGTGACTTGAATTTGAAGACAATGTTTACATCATATTCTAGTTTACACATGTTGTTGTTCTGCTGAAATTGATATCAAACTATCTCTGTTGCTTACCAAATTTCCTCCTTTAAACTAGCATGCCATACAGCAACGCCAGTTCTTCCAATTGTCTATACTAGGTCTGTTGAGGTCTAAGGTGAGAACCACTGAGCATTGAACAGTAAGTTAATTGGTAATATTAACTCTTTTGGGTGTACCATCATTGTCAACATCTTTACTAAAAGATTTAAGTCATTTTTGCTGAAGTACATGATACAGAAGAGATCACTTTCACCTGCGCACTGGTGACCTAGCTAGTTTTTCATAGAGCATTAAGCATGAGCTAGCCATGCCCTTACCTCTCCCCACTCCATCCCCATTCCACTCCCCTCAACCCAAAAGTGTCATTTTTATTGGCCACTAAGCAGATATAAGGCTTGGTCTTATGCAGATTCTGCTTCATTTAAGGATGAATGCTGGTGAGAAGAGTTTAAAGGAAGTCATCCTAAAGACTGAACAAAGATGTGACAAGTTCCATATGAAATTTAAAGTAGTTTTTTCTAATTCTGTGAAGAAAGTCAATGGTAGCTTGATGGGGATAGCATTGAATCTGTAAATTACTTTGGGCAGTATGGCCATTTTCACAATATTGATTCTTCCTATCCATGAGCATGGAATATTTTTCCATTTGTTTGTGTCCTCTCTTATTTCCATGAGCAGTGGTTTGTAGTTCTCCTTGAAGAGGTCCTTTGCATCCCTTGTAAGTTGGATTCCTAGGTATTTTATTCTCTTTGTAGCAATTGTGAATGGGAGTTCACTTATGATTTGGCTCTCTGTTTGTCTGTTATTGATGTATAGGAATGCTTACGATTTTTGCACATTGATTTTATATCCTGAGACTTCACTGAAGTTGCTTATCAGCTTAAGAGATTTTGGGCTGAGACGATGGGGTTTTCTAAATATACAATCATGTCTTCTACAAACAGTGACAATTTGACTTCATCTCGTTCTATTTGAATACCCTTATATTTCTTTCCCTTGCCTGACTGCCCTGGCCAGAACTTCCAATACTATGTTGAATAGGAGTGGTGAGAGAGAGCATCCTTGTCTTGTGATGGTTTTCAAAGGGAATGCTTCCAGCCTTTGCACATTCAGTATGATATTGGCTATGAGTTTGTCAGAAATAGCTCTTATTGTTTTGAGGACATTCCATCAATACCTAGATTACTGAGAGGTTTTAGCATGAATGGGTGTTGAATTTTATCAAAGACCTTTTCTGCATCTATTGAGATAATCATGTGGTTTTTGTCATTGGTTTTCTTTATGTGATGCATTATGTTTATTGATTTGCATATGTTGAACCAGCCTTGCATCCCAGGGATGAAGCCGACTTGATCATGGTGGATAAGCTTTTTCATGTGCTGCTGGATTCAGTTTGCCAGTATTTTACTGAGGATTTTCGCATTGTTATTCATTAGGGATATTGGCCTGAAATTTTCTTTTCTTGTTGTGTCTCTGCCAGGTTTTGGAAGCAGAATAATGCTGGCCTCATAAAATGAGTTAGGGAGAAGTCCCTCTTTTTCTATTGTTTGGAATAGTTTCCGAAGGAATGGTATCAGCTCATCTGGTGGAATTTGGCTGTGAATCTATCTGGTCCTGGACTTTTCTTGGTTGCCAGGCTATTAATTATTGCCTCAATTTCAGAACTTGTTATTGGTCTATTTATGGAAAACAACCTGTATAGCCAAGACAATCCTAAGCAAAAACAACAAAGTTGGAGGCATCATGCTACCTGACTTCAAACTATAATACAAGGCTACAGTAACCATAACAGCATGGTACTGGTACCAAAACAGATATATAGAACAATGGAACAGAACAGAGGCTTCAGAAATAATGCCACACATCTACAACCATCTGATCTGTGACAAACCTGACAAAAACAAGCAATGGGGAAAGGATTCCCTACTTAATAAGTGGCATTAGGAAAGCTGGCTATCCATATGCAGAAAACTGAAACTGGACCCCTTCCTTACACCTTATACAAAAATTAACTCAAGATGGATTAAAGACTTAAACATAAGACCTAAAACCATAAAAACCCTAGAAGAAAACCTAGGCAATACCATTCAGGACATAGGCAAGGGCAAAGACTTCATGATTAAAACACCAAAAACAATGGCAACAAAAGCCAAAATTGACACATGGGGTATAATTCAACTAAAGAGCTTCTGCACAGCAAAAGAAACTATAATCAGAGTAAACAGGCAACCAACAGAATGGGAGAAAATTTTTGCAATCTATGCATCTGCCAAAGGTCTAATATCCAGAATCTACAAGGAACTTAAACAAGTTTACAAGAAAAAAAAACAACCCCATCAAAAAGTGGGCAAAGGATATGAACAGCCACTTCTCAAAAGAAGACATTTATGCAGCCAACAAGCATAAGAAAAAAAGCTCATTATCACTGGTCATTACAGAAATGCAAATCAAAACCCCAATGAGATGCCATCTCACACCAATTAGAATGGCGATCCTTAAAAAGTCAGGAAACAACAGATGCTGGAGAGGATGTGGAGCAACAGGAATGCTTTTACACTCTTAGTGGGAGTGTAAATTAGTTCAAACATTGTGGAAGACAGTGTGGCAATTCCTCAAGGATCTAGAACAAGAAATACCGTTTGACCCAGCAATCCCATTGCTGGGTATATACCCAAAGGAATATAAATCATTCTACTCTAAAGACACATGCACACGTTGTTTATTGCAGCGCTATTCCCAATTGCAAAGACTGGGAACCAACCCAAATGCCCATCAATGATAGACTGGATGAAGAAAATGCGGCACATATACACCATGGAATACTATGCAGCCATGAAAAACGATGAGTTCGGCTAGGCGTGGTGGCTCACGCCTGTAATCCCAGCACTTTGGGAGGCCTAGGCGGGCAGATTACAAGGTCAGGAGGTCAAGACCTGGCTAACATGGTGAAACCCCGTTTCTACTAAAAATACAAAAAAATTCGCCAGGCGTGGTGGCGGGCGTCTGTACTCCCAGCTACTTGGGAGGCTGAGGCAGGAGAATGGCGTGAACCCAGGAGGCGGAGCTTGCAGTGAGCCGACATCGCGCCACTGCACTCCAGTCTGGGCGACAGAGCAAGACCCCCTCTCAAAAAACAAAAAAAGATGAGTTGATATCCTTTGCAGGGACATGGATGAAGCTGGAAACCATAATTCTCAGCAAACTAACACAGGAACAGAAAACCAAACACCACATGTTCTCACTCTTAAGTGGGAGTTGAACAATGAGAACACATGGACACGCGGAGGGGAACATCACACACTGGGGCCTGTTGGGAATTGGGGCCTAGTGGAGGGATAGCATTAGGAGAAATACCTAAGGTAGATGACGGGTTGATGGGTGCAGTGAACCACCATGGCACATGCATACCTATGTAACAAACCTGCACGTTCGGCACATGTAAGCCAGAACTTAAAGTATAAATAAATTTAAAAAAAAAGATGTGGCAAGCACACTGCCCTTCTGAACTCAGTGATGTTGTTATAACTTTGAGAGCTGTGGAATTTGAAATTCATGAGTGGAAATTGAATTAAAGACTCCTTGTCCTGAGGTATTAGATTTCCCCTAAAACAAAAAACCTGTTTTGTTTTTGTTTGTTTTTTTAAAAAACCTGTTTTGTTTGTTCTAGTTCTTTCTCTACCATTAACTAGCTCTATTACCTTAATTAAGTTATTTAATCTGTCTGAACCTCGCTGTCATATCTATCCATCTATCCACTTTCAGATGGAACTTTTTTCTTTGAACATATAAGGCTCTTTATGCCTTTGTACATTTGTACATGTTGGAAACATGCTCGCCTCCTGTAGACTGTCCGGATAAATTTTTATTTAGTTAGCTAACACTGGCTCAATCCACCCTTCCTCCTAGAAGCCTCCAAGACTGCTCTAGTGGCTTCTCTCTGTGCTCCCCATCCTGAACACATGGTAACTCTGATCACACCACATCGTTAGTGCTTTTGTTGATCTATCCATCTCTAATCTCGGATTAAGAACTCTTTGAGAGTACAGACTATGTGTATTCCTAATGCTATTTTTATCACTTAACAGTGACTGTGAATATTTGGAGCTCAGTACATTAGCTAATAGAAGGATGAATGAATAAGTAAACAGATTCTCTTATAATATTTGTGTCTTTTCGTTATTCGTTGGAATAGTTTGGCCTCATTAAAATGTAAAAGAAGGATAGGAATTTAGCTGCATACCTTCCTGACAGAATAGGATTACACACAAGATTTATTGTTTTCGTGGCCCTTAGATTAGCTTCATTACAATGCAGTTATCCATGTAAGCACAATTATGCCATTTGTAGTCAATTCATTATTAATGTTTTCTTTTGATTGAATTCACCATTAATGTTTTCTTTTGATGATTGCAGAAGTTAAAGAAAAAATGAGCATCATTACCAGCACAGCAATTATTATAACTGAGTTTTGAATAATAAACAAACAATATACAAAAGTATACTTTAAGAGTAGTTTATTAGGCACATTGTTTCTCTTGATATATTAACTTTCAGTGTTTTATTGGTAAAATGGTATCAAATGTTATGTAACCAAGATGTCAATATTTGCAATATCACTAAATTTTAGTTTTAAAATATATTTTCATAAAATTATATTTAAAATATTCTTTACTGTCAGTGTAGCAAAATAAAAATATATATTATTTGAAGCCTGAGAAGAAACCACTTACCAAGAAGGCTTTAAATGTTTGTTGTGTTTGGGATTTTGCGCCATAACAAATAAACAAGTCATATCATTCATATTAATGTTTGTTTGGTTGGTTTTATCATCCCTCTATATTTCATTTTACAATAGAAAGATAAGCCTGAAATTCAGGCTTAGACTAGGAAGTATAGTCTAAGCCTGAAATTCAGGCTTAGACTAGGAAGTATAGTCTAAGCCTGAAATTCAGGCTTAGACTAGGAAGTATAGTCTAAGCCTGAAATTCAGGCTTAGACTAGGAAGTATAGTCTAAGCCTGAATTGCACTGTTTCCAATATGTCAAAGACATATATATCTGAAAACTAAGAGTGTGTCAAAAAGATAAAATTTTATTTTTGACGATGGTTATAAATGGAAGAAAAAAAGAGCTGAAGATTTAAGAATCTAAATGATTTTCTTCTTTATCAAAATAGTTAACATTATGATGAACAATGTTCTAAAAGTAAGGTAGACTATAAGTTTCCAAAAAACAATGCATAAGCAGGAAAAAAAAGGGAGGAAATACATAGCCAAAAAGTTTATTTCTCCCAATCACCACAGTTTTTCTGGAGCAGCTGAATAATATAGATGCTACCATCTGGAAAACCTCTAAAATGCATTCTATATAAATAATTTTTCAATTACTATTTATTCCTTTGCCTTGTATACTATCTTGCATATGTGTATATTTGTGGTTATTTATTTTCACTGCTTCATACCTGTCCCTTAAAATTTATCCTAAGAATGAGTAGATTTAGGAATTAAATATATTTTTTCTCTAAAATTTAGAACAGCTCAGGGTGACTATAAGTTTGAAGAGAGATACGAAGGCAGCAAATCTGATCGTACATATTATGCAAAAATAAGTCAGAATGAACTAGTAAGCAAACAGTGAGTCATCATTTTATAGCAGAATTTAATTGACCAGTGCAGCTCAAAATATCATGGAGTTGGTACCTAAAGAAAGTCATGGCATCAATTTTTAAATTAAAAGCTCATTTTACATCTTCTAAGCAATTATCAAAGGATGTTGATAAGTTACAGAAATTATAGCATCACCGTTTGGCATTCACAGTTCTGATAGCTATCTTTGTGGCTTCCCAATAAGAGAGCTGGTTAACATAATGAGTGGATGCTTGAAATCCATTGTTCATAGTTTTATCAACATGGTAATGATAATAATAACCAGGAATCCCTCATTAGTTATGTATATACAAATTTTATGTATTCTTGAATTATATAATGTTTTGTTTTTACTATTTCTATATTATTATTTTAAATAATAGTTGCTATCTATGGACTACTTACTATATTCCCATCACTATGCCAAGAACTTTATGGAAATCATCTCATTTAATGCTTACAGTGACCAAATTAAATAGATGCTATTATTATTTTCATTTTATAATTAAGAGAACCGAGACTTTGACAGGACTTTTTGACCTAATTATTGGCAGAACCTGAACGCTTCCCAGATCTGTCTGATTCCTGAATCCGCATTCTTAGCCACAAACTTACACTGCTTGAGTAAAGAAATATTCAAAACCATACCATTCAAAAATCTCATTTTCATGACCAACGTGGTTCATAATTTTTTAATTTTGTCTTAACTAAAAACAGGAAAAAATGAAATTCTTGAAATGCAAATAGAAGACACTTGCTTTATTGAGCAAATCTCCTGTTAAACCTTGATCTTGAATTCTACTGACTCTTCATAGTATTACCACTAGCAATGCCAGATTGATAACATTGTGTACCAAGAACTAGAGCAAGTTTTTCTCTTCAACTCAGTCTATTTTACCAAAATAGAATGTTTTATTTAAACAGATGCGCAAAATAATCACTAAACATTAGTTTCTAAATTATAGGTATGTAATTTAGAGTAAGAAAAAAAGAATATTAAACCTATATAATCAAATCTCAACAAAAACGTTAACAGGTATCAAATCCTGCATAGTTCAGCACAGTATTCTCTAAGCTTGATGATATTCAATATATTAGAAATCTCTTAAATCATACACAGCACATCCCATGGGCTTCCCTGAATTGTGTAACTTACAGATTTTTTAAAGATGGCTTTACGTCAAAAGCATTTTCAGTTTTCCTCCTCAGGACCTTCAAATTTTATCTAGATACTTTTTTACAACTTAGGGGAGAATATAACCTTGGTTGTTTGTATGGTATCCCATTTACCCACCACTTTCACATCCACAGAAGTAGAAAATTAACAAGTGCCATGAAAATCTGGTGTTCGTAAGAACCCTTTGATGGCCTTTTCTTTAGTTATTAATATCCAAGGTCACCATTCTTCCCATTTTGAGAAACTTTGTCTCCCTTTTTCTGATTCTTATTTCTGCCCACAAAGAGCTAAATATGACACTACTGTTAGTGGACTATATTTTATTCAGAATTTCCATAGAAATAATATATATTTTGTGGGATAATTTCCCATTTATTCAGACCATAGTATCTGAGTTTATATTTTAACTTAAAACATCATTTTTAAACAAAAATTTAAGTGACTTGTCTATATTTGTCTAAGACTTCCACACTTTGAAAACTAAGATTCCAACCCACAGTCCTTTTATCTGATTGTAGAAATCCCACCATTGCCAGGTTCCAAGACTGTAGTCTTTCACGGCAATATACACAGAGGTGTAGATATATTAAGTACCTTGTGCCCTCATAACAGAATAATGTATAATATAATACAGTCATTCCCAAAATGTGGAACACTCAACATTCAGAGTACTTGATATAATTTAGTTGGTACACCGATAAAACATTTTTAATTTTAGTGGTAGTGTGCTTATTGAACATATATCAGAACATATTAATAATATATTAAAACTGTAATATTAAGTAAATAATAGGAAGGGTGATATATGAACGAGGCAAAACTTATGAAATTCCACAGGAATTACTGAGGTTTGAAAAACAGTGATATAATTGTAATATAATTGAAACTTGACTATTCTCAAAAGAACATCAAAATTAGGCCAAGCTAAGGTATGATAACTAATTCATAGTTTGTACTTAAAGTAGAAAATACAGGAATAATTTCTTGCTATATTAATGAATAATATCTTCAGGCATTCTCAAAGCTAATGTTTTATTAAATGTGACATTATAAACATTAACTTTTACAAACCTAGCCAAGAAGTAAAATATGCTGCATTTTAAATAATGTGTAATATTTATAGATTTTTCTCCCACTCAAATTTGTGATTTACCCTGTAAGGACGATAAATAACAATGGCTTGAAAAAATTTGTAAGTACTTCTTATAAGGCTCTCCAGACATTTATTTGAGACAGAAATATTAAGAATCACGTAAAATCAAGCAAAACTGATGGTAAGTTCTATTCCTAATGGCACACCTAATAAGCAAGTTTTATTTATTTGAATGTAAAGGAGAACACAGTAGAATTTCTGTTCAATTAGGTGAAGGTTTGAGCTTTGTCCATTCTTAGCTCCCTCAAATTGTGTGAATTTGTGGCTTTAAAAACAAGTTTAAATGAAAGTTGAGTTATTTCTTTTATTTTGAACATAGGCTTCGCTTTGAGCTATTATTTTCAGGAATAATGCCAAATCACAAATACCATAAACACTGCAGGAAAAGGAAACCAAATACAGCATGTTCTCGCATTTAAATGGGAGCTAAACATTGAGACACATGGACATAAAGATGTGAAAAACAGACACTGGAGACTGCTAGAGAAGGGAACAAAAGAGGTGGGGGTTGAAAAACTACTTATGAGGTACTGTGCTTACTACCTGAGTGACGGGATGATTTGAACACTAAACCTCAGCAACACACAATTTATCCATGTAACAAACCTGCACATGCACACCATGAAACTAAAAGTTAAAAAATATATAAATATAAAATACATTACACTAGAGTATTCTAAACACAAGTGGTTCAATACCAAAGGTCGGTAGTATCACAATCCAGAAGCAAATAACAGATACATAATTCCACAATTAAAAGTTTATATACAGTTAAATAATTTACTGTATATAAATGATATCTCAATAAACAAAGCTTAGTGGGAAAAACATAGGAAGACCTATGTAGTGAAACTGATAAAAGAATTACAGAATTAACCAGCACCTGGTAATAATGAGTGCTGACTGACAATTATTTCATGGAATAACACAAAGATATAAAATTATACTATGCAAAGCTTTGTCATAAAAATTATGACAGACAATAGCTCGGAGGTAAATTAGACAGCTGAGCCTGAAGCACTCTAGGCAGCTTGTAAGAAATCAAATACATGTCCAGTGAGACTAAAATATATACAGCTTCAACACAGTAAAGGGACTGGCAAAGTCACTAAGAATTATTGTTAGAGATACACAGCATCTACACAAAATAATAATCATAATCAGAAATCCATCATGTTGACTGCCCTTCCTCTCCACTATCTACCCAGAGGAAGAGAAAGTGTTTGTTTAGGGTGCGGGAATTAAGAAAAAAATTCTCTCTCGCTTGGGGGTTTTGTGGCTCACACCTGTAATTCCAGCACTTTGGGAGGCCAAGGCGGGTGGATTGCTTGAGCTCAGGAATTCTAGACCAGCCTGAGCAACATGGTGAAACCCCATCTCTACACACACACAAGCACAATTAGCCAGGGGCGGTGGCACACACCTGTAGTTCCAAGTTCCAGTTACTTGTGAGGCTGAGGAGGGAGGATCACCTGAGCCTGGGGAGGTTGAGGCTACAGAGAACCATGATCATGGCACTGCACTCCAGCCTTGGTGACAGAGTAAGACCCTGTCTAAAAAGAGAAAAAACAAAAATCTGTCTGCCTCCAAATTTAGAAAGGATTTACATTGAGTGCTCATTCTTACCACACTGATTTTTTTCTTTTTTTTTTTTTAGCTTTTTAGTTCAGGGGTACATGTGCAGATTTGTTACATAGGTAAACTTGTGTCATGGGAGTTTGTAGTACTGATTATTTCATCACCCAGATATAAGCCTAGTACACATTAAATATTTTCCCTGATGTCTGTTGTTCCCCTCTACGTGTCCATGTGCTCTCACCACTCTGATTTTGTATTTGTAAGTATTTATTTCTCCTTCTCACATGTTTTTTTCAGTTTGCCTTTTCCTCCCTTTTCTTTTTCCAGTTTAGTTCTGACTATATTCAGTTATTTATAGTATAGTGTTCATGACTATCATGATAATCACTGGTCCTTATGAGTCTCCTTAGCTTCTGTATCTGTTATATCTGTATCAATTATTTCCAGCACCATTCATTTATTCCCTTCAACTAAACTTCCAAGTTGCATATAGATTTATCTATGATATATAGTAGCGTTATATGTGACCATAACTTGCAATTTAAAACAATGGTGTTCAACAAATTTTCTCTTTTGTACTCTTTCCATTCACATTATGTTTCTTGATATCCATGTTGCTATACAATCTAAGTCCATTCCTTCTGTCCTGTACATAGTATCCCAAAGCATGCAGATGGCGCATTTGCTTATCCAATACACCTAGCAGCAACAAACATCTGCATATCAGCCTCCTTGCACACCATAGGAATGTATCCCAGGAGTAGATATCCAATAGCAAAATGACTATGCTTTGCAATATGCACATATATCAACTGATTTTTTTGATTTAATATTACTCTCACTCTCACAAATAACTGTACAAATTTAAACTCCTACTAGTTATACATGAAGTCTTATTTTTCCTGCATCCTAACCTGTCCCTGATTTTTACTTGATTTTTAATTTTTACTGAACAGACAGATGTGTACTGATATATTACTGCTTTTTAATTAGCATTTTCTGATGACCATTGATGTTAAAATGCTCATTAAGTATTTAATTTTTCCCTTCTAAAAATTGTGTCTTTATATTCTTTGCCCAGTTTTGAACTGACTTTCCTGACATTTACTGATGTGAAGTAGTTCTATGTACATAATAAATATTGTATTTGTTGAACATCAACTTTTCCATCACCTTTGTGAGCCTGTTAACCTTTGATTTGATTGACCAAAATGTTTAATTACATTGTAAATATTTATGCTGTTAATAATTCTGATTATTGGTTTAGGTCTTATTTAAGAAATTATTTCCCAATCTCAAAATATTCCCTGACATTTTTTTCATTAACATCATAGTTACATTTAGAACTTTAATTGATTTTAAATTTATTTTTGTATCAGTTTGAAGTTGGGATCCAACTCCAACTCAATTTTTCTTCATATAGCTTGCCAACATTCCCTCTTTTTCCCTTTTATAGTAATTTATCCTTTCACACAAGTTTGTAATCCTATACTCTTTTTATTGAAATTGTATATCCTTTAGCAGAGTTTATAAAAGTTAATCAGTTTATAAACGTCCTATATAAAAGTTATGTTTCTTGCTACATTAATTCCTGGATACTATATAATCTTGTTTTCTATTCTATGTAGCACTTTCTAATTGGTTCTTGTTGATATAAAGAATGTTGCTGCTCTCCATATAGTATTTTTAAAACTGGAAATTTTTTTTAAAAAATCTTAGTTTTGGCCGGTCGTGGTGGCTCACACCTGTAATCCCAGCACTTTGGGAGGCCGACGCGGGCGGATCACCGGGTCAGGAGATCGAGACCATCCTGGCTAACACGGTGAAACCCCGTTTCTACTAAAAATACAAAAAAAATTAGCCAGGCTTGGTGGCGGTCTCCTATAGTCCCAGCTACTACAGGAGGCTGAGGCAGGAGAATGGCGTGAACCCGGGAGGCGGAGCTTGCAGTGAGCCAAGATCGCGCCACTGCACTCCAGCCTGGGCGACAGAGTGAGACTTCCTCTCAGAAAAAGAAAAAAAAAAATCTTATTTTTTTTATAAGAAGTACTTGGATTATTTTGATTTTTCAGTGTAAGTAATCAAATGACATATAATTTGAAAATAAATTGTCCCTTCCTCTCAAATATTGTGGGTTTTTAAAATTTCTTCCTGTTGTTTTGCAGGACCCATCTAAAATCTCTCCATTTATTATTATGCTTGCTATAGGGTTTTAGTGTATAGCTTTTCTTAAAGAATTTCCCTTTCTGCCTTTTGGGGGGTGGAGGGTGGAACGATCAGGAAAAATAACTAATGGGTACTAGGCTTAATACCTGAGTGATGAAATAATCTATACAACAAAGCCCCGTGACACAAGTTTACCTATGTAACAAACCTACACGTGTACCCCTGAACTTAAAAGTTAAAAAATAAAAAATAAAAGAATTTCCCTTTCTAATCCCAGCTTTCCAAGAGCTTTCTATCATCTATAATTTTTTTATTTTATTGTGGTTTTATTCATCTATGGACTTGATTATAAAGAGGTTTTTTAGTCTTTTATGATTAATTGCATTGATAGTTTATATAAATATTTATTATTTTTGCTGATAACACAAATGCCCATGGTAGAAAATGTATAACATATAGCCAATTTTTAAAAAGAAAATAGTCACTAATAATCTCAACACTCAGAGAAAATGTCTTAATTAATTTGTATATTTCCTTCCAGTTTTTTTTTCTTATTTACACACATATACATATTTTTTAGATAAAATTTGAAATACATGTGGCCTGGGAAGCTTGTACTCTTTTGTCCATTTAACATTGTATTGTGAAAATTTTGCAGAATCATTACTGGCATTATACTTGTGTAGCCTGTATCAAAGATATTTCAACAATTGCTTATATTAAATATTTAGGTTACTTCCAATGCTGATAGTTAATGCTCTTTACATAAATGCTTATTTAAACAAATCTGTTGTTCAAAAACCCTGGCTAGGGAACATATTTATTGAGACCATGTCATATGAGTTTTCAAAAATTTCTTTAGAAATACTACCAAGTTCCTTTTCAAAAAGATAATAGCAAATACAGCATTTAGCTGGGCATGGTGGCATGCACCTGTGGTCCCAGCTACTCAGGAGGCTAAGGCAAGAGGCTCACCTGAGCCTGGGAGGTCGAGGCTGCAGTGAGCCATGATCATGCCACTGCACTCCAGCCTGAGCGACAGAGTGAGATTCTGTCTCAAAAAAATTTTTAATGTTATATGTGTATAATATAAATTATATATTTATAATAGCAGTTAACAATGATTCCAGCCAAATACAAGAGTGCTTATGTAATCATACTTGTCAAATTTGAGTTAGAGCAATAAAGAAGTTATTAACCAAAATCCTACCCATAAAGACGACACTATTTTACATTTTGAAAGAATGCTTAAAACAGAATTACATATTCATAAATGCAGAAAAGAAATTCAATGCTAAATAGCCTAAATGATGCAGTACTTTGAAAACTATTAATATATTTGTGGTCTCAGAAAAAACATATATCAACAATAACTAGTTAATACATAGCCAATTGTGTTTAATATTCAGTAACCTGGCTCTCTCCCTCTAGCTCTACATAATCTGAGTTTTGGCCCTTTTTTAAATAGCTGTTATCTTTCACTTGTGTCTTCACCAGTACTGTCTATATTTTCAGTTGTTCAAAGACCTAACTTTTGGCTGTATTTATCATCTGTATTTCGTGTTTGCTTCCTGTTACATTAGTTTCTGCATTTCTCTTTCTCATTTTCTTCCTTCTACTTATTTTGGCTTTATTCCACGAGTCTTTTTTCACTTTTTAAGATACTTAGCTTATTAATGTTAAATCTTTTACTCCAATAAAGGTATTTAAGACTATAGACACCCTTCTAAATATGACATTAATAGCAACCTACAAAATTTTAATGATAAATACTACTAAAAACACACTGTTTTAGATTATAGACTGGGGGCTACTAATGCTCAGAAATTTAATGAGGTTCGCTTTATACCCTATGTGAAACATGAACTATCTTAATAAATTTTCTGCATAGGCTTGAAACTAGTACATTCTCTAATTCTTCAATTTAATATTATGCATTTCAGCCTGAACAAGTTTAGTAAGTATGCTGTTCAAATTATCTGTAGTTTTATTGGTTTTATTATACACCTAGTTGAGTAGTTACTGAGGTGTTTTAAAATATTATAATATGATGGTAGATAGTCCTTGTGAGTTTGCAAATATAGGCTTTATGTATTATTAAACTAAGTTATTTAGTGTACACCAGGTTAGGACTGTTGCATCTTCCTGGACTATATAACTTTTTACTATTTTCTAATGATTTTTGTCATATATACATATACATGTATATATTATCTGTGTCTGTGTGTGTGTATAAGCAGAGAGAAAAATTTAGATGTCTCTTAGGAAAAAAAATTGTATTCTTAATCCTACTTGACAAAACTTGTATGTTACTTTCATCCTTTTACATTTATTGTAACTAACAACATATTTTAGTGTAGTGCTGCCATTCATATTGTACTATTTGCCTTCCTATTTCAATTTATTTTTCTCTGTTTCTGACTATTTATAGATTGATTGAGAGGTTCTATCCTTTCTTTTATTCCACTCCTACAAATTAATAGAATATATTCTCTAAACATTTTTTTGTGAGTGTGCCTTAGATGTTTTAATAGACACACTTAATACATAAATTTAATGATCTTTACCTTTCCTTCAAGCAACAGATAGATCTTTAATGATTTAACTCTGTTCATTCTTTGCCAATTTATGTTATTTTTTCCAGTATTTTAGCTTCATCTTTTACTTAAACCCCGTAAGTCAGACATTATTTTATTATTTTATAAGGTCATGGCTAATTTAGATGTACCTATATATTTTTCAACATCTTTGCTTATCATTTTTTCCTCTATTTTTAGCATCTTTAGATTATTTTCTTTTGTATCAGGCCAGTGATGTATTTTTAAAACTTATTTTTATGTTTAATCTAGCATTTTTTAATTAACGGATCTCCCAGAGTAATTAGACTCTTGTTTTATCCGAAATTATTTGTAATCTTTACTTTTTTACATTATTCAGATAAGTGTTACTCGAAAACCAGATGCTATTTTTTAAATACACTATTTGATTCAATTAGCTAATATGTTATTGAAGACTATTGCATCTATGTTCGTAAGTGAAATTGGCTACTACCATATCCAGTTTTGCTACCAAATTCTACTATCCTCAAAAAATACTTTCTCCTTGTCTTTCATTGAGCCTATTATTTAACTGAACTGTGAGAAAACATGCAAACCTAAAATATGAAGCCAAGTGAGAGATAGATAGAAACTTGAGGGAGTTTAGGAGTTTAAACAGTGCTTGACAAAAAAATGAGCCAATATTTGCAAAAAGAAATTTTACTGACATTCCCAATTTACTGTTCTGCATTATGAAATATGACTACTATATACCAACTTTTCAGGAATATCAAATATTCAATAGGAGACACACACTTGTCTGAAACATTTACTCTTTCATAAACTAGGAAAGATTATCAAAATTTATATGTTCATATAAACATAAACATAAATTTATATATTTAATATGTTTAAATTATATATTTAATATGTTAAATATTAATATAATTTATTAGTATTTATAAACATAAATTATAAAATTTATATATTTAGATGAATGTAGTCAAACATTCATCTAAATAGAAATACAAATTTGGGAAAAGAGATACTACAGAGTATAGCTTTTCCATTTCTTAAAAAAAAGTATCAAACTAGCTCTTAGAAGAGTTTTTAAATTCCCAGCTGATATTCACAAGGCATGATTTAGCACAGTATTCTCTTTTCCTGTGTTGGCACAGTATCTGGCACGTGGAAGTTACTATGCATTCATATACTGTTATTGTGATAGCATCCCTCACCTTTTCCCCAGCCTTAGAATAACAGTCAAGAAACTATTGTATATTTCCTATCATTTAACTATTCCAGACATACTGGTACTTGTTCAATCTCTCTCTCTTTCACTCACAAATCACGAAAATGTCTTCTTAACCTCAGTTTTTCTTCTTGACAATAAAAAAAGCTAATTGTAGTATGACATAATATACTGACTCACTAATTAGCCTTAATTGATCACAATTGATTAGTTTGACAAGCATGTGACTTAGTAGAAACAATTCTATAAGCAGTGATAAGTAGAACTAAAGGCACAAAATTATGAATGTGATTAAAAATGCTTTCACCATGATCAAAAAAAAAATCAAATGAGAATACAGTAGGTGTTTAGTTTTAAGGTCTCTGTGTAATAAGTGGATTTAAAATATTTTCTTTCTTTCTTTGTTTTGTTTCTGATGCCAGGGCTGCAGTGCAATGGCAGAATCACAGCTTATTCCATCCTCAAATTCCTGGGCTCAAGCCTTCTTCTCAAGCCTTCTTCTGCCTCTGCCTACTGAGTAGTTGGGACTACAAATGTGCACCACCATGCCCAGCTAATTTTTAAATTTTTTTGTAGAGACCGGGTCTCACTATATTGCCCAGGCTGGTCTCAATTTCCTGGACCCAGGCAATTCTCTCTCTCCACTTCCCAAAGTGCTGGGATTACAGGCGTGAGCCACCACGTCCAGTAAAATATATTTTCTTATTGTTCTACAACAGGTAGATGGACCATTAAATTGTGTGATTAATTTTATGAGAAGCAAAGTAAAACTACAACAAATAGCTGCTGAAGTAGTAAATAGAAAACTCATACTCACTTACAAGAGAATTCTGGAAACCAACTAATAACTTTAACTCTGATTTCTTTTCCTAGATAACTTTTATTCAATACATGGAAAATGAAACAACTCAGGTGGAAACAAATCAAAACATTTGAAGAAAGTAGTGTCAGGGAATTTATGAGAAAGGAGCGCTGAATAGTGAGAGGGAAAAGAAGAAGAAAACTGAAGAATTATGTGCCTAAATACTTCACCCTGAATACTAATCATGTTATACAATGGAAAACTGTGGATGAATCTTGACGTTATTTATCTGGCTTGATATCTCTCTCAATACAACAGATTTTGAAAGCCAACTTCTGTTTGAGGATATAAATACATATTCTTCCTTTTTGTCCCAGTCAAGGAAGCATCAAGCACTTAAATAAGAGACACTGAAAATTGTCACTGACCATACCACACAATATAAGCACCAACCCTTTGATAAACTAACTTGTAAATTTTAAAATTTTTTAAAAATTACAGGTAGAAGCATGGATCCAAAGTAATACCAATGTATTACAGATGTCGATTGTTCTAAGTATAGTATAATGAATATCCCATCATTGTCATCATCTTCTATTCTCTAGGTACCATAGAAAACCAGAATTAAGCAATCTCTTACATTCCATATGTATTTGTGTTGGAATTATTTTGATATAATAGAATTTGGTGGTTAAGGGTATGGCTTGACCCAGATTATCCCTGTTCAAATACTGGCTTCAACATTTCCTCACTGTGTGACATGCTCTGATGAATTAATTTGCTCACTGTGCTTCAGTTGTTGAAACAATTGGGAAACTTTTTTTCTTAATAATGGTACCACACTTAAAGGGTCATTTTGAGGGTAAAATAAAGCACCTCAAGTGCTTAGAGACATATGGCACTTAGAAAACAAATTTTGCTGTTTTATTATTGTGAATGCTAGAATTCATTATTATTTTTTATTACTATTAACATTGTTCTTAATCCTTAACTTTTCTCCCTTTTTGTCCTTCCTGGGAGATAGAAATATTAACAATTGGAGGTTGTTATAACTGTGGCATAACTACACAACTTGCTGATTCTGAAATAATGTATTCTTTCTCACTTTCTACCCCTGGAGCCTATAACAAGTTAAAGTCTCTTGTTTTTGAAAGTAAAAAAAAAAGATATACATAATGAATAAATAAAGCATATAGTTAATATTTCACAACTAACCTTTAGCAGAAAAAGATTGTCAAATTATCTTCCATGTAATTCATCACTGTCCTTTATGTTCTGAAAAAATGGAGCGATGTCCTTGATCCAGACAGCTTCACAGGACATATTTGATTAGTTCCTAAGGATACATATGAAATGTCAAGGAAATATTACCACTAGGCATTTTAATACCTTAATGAGATCCTTTTATTCTCCCTTCCTCTGCTCTATTACGTTTCCTTATAGACTCCAGTTGCTTATTACTTTGGGAACAATAGATGATGTTACTGATACGACTACAGAGTCTCTAGACTAAAATTTAAGTTCTTTAGCTGATGATAAAATTGTCAGAAATTCATTGTAATAAAGATGTTCATTTTTTCTCCCACTTCTTTGTTCTAAGGACCTTTGCAAAGGCTTACTCTACCATCTCCAAGTCCCACCCAGAAACTTGAATTCAGAAATATGAGAAAAGAGTATGCACTTGGGAACCATACAGGCTGAGCTAACTTAATGCTGTGGTGGGTAAATAAAACATATTTGAATAGTTCCTAGTATAATGTTCAGTTTAAAACAATTACTCAATTAACCTTAATTTCTTTTTCTGCTTCTTTTCTTTCGAAGTCTCACTTTTTTGCCCTTAATTATGCTCTGTATTTTAGATGTCTTCCAACTGTCAAAAGTCTTATCTATCCTTCTTACCCAACTCACCTTTCCCCTTCTTAATAAGCCTCCTAATATCACTATTAAAGAATTTTAATTTTTTAGTTCTTTGAGAGTAGTAACAATATCTCCTGTCAGAATTTCTAAAAGAGTAAGTGGCTTGAACACAATGAAAAAGTAAATTCCTTTGAATGAACTATTTGAAACTGGAATGTGAGTTTGGCTGTGAGGTCAAGAATACTGGCATGCATAAGGATCCAACTTGTGCTGCGTATAAATCAAATAGGCTGTATCAAAAGTAAACCAAGATGCAGCTGGAAGCCATTACCCTAAGCAAATTAACGCAGAAATAGAAAACCAAATACCACATGCTCTCACTGATAAGTGGGAGCTAAGCATTGAGTACACATGGACATACAGATGAGGATGATAGAAACTGGGACTACAAGGGAGAGATAAAAAGGGGAAAGGGGCTAGAAAACTACTTATTAGCTAATTGAGTACTATGCTCACTACTGGGGTACTGGGATCATCTGTATTCCAAACTTCAGCATCACAAAATATTCCCATGTGACAAACCCACACATATACCCTTAATCTAAAATAAAAGTTGAAATTTATTTTATTTTATTTTAAGTTCTGGAATACATGTGTAGAATGTGCAGGTTTGTTACATAGGTATATGTGTGCCATGGTGGTTTGCTGCACCTATTGATCTGTACTTTAAGTTCCTTCCCCTCGTCCCCCACACCGCAACAGGCCCTGGTGTGTGTTGTTCTCCTACCTGTGTCCATGTGTTCTCATTGTTCGACTTCCACTTAAGCAAACATGCGGTGTTTGCTTTTCTGTTCCTGTGTTAGTTTGCTGAGGATGATGGCTTCCAGCTTCATCCATATCCTGGCAAAAATATGTTCTCACTCCTATTTATGGCTGCATAGTATTCTATAGTGTATATGTTCCACATTTTCTTCATCCAGTCTATCATTGATGGGGATTTGGGTTTTTTTTTAAGTAAACCAAGGTTCTAATATCAGGGGGCAAGCACATAATAAAAGCACAAACTTTTAACTATTAACTGGGAGTCTCAACATGGACCTTTAGCCTTAGAGAGCAAAACCAGTGCAGGGAAATTTTCTTAAACTTGAATAGCACATGGTTCATATACTATGACTCTGCTCTTTCTACTAAATCTTTCTATTGCTCTGCAGCTAGAAGGTACTTATTTAGACTTTATGTAAATAATATTATTTCTACTTACTGAACTCCTGCTAGAATGGCCTGCTAGCATTTGTAGTTCTATATTCACATAATTATAGTACTCATACATTCCAGTTTGCATGACAAATAAATTCTACAGTTTTCTTAGCAGGGGCTTCTAAGATAAGGGGGGAAAATACCTAGGGATTTGACTGAAATAACTACATTGCAGAAATAACTAAAAATGAGACCACCAAAACTATGAACATTGATTCTATACAGGAAATAAATTATTCTGAAACAAAAATAAATTTTCAGAAATATGTACAATGAATATCAGGGTAATAATAAATAACAGAAAAATCATAATGCAATTATGTAAAATGTTGTTTTGGCACTGAAAGATTAAGTAACAGCTATATTATGAGAAGGATTGGATTTGCAAAGAGTGAAATGTAGGGAAGATTTCAAAAGTAGTAGGATATTCAAAAGTTAACAATTGTTGCATGCAGGAGTAAGGGAGATGAAGAAATTAAAATCACTTCAAGTATCCATGCAACCACTGAAAGGATTCATTTTATTATTTGTCAATTTACGAGTGTTGGTTGTAAAATACGTAAGCAAGCCAAAAATAAAAAAATATCAAATTTTTGAAAGCATACAGACCCATTGTTAACAGTGTTTTGAGATTTTCTGTGTTTGTTTTTCCTTGTTTTGTTTGTTTTTAGGCATTTATAACCGTTTGATAGTTTCAGGTTCCTTTCAACAAAAAGATAAGCATAAATGGGACCTTTTTTCAACTTTTTTTATGGTGCAATAATTATTTTATTTTCAGTTTTTCACAATTTGCAAACAAGATTAGAGTACAATAAATAACTTGGAACATATATGACTATATATATGTCTATGTACATTTGCGAAGTTTACCTATAGTTTTAGGAATACAATTGCTGAAATAAAAGGTAAAAACATTTTACATTTTAATATATTTCACAAAATTTCTGTAAAAATTATTAGAATACTAGAGTATTACACGCCTACTAGAGTAGTGGCCCTCTGCTCATATTTTCAGTAACCCAATAAATATTTTTGAAGGTTGATTTTAAGTGTTGTTAAAACATTCCAATGGAAGCATTTCCTCGCTCTCCAGTAGAGCAAAAGTGAAAGGATTATTTCTATAACAAGGCCAACAAGAGAGAAGACATACATGCAAATGTAAATCCCAACTAAGAAAACAGTTCAAACTCTCACAGGAGAAGGGTTATTGCGAAAAACGTAGTCCACATAATAATTAAAATAATATTCTATTATGCATAAATTCTTTGTAGGTTTTCTCCAACTAGTCCAAAGATGAACTTTTCCTCACTTTAGACAAAAATTGTGCCGGATCAGAAAATAATTTCCAACTCAAATATTAGTCTTATTAAAAATATAATAAGTTATCTGATGTCTGTGATAGTAAAAATTAACAATGTCTTCTGAGTATAGACTAAGTTTTTGTGTGCCTTTCTTAATATGTTTTAATTTAGAATCCACTGACTAGTGTTCATTAATTTGCCAATTTAATTTTTCCAGTTTTTTCAAACAAAGTATCATATGATATAATGATTGAAATAAGGACTCTAGGGATGTTGTATTTTCTTTAAATTTAATGTAAAGGAGTGATTAACTAGAAATAAAATTATATTCAACTTACAAAATTAAATTTAAGACCACCACTTACCTGAGTCCTTCAAACACTCATTTAATCAATATGTGTTTTTAATGCTAACAGTTACATGCTTACTCACAGGGCTTAATTAAGAAATACAATGATGAAATTAGCAAAGGTACTAAAAAAGGCCATCTGGACATTTAGTCTTTCAGCCCATAGACTATCTGTATTGATTTTATGTTTTTAAAATTCATCTAGGAACAATTTAGAGAACCAATATAGCAATACCAGATGTACTTTGCAAGATGATTATGAAGCAGATGGTTTTATGATCACATTTGTGTTTTAAAAGGTATTATTCTATTATATAAGGTTCACATTTACGACACATGCTTCTTGTTTAATATCATGGATGGTGTCATCCCACCAGAGCTTATCACACATTTCTCTTCCTTGCATCTGTTCACTAAGTATGCAGACTGATTCTCTTAGCAGGGGGTATAAATTATCTCATTACATTGTTGGAAGAATGGTATATTATACAGTCCTAATTTTCTTATTAACATGATAATATCAGTAAAACTTATATGATAGGCAACCATGGAAAATCAACATGGATGCCTAAAAGCCAACTTGACTTGTGTCCAGTTAGATTTGATGTGACATTTCACTCCTTGGTGATATCTTTTTGCTATGTACAATAGAGTTTTATTTAACTAAGCTCAAAGGTACAACATACTCTGAAAGTAATTCTGTATTAAGAGACTATAACTGTGATTATTCTTGGCATACTCAACTAATAATAAAAATATTAGGCTTTAGTTAACCATGATAGAGAATAAACATGATTATAGTAATAGGCGTGCCCTAGCGAAGAAAGCAATTAAGTATTATGCCCTTTGTCATGTACTAAATTTTGATTTTCTCACTTTTTTAGGATATAGTTAAGTGTAAGAAAAGCATTTCAGAAAAAAGCTTGCATTGGCTATAAACTCAGTCTGTGTCCTGACATCCTGTCATTGTTCCCTGCCTGACTTGTGTAAGTAACCTAATTTTGGATCTGAATGATCCAGTGGGAATGATCCTATTACCTAAACTGACTAGATTAGTGCTACTGTGAGAAGGTAACTTCATTCATTCTAGCATTTATTTATCACCTGCTAAATTGTCCTAGGCTAGCCATTGGGAATGCAGATATATGTAGATCATTGCACGTGCCCTCAAGGGGATCATAGTCCAGTGGTAAAGTAGGCATGCAAGTAATCACATGTATATGTATGTATTCAGAAATATGTATTTCAGAGAGAATAACATATTGCACGTATATATTCTATAATTACACAATCATTATGTACAATAATTATGTTTTAATATAATAATTTTAAAATATACAAATAATCACATGTATCAGAGAGAATTACTATTATTGTAATAATATTACAATAATATTAAAGTTTGGTTAATGACATTCATTCTGAGGTATTAAAGGGGAAGTTTATGGACATCTGAAATTTACTTTAAAACGTACCTAAAGTAAGATGGATTAATGGTGGAGAGATAAATAGATAGATGATAGATAGACAGAGAGATAGATAATGTTATAAAGCAAATATAGTACAATGTTAATGATAGAATCCAGGTGGTGGGTTACATGTATTTACTCTCAACTTTTCGGTATGTTTGAAAATTTTTTCATAATAAAATGCTAGAAAGGAAAAGAAAGTAGGATGGCTGATAGTGATCAGATGTTTGAGAGTGAAAAATATGGTAAATGGAATCAAGAAACAGTTTGCTGAATGTATTAGTCCGTTTTCATGCTGCTGATAAAGACATACCTGAGACTGGGAAGAAACAGAGGTTTAATGGACTTATAGTTCCACATAAGGGAGGCCTCACAATCATGGCAGAAGGCAAGGAGGATCAAGTTATGTCTTACATGGATGGCAACAGGCAAAGAGAGAGAGCTTGTGCAAAGAAACTCCCGTTTTTAAAACCATCAGCTCTCATGAGACCCATTCACTGTCATGAGAATAGCATGGGAAAGACCCACCCCCATGATTCAAACATCTCCCACTGTGTCCCTCCCACAACACATGGGAATTATGGGAGTTACAAGATGAGATTTGGGTGGGGACACAGAGCCAAACCATATCACTGAAGCTTTGGCAAAGTCTCCTAGTTCCTCTAGCACATTTGCCCTTGCCTCACGGTATTCTGAATTCCTTCTTTTATCTGGACCTGCACTCTATTTATACAGTTTGTCCAAGCAAGAAGATTAACATTTCCATGTGTATTCTAGGACTTCTGAATTCTGCTTTGACCAGTGGCCTTTTTATTTTCTTGCCGCATGTGCATGTGTGTGTGTGTGTGTGTGTGTGTGTGTGTGTGTGTGTTTAATGCTTTCTGTAGCCTTTATCCGTGTTCTTTGATTTTTGGCATTTTGGCTGGGGAAGAGAAGAGACTCTCAGCGTCCAGGTGTAAGTATTACATGGGATGTGAAAAGGAGGCAGATATTCTTTTTATTTTTATGTAAATTTGCTATTTCATAATATTAACTCGCCAAACTGCATTGAGTGCTTTTGAGTAGATAGGTAATTGTCTGGGAGGAAAAGTGACCAGTTGGTAGGCAAATCAGCAGAAACTTTTTAAAAAGATGGTTACCATTATCATTATATCAGAGAAATTTAGGTTGACCCAACTGTTACAGAAAATCAAAATCAACAATGGCTTAAACACATAAAGTTTTTTGTTTATTTGGTTGGTTGGTTATTGTTTTCTTCAAGGAAAAGCCAAAAGTTGGTATGATAGTTTGACAAAGTAATCAAGGTCCCAAGCTCCTTCGAAACTTTACTTTGCAATTTTTATATGTGGACTCATCTGTATGTTTGCAAATATTGCTGAAGTTCATACCATTGTATCAACATTCCTGTCACCAGGAAGGAGGAAGACTTGGAGGCACATTCACTTCAACATAAGTTGTACCTACCAATTCACTTATATTCCTCTAAAGGATTCAAAATGAGTAAGCATGCCAACCTTTCTGTATAGGAGGCTAACCTGTAGTCTATAATCTGGGCAGGTGAATATATTTTTAGTTGTCCCAGCTTTTTAAAAAAATCAATGATTCTCTTAAAATATCACATGAGGAGAACAAAGAGTAGAAAAAACTATCAATCACAGTTACAGAATTATCAATAGAATAATATATAATAAAATAGAGAACTTGAGAGTCCTGCAATCAATATTTCAAAGAATTTAAAAAATGAAACCAACTAGAAGTAAAATATAGAGGGAGACAGTAGAGTTTAGTGGCCCAGGAGCTAATTCAATGTATGCTGAATCCTCAAGGACATATTGGTGTTTCATTGTACTAGATTTTTGGTCTGAAACAGAATAAGCAGAAATACAAAGTAGGAACCACCTTGAATTATCCTTGACGAATATTTCCTTTTGATTAATTAGAAGATAATGAAGGTAAGTGGTAATTTGCCATTTCCTCACATTGGGAATTGGACAGAGAAAGCATAACTTCAATTTGTCAAAAAAAATCAGAAGTAAATTTATGAAGCCTTTGGGGCAGGGAGTGCTGCTGTACCTTTTGTCTTGTGGAATTAAGATAGTCTATGTAGAGATCTATCTACCACCCTAGTTTTACAGGTGACGATCCTGAAGTTCAGGAAGATGAAGTGACTCTCCCAGGGCCACAGCAGTAATAAGTTTTCATATTGGCACTAGACACAGAAGCATTCTGATTCATAGTCCCTGGCTCTTAAATCTCTTTAAAATTTTCTTGGCAGCATCTAGCTATTCATCAAATTCTCAATCTTGGAAAGGTATCAGCATGTCAATGTAGAATTATTTTCAGATCTTTGTAACATGGAGTCAAAAAACCAGTTTAACTCAGAGTCCCTTTATAATTATCTAAATTCTGCATTTTTATGAGGATTCATTTAATCCATTGCTTAGCCTGCCTTTATGTTCATACTGATGTAGCTTTTTATTCATCTTAGTGACTACTAGCAGTAGTCTTGAATATTAAGAAAATCTGACTTTGTTATTTTTATTAATAATATTCTCAATTTAACAAAGTACTCAATCCCACCATGAGCAAAATACATGTAGTAGTCCCTGTTAATAGCACAGATATTCGGCTAGATGCGGGGAATAAGATGGTGAGCAAAATCAGACATGGTTCCAATTAATACTGGGCTTAGAGTTTAGTGGGGAGACAGACATTTAACAAGCACAGTAGTGGTCACATAATTTTAAAAATTACAGAAAATAACATGGCCCAATAAAAGCACATAATAAAGACCTTCAACAAATATTTGTTGAATGAATTATTGGACACTGACCATATATGGGAAATGGTAGACTGATCTGAAGTGAGATGGTAATGTTAAGATGCACCAAATTGTTAAGGGCTTTGAATGGCAGGATAGGACTTTAGACCTTGTGCAACAAAATGTATGGATAAAGAGAGTTATTAAAGGTTATAAAATGAGGAAACAAAATGATCCTTTTATGTTTTGGGAAGAAGGTTTTGATATTAATTAGAGAATGGGATTGTAGGGTGTAAAACAAGAAACATGGAGACCAGTTTGCTGGCAATTTTGACAGTTTAGGTAAGAGATAATGAGAGGCTGAACAAAGGTAGTGAGATAGAGGACGAGGAATGAATTTAAAAGACATTTCATGGATACTTATGACAGAAATTGGTGACAAATAATCCTTTAAGGTGTCAGGGGTAAGATAAATGAGATATTAAAATTAATCAAATGTTTCTGGTTTAGATGACTAAGATTACATCCGTAAATAAGATAGAACAAAGAATAAGTTTTGTAAATAGAGCTGAGGAGGAAAAACAGCTGCTCCTGATACTGGAGAACTGATCTAAAACAGTGTTGTTACAAGTTGGTTTGATGCTCTAAACTAGGCCATATTGTTATGCTCTTGAACATAAACAGTCTCACAGAATATCAACATCAAATGAGATAACTCTGAGACCATGACTAAGTGAAACTAAAAAATGGTCATTGTTCAACCACAAAATACCAAATATTCCTTTCCCCAGCTAAAATGAGTGACTGTTTTATAAATCAATTTCAACTTTATCTTCACTGTAGTCAGCCTTCCCCATACATAAGATTTATTGAGATATTCATGGATTTTCCTTCTGCTTTCTGAAAGCACCTAATTTAGATCTAACCCCTGCTTCATCAGATCCTCTCCAAAATTACTCAAGCAAACCCCTAATTCTACAGATGCTTTCAAACACCTTCTTACCGAGACCCTATAGTGTGCATTCTCCCTCATTGAAACAAGTAATAAATCTAACTCATTTAACTACAGCTGTGCTTCTGGTGGTCTTTGGCTCAAGGTCATTGCATGGCAATAGGCCTAATATTAGACAATGTAATCTTGAAGTGTTTCTTGGGGTATAAGATACCATGGAAATACAGTTGCTGTGTTGTGTCATTCATTTTCTTTTGGTTCATTAAGTTCTTAGAGATACACTTTTCTGAGAAAAATCATTCTGCAGGAACCTAAAAAGGGACCAAAAATTTCAGAATTGCTTAAGAATCTACTGTCAGTGTGTTTTGATAAATTCTGTGTATCCAAACAGAAAGCAACCATGTAAAAGGCTAACTTAGATAAAAGTAATGTAAATATCTTTGCATATTAACATACTATGAAAGGTACCATTCAAGGCAAAAAATAAATAGGAGGAAAAGAGGTAATTTTTATAAAAAATTGGAGCAGTGAGGTCTGCTTTTTATTAAAAAGATTTTCTAAGCTTTATCATAAATATTGTCATTTTTGCAATTACAGTATGATATTATATGGTAACTGGTCATATATAACAATCTACTGCATCAACAGAATGACTTGGATTAATCTGGTATGTCATGTAGCACACATACAGTTAAAATCTAGCATGAAAGGTTAAATAGGAAATTTTGCCCAATATTTCTTAAAAGTGAAATGCTCCATTGTGATGAGATTATTTGGTTTAGTATCACATTACTCTCTGATATCTTTTAAACTTTTTGGGAACAGGGATAATTTGTAGAAAAATCTTGATTTAGGTTAAATATAGGTTTTTAAAACTATTAATGTTGTCCTTTTTATACTTTAATAAGAATGTACAAGGAAATTACTTTAGAAGAAAATGAGCTTCTATTTAAATGTTGAAATATTTGTATGCTGTGAGTTTAAGAAGCCTTTAATTACCTGTAAGTTTTAGAGAACCATCTGCTTTCTATGATTGTAAAAAAAAAAAAACTATGAAAGCATCATTTTAAAGGCTCCCTACAGACTATATTGATTTTCAAGTATATTTAATAAATTATTAATCAAACACAAAAAGTAGAGACATTCCTACATATTGGTGTGTCACGTAACTCCCTAATACCATTATCGTCTTTGTTTTTAAGTCCAAACTTCTGCAGATTTTATCCTCTCCCACAGCCCAGCCCTTGGTACTTCATTGCACTATACAGTTGGTTGTTATGGACATAAACATAGATCAGGGGTTTTCAACCTCAGCACTATTGACATTTGGGCTGGATAATTTTTTGTTGAATTAATAGTGTCCATGTGGCTAGGTCAGGTATGAAAAAGTCTGGTGTGAAGCAACCACTACCTGATGAGGCTCATAGCTTAGATAGTGGTACATGTTGGGAGGCAAGAGAGGAAGCGGTCACTGGCTCAGCCAACACAGTCAAGTCTGTCAATCAATGGCAAAGGACTGGGATGATGATCTTATACTAAAGCGCTCTGAAATCCAGCTTAGTGCCTAGGAGGTCACTGGTGACATTGAGAAGTAGACTTGCAGTAGAGTGGTAACAAGTAGTTACTAAAGTTCAGTGAGCACATTGAGGAATCTCTGTAAAACAATGAAGCAGAGATATCATGCTTGACTATGAACTGGGCAAAATAACAGAGCTTCTCTCTCTTACTCTTCTTCTTACTAGAGAAACAGCATTTGATTTCTTCAAGGAGAGGCTAGGTGACCTGCTAATTTTACCTCTCCAGGCCATATATCTTGCCTCTCTCTTGGTCTTGATGGAGAAGTGGACCAATAAATTTGTTACAAATACTTTATTCCTTGATGGACAAATTAAAAATGTTTTCTCTGAACAGGCTTACATTATAAACCTTAAGTAAAACTATTTATAGTTGAATTTCCAAATAAACAATTTATTGGGGAATAATATACAAGGATTAAAATTGCAATTCAATGCACACAATCCAGAGTAGCTCTTAGATGTGTCTGAAAAACAAAAAGAAAGGTTGGAATTTTATTGAGAAAAAGAGAAAAGTTATGTACGTTGCTTTGAAAGAAAGTTCATTGGCACTAGCAGTGTTGAGCTGAGTGTAGGAGCTTCTGAGCTCTAAGCAGTAAGTGGCAGCAGTTACTATGTAAGATGTAATCTTAAAATGATGTTTTTTTTCTCTTGAATTGCAAAAATAGTTCCTGGAAGGGATTTGGGTGTCCTTCCCCATGGCTTCCCAATTCCATTTTAGTTGGGTATGACAGGAATGTCTCCATTTTGAATAATTAACTTTCACAATATCATTCACTTTACTTTCTTTCAAACTTCTATCTTTATGTTTAAGTATAATGCAGCAAAATTTCCTTTAGAGATTACTCAATCATTTACAGATCCATAAATTTCCAGGTATTCTGAAACCTACTTCTATCAGTCTATTAAGATTCATGTATTTTGTTTTTTGCCTTAAAACACCTTACTTCAGTTTTTTCAAATGTTTAATAACTTAAGAAAACTATCATTTTTTAGGAGGGACGTGTGTAGAAAATATATTTAAGAAATTAAAAAGGTTTTCATTGCTAGGCCTAACAATGTTTTTGGAGATTTTAGGGGTTTATGAAAAATCCTTTGGAAGCTTTATTCTATTTGTGAAATAGTGTGTCTTCTATTACCTAGTTTTATCTAACTAATTTCCTCCAGTGGAAACTTTCTCTTCCTATTCTTCAGCTTCCTATTAAAGTGCTTCCTTCCTTGAAAATGAAACTCAAATTCCACCTCTTGTAGGAAGCATTCTCGTCAAACTGCTTGTTCACTGCCCTGTTAGACTCCAATAGTGCCTCACACTCTTACTACAGTACTTAATGCAGTCTATCTTGGTATTAGAATCATTTAAGTTACTACTCTGTAAGTCCACGGTGGACATGGACAATGTCTTCATCATTTTTGTATCTCCTACTGAACCTAGTACAATACTTTGCAAAATAGACACTCAAAAACGTTTATTAAAATGAATCAAAGCCAATCACTATGTTGAAAAGAATCTGAACTGGGTTTTAATAATGTTTTCTGAACTTAACTTTAAATTATTACAGGCTTTGTTGCAATAATCTTGAGCCTATTTTGGGCTAATTGGCAAATAATTAAAAGAAGTAAATTGTATATGTGAAGGAATGTATAGTTTATAAATTATATTACCTCATTAATTATTGATAATTAATAAATAATTAGATGAATGGGAATTAATGACATGGTGGCTACAAACTATTAATGTAATTTTACATTCATATCATAGAGCTGTTACAAAATTGCTACCAGTGATTTTATGTCAAAAGACTTGGACTGCCCCCTTATTACCTCTATGACCTTAGGTATATTTGTTATTCATAAGACATGAATCCCTCTTATGTACCATGCCTATCTCACAAAGTTACTGTTAAGATCAAATGAAATAATAAAAATAACAGTAAATTATTTAGAGGTAAATATTCATCAAGAACTCTATACTGTGTTTTCATTTAAACATCACAACAATCCTGTGAGATAGATTATCACTCCTATTTTCACAAATAAAGACGCCTTGGCACAGAGATCTTACATAATTTCCCCAAGATCATATAGCTATTAAGACGTAGAATTAGAATTTAGTATCAGATAGTCTGATTCCAGAGCCAAAGCTCTTAGCCAAAATGTTAAATTGCTAAGTACATGTTAGCTCTACCACTTTGAATTTTATAAAACTTGGCTTCATGACATTAACTAGCTACTGAAATTTTTAAGATATAAAATTTCTAGAATAAAACTTTCTTAGATTTCCTAGAGACATAAAGTAACAAATCTAATCAAAATGCTCCATAAAAATTAAAATGCAATTTATGCCAGAAATATGTTAGAAGATTGATTTAGTAAAGCTATTAGCTTAGTGACTTCTGAACTACCTGCCTCTTATACAGTAGCTGTTTACACTCTTCAGTTTGTTATATATTTTTTAAAAACAGAATCTTAAATGAATCCATTAATGTTTCACTTAGACACTTTATTATTGTTTAGTGACTTACTTAAAATCAAAGTTTGAAACCTTAAGGTGTTAATACTAAGCATTAAATAAATACAAGACCTGGTATATCCATCTATTTTCTTTCTAATTCAGAAAATGCTATCACATATCATATTTAGATTGCTTTCCTCAACATCTGCAATTTGGATTACAATGTGCAATTTGGAGAACAACACTGCCACCCAGGGGATAGAGGACTGAAAGTGCAGAGTCAAAATAAAATTTTAGAGCAATGGTACCGGATTGTGGATCAAACACTCAGTTGTGTTGCAATCTGTTGTGAGCTGAATTACTAACACTAGTTCACATGCTAAAGGTTGTAAACAATATGCTATAAAAAAAGATAGGATTCTCAATAATAACTTCTCTTTTATCTATTCATTTAAGTAAAAGAAAAAAATATAGAGCTACATCTACTTTCTTAGTAATGGCCCATAAGTTTCTGACAGCTGCGATACAATAAGAACACATATGGGGAAAATGCCTTAAAAAGAAAAACAACATATCAAAGCAATTAAGGCCTCTAGTAAAGTAGAAAAAAAACCTGAATTTGATTAAATTATTCACCATGAAAAACACCAAATATCATTTTAAGTTGTGAAATGTTAAAGCTCTTCCCATTAAAGTCAGGAAAAAGTAAGGGATATTCACTATCATTGTTATTACTTACACTGTTAATATATTTGTTTGGAAATTCTAATAAATATAATCATCCAAAACAAAATAATTGTTATAAATACTGAAAGAGGTAACTATCTTTCTAATAATATGATTGCAAACTTAAAAATCCTTCTCACTTCCAAAAAATACTTGAAAAGTGATTGGATAACATACACAAAAAAATTCATGATTTATAGTTTGTATCTATATTGGCAATAACCAGCTAAAGTATATGGAAATGAGAGAACATATTCCTTTCACAATTGCAACAACAACTATGAGACTATGTTTTAAATTTTATTCGGTTTAAAAGTTAATAACACATGGTGCAAAATTTATAAGACACAAAAGGAAACATGGTAGAATTTACCTACATTTACCCAGCTCCTGACTTCCCCTATAAAGAACAAAGATACTATACAAACAAGTAATTGTGGTTTGTGTGTGTGTGTGTACACATATCTCCCTCCTAACACACACAAACAATAGCATACTATTGTGTAGTGATACTTGATTTATTCATTATGCAATATATCATGAAAAGCCTTTCATTCCAATAAAGAGCTGATTATTCTTTTTAATGGATTATTAGTCAGTTACAGGTTGATGGACAAGTTCCCTCCAATCTTCTATTATTATAAACACTTATATACTGAATAGCTTTTTACATGCATCAATAATTTCTACCAATGTAATGTTACTATATTTTTCTAGAAGTAGAATTGCTAGTCCAAGGGTAAATGTATTCATTTAAGAGCTTTATTGGCTTAGGATTGACTTGGCAATGCGGGCTCTTTTTTGGTTCCATATGAACTTTAAAGTAGTTTTTTCCAATTCTGTGAAGAAAGTCATTGGTAGCTTGATGGGGATGGCATTGAATCTGTAAATTACCTTGGGCAGTATGGCCATTTTCACGATATTGATTCTTCCTACCCATGAGCATGGAATGTTCTTCCATTTGTTTGTATCCTCTTTTATTTCATTGAGCAATGGTTTGTAGTTCTCCTCGAAGAGGTCCTTCACATCCCTTGTAAGTTGGATTCCTAGGTATTTTATTCTCTTTGAAGCAATTGTGAATGGGAGTTCACTCATGATTTGGCTCTCTGTTTGTCTGTTGTTGGTGTATAAGAATGCTTGTGATTTTTGTACACTGATTTTGTATCCTGAGACTTTGCTGAAGTTGCTTATCAGCTTAAGGAGATTTTGGGCTGAGACGATGGGGTTTTCTAGATAGAACAAAGCTGGAGGCATCACACTACCTGACTTCAAACTATACTACAAGGCTACAGTAACCAAAACAGCATGGTACTGGTACCAAAACAGAGATATAGATCAATGGAACAGAACAGAGCCCTCAGAAATAACGCCGCATACCTACAACTATCTGATCTTCGACAAACCTGAGAAAAACAAGCAATGGGGAAAGGATTCCCTATTTAATAAATGGTGCTGGGAAAACTGGCTAGCCATATGTAGAAAGCTGAAACTGGATCCCTTCCTTACACCTTATACAAAAATCAATTCAAGATGGATTAAAGATTTAAAAGTTAGACCTAAAACCATAAAAACCCTAGAAGAAAACCTAGGCATTACCATTCAGGACATAGGCATGGGCAAGGACTTCATGTCCAAAACACCAAAAGCAATGGCAACAAAAGCCAAAATTGACAAATGGGATCTAATTAAACTAAAGAGCTTCTGCACAGCAAAAGAAACTACCATCAGAGTGAACAGGCAACCTACAACATGGGAGAAAATTTTCGCAACCTACTCATCTGACAAAGGGCTAATATCCAGAATCTACAATGAACTCAAACAAATTTACAAGAAAAAAACAAACAACCCCATCAAAAAGTGGGCAAAGGACATGAACAGACACTTCTCAAAAGAAGACATTTATGCAGCCAAAAAACACATGAAAAAATGCTCATCATCACTGGCCATCAGAGAAATGCAAATCAAAACCACTATGAGATATCATCTCACACCAGTTAGAATGGCAATCATTAAAAAGTCAGGAAACAACAGGTGCTGGAGAGGATGTGGAGAAATAGGAACACTTTTACACTGTTGGTGGGACTGTAAACTAGTTCAACCATTGTGGAAGTCAGTGTGGCGATTCCTCAGGGATCTAGAACTAGAAATACCATTTGACCCAGCCATCCCATTACTGGGTATATACCCAAATGACTATAAATCATGCTGCTATAAAGACACATGCACACGTATGTTTATTGCGGCATTATTCGCAATAGCAAAGACTTGGAACCAACCCAAATGTCCAACAATGATAGACTGGATTAAGAAAATGTGGCACATATACACCATGGAATACTATGCAGCCATAAAAAATGATGAGTTCATGTCCTTTGTAGGGACATGGATGAAACTGGAAACCATCATTCTCAGTAAACTATCGCAAGAACAAAAAACCAAACACCGCATATTCTCACTCATAGGTGGGAATTGAACAATGAGATTACATGGACACAGGAAGGGGAATATCACACTCTGGGGACTGTGGTGGGGTGGGGGGAGGGGGGAGGGATAGCATTGGGAGATATACCTAATGCTAGATGACGAGTTAGTGGGTGCAGCGCACCAGCATGGCACATGTATACATATGTAACTAACCTGCACAATGTGCACATGTACCCTAAAACTTAAAGTATAATAAGAAAAAAGAGCTTTATTGAGCTTTAATTGACACACAATTTACTGCATATATATATATACAAAGTTTGATATATATATGCTTTGATAAGTTTTGACATACGTATCAACTGTGATACCATCACAAATTGATACGATGAACATATCAATTACCATCCAAAACTTCCTCATGACCATTTGCAATTTTTTTTCTGGCATCCTTCTATCCCCTCTCTCTCACTTCTGCAGGCAACCATTGATCTATTTTTGTAACTATACATTAGTTTGCATTTCCTAGAATTTTATATGAATGAAATAATACAGTATGTACTCTTTTTGTCTTGATTCTGCCACCCAGCATAATTATTTTAAAATTCATCCATGTTATAGTGTGTGCCATTGCTTTCTTTTACTGAATGATGTTCGTGTGTGTGCATGTGTGTGTATGTGTATGTGTATCATAGTTTATTCATTTGCCTGTTGAATAAAGTTTTGTATTGTTTTTATCATTTGGCTATTAAAATTAAAACTTCTCTGAACATTTAAGCACAAGAGTCTGTATGTACACGTACTTCCATTTCTCTATTAATCTAGAAGAGAAGGCCTAGGTCATATACTAGAAACTTCTTAAGAAACTCTAAACTGTACCGCGTTACATTCCCACTAGTGATGTTTGAGAGTTCCAGGTACTCCACATCCTACTTGGTATGATCAGACTTTTTATTTTAGCCATTCTAATAGGTATAGAAAGAAATCACATTGTGGTTTTAATTTGCATTTCCCTGATGTCTAACTGTGTCCGGAATTTTTTGTATTTTTAGTAGAGATGGGCTTTCACCGTGTTATCCAGGATGGTCTCGATCTCCTTACCTCGTGATCCGTCCGCCTCGGCCTCCCAAAGTGCTGGGATTACAGGAGTGAGCCACCGCGCCCTGACCCGCAGGGAGGAGGCCGAGGCCTGGAGAGAATTCCAGCGCCGCGCGGGTGGGCCGGCAGTGCTGGGGCACCGGGGCGCACCCTCCGCAGCTGCTGGCCCGGGTGCTAAGCCCTTCGCTGCTCGGGACCAGCGGCGCCGGCGCGGGCGCGGGCCGGCCGCTCCAAGTGTGAGGCCCGCCAAACCTGCGCCCACCCGGAACTAGCGCTGGCCCGCGAGCGCTGTGCGCAGCCTCGGTTCCCGCCCGCGCCTCTCCCTCCACACCTCCACGCAAGCAGAGGAAGCCTGCTCCGGCCTCCGGCAGCCCAGAGAGGGGCTCCCACAGTGCAGCGGCCGGGCTGAAGACCTCCTCAAGTGCGGCCAGAGTGGGCGCCGAGGCCGAGCGAGGGCTGCCAGCAGGTTGTCGCCTCTCATAAAGATGCTGAACATATTTTCATGTGCTTCTTTGCTATTCCCATATCTTTTAAGAGTGAAATATCTGTTCAAATATTTTGCCTGTTTTCTTAACTTTTGTGTTTGGAGAGTTCTTTATATAGTCAAGGTTAAAGTGCTTTATAAAATATGTAATTTTCAAAATTTTTCGCTCCATGTGTGGTTTCTCTTTTGGCTATCCTCCCAGTGTCTTTTGAAGAGTAGAAGTTCTATTGTTGATTCAGTCCAATTTTTAATGTATTTTTATATGGATTCTGCTTTTTGTCTAATATCCTAGAAACTTTTGCCTAACCCAGGGTCACAATATTTTTTTCAGTTGAAAAGAGTTTTTTCTTAATTTTTTGTATTGTTAATTTTTATGGATACATAGTAGGTGTATATATTTATGGGGTACATGAGATATCTTGATGCAGGTATACAATGTGTAATAATCACATCAGGGTAAATGGGGTATCCATCACCTCCAGCATTTATTATTTCTTTGTTTTATGAATGTTCCAATTATACTCTTTTGGTTATTTTTAAATGCACAATAAATTATTCTTGACCGTAGTCACCCTGTTGTGCTATCATATACTAGATCACATTCATTCTATCTACCTATATTTTTGTACCCATTAACCACCCCACTTCCCCCAACCACTACCCTTCTCAGCCTCTGGTAACCATCATTCTATTCTCTATCTTCATGAGTTCAATTGTTTTAATTTTTAGCTCCCACAAGTAACTGAGGACATGTGAACTTTGTTTTTTCTATGCCTGGCTTATTTCACTTAACATCATGTCCTACATTTCCTTCCATGTTACTGAAGGTAACAGGATCTCATTTTTATGGCTGAATGTATTTCATTGCATGTATGCATCACATTTTCTTTATCCATTTATCTGTTGATGAACATTAGGTTGATTCCAAATCTTGGCTATTGTGAATAGCGCTACAATAAATATGGAAGTGCAGGCATCTCTCTGATAGTCTGATTTCCTTTCTCTTGAGTATATACCTAGCAGTGGGATTGCTGTAACATATGGTAGTTCTATTGTTAGGTTTTTGAGGAACGTCCATACTGTTCTCCATAGTGGATGTACTAATTTACATTCCCACCAACAGTGTGCAGGGGTTTCCTTTTCTTCCCATTCTCACCAGCATTTGTTATTGCCTGTCTTCTGGATAAAAATCATTGTATCTGGAATGAGAAGACATCTCATTGTCGTTTTCATTTGCATTTCTCTGACGATCAAGATACTGAGCATCTTCTTTTACTTGTTTGCCATTTTTATGTCTTTTTTGAGAAATATCTATTCAGATATTTTGCTCATTTTTGAATCAGATTATTAGATTTTTTTCTACTAAGTTGTTGGGGCTTCTTATATAGTCTGATTATTAATCCTTCGTCAGATGAATAGTTCCCAAATATTTTCTCCCATTCTGTGAGTTTTCTTTTCACTGTGTTGATTGTTTCCTTTGTTGTGTGGAAGCGTTTTAACTTGATGTGATCCCATTTGTCCACTTTTGCTTTGGTTGACTGTGCTTGTTGACTATTACTCAATAAATCTTCGTTCAGACCAATGTCCTGGAGAGCTTCCCCAAAGTTTTCTTTTAATAGTTTCATAGATTCAGGTCTTAGATTTAAGTCTTTAATCCATTTTTATTTGATTTTTATATATGGTGAGAGATGGGGGTCTAGTTTCATTATTCTGCATATAAATATCCAGTTTCCCAGCACATTTATTCAAGAAAATGTCCTTTTCCTAATGCATGTGCTTGGCACCTTTGTAAAAATTGAGTTCACTGTAAATGTGTGAATTACTTCTGGGTTCTCTACTCTATTCCATTGGTCTGTGTGTCTATTTCTGTGCCAGTACCATGTTATTTTGCTTTCTATCGCTCTGTAGAATAATTTGAAGCCAGATAATGTGATTCCTCCAGTTTTGGTCTTTTGCTTAGGCTAGCTATGGCTATTCTGGGTCTTTTGTGGTTCCATATAAATTTTAGGATGTTTTTTCTATTTCTGTGAAAAATGTCATTGATATTTTGGTAGGATTGCATTGGATCTGTAGGTTGCTTTGGGTAGTATGGACATTTAAAAAATATTGATACTTCCAATTCATAAACATGGAATATCTTTCCATTTTTGTGTGTGTCCTCTTCAATTTCTTGCATCATAGTTTTTTTTGCATTATAGTTTTCACTGTAGAGATCTTTCACTTCTTTGGTTAAGTTTATACCTAGGTATTTAATTTTATTTGTAGCTATTATAAGTGGGATTACTTTCTTGATTTTTCACATGGTTCACTGAACACAGAAATGCTGCTGATTTTTGTATGCTGATTTTGTATCCTGTAACTTTAATCAATTTATCAGTTCTAATAGCTTTTTGGTGGAGATGTTGTTTTTTCAAATATAAGATCATATAATCTGCAAAACTAGGATAATTTTACTTTCTTTCCAATTTAGATGCCCTTTATTTCTTTCTCTTGTCTGATTGCTCTAGCTAAGACTTTCATCACTATGTTTAATAACAGTGGTTAAAGTGAGCATCCTTGTCTTGTTCTAGATCTTAGCAGAAAGGCTTTCAGGTTTTCACCAATCATGATACTGTTTCTGTCATATGTGGCTTTAATTATGTTGAGATATGTTCTTTGTATACTCTGTTGAGTTTTTATTGTGAATGAATGTTAAATTTTATCAAATGTTTCCTCAGCATCAGTTAAAATTATATTTTTGTCATTTATTCTGTTGATATGATGTGTCATATCAATTGATTTGCATATGGTGAACCATCCTTGCATCCCAGGGATAAATCTCACTTTGTCACGATGGATGATGTTTTAATGTGTTGTTGAATTCAGTTTACTAGTGTTTTGTTGAGAATTTTTGCATCAATGTTCATCAGAGATATTGGTCTGTAGTTTTCTTTTCTAGATGTGTCTTTGCCTTTAGTATTGGAGTAATACTGGCTTCCTAGAATGACTTTGGAAGTATTCTCTTCTTTATTTCTCAGAATAGTTTCAGTAGGGCTGTTCTTAGTTCTTTAAGTGCACAGTAAAATTCAGCAGTGAAGCCGTCAAGCCCCAGGCTTTTCTTTGCTGGAAAACTTTTTATTAAGGCTTCTATTTTATCACTTATTGGTTTATTCAGGTTTTGGGTTTCTTCATGGTTCAATCTTGGTACACTGTATGTGTCTAGGAATTTATCCTTTCTTCAGAGTTTTCCAATTTGTTAGCATGTAGTTGCTCACAGTACAAAGTTTTTGTCCTGTGATTTCTTCTTGAAGTTTTATAGGTTTTACATTTAGATATAAACTCAACCATTTTGAGTTGTTTTTCTAGGTGGTGTTACATGTGGGTGAAAGTGGTGTGTGTGAACGTGTGTGTGTTCCATATAGATATCCAATTATTCAGGCACAGTTTGTTGAGAAAACTAACTTTTCCTCACAGAATTGCCTTTGAAACTTTCTCAAAAATCATTTGTTCATATATGTGTGAGTATGCGTTTCTTAATTCTGTTTGCTAAACATCCATGTTTAGTTGTAATCTAGAATTGTATGAATAAAACTTAAGAAAAGTGCAAAATGAGAATAATGGCAGTAATCCAGCATGTTAGATAAGAGATTACTTTGATATAATCACAGAAGATTTCTCAAGGAAAGTGGATGTTGTGAAATGAATTGTTTTCCCTGCCCTTCAAATTCATATGTTGAAGACCTAACCCCCAATATGATGCTATTCAGAGATAAAAATCTGTAGGGATGTAATTAAGTTTAAATAAGGTCATAATGGTAGGACTCTAATCCAATAGGATTGGTGCCCCTATAAGAAGAGGAAAACACCAGAGAGCTCTCTCTCCACATGTGCACAGCAGAAAGGTTACATGGGGTTGTGGCCACAAAAAGGTGGCTATCTGCAAGCAAAGAAGAGAGCTCTTACCAGAAACTAATCCTGATGGTACCTTGATCTTGGACTTCACGTATCCTAAATAAATTTGTGTTGTGTAAGTTATCCAGATTGCGGTATTTTATTATGGCACCCCAAACCAACTAACACCGTGGGACTAACACAAGTTCCTCTTGAGGAACTTGACACTGAAAAACTTGAGTCTCTATTGAATGTGTTTGTGGACCCTTAGTTCCACTAATTGGAGCACTGTAATAAAAAGAAAAAAAGTCTCAAACTAGTTGCTTTTGATTATTATAGCTTTGTCATTTCATACATCTGACAGCATTTAATTGATCCAGGTCAGCCCTCCATGAATAAAACAGGGAGACAGTTTGCTTTCTAGAGAAACTTTCAACCTAATTATCACAAATACATTATTATTACTGGATCAATTGGGCATTGCTTAATGAAAGCCAGTTAGTAGAACTACCTTTGTTATCAAACAAAATAATTTTTGAGATTGTGGCATCAAAAGAGGTAGGAAGATTGACTTGGAGGTGATATATCTGGAACAAATGATTTCACATTAATATTGTGAAAATGGAACAATACTAGTCTCTTTAAAAACAAGAGTATCGGCCGGGTGTGGTGGCTCACGCCTGTAATCCCAGCACTTTGGGAGGCCGAGGCGGGCGGATCACGAGGTCAGGAGATCGAGACCATCCCGGCTAAAATGGTGAAACCCCGTCTCTACTAAAAATACAAAAAATTAGCCGGGCGTAGTGGCGGGCGCCTGTAGTCCCAGCTACTTGGGAGGCTGAGGCAGGAGAATGGCGTGAACCCGGGAGGCGGAGCTTGCAGTGAGCCGAGATCCCGCCACTGCACTCCAGCCTGGGCGACAGAGCGAGACTCCGTCTCAAAAAAAAAAAAAAAACAAGAGTATCTAAGGTTGTTGAGAGCTTTTAACATAAAAAGAATAACCAGTACACAAATAATTTCAAATTAAAGTAGACTATCATAAATACTATAAGAATGACCCACTGGTAGACTATCATAAATACTATAAATATGACCCACTGGTGAGCAAAATTAAACTTATCTTTGGGGATGTGGAAATAATTATTAAAAGGGATGGATGGAATTTGACCTGGTCTTGAGAAATAGCACTTGAGCAAGCAGATGTAGCAGAGGAAGCATCATAGCTAAGGGAGACAGCATGGGCTAAGGAGGAAAACAACTAAGCAAGTGCTGATCCTGAGGAGACTGGTGGTTTAAGAACTGAGATTTTAGGGAGCAAAAGAAGTAGTCAAGAGAAAACACTGCAAAGCTTTTCAGAGTTACAGGCAAATTTTGTATTAGTAATACATTTTCTGAAGCATTATGGGATCATAATAACTCCTTTCTCCCAAATTCGAAGACAGATTTTCAATAAAGCTCTCTATTTATCTTGATTATTTGACATTCCTTCGTATGTATTTATATGCAAAGTGTACACTACCCACCTGGAGCTGAAAAAGCTCCTACACTCCAGGAGTTCAGCTTTAATGACAGAAGGTAGACAAAGGAAACAATTACAATTCAGCGTACTATTTAGTAGTGGCAAATCTACCTTCATGTAACACTGGTCCAACAGGAAGTCATCTGTTAAATCCATTTGTGTCCAAATAATGCACCAAACTAAAAGAATGCCAATTTCTTTTACCAAGTCAGAGCTATTCTAAGCGGAGTTCAGTTTTATGAGATAACAGCATGGGTTCTGGACAAGGCTGGTTTCTTCGGCAAAGGCTCAGAAGTGGGCCTTGGTTAACTAAGCTTTGGGCACAGTCTTGAAATTATTAGTGATTTCCTTTTTGAATTTGAGTTTTGTAAGTGAAGTCTAGTGGGATAATGGAACATGTGCCAAGGCCTTGTTGTCTCAGGTCATGTGTGGTCCTGTCCCCAAAAGCTCCTCAGGTGGATTCTCTGGTTTCCTGCTCTCCTGTCTCCACCCAGCAACTGCTGCCACCTTGCTCCAGTGTATACACTCCTACCTGAGTCTTGGGGCAGGGGTCTCAGGCACCTTTGAGGGTCTGCCCTGACAACCTAATGTCTCTGTGCTTTAGGGAGCATCGTATTAAATAGTAAATTAACAAACACCATGATGAGTCAAGAGACGCTATGGAAGAAACTTTTTTTTTTTTTTGAGACGAAGTTTCACTCTTGTTGCCCAGTCTGGAGTGATCTTGGCTCACGGCAACCTCCGCCTCCCAGGTTCAAGTGATTCTCCTGCCTCAGCCTCCCGAGTAGCTGGGATTACAAGCATGCGTCACCACGGTCGGCTAATTTTGTATTTTTAGTAGAGACGGGGTTTCTCCACGTTGGTCAGGCTGGTCTCGAACTCCCGACCTCAGGTGATCCGCCCGCCTAGGCTTCCTAAAGTACTGGGATTACAGGCATGAGCCACCACCCTCCGCCGGAAGAAACGTTTTTCCTGCATTTTGAATAAAGGGGCCTGGATTTTCATTTTGCACTGTACCCCAGGTATTATGTAGCTGGACTTGAAGTCCTGTAGCAGTGGACAGTCCCAGGCAAGTGACTCTGGGCGAGGCACTTGGTGCCTCTGAAGTCACTTTCCACATCTGTAAAATAATAGTTCAGAGCAGAGTAGGGTGGCTCACTCCTGTAGTCCTAGTTATTTGGAAGGCTGAGGTGAGAGGATGGCTTGAGCCCAAGAGTTTGAGGCTGCAGTGAGCTATGACTGTGCCACTGCACACCAGCCTGGATGACAAAGAGAGACTGGGTCTCTAACAAAATAATATTAATAAAAGGAAAATAATTTCTATCTTGTTGGATTTCTGTGGAGATTTGGAGCTAATTTATGTAAAGCTCTTGGACCACCATTTGACACATTTTAATGGTCAATACTAGAAGGTGTTGACAATTATATATTACCTAATTCAAACACACTCCCTTACGTCTCCTATGCTTGCCGGCTAATAAACAGCCATTCCCACAGGCAGTACCAAATGTGTATCCTGGTTTTGCTTCAAATGTTTATTCCCTAAATTTAAACCCTTCTATAGTGTGCAGGAAAAAAATGTCCGCACCTCAGCTATAATGTCAGGTTGTAACAAAAAACTGCGAGGATTTAAAAAGGTGTGCTTGTTAGAAAAGCAGAAATCTTCACAAATACTAGATTTAAAAAAATGGAAGCAAAAAATCGTTCATTCAAGTGATCATTTCAGAAGAGCTCTTTCACCGCCGTTCAGCGCCCCCCTAGCCATTAGAGAGAAAAACCAAGGCCGGTACAATGCGAGCGCAGTGTACCAAGGGAACACACACACACACACACACACACACACACACACACACACACACACACAAACCGAATCTTGAAAAACTAGACGTTGCCCAGCTACCAGCCCCCGTCTGGTTTCCATAGGAACGCGCAATTCCGTTGCGTAGCCCTCTGCGCCGGTAGTTGTTCTGTCTCAGTTCCGGTTTTCCCTTCCAAGCGTCAATGTTTCTTGTTCCCAGGCGGCAGCTAGAGCAGAAGGCGGATGAGTTTTGGACAGAAGAGGCTTCCGTTGAGGGGCGTGGCGACGCAGCCGCGGTCTGAGAGACCGGTTCACGTGCAGGCAGCGGCGGATCATATTCCTTCATCTACCATGGCTCAGCCGGGAACTCTGAACCTCAATAACGAGGTGAGCGCCGAGGAACCTATGGGGCTGACTTTAAGGGTCCTCAAAACCAGCTCTTTTGAGACGCGTGGTCGGAGGCGGGCATAGAGGGTGCGGTTGGAGGAACTTTCGTGGTGGGCCCAGGCGGGTTTCCCGCAACTTGGAGTTTGGCAACCGGTAATTTCCCTTTTCGGTCTCCAGGTGACTAAAGTGAGAGACATGTGTCAGGCCCCACGAATTTATGTCTGTGGGACTTTGGGAAGAACCTTTAGCCTGTACGTTCAATATTCTCGTCTGTAAAGCGGAACTCAAGATAGTTCGTCCCAGGGTTGTGAGATTAACTGAGATACGTAAAGTATTTGCAAGTGCCTGACCCTTAATAAACTTTCAGTACACATTACCTGCTCTTTATTGCCTGTCGAAAATGAAAGAGAGAAAGTAAGAGCTGTAGCTTCTAAGAAATTGGTGGTCTTGAATGAGACTGTATGCTCAGTACTTCGTTTCCTCTTCCAGTTAGTGTCCTATTTCTTTGCTTCCGTTTACAGCAGAACTTCAATAAAGAGCTGTTTATACTTGCTATCCTCAATTCTTTTTTCTGCTTTTTCAGTCCATTCTCATCAGACATTTGTTCTCACCACCGTCACTTCCATAGTGTGCGGTGTCGACAAAATACCATTTCTACCACTTATCCCCCTCTGGTTTCTGCTTCTATTCAACAAAATAATGTCATCCAAAGTCTTAAAGTAAGCTGGAAACATAAGGATCGAGTAAGGACCTCACAGTTAGATACAGAAAGGAAATTCTTTATCCCGTTTATGAGCAAGTCACTGTTTAGATTACACACAGTAGTGTAAGGGATATTTCATATTTTCTAGTAACCTATACTCAAGTAAGAGAGCTAAGCAACACTCACCTGTGTTACAGAACAATGTGTGAAGAATGCCTCCAAAACCTAGTAATGCAGAAAAGTTTCCAAAGGCGGCAAAATGAAATGGGTGATACTTGTCCTTGGTCTTTAGGGATCTTGCACAGGAATTGCAGTCAGTGATTCAGGAAAGGGGAAGAAGTCATTCCAGGCAGAGGGACTGGTATAAGCAGGAAAGGGCTAGTAGCAGAAGAACCCGTGGGTAATACAGGGATAAGTAACTCTTCACTGATGGGAACTTGTGAGATGAAGAAGGAAATAAAACTGAAATATATTCTCTGCTGCCAGATTAACGAGTCAGGATTTCAGTTGACAGTGGAGTACAGGATATGCTGAAGAGGGAAGCTGAAAGTAGTTACTATTTACTCATAAACATACATTAAGCTTGTGCTTTGTGCCAGAAAGCGTTTGGTGGGCTATTTTGCATTAGGTTACCTGTGATGTATGAAAGATCAGAGTAATGTCCCTGGGATTTCAACCCCAGGGAGCTTCATATCAAATTTTGTAATGACTTTGATGATGGAAATGACAGGGGATGAGTCATTAAAGACTCTTTTCACACTTAGCTAACTTTTGTTCTTCTTCAAAACAGTTAAAATTTGACCTTTAGGAAACCTTCATTAACTCCTCTCGGTCTGGGTTAGGTGTCTGTTCTTTGTGCACCCAGATTGCTTTCTCCTCTGGAAACACTTATGTAACTGTTTCTGTCTTCCTGTGTTTATGTGTCTATCATGTGTAGCACATATGTTTACTAGGTGATTACATGAATTTGTGAAAGCAGGAACTACACACATCCACCACTGAAGTCTAGTGTGTTCTAATGTGAAGGAGATAAAAAGGACAGAAAAAAGTGGAGATGATGGAGGATATTATAATTTAAAATTAGTGGGAAAAAAAACCCACAAAAGGAAAGAGAGATTTATCTACATAAAAATTGAATAACCTACCAAAGAAAAGAAATGACAACCAACTAGAAAAAAAAAATACAGCAGATATGACAAAGGGCTAATGCCCTTAATAGGAAATACCTCATAGAAATTAAAAGAAACCATCTCAGAAAATAGGCAGAAGAAATGAATTAACTTCTTCAAGGAGGAAATGTATCTGAAAAATAATTTGAATTCGCTTTCAATCTTTTCAATTCTTTTCCATCACCACTAGAATCCTAGTACAGCTACTGTACTAGCTTCCCAACTACTTACATTGACTCTTCTCAAACTTTAATCTTTTTTTTTTATATGTATACTTTAAGTTCTGGGGTACATGTGCAGAACGTGCAAGTTTGTTACATAGGTATACATGTGCCATGGTGGTTTACTGCACCCATTAACCTGTCGTCTACATTAGGTATTTCTCCTAATGCTATCCCTCCCCCTTTCCCCCCACCCGACAGGCCTTGGTGTGTGATGTTCCCTTCCCTGTGTCCATGTGTTCTCATTGTTCAACTCAAACTTATGAGTGAGAACATGCAGTGTTTGGTTTTCTGTTCTTGTGTTGCTTTGCAGAGAATGATGGTTTCCAGCATCATCCATGTCCCTGCAAAGGACATGAACTCATCATTTTTTATGGCTGCATAGTATTCCATGGTGTATATGTGCCGCATTTTCATTATCCAGTCTATCATTGATGGGCATTTGGGTTGGTTCAAAGTCTTTGCTGTTGTAAACAGTGCCACAATAAACATACATGTGCATGTGCCTTTGTAGTAGAATGATTTATAATCCTTAGGTATATAGCCAATAATGGGATTGCTGGGTCAAATGGTATTTCTATTGCTAGATCCTTGAGGAATCACCACACTGTCTTCCACTATGGTTGAACTAATTTACACTCCCACCAACAGTGTAAAAGCATTCCTGTTTCTTCACATCCTCTCCAGCATCTGTTGTTTCCTGACTTTTTAATGATCGCCATTCTAACTGGCATGAGATGGTATCTCATTGTGGTTTGGATTTGCATATCTCTAATGACCACTGGTGATGAGCATTTTTTCATATATTTGTTGGCTGCATAAATGACTTCTTTTGAGAAGTGTCTGTTCATGTCCTTCGCCCACTTTTTGATGGGGTTGTTTTTTTCTTGTAAATTTGTTTAAGTTCTTTGTAGATTTTGGATATTAACCCTTTGTCCGATGGATAGATTGCAAAAATTTTCTCCCATTCTGTAGGTTGCATGTTCACTCTGATGATAGTTGCTTTTGCTGTGAAGAAGCTCTTTAGTTTAATTAGATCCCATTTGTCATTTTTGGCTTTTGTTGCCATTGCTTTTGGTGTTTTAGTCATGTAGTCTTTGTCCATGCCTCAGTCCTGAATGGTATTGCCTAGGTTTTCTTCTAGGGTTTTTATGGTTTTAGGTCTGACGTTTAAGTCTTTAATCCATCTTGAGTTAATTTTTGTATAAGGTGTAAGGAAGGGGTCCAGTTTCAGTTTTCTGCATATGGCTACCCAGTTTTCCCAACACCATCTATTAAATAGGGAATCATTTCCCCATTGCTTGTTTTTGTCAGGTTTGTCAAAGATCAGATGTTTGTAGATGTGTGGTGTTGTTTCTGAGGCCTCTGTTCTGTTCCATTGGTCTATATATCTGTTTTGGTACCAGTACCATGCTGTTTTGGTTACTATAGCCTTGTATTATAGTTTGAAGTCAGGTAGCATGATGCCTCCAGCTTTGTCCCTTTTACTTAGGATTGTCTTGGCTATGCAGGCTCTTTTTTGATTCCATATGAACTTTAAAGTAGTTTTTTCCAATTCTGTGAAGAAAGTCAATGGTAGCTTGATGGGGATAGCTTTAAATCTATAAATTACTTTGGGCAGTATGGCTGTTTTCACGATATTGATTCTTCCTATCTATGAGCATGGAATGTTTTTCCATTTGTATGTGTCCTCTCTTATTTCCTTGAACAGTGGTTTGTAGTTCTTGAAGAGGTCCTTCACATCCCTGTAAGTTGTATTTCTAGGCATTTTATTCTCTTTGTGCAATTGTGAATCGGGAGTTCACTCATGATTTGGCTCTCTGTTTGTCTATTATTGGTGTATGGGAATGCTTGTGATTTTTGCACATTGATTTTGTATCCTGAGACTTTGCTGAAATTGCTTATCAGCTTAAGGAGATTTGGGGCTGAAACAATGGGGTTTTCTAGATATACAGTCATGTCTTCTGCAAATAGAGACAGTTTGACTTCCTCTCTTCCTATTTGAATACGCTTTATTTCTTTCTCTTGCCTGATTACCCCGGCCAGAACTTCCAATACTAAGTATGTTGTAAAGAGATTAAGATTAAAGTTTGTTGTTATTCTTGCGAAGTAAAGTAAAAATTTATCTTTACTCTTCTAAAAAATAAACCATCACTTTTTACTCTATCCTGATGATTATTTATTGCATATTTTTGGTACTTTGAAGAGAGAATTTTTGATTGCTTTTATAGCAGCTTCCCTAACCTCCAGCACAGTACCTTGTCTACAGGTAATAAGAAGTAGGTATATAATGGGCAGATGAAAGCATGGATAGCATAACTGTCAACTAATGTTCAAATGAGAGGGAAAATCTCCTAAATGCTTTTTTTCCTCCCTTTCCATTAGAACTAGAGGAGAAATGCACAATTGAAAACAACAGTGCCATAGCATTTAGTGCGTAAATAATTTGCAAAACTAGAGCTAGATTTTCTCAAGTCATCTGTTTTCTAAAATTTAGGCAGCAGTGATATGTAAAAATCAGATTTAGGAGGTGTAGCAATCTGATGGAGTGCTTTAATTTCATAGGAAGGCCAACGGCCTATATGTACAACTGACATTTTATTTTTTTTTATTTTTTATTTTTTATTTTTTTTTTTGAGACGGAGTCTCGCTCTGTCGCCCAGGCTGGAGTGCAGTGGCAGGATCTTGGCTCACTGAAAGCTCCACCTCCTGGGTTCACGCCATTCTTCTGCCTCAGCCTCCCGACTAGCTGGGACTACAGGCGTCCACCATCACGCCCAGCTAATTTTTTTTTTTTTTTTTTTTGTATTTTTAGTAGAGACAGGGTTTCACCGTGTTAGCCAGGATGGTCTCGATCTCCTGACCTCGTGATCCGCCTGCCTCAGCCTCCCAGAGTGCTGGGATTGCAGGCATGAGCCACCACGCCTGGCCTATTTTATTGTTTGATAGCAAATTACCATTAAGCCCATTAGAAAATTGCTTTTCATTTCATGTAAGACAGTAAAGGTAGAAACTAAAGTGCCAAAGAACAAAATGAGTTTCCTCCACATATTGTAAAACATAAGAATGTCAAGAACCACGTTTGTATGCGCTTATGAAGTTACAAAACGCTTGTGTCGTGATTAGGTGCATAGTACTTTTTAATAATTTTTTTCTGAAATATTAAATTAGGGCATTTCCGTAAGAACCAATTTGTGTTTAGTTATTAAACTATTCTGGGAAGTTTTGCTAGGTGGCAGCATATGCCCAATAATGGTTAAATCGTAGATAATCACTAAGCACTCTAGGTATTTTAAAAAATTGTTGCTCATCAGAAATAAAAAGTAAAATCAACAATAAGTTATCATCCATATGATAAAATTAGGGTCCTCTTCATACAAAAATAATTTTGGCCAGGTGCAGTGCCTCACTCTATAATCCCAGCACTTTGGGAGGCTGAGGCCGGCAGATCACTTGAGCTCACGAGTTTGAGACCAGCCTGGGCGACATGGTGAAACCCCGTCTCTACAAAAAATACAGAAAAATTAGCCAAACATGGTAGTACGTACCTGTAGTCCCAGCTACTTGGGAGGCTAAGGTGGGAAGATGGCTTGAGCCCGGGAGGGGGACGGAGGTTGTGATGAGTCGAGATCACACAACTACTCTCCTGCCTGGGCAATAGAGCCAGACCTTGTTTCGAACAAAGACAAGAAACCCAATAATTTTGTTAACTATGAATTACTTCAAACGTATGGAAAATAATGTAACAGATCTTCTTATAATCTACTTCCTATGTTTAGGAAATGTCAGTGTTTTGCTATATCTTAATATTTAATTCCACCCATCTTCTTTTCTACCTCAGAGGTAATTATTCCTCTTGGTGTGTGTTTTTCTCTTATATATTTTTCACAATTTTAGTAACATACGTATCTATACCCAGTGTATAGTATTGTGTTGTATACTTTTAAACTGCATATTGTTTTACAAATTATAAATTGTAGTAGTCTCCCTTTATCCATGGGGGTTATGTTCCAAGACCCCCAGTGTATGCTTAAAACCTCAGATAGTACCAAACTCTGTCATTATTATTATTATTATTATTATTATTATTATTATTTTCTGTACAGTAATGGGCAGGTAACGGATACAGCAGAAATACACTGGATGTATGATTTACATCCCATGTGGGATGGAGTAGTACAGTGAGAGATTTCATTATGCTACTCAGAGTGGTGCACAATTTAAAATTTATGAGTTATTTATATTTGGAATTTTGGCTAACCGCAGGTAACTGAAACTGCTGACAACAAAATTGTTGGTGGGGGGGACTACTGTATTTTATTCACCAAATGTTACTTTTCAGGTTTTATCCATGTAATACCTACAGATCTTTTGCATTGATTTAAAATACTACATTGCTATATGCTTTATTTATATACGTTATTTTCTCTCTCATGCTACATTTTGTTAAAATGATGCAATGAATAATCTTGTGTGTAGCCTTTTCCTATTGTTGAGAATGTGTCTTCTGAATAGATTCCTAGAAGTAGGACTTTTGTTAAAGTACAGCATGGTTTCCCCCAAAGGAGTAAATCAGTTTGCATTTCTACCAGCAGTGTATTTGTCTGTTTCCTCCAACTTCATACAAAGAATTTGTTGTCGTAGTTTTTTTGTATTTACTAATCTGATAGGTAATTAATGAATAAGCAGAAGTATTAGTATTCTTAGAAACACTTTCTTAACACTGCAAGTTCCCCTGGAACAATACTAGCTCCTAGAATAACTATTTTCTAATAACTATAGATTTTTGTTACAGGCTAACTCAAAAACATGGTAAAGTTGGTGAATTTTCAGAGGCTAACTGGTTGGCCAACTATCACATAGCCAGCCAAAAGTCAATTCAAGTAGCATTTAATTTTGTCTTTGGACCAAAGTCTCCTGTCTGCTTTGCATATCAGAAACTTGCCGTCATTGTCACCCCAGAAATAGAGCTCATTCTCTAAAAAGCAAATTCATGTTAAACCTAAATGTATAAGAGATTGTGTGAATGAGAAAGCTAGTTTATTAAAAAACGTGTCTAATATGCGTAATAAATGCTCACATTGTAAAACACATTCTTTTCCTGTATACTGACCATCAGCTGCTTGGTATGTAGAAATACAGAAAGGGGTTTTAGTTGCATGATTCATGTTGAGCTGTGATGCATCTGTTCCCATAATTGAGTTATTCCAGAACAGATTAGATTTCTCAAGTCTCTGAGCTGGGGAACCCTTTCTTTGGAATTTCCTTGAGCTGGACACTGCCAACTTTTGCCTCTCTGTGGTTTCCTTTCCTGTGTTTATGTTGACTCTTCTGAGTCATCTCACATGGTCTTTTCTCAAATAGCTATATTAGACTTCCACTTTATTTATAGTATTTTTATACTGTCTATGCAAGAGATGCCCTATGTTTAGATTTTGCCAGGTTAACTTTAAAGGCTTCTGTATGTCTAATTTCTAGGCGATACTTCACTGTCAGTACATATATATTCGCTGGGTATGTAAGTCTTAATTCTTTTTCTTCAGACCTTATAGATTGTCTTAAATGCATTCTCTTGCTGTTTGGAAGACCCTTGGCTTGGCTTAATCAGTCTTGTTGGTGATGGCCTCAGATTTTCCCTTCAATTTCTGTCTTCAGACCCCTTCCTTCTACTTGTCTTTCATTTTCTTTCTTCTGTGTCAGCATATTTTATTTACATTTCTATGCCTCTGTTTTCTCTGTGCTCACACTATTCCTCTGTTCTTTCCGTCCCAAACAATAATCATACTGTTTTTACAATTCTAACAATGATAGTTCTTGCTTTTGGTTAGAGTTTTGCCAAAATGTACTGCCATTAAGCAGTGCACTTGGACTTCTGGCAGTATTGGTGTGTTAGGCCTGTTCATTGACTTCTGGGTTGTCAGCCAACTTTACAATTCCTGGGTGACAAATAAATTGGCAGCCTTTTAAATCCTAACTTAAAGGCTATATTTGTCATCAGTTTTGCAAAAATCTAAGTGCTTGGGGAAACCTAAGTCTTAAGTATATGAGGTATTCCTTTTGCTTTTAGAATTCCCTTATCCATTCATGGCAAACATAGTATTTCTTAAATTGGAATTTTAAAATTGGAGACGAGCTTTGTTATGATTGGAATGTAACCAAGGACCAACTCTACCCACTGCAGTTTATTAGTTTAGTTAACAGTGGTTAGCAAATGGTATATTATCATCTCATGCACCTGCAAAGTTCAGCAATTAGAAACATTTGTTAATATATTTTAATGTGCAGTTCATCGCTTGCTATTAGTTTATTTTATGAATAACTTAACTTTAAAAAATGTATCATGACACTGTATAATTCTGTTTATGCAACGTGGCCGTTCTTTTTTTTTTTCCTTAAGCCTTGTCTGTGTGCCTTTTCATTTATGCAAAGTATGATTTTTTTTTCTAAATGGGTCTTTGAAACAAATTCCTAAGAGGTTAACTTATCTAGCAGGAAAGAAACCTGATTACTGTGCATTTTTAAAATATATTATGCATTTGAAACAGTGAATAGACAGTGTGTATTGCTACATTTCTGGTCATTTATTTAACCAATATTTATTGGACACATACTGTGTGCCATGCACTATGTTAGGTGTTAAGATGCAGTGTTGAATAAAACCAGATACTTGATCAACTTCACAGAATTTATAACCTACTGGGGAAAGACACATTAAAAATAATCAGATTAAAAGTAAAGTATTAAGTTACCAATTAAAGGTACTTGTGACCCTCTCAGGGAAGCCAGAAAAGACTTCACAGAAATGACAATTGGTCCAAAATCAGGATGAATAGATGTTAACAAGTTGACATGGGAAAAAAGAACATTCTGACCAGTGGAAATGGTAGGTGTAAAGGCTTTGTAGTAGACGTGAGCATGGTGAGGACAGGGGACTGAAAGGCCAATGTGATTCTTCTGAGAGCAATTGGACACCGTTAAAGAGAGTTACTTAAAGGTACGACATTGGATATATACTTTAAAAAATTTTATTGCGATGGCATTGTGGATAACTGATTGGAGAGAGGCAAGAAGAACAGGTGTGGAGAAACCGGTTAACAGTAACTCAGCCAAGATTGCAAAAAGGTCAAGATAGGGAAAAAAGTGGTACAATTTGAAAGATAATTAGGATTTAAGATTAATAGGACTTGGAGATTCATTGTGAAGGATTAAGAGAGCTACCTCTAAAGACCTTTAGGTGTATAACTAAAAGGATTGTTCCATTCTCTGAAATATGAAACCCCCCCTCCCCACAAAAGAAGGGAAGGGTTTTATTGGAGGTGAAGAACATGAATTTAGGTGTGAATTTGAGGTGATTTTGAGCGCACTCAGAAAGAAATGTCAAGCAGGAAGTTGCACATTTGGGCTTGAAGCTAAAAGGAGTGATCTCAGCTGAAGGTAAAATGTTTGACTCCTCTTTGTTTAGGTGGCAAATTAAATATGCACACATAAGATCTCTTAAGGCTAAACAATGTATTGTGAAAAGAAACACTGGCTTGGGACTGCCCCCTCAACTCTTAACATTTTATGACTGGGTAGAGGTGGATGAATTTTCAAAGAAGATCAAAATAGAGTGAGTAGAAAGGAAAGAAGAAAACTATCTTGGAAAACTAAGGGAAGAATGTTTGAAGAAAGAGAAAGTGGTCAAAAATGTCAAATTTCCATTGGATTTCAGGGGCTTTTTTGGAATTCATTGGTGTCCTTAGTGACATCTTTTAGTAGACTGATGAGGATGAAAATCAAACTGGATTTGTGTGGCATGCAGAAATAGAGATACTGAGTTTGGACGTCTCTTTCTAAAAGCTTAGTTCTCCACACAACTGAAGAGGGAGTGGTCCTAGTGAACCATGTAATGAGGATGTTTATTTAGTCTCTAATGAAAATGACTCAATCATGTTTAAAAATCAGTGGGAAACAAATGCATTAAAAGGAAGAGAATGACAATGCTATGGTAAAGGGATAATCCATAGTAGAGGTTCTAGGAAGGCAGAAGAGAATGGGCTCTAAAAGACAGTTAAAAGATAAACTCAGATATGTGTAGTGGTATTTCTTATATTGTAACTTTATTCGTAAAGGAAGATGGGTCATGGAAGTACATTTGCATTCATGGTAGTAGAAAAATGATGGTTCCCAACTGATAATTATTTTCTCCACACGATTGAAAGAGAGAAAGGAGGACGGAGACTAGAGGATTTAGGAGAGTAGGCAAAAGCTTAAAACAGGCATTGTAGAGTGAACTGAACAGAAAAATACAGGATGGCTAGGAAGAATGGGGGTCCACTTGAGGTTAATTATGATGAATTTATAGTAGACAGAATGTTACAAGTATTTGCTGTTGGCATATGACAATGAAGAACTCAGAGTGTTTTTTTCATTCAGGACTACGGTTTCCTCACCAGAGGGGCAGGAGTTTAAGAAATTGGCAGATGTTATCATGTATCTAAACTGCATAAAAAGAGGAACATTAAGTGTAGGAGTCAGTGGATTGGTGGTCCTAATGAAGTCAAAGATGGTTGTGGTGGGTGGAGTTGAACAAGCAAGCTGATAGAGGTTGTGATCACAGTGTGGAATATTTGAATTAATGGTTTTAGAAATTGAATATTATGAGTGATGACAAGGTTGACAGTGTGGCCATGGAAGTGGATGGCTGAGATAGAATAGATTAGGTCTTTAGAAAATAAGTAAAGAAGTGAAGATATAATTATCAGATGGGCTATTCAAGTGGACATGCAAGTTACACAGAATGATGGCAGAACTTAGGGTGTAAAGAAATTGTAAGTTGGTTGCTAATATCTTCAGTGAATAAGGGAGTGAATGACATGAAGGGTAAGAGAAGATATTAATTAAATGGAAGAGCCTTAAAGAAACAGGATGATGTTGATAATGTTATTTTGGCAAGAAGAATTTGAGGAATTTTTTGTGCCAGGCACTCTTGCAGGGCAAAGAAAACACTATATAAATATTACAAGACTCCTGTTTTCTAGGAGCTTGCTGTCTATAGAAAAAGACAGCCACATGAGCCATTAGTAACAGTGCAGTGAGGTAGATGCTTTAATGACAGAATCTGTATAGTGGGGACCCCAGGGATGGAGTGGTTATCCTTAACTGAAGAAGTCATTGAAGGTATCACTGGAATGACTATATCTGAACCTGAATTTTATATAGTTCCTAAAGTGAAGAAGGGGAAGAAGGACATTCCAGGAGTAATTTTTAAGATGTATGCCTCGTAACTGATAGATGAAATATAAACTCCGTAATTACATGCCATTGCACTGAAAGCTGTTATAATGTGTATTTTTTTTATAACTATAATTTCCATTTTTTGGCCTATAGCTCTGCTTTTTGTTCTTAGAGTTAAACATTGTTCTCCAGTAGGGTGATTTAAATTATGTATTTGTATGTGTGTGCATGTGTGTGTGGGGGGGGGGCATGTATGTTTACATGCACATATGCTTGCACACAATGCCCTTGTGTTTGTGGATCTTCTTTTAAAATTATACTTGAAATAATTTGTTACTAAAAATAATGAAAGATTTGTTTTATAAATATGTAAAATAAATTGCTAATTAAAAGCTAATTTGCTAATTAAAATAGTCATTCAACAAATTAAATTCCTACCATTATGAGTGAGGCTTTGTTTTAACGGTGGGAATACAAAGATGAATATGACAGGCTGTGATTTCAGGGAACTCACTGTTTATTATATTCCAAGCCCAGCAAGATATAAGTGTAACATTAAAATACTTATCTCGGGTAATACTGTGACTTTTTAAAAAATTATAACTTGTTTTTCTTAAGCTCTCAGACACATTTTTAGACTGTTGATTTATTCCTTCACTATTTATGGAAGAGGTTTGATTTCATCAAGCTACGAATATAGTTAGACAATAAAAGTAGTTAAAGTGGTAGACTAAGTCTCAAATATTAAGACTCAAAATAAAGTGTGTTTGTTCCTGAAGTAAGTGCCTTTCTTCTAATTATTGCTTTATTCTTCAAAGGTTGTGAAGATGAGAAAAGAAGTGAAGAGAATTCGAGTTTTAGTTATCCGAAAACTTGTCAGGAGTGTTGGCCGACTGAAGTCAAAAAAGTTAGTCATTTAAAGTAATGATCTTGTGACTAATAAAATGTCAAAAGTTGTTTTTATTTGATACTTTAAAATGTTTAGGGTGGGATATAGAGAAGTAATTAAATGTCTTATACACCATTTTTGTTTTGTATGCGGAGATGATGTGAGTGAGATAGAATGTGCTGTGTCAGCATGCCCTTCTATGGTTTGGACCATCATTGCTCAAGATACAGGATGAATTTTTTTGCTGCTTTTGCAAAACTCTCTTTTGGTCTTTTTAGAATGAAATTCCCTTGGGCTTGTGTGTTTTGTGTTATCAGAAGTTATTTTAAGATACTGATACAGCTTAACAAATCTAGTAATACCTTAAGAATCAGTTTTGAAGATTTTATATCACATTTTTTCTTGAATTGCTAAGTAATTTGAAATCTTCAGTACCTTATGAAAGTGTTTATTAGAACATTGTGTTCCATGTAATTTTTTGGAAAAATACAATATTTTGTATTTTCAGTATCACTAGTGTTAGTGAAAAAGTATTTTATTTATAGTTCTTTTTATGATGTAAGCATGAATACTTAGTCTTCAAGTATGTTTTGTTCCTGATTAATTTCCTATTCTTTCATAAATATGTCAGAATATAGCCCTTCTTTATTTTTTCCTTAAATGCCAGAGAGCAAATTTTCATTTGATAAAATTATAGTCAAACTCTAATTGTAAATTATGACATTTATATTACATTAAATACAATGTACGATTGATTGATTTAAAAAAGTGTTATTAAGGAACTAGAGAAGGCAAACTATCAAAAGTAATAGTCATTAATACAATGGCAAGACAGTACTTATTTTTGCCATTTTCCAACATATGGGTTTGGTTAGTAAATTGAGGTGTGTTTTGGGAGTGGGGGAAATGGACAGTGTAGGATAGTGGCGTGTTTGTTATTTAGAGATTTATTACGCTTTTCTAAAAAGAAATGAAGTGATTATCCATTACACTATAAGTCTAAAATTAATGCTTTGCCTGGCTACATATCGTAATGTATTTTTTGCAGGGGTACTGAAGATGCACTGTTAAAAAACCAAAGACGGGCGCAAAGATTGCTTGAAGAAATCCATGCCATGAAGGTAAGGACTTGTGTGGGTGTGTATGTGTGTATGTTTCTGAGTATCCTGTTATCCTGCATTTTGTTTGTGTGTGGTATTGCTTATTTGAATATTCCCGAGAGTTGCGTAAGACATCTTGTATCAGTCTGTTTGGTGAAGAATGTAGCACATTTAGAAAATTGTAACATTTAAGCTTGCATTTTTCTGTTTTTGACTGAATTTGTTAAAGTGCTAGGCTAATTTGAGTCAAAATTGTGCCAAACTAAATTCATCTATGTTTAATAATGCCTCCTGCCTCAGGTTTTTATTTTTACTGTAACTTTAGCACGAAGTCAGTTCAAGAATTAAAGTCTTCATGCTATTTGGGAATGTGGATGGTGATATTGGTGGCTGACATCATGCTTTCCTTGTTGCCAGCTCAATAAATTTTTATGTATTGGTATCGGCATTTTATTCAGTTCTGTAGTAACTTCAAATAAAATTAGTGTTAGACCAATGTGATCCCATATTTTTGTTTTTTTTTTCAGTCAGACTCTTCACTAGCATAATTTTTAGGTCTTCTTGCTGCTCTTACTTTGAGGAAACTTTCATTTACCAAATGACATGACATTAAATGTCTGGGAGACTGTTTTACTGTAGAACTTAAAAACAACATTTGGTCCCAGCAATTTTCTTAATTGCAGGGTCATTTTGCATGCATGTTTGCCTATTATATTTTGGTATAACTTTCAAGTTTTGAATTAAGTAAAAGAGAAATAAAACTCTCTAACTATTTTAATTGAGTTAAGTTATCAAAGATTCTCAGCCTTTCTTCCTTTTAAACGGATAGTAAAGTGTTTAATAGGACAAAGTTATCCCAGTTAATCTGAATAAAAACATCTAGGAAACGACTCTTTGATATGAAGTATATTTGTTTCTTGTGTTCTTCCTTCCCTCTGCTGCACACTATTATAAAATTCATGGAATCCATCTGATATAACTTTTATTTCTCAAGGTTATAATTCCCTTTTTATTCAGTCCTTCAGGAAAAAAAAGTCTTCTGTATTTGACTGTCAGTGATCATTTGTGTCTCTGTGGTTTGCAGATTATTTAGTTTTTTCATATACCTTTTTAAAATGATATTCCTATGAGAAATAAAATCTTTAGAGATTTTGTCTTGAGAATAGCAATAAAATAGGAAGTTACAATTTATCTCTTTCACTTTCTCTTAACCAAGGTTCTTACTAAATTACATTGCCTACCTAAATTTTTCCCTGTAATTTCTTCTGAATAGTCATTTTTGTAGTCTTAAATTATTCAGAGGCTTTGAGCTACTATATAATTGCTGATTTTATTTTACCATGGAAAGAATGCAGTGTGTGTGTGTATGCATGTATATATATATATAATATATATATGTGCATACACATACACATACAATGTATAGTTGGCTACTCTGACTTTAACTTCTTTTGTAATACTGTTTAAAAACTGGAGTAAACTGGAATTTGTTAAATTTTTTATATATATAAAAAATATATACATACACACACACTACATTCTTTCCATGGTTTGTTATATATAATAACTTGTATGTGGTGTATGAAGAGTTTGAGAACAAAAGATACTCAATCTTTAGAATACTTCCCTTTTGTAAATTTCAGTGATACATTTGATTAATTAGAAAGAAAAGTTGTCCTTTTTGATCTAAATGTAAAGCCTGTTTTCTGTTTCTTGTTTTGAATCTCATCAGCAAAGGGAAATCTGATTCAGTGATAAAGTTTGTAGGTTTACAAGATTACCACATCACTATCGTGGTTTGGTTTGGTTTGGTTTGGTTTGATTTGTGTTCTATTTTTCCCTGTGATTGCGCAATGGAATGGTTGCATCATAGAAAGCCAAATTCATAGCCTATGTATTCCTTAAATTCATAAAATTCATAGTATATATATGTCTTGAGTTTGTGGCAGGAGTTAGGGCAGGCTGGGTTGGCTACTCTGACTTCAACTTCTTTTGTAATGCTTTTTAAAAACTGGAATGAATTTAAATATAAAATGAATACTAGAAAGACTATATATTTGCTGTTCTTACGTGTCAAATTTTATTCCTTATTTATGGTTCTTTTACAAATTTTGTTGTCTTTTCTAAACAAAGCAAATAAATAAAGCATTTTTCTTAATTAAAAGGTCATTTGTAATTTTCTTAGGAAATGGTTATTACCTACTTGGGAGTATCAAATAAATGATGACAAAACAAACTCTCAATCTCAATTAAATTTGGAGAAAAGACCTCTGCTCATTTATTTTTCCAGAGAAATTTTTTCCTTGGCTCAGACACTGCTTCATTTTTATAGTCTTATTGATGACATACTATCCTATTCTTGCTTTCTATAATAATAGGGTATTTTGTTGCAGGATGACTTCTTTGTGAAGAAATCATGAGTATTTTTAGAAATGAGAGTTTGCTTTTTCTGGCCAACTAAGAAAAAAAATTGGCTTGATCTTTACACTATAAAATCATAGGTTCTAATTTTATAGACTATGGTGTATGAAACCCAAGTCTTTGCTGCCTTTTCTATAATAGTGTCCATACTTTTAACTTTGATATTAGTAGAAATATTGCCTTCTAAAACAGTTTCTTTTTCTTTGAAAGTTAGTTAAATTAGCCTATCAACACTTATAGATCAGTAAGTTACTTAACTGGAGAAGGAGATGGTAAAATTCAAGCATATACTGAAATTACTCAAAATGTGCAACAAGTCTCTTACTCAATAATAAAAGTAACAACTAGCTTTTACTGAGCATTTACTATGTGCCAGGCATTATATTATGTGTTTTATATTTACTGTCTCACTAGGTAGATATCATTTTTATCCCTGTCTTACAGAATAAGAAACTCAAGCTTAGAGAAACTGAGCAACTTATAACTGATTATAAAGCTAATTATGTTATCCACTGTAGTATACTGCTTCAGTAAGTTGAGAACATCCTATGATATATCCAGACTCACTTTCCTAGATATTGGAGGAGATAATTTAGTAAACATGAAACTTGCCATCTAGGAAAAAAAAGACTGAAAGATGTGCAACGTGTTTTCAGATCCTTTAATTCCTGACAGGTAAATATACACAGTAGCCTATATCTGTATTTCTTTTTTTTTTACTTGAGATGGAGTCTCTCTCTGTCGCCCATGCTGGAGTGCAGTGACCCGATCTCTGCTCACTGTAACCTCCGCCTCCTGGGTTCAAATGATTCTCCTGCCACAGTCTCCTGAGTAACTGGGACTACAGTTGCCTGCCATCATGCCTGGCTAACTTTTGTATTTTTAGTAGAGACAAGGTGTTGCCATGTTGGCCAGGCTGGTCTCGAACGCCTGACCTCAGGTGATCCGCCCACCTCGGCCTCCCATAGTACTGGGATTACAGGCGTGAGCAACCACTCCTGGCCTATCTGTATTCTTTTTTAACCTCTTCCTCTCTTAAGGCTGTTACTTCTTCCTATCCTGAATATTCTTTAAGATGAGAATTTATGTATTCTTCTTTGAGACCTTGTTCTGCCTGCTACCTCTTACTTCTCCTCTAGTTTAAAACTTTCTCCTTTTGTTCTATTCTTCCCCTAGTTTTACATTCTGAAATCTATTATTAAAATCATCCTTTGAGCTTACAATCAGCAGTTAGGATCACTTCATCTCAGGCTTCTGCACAGCTTGCTCCTAAGTGGTTGTCATTAGGAGATCACAAATAGAAAAAAATAGTATAGATTATAATCTGTAAAGGCATAAAAGTTAAGTAAAATGATACATCATCAAAATAATATAATAACTATATCATACCACTTGAACCTCACCACAACTCTAGGGAGAATCCCATTTTAGAGGACATACTCAGAAGTATTCTAGGCTGTGTATACCCCTTAGATTGGAGGTTTATCATTGTATGTATTCATATACTGTTTAGAATTTTGTGATATTTCTGGTTATATATGCTTTTTTAAAAGTTACCAAGTTTTTTCTATAGTTTCACATACTGTGACTTTGGTAAGTTTTTTTTCCTATGAATGCTTAAACAAGTTTCTCCGTAGGGTAAAAGATACCTTATTGAAGTCTGTAAGTACACTGTACTGTGTTAATTAGCTATGTCAACTTAACATTTTGTTCATTTATTCTATGAAAGTAATTGTATTAAAAGTATCGTTAATCTTACACTATAATTATTTCTGAGAGTTTTATTTGTGAGCCAATACAAATAATCGTGTTATCAAATCAGACTCAACGTGTTAGAGATCTCACCTAGAATCAGCTTTAGTAATAATTGTAAGGGTGCAAGTAGTCAAAGGGGACAGGAGAAGCAAGGAGAGAGATCTGGGACACTATGTAATTCCACAGGGTCCTTCCTTTCCACATCAGACGTGTACTTTCCAGCCCAGAGTCTCCAAATGAGGAAGTCTGGTTATTACCTCATATCAGAGAGCGTTTACATTTTGAAACTTCTCCGTGTAATATCCTAAGGTTATATAGCTTACATGATGTTCTCCAGTGTGCCAGGCTTCATAAACCCATAAATTCTGGGTTTGTTTATTGTAAGCATCCTTAACAAGGGACAGCCTACTAAGAGCATTCTTCAGATAAGGACCCTCCTCCTAACAAAAACTCATTATCCTATCTACCAGAGGGACTGCTTACCAGCATGTTAACACGAAGACTAAACAGCATCACCTCCCTTTGCTAGAGTTTCCTCCTGGTAAAGGAAGTGAATAGATCCCAAGACAGCTACTTTAATTCTTCCCTCCCTGATGTGTAATAATCTTCCTTTTAGCCTTTCTTTTGTGTTTCATAATCTCTAATAATACTGTATTTATACTTTTCCTTCCAACTTTTTGGAAAACCCTTCAAACCTATAGAAAATTGTAATACTATAATATAATAATAGTGTTTTGTATCACATCCATGTTTGTACCTTTACTATCAGTGTTGAGTTCTGGCACTTGATTTAAGTGCCATATGCCAGATTTCTCCATTGTAAAGGTATCTTTTCTGTTTGCTGTTACTAAGTAATCTGTGAAATGATACTGTGAGACTATGTGAATATCCTGTAGTCTTTCACCCAGCGATTAATGTTCTGTGGCTACATCCGTTAAAACGTTTTTATTGTTTCTATTTCTCTGCTGCAATAATTTATTTCTCTGATAGTATTTTCATTTTTTGAGAGCAATTTTTTTGAACACCATCAAGGATAGTGATAATAGCCATTTTTGCTTATGGAGAAGAAAAATGTTGTTTCCTTTCCTGTTCATATGCTGGGTAATTTTGGACTGTACCCTGGACATTATGAAGTCGCAGAGATCCTGGATTTGGTTATTTTTTTCGAATAAGTGGTTGTTTGAATGAATTTTCTTGGCTAGGTTTTAACTTTAAACTATGTTTCTTAGCAGTTCCAGTCTCAGTTTACATCTTTTGTCTTTCAGCAAGATGCTTTGAATCTGCTACTTGTCTGAACACTTAAGATGTTTAGAGATTTCTTCTCTCTCCCTTCTGGGCTTACCCTGCTCTCTCAGCGGATAAAGTATCCTGAATTCATTCTTTCAGGGGTAGCTCTGCCACTGTTTCTAAACCATGCTGATTGCAGTTGGCCTTAGGCTAAACTTTGAAGAAATGATAACTACTTGTGCTGTATAGCTTTCCATCTTCTTTCCTCCAAGTAAGCTTGGTGGACCCTCCATCAGAGTCTGTTTCCATTTACTCTCTAATATCTTCAGATAGGGCTTTTTGGTAGTATGTCCAGGTGTTATGCTTGTTTTCAGGGTTGGGGAGATGGGGATGATTAATCATGTTATCTTATTCTGAGGGCCTCAAGACACACTAAAATTTCGATTTTAGGAAGATGAAGAAGAATAAGTAAAAGAGACTGAAAAATGTAGCCAGTGAAGGAGAAAAAGAACCAAGAGTATCTAGGAAACTGTGAAGAAACTCTTTCAAGAAGGGAATGATGAATTAGGTGTTTTTAAAATGAGCACGTTTAAAAACACATTCAAATCATAATAGACTTCCTGCCTCTGGTCTCGCCTTCAAATCATGTTCTGCACTCTAACCAGTGACCTTTCTGAAATGCATATCTAATGGGACTTCTTCCCTGAATGATATACAAGACCCTTTGTGATCTGTACTCTGGCTACCTCTCTGTTGCTTCTGTATCTTCCACTTACCCTGTACCTTTTTTTTTTTTTTTTTTTTAACCAGCTAAACTGAATCCCAAACTTAGCAGTTTCAGGCCCCCTTGCCTACATCAGAGTTTTTAAACATAGCACATCTCTCCCACCTGAATAAACATTTACTCTTCCTTCAACACCTAATTCTTATGTTACTTGCTCTAGGAAACTTTCCCTGGCACTTCTGCTCTAATCCCAGAAGAAGTACTTACCTACTTTATGCAGGCCCTTTTACTTTGTATGTATTTCCGCTATCATATGGTATAGCAGTCTGCTTTCATGCCATTCCTGCTGCTTAGTCAGAACTTCTTAAGAAAATGGGTTATTTTACTCAATTAATTGTTCCTAACACCTAGTAATGTGTCTGATACATAGTGAACGCTGCTTGGCTAGCTGACTGAGTGACTTCTACTGCAATTTTTTTTTTTTACATGTTGGCACGTTTACAGTGTTGAGGTTGTTCTGAGTCTCTAAAGATAAATGGAATACTATGGAACTGTTACTAAGAAGAATCTGTAATCAGAAGCTTTTCTTTTTGCTTATTAAGTATCAGAAACAGGAGGAAAAAGGTTCTTCATTTTATACAGTCACCTTAGCCAATGCCCTGAGACCATATAACTTCAAATTTAATGTTTTAAAAGGTAGAACTTTTGTTTCTAAAAGAGCAAACAAGATGCCCTGGTTTGTTAGCCTTCTGTACTTAACTGTGACCTTTAAAATTATAAACAGGAAATCATAGCGCTATTTTAAAAGATCAGTATATAATGCTCTCCTCACACTCATGAAACAGCATTTAGTAACAGATCATCATACTGAAATCCCAGTTTGCTTTCTGGCATGTAGTTTCTACAGCTTTAAGTTACTATTTTGTATAGGTCATATTCCTGAAATTCTTAACACTTTTGCATTTTTAATATATAGGAGTCATGATTTTCATTGGAGGCCATATTTATATAAAGTCTATGATTGCCTTAAAATATTTTTGTCTTCTAAATAAGAACATATGTGAAAAATAACGATAGTATGTATTGTCTGTTTTTGAACCGCTTGCTTCTGTTTGAAAACAAAGAGCAAGTTGCAGGCCTTTGTTGGCAAAAGAGATGAAAATGCTATTACTATTTACTGAGTCATAGTATACACCTAAGTTTTAAATAAGGAACTGATTCTAAGGAGCTGATTCTGGAATTCTTCACCTAGATAAGCCTACTTCAGAGGCTACTGAGTGTATAAACAAGATTCAGCAGTATGAAGGGAGAAAGCAGTATAACATGGCTTTTTTTTTAATGTTTCCCATTTATTTTTGTTTTGTTTTGATTAGATTTTTTTGTTTTGTAATTCTGGAAATTTGAACCTAAACCTTAGCCAAACATTTCCTAATAACTGTGAAAGTATCCAAAGCACTTTTAAATTATTAATTCAAAAATTTTGGACAACCAATACTACTATCATAATTCCAGTCTGAAATAATATGGTGCTTGAGAAAAGAGTTAAATATTACAACATATTTTGTTGGAAACACATAATAGGAGACAAAGGGCCCTAGAGAAAAGCAGCAATAAGATCAGTAAGTAACTGGTCTTACAAAATGTGATGTTCTTTTTGTTTTTTTTTCAACTGGATATCACCTCAATTTGGAGTTAAATGGAGACAAATTATTTTCAAACAAAAAGCTTTTCTTCACAAGGCCATCCATTTTGTTAGAAGAGAATGTCCAGAATGAAAATGGCTGTCTGTTCGATTTATTTCTTAGAATACAGAAGTGTTCTATTTAGAATCTTCAGACTAATGTAATTGCTGGGTGTCATTTTCTCTGTCTACCTCTTTGTACCTGACAGAAGTGAGTAATTTTATATGCCAGGAACAATTTTGATGTTTTTATTTGGCATAAAAAATGTGATCATGTTTAATCACTTACATTAAACAAGCTATTTTGCCTTATTTTCTAAAAAGTATTTCACTGTGAGAGATAGGACTGTATGGTAAAACTTCATTTGACTGCTTTATCTGGTAATGTTTATGTTTAATTAATATTTTTTGGTAAGATGCAGATCATTGTACAATTGAATTATACAAGTTTTTTAAGCTTTTGTTCACTGAAACAATTATTTTTATATATTGATGAAAATAATTTATAGGCGAAAAATGCATTCAGCTTAATTTTTAGAATATGAAGATTCAACTTTTGACATGAAATTCAGCTTGGAACTAAAGTGAGACAGTACTATTTGTAGACATTTAGTAATTCTTTAACTGGCTGCCAGCAAAAACCTGACACTAGTAAAATTTCTTAGTAGTAAACTTACTTTGTTTTATTTTATTGTTCTCCTGTTCAAGACCCTAAAATTAGCTTCCTATTGTCTGCCAGATGGGATCTAATTTCTCATGAGTATTAAAAGCATTTTCATCAGTTGACCCCTGTCATCGTGCACAACTGTATTAACCTCATTTGTTTCTAATACTACAGTCAACATTATATTCCCTATACATTGCTCATTCTTACCTATGGTTTTGTCTGATAACAAGGCAGGATTTTCCACCACATCACACATACTTTTGCAAAATCAGAATGCATCATTTTCACAGCTTTCACCAACCTCTAAAGTAGTGATTTTATTGGGAAAGATGGAGGATATATGCATAAGGCTTCGTGCCTTAGGGCATATGTCATAATGGATGGGAGTTTTGTATGATTGGAGAAAGCTCCTCTAGTAATTTGGTTATATTTTTATTGTTCCCACCAACTGCACTAAACAGAAATTACCCCACTTACTTAAAATTACCCTGCTTACTTCATCTTCATACATACAGTACTTAGGTAATCAGTTTTTAGAAATCTATTATTAACACATCTTTCCTTTTGTTACTATGACAGGTTATTGGCATGTTATTTCAAACATGAAACTCTGTTTGGATTGCCTTTTTACGCAGTGTTCAGCACATAGAAGGCTTTCTGTGAAATTTCTGTGACATGTTTCAAATATAAATGGGCACATCTATGAATAGATTTTTAAGAGGTTATAGCAGTATATAATTTTTGTTTGACTTATTTGCTGTGGTGAGTAAATAACATATACAACATCAACATTCCTAGCCATAGTACACTTTAATTTTTAAGAATTTGAATTTCTATAGTCTTTTAATGCATATAAATGGCATGAATGAATGTTATTTAAGATGACCATTGCCTTCAACACGATTTTGAAAAGTTACGCTAAAACTAGTAATGACAGAGGGATCCAGAACAGAGATATTTTCCAGATCAGCTATACCACACAATCCATTATCATTGTCCAGATTGCATTGTGACTTTAGACCAGAAGCTAAAGTAGCTGTCTTTATTTCAGTTAGCACTGTAGGATTCAAAAGACAGAAGTTTTACCTGATATTTTTTAGTCTGGTACTTTGCCAGAAAAGTTCAAATACTTATTTATAATGTCATCTCAGAGCCATCCTCATGACCAAAACACTTTATTTTGGCTCAACAAAAATATATGTCTATACTTTGTGTGTGCCATGTTTGGCTAGTTTATAAAAATATAGAAATTAATATGGTGTCTGCCTTTGAGAAGCTTAAAGTCTAATGAGAAAAATGGAGAGAGCTTCACTGGGATGTATTGAAAGATGCTGATAGGCACATTGGAGGAGGGACACTTAGCACTGCTTGAGGATTCAAGGAAGTCTTTCTGTAACAGTGAGTCTTAAAAGTTGAATGAAACTTTACAAATTATAGGGTGAAAAACTTTAATTTGTATTGCTTCATTGTTTTGTTTTGGTGTTGGGTTTTGTTTTTTTTTTCTTTTTTACATTGTAAAGGAAGTATGTGTAGAATCAAGAAATACAAAGCTTTTAGATTATTTTGTTAGTTTCTATTCATGAAGTCTGTGTAAAGGAAGATAGTGATTTAAACTCAGATATCAACATGGTCAAGAGAGATTAACTGGTGTGTTTTTTTAATCTAGGTAATAGAAAATAATAAACTTGAATGAAAGACATAGTTATTAAATACACTCTCTGCCATTGTTCCTGCACAGGGGCAGTGTTTACTGACATGTCTGGTTTATGTTATATCTAATACTGCGATAACTGAGATATTTAGTGTAACAATTTATAATACCTAACAAGTAAAAATAACTTCAGTATCCATTCTTTCAACAAGCACTTATTGAGCATTTACCAAATGCCATGTACTTTTCTAGACACTTATGGTATACCTGAGAAGAGTAGACAAAGGTTCCTGATCTTTTGTAATTTATTTTTGTGGGGGGTTGGGGGATTCGGGTAGACAACATAATAAATTTAAGTTATTGTTTATCATGTTAGTAGATTATGTACTGTGGAAGAAATAGAGCAGAGTGGGAAGGATTAGGAATGATGATGTAAAGTAGATACTTGGATATGTAAGTCTGCAGTTCAGAGAAATTATCTTGGCTACAGATGGAGATTTTGGGGAGATGTTCACATATATATGATATTTAAAATAATGAAACTGGATGAAATCAGTGAGGTATTATTAGATAATAGTAAAAGGAAGAGTACCAAGGACAGAGTCCTGGTCCATTCTTAAGTTAGAAGAGAAAGAACTAGCAAAGGAGACAAAGAAAAATAACCAAGAATATGGGTCCAACCTAAGTCAAATGAAGATAGAGTATCAAGAAGAAAGGAAGAATTAACTTAACAAAAATTGATAGGCCAAGAAGGGGACAATGCTGCTGATACGTTGAGTAAGAGGAGTACTGAGACTTATTCATTAGATTTAGCAGCGTGGAGATCATCACGGGCTTAAAATAATGGGATTGATGTAATTGGGACAAAAGCCAATGAAGTGAGTTGGAGAGAAAAATAAAGAGCATTTGGAGATGGCAAGTGTTGACAAGTGTTATAATTAGGTTGATCATATAACCAAATTTCCCTGGGATTGTCCTGGTATTCATTCACCATGTGGCCCAGCATGTTTATTAATAGGGCCTTATTTTATTCTCATATGGGCCCTAGTCTGAACAACAAATACATGATCAATGTGGTTGCGATTCATTGCTGTCAGTATTCTTTTTGACACCCAAATTTAGCCAGTGGTAGCCCCTTTAAGCCAGCCTACATAGCTTGTTTGAGACCCTAATTTGAATCCCATTTGTCCTTTTCTGGCATAAGAAATTATCACAGGGTTTATACTTTTTCTGCCTCATATCCGTAATCAGCCATTTCTCTAAGAAGTCCTGCTTCATTATTAGTGGTATTTAAAAACCAAAATCCAAAACTTGGATAGTTTTTGATTGGAAAGAAAGGGAGTGAGAAACTTTTTAGAATGACAGAATTTTAAAAAGCAAACATATTACAAAGATATTGAGGTAGAAAATTTATTCAGGTGATTCTATGTAGAACTGAATGTTAAACATGGAAGTGCATTATTAAATTAGAGCAGTTAGAGCAGAAAGATACATTAAGGCCGAGTACTGAAAGAATTTAAATACCAAACTGAAAGTTTGACTTCATTCTGTATTCCGAATGGTGATATAATGGGCCTTGGAGTTACTCATCCTCGAGTCTGGAAAACCAATTAGGCTATTATAATCCACACAATCCATAAAGAAGTCTTGAACGTAGGAGTAGGATAATGGTAATACAATGGAGGGAACAGATAAAACTGACAGTACCAAAGAGAAAGCAGAAAGGGTGATAGGAGCATAACAGAAGCATAGTGAAGGGACTCCCAGTATCACATGTCTCTGAGCTGTCTAATCCTAGCAGCAGAGGATTGAGATGCAATTGGTTTCTATAGAGAACACAGGAATAGGTGTAGGAAGAAGATCTGATATTTTATTTGGAAAAAAAATCTATTGGCAATATGATGATAGAGTATAACTTTATTGAAGTTTCATCTAGAACTGTATTTAAAAAGCAGAACAGTATTTAGGAAATAAAGTTTTTGTTGTCACTGAAAGGTAATCATAATGAAATTCTCAACTGTAGAAAAGTGTGAAGATTTTGATGTCTCTCACTCTTACAAGTTATTTCAGATTCTTTATTTCAGAGAAATGACTCATTTTCAAATAGACCAAAAATTTAGAACCCAGACATTTCTTGGCACCTTCTAATTTTTTGTATTGGGGCATAATCCCTTATAACCCAAATATACTATTCCAATTTTGATCACACTTTGGAAAATACAAACATGTTTTATATTTTATTAAGTTAAAAGCCTGACTCTGATAAGATTCTCTTGAAATTAAAAATGTCAACATGGTTATTGCCTCCAAGTTGCTTTTTGTGTTTACCCAATCTCCCTTCCCACAGCACAATACAGAATAGTTTGGTTACAAATGTTTACTTTCCCTGCTTAACCAGAGGCAGCACTGCACTGCTTATACACTTACGAGTCACTATATTAGGTTGTTCAAACAAAGTCCCTGGAAAGAAGAAAGACAAGGTTGTAGCCAAATAACCAAAATTGGGATTACCTAATTTTGACTTAATTTGATATTTTGTGTAAAAGCAAAAAGTGGCATCTAGCACTGTGTGGAATAAGAGAACTAGAATAATTCTGATGGATCTGGCTATTAGGGGATGACGTCTTTAATGTAGAAAACATGAATAATATTAGTTTAACATAATTAGGAAGGAATTCAAACAAATTTTAATTGACCATCACTGACAACAGAATATAGCCACAAAGCAGAATACAAGGATTCTAGTCCTAGCCCTGCTTTGATTCTTTGAATGAGTTTCTTAAAGTTTCTTGGGTCATGATTTCCTCTTCTATAAAATGAGTGGGTCAGGAGTCCCCAAGACCACTCTTGAGCCTTGATGATTCTCTAGAAAGATTCACAGGACTCATGAAAGGCTGTTATACTCACAAAAAGTTTATTACTCTTCAAGGATACAGATTAAAATCAGCAAAAGGAAGAGCACATGGGGTGAAGTCCAGGAAAAAATAGGCATAATTCTAGGTGGCATCTCTCAGTGGAGTCATATGGCCACATTCCCATCATAAGGTAACAACATGTTCAAAGTGTTGTCAACCAGGAAAGCTCACCTGAGCCTAGGTGTTGAGGGTTTTTATTGGCTGTTAGTCACGTAAGCATGAATTGCCTGCATGGCTGACCTCAGCTATTCAGACTGAAGCCACCCAAAGTGAAAACACATTAACCGTAAATCACATTGTTAACATAAACTCTCTGATCAGATTGGTACCTTGTGGCCCACAGACTCAGAGGTCATCTCCTAGGAGCTGGCCAAGGTCCAGTCCTGATGACAGGCCTTTCTCAAGTATGTACAGAGTTGAGCAACCTAAATTTTCTTTTTCCAAATTGAAATGTATCTAGGTATTTTTTTCTCCTAAGTTCATAATGTATAACTTTTACATAAAATTTGCATATTACTATGTAGAAAAATGCATTATATTCTGCATTCGAAATTGCAGAATATTTAGAGTATTTGCAGTTATATTCAATTTAGAGAAAAATCTAAATTCAAGAGAACTACATTTATCTGAAAAAAAAAGATATTGGAATTTGTTTGTTTGTTTGTTTGTTTGTTTGAGCCGGAGTCTAGCTCTATTGCCAGGCTGGAGTGCAGTGGCATGATCTCGGCTCACTGCAACCTCCACCTCCCAGGTTCAAGCGATTCTCCTACCTCAGCCTCCTGAGTAGCTGGGATTACAGGCACGTGCCACTACATCCAGCTAATTTTTGTATTTCTTTTTAGTAGAGACGGGGTTTCACCATGTTGTCCAGGATGGTCTCGATCTCCTGACATCGTGATCCGCCCACCTCAGCCTCCCAAAGTGCTGGGATTACAGGTGTGAGCCACCGAGCCCTGCCTGGAATTAGTTTTAGATGGAGGAAAGCTAAGTGTCGCTGTCTGATTAATCATTTTACTTAGCATTAACAATATACACTAGGAAGAGCATGGTGTAACAGTATCATATAAGCACAAACTAGTTTCTTTCACAATTTTAAGTGACATTAACCACGATTAAGTGTGGTGCATGCGGGACTAGGTGATCTTTAAACACTGAATACATATAAAATGCCCTTGGAATAGATATATAACTCCTGTCTAAAATGTCTATTACTGGGTCTAGAAATGGATCTTAGTTTTCCATTTGGCATGAAACCTTTCCTCAGAAAGAGCAAGGTTGTATCTGGCACCTGCGTGGCTAAATACCTAATGTAGTTTCTCAGCCATTCACAATTATAAATCTGTATATTTCAGTGAGTCTTTTAAGTAGTGTTTTACCTTCTCCCATTATAAGTAAAACAGAGTAATTTAGAATACTTATGAGCAGTAAGTACTCTTCTTTGGAACACTCTAGTAGTCCTCTTGGCTGATTTTTTTTCCCAGTATTTGTTCTCTTTCAACTTTGTTTCTCTAAAGAAAAAGCCTAGATTGGCAACTGAAAATTTTTTGGCAAATCTTGGATTTGAATTTTTTCCTAATAAGAGACTTTACTGATTTTATTTTTCCTCTCTCACTAAGAAATAGACTTAAAACAGAGCTACCATTCAACCCAGGAATACCACTACTGGGTATATACCCAAAAAATTAAGTCATTCTAGCAAAGACACATGGACGTCTGTGTTCACGGCTGCACTATTTACAATAGCAAAGACATGGAATCAGTGCAGGTGCCCATCAATGGTAGATTGAATAAAGAAAATGTGGTCCATATATACTATGGAATACTGTGCAGCCATAAAAAAAGAATGAAATCGTGTCATTTGCAGCAACATGGTTGGAGCTGCAGGCTATATTCTAAAGCAAATTAACAGAGGAAGAGAAAAGCAAGTACTTCATGTTCTCATTTTCACTTACAAGTAGGAGCTAATCATTGAGTACCTATGGACTTAAAATGGGAGCAGGAGACACCGTGGACTACTAGCGGGTGGAGTGGGGAGAAGTCTGGGTTAAAAAATTCCAATGGGGTACTATCCTCACTATCAGCATGACGGGATCTTTACTCCAAACCTCAGCATCACACAATATTCCCATGTAACAAATCTGTACATGTACCCTTGTATCTAAAATAAAAGTTGGGAAAAAAAGGAAATAGACATTTAAAATGTTTCTACTCTGGTCCAGTTCTGTTCAACATGTGTCATTGTGCTTGAGTCTCATAGTCAAAGGTGAATAAGACACCATTCTTACCCTTGAAGAGCTTACACTCTAGGCTCTTTGTTCCATTTTTCTGTCAAGAATATGGAGAACAAAGGTTATTGTAAGCAAAAGTTGTTTGTTTTATGTATGTCCTCAACACATTTTCTTTTGACTACATGTCTTATTGCCTGACCACGTTCTCACTTGAAGCAGAATTGTTCCCAACAAGCTGGTTAGAATATATGTACACTTCTGAATAGTTAGCCAGAAAGCTATAATGATTCTTTAGTGCCCAAGCCTCTGCATACCATTTGTCTTTCAGAGTTTGCTACTTTTTAGCCAAATTAGGGCTTACCTGCTTTCCAGTGCACTTGTAGAAGCAATTTATAATGAAGAGAGTTGATGTATTGTCAGGTAAGGGACCCCAGCCTCAAATCCAGGGAAGTTGTCCGTCATCCCAGGCATTCTTTGTAAATAATGAATTATTTCAGATCTTGAAAACTCAATTCTGCATGTCTCCTCCAGTTTTAATTACTGATCTTCTGGATTCTACTGAGTTTTTCTATGACTGGCTTCCATAATCAATTTGATATGTAATTTATATGTTCTTAAAACATAAGTAAATTTTGTGGCCAAATTATAATGTATTATTGACACTATTAAATTCAGTCCTACAGTGATAAAAAAAAAGTTGTTTAAAATTCTCCCTTAAAAAATAGATATTGTGAGTTAAAATGTATGTAAATCTAGGTTTCAGAGCAGTTAGAGAAATAATTTGCGAGTCCTGACAATTTAGCATGAACTTCCCAAGCAGACTTTGCAGCAGACTCTTAGGAGGATTCAGAAAAGCTATGTGTGAAATTTTCTGTAATCTTTGAATAGGAACACTAATATTTAAGGTGCTATCTGTGCAATTGTAATAGTACATCAAAAGGAGCCTTATTCTGAAAGTCAGTACCTGATTTCTTCTGAATAAGAAGTATAGGAAGATAAGAATAACTTCATAATATATCATTTATTGCAGTTTTTGTGTTGTCTAAAAAAAGTCTTAGTTTCTCATTGTTTACTTAAAATAGTACCTGACAATTCCAGTTATGGCACAGCTTTCCTATCCATCCATATTTGCTAAACACAATTTTTACATTTTATATGAACCATGTTTTAGGAGACAGTATTCCCTTTTAATGACACATATAGCTGTATTTAAAACTGAGGTAATAAACGAGTTGGTCCAAAATACCGAAGTATAAATGGTATAATACAAAAAGTTTAAGCCATCCAAATGCATCTATATTTTACTTAGTTTTAAGGTAAATGTCTAATTATTGGCATTATTTATGGCACGTAGTGTTTGTCCGAATAATATGGTATAATGAATTATTTTATAATACGAAGACTGGTAGGAGATGGAAAATACATTAGTTTCCTAGTGCTTCTGTATCAAATTACGACAAATTTAGTGGCATAAAACAACACAAATGTATTGTCTTACAGTGCTGAAGGTTAGAAGTCCTAACAGTAACAGGACTGTATTATTTCTGTAGACTTTCAGTGGGGCCATATTCTCTCTGTAGGCTCTAGGGGAGAATTTTTCCTGCCTTTTCAGCTTCTGTAGGCCAACTGCATTCCTTGATTCATGGTGTCTTTCTCCATCTTCAAGGCAAGCAGCATAGCATCTTCTCTTCCCTCTTTCTTTCTCTTCTCCCCCCTCCACCTCCACCATTTCCCACACTTTCGTTTTTTTGTTGTTGTTGTTGTTTTGTTTTGTTTTTTTTCTCTGCATCTCCTTCTCTGACCTTTCTGCTACCCTCTTGTAAGGAAGATGGTGATTACATTTGGCTTACCTGGATAATCCAGGATAATAACTCCATCTTAAAAAATTCTTAACTTAATTACATCAGCAAAGTCCCTTCTGCCATGTAAAATAACATGTTCATAGGCTCATGGACGTCTTCCAGGAGCTATTTAGCCTAGCACACAATGTGTAATTAATCGCTACTTAGGTTCTAGAAGTAGAGGTTATTGTAATCATGCTTTGTGTTTGCGTATCATACTACTAGAACTACAAATGGTTTTCCCTTTCTCAATCAAATAACATGTTTTCCACTTATTAGCCCATTTTAGAGGTATTATATTCCTAAATTATTCCCTTTAGTTTTTATTACATGGATTTTTTAATGTCTTAAGTTTAATATCTACCATGTATCTGGGGCTTTGGGTTTCTGGGGCAAAAAAAGTAAAACAGTGAATGAGCTTTTTAAAAATTTTGATACTCTGGCTCCTGCTATTGCTATGAGTAATAAATTGCCCCTTGTCTCCGACCCAGGAGCCTCGTGTCTTCTACCGACATCTGTGATACTGTATTTGGCTAACTTGTTAGCTTGCAAATCTTGACATTGGGTATTGCTAATAATTAGTCCAACAAATTCACAGCCTTAGTGGCAAACATATTTCTTTAAATATACCCAACCTGATTAAATTCATATCAACTTCACTTTCTATATATCTTTTAAATATATTTTGTTGATTTTGAACCTTCACATCATTCTCCCTGTAATATTTCTGAAAGACCACAAAAGTTGGCAAAATTACCTGCCTGGGTTGCTCAGTCCCTCACATTTATGAAAAAACATATGTATATATTCCTTCTGCTGAAAGGGTTATAATAACACTCAGCTCATATAAATCATGCTTCATTTTAAAACCTGTGTTTCTCATACCTAGAAGATTCTGATGGTCTTGTTTAAATTGTCCTATGACATCATCACAAACCATGAAATATAAATTGATTTTGTGTTAGTTTTTCATGAATGCTTTTAACCGTGGTAGAGATTTTTTGAATTTATCATAGAGGCAGTAGGCCAGAAAGATGATGATCTAATAAAGGTACTAGTTAAGGTCAGCCTTTCTACCACCCAGTTATAGGACCTTGGACAAATCACGATTTGAGTCTTACTTTTCACTTGTTAAATGAAGAACTGACAGAGGTAATTTCGGTTACTTTTAGTTGAGTAATTTAATTCACTTACTTTCATTAATTTTATTTACCAATAGTTGTTTTAAGGCTAATAACCACTTTAAATGCTTTTCATAAGTTTTGATATGTAGCATTTTCTTATTGTTAGACTGACATATCTGTTTATCTTTCCCCTTTCTCAAGACTTGTTTATTTGAGGTAGTTTTATTTATTTATTGTTTTAATTCCAGGTGGAAGGGCCTTTTTTAATTTTTCTTTTATTGATTAGTTGATTTTCTTTCATTTCTACTTTTTCATTGTGACCGGAGATTGTTGCTAATAATATTTTACTTGATGGAGCCTACTGTTACTGTACTTTCTTTGACTTAATATGTGATAATTTTTATCAATATTCCATGTGTACTTGAGAAGAAGATACAATTGTTGTTAAGATCTTGTAATTTTATTTCCCGATTTTGTTCTTTCTTGACTGGAAGTTGTGTGTCAGAGTCTTGAGCTAATAAATAGTATTTCTATTTCCTTTATTTCATGAAGTTTCTGCTTTATGTAATAGTTGTGTTTTATTTGATGCATAGTCATAAATGTTATCTTCTTTGTCTTCATTTTGTTTTCTTTGCCTCAGCTTTGTCTGAAACACAGTCTCAGCACCTGCTTTCTAATTTTTCCTGTTTGCCTGGCATATCTTTGAAGCTTTTTAAATAACTGTTCTTTGTGAGTCTTTATTATATACAGTATAGAGTTAGGTTTTGCTTTGATTCCATTTGAAAATATTTTTCTTTTAATAGGCACATTACACTAATTCACATTCCGTTATATTCCTGATGTTTCCTTTCAACTCTGTCATATTTTATGGGAGTTAATTCTTTTCTCAAAATTAAGATGTTATTTAATATTAAGTTTCTTAAGATACGGAAAGGAACTTAATAATAGTGATAAAAATAGACACATAACTAAAATTAATTTGTTTTATTCTTTCACAGGAATTGAAACCTGACATAGTAACTAAATCTGCTCTTGGTGATGATATCAACTTTGAAAAAATCTTCAAAAAGGTATATCTGCAATAGATTATATTTGTCTTATGAAAAGTTTCTCATCTATATTGCTTACTTTTTTCTTGAAGAGAAAACTTACCAAGAAGTCATGCTATTAGTTTGTAATTAGTTTTCCTAACTGAACTCCATTACTGCCACCACAAAAAAAATTTATACTAACATATACATTTTGTTTTGCTGTAATATCATACCTTCGAGGTCCTTAAAGGTATGTTGAACTTAATATGACATTTCATGTATTATATAAAAATTAGTCTGCTGATCATACTACTTAAAACTAAGATGCATTCAACAAGAAGAGCTAACTATCCTAAATATATATGCACCCAGATTCATAAAGCAAGTCCTGAGTGACCTACAAAGAGACTTAGACTCCCATACAATAATAATGGGAGACTTTAACACCCCACTGTCAACATTAGACAGATCAACGAGACAGAAAGTCAACAAGGATACCCAGGAATTGAACTCAGCTCTGCACCAAGCGGACCTAATAGACATCTACAGAACTCTCCACCCCAAATCAACAGAATATACATTTTTTTCAGCACCACACCACACCTATTCCAAAATTGACCACATACTTGGAAGTAAAGCTCTCCTCAGCAAATGTAAAAGAACAGAAATTATAACAAACTGTCTCTCAGACTGCAGTGCAATCAAACTAGAACTCGGGATTAAGAATCTCACTCAAAGCCGCTCAACTACATGGAAGCTGAACAACCTGCTCCTGAATGACTGCTGGGTACACAACGAAATGAAGGCAGAAATAAAGATGTTCTTTGAAACCAACGAGAACAAAGACACAACATACCAGAATCTCTGGGACACATTCAAAGCAGTGTGTAGAGGGAAATTTATAGCACTAAATGCTGACAAGAGAAAGCAGGAAAGATCCAAAATTGACACCCTAACATCACAATTAAAAGAACTAGAAAAGCAAGAGCAAACATTCAAAAGCTAGCAGAAGGCAAGAAATAACTAAAATCAGAGCAGAACTCAAGGAAATAGAGACACAAAAAACCCTTCAAAAAATCAGTGAATCCAGGAGCTGGTTTTTTGAAAGGATCAACAAAATTGATAGACCGCTAGCAAGACTAATAAAGAAAAAAAGAGAGAAGAATCAAATAGACACAATAAAAAATGATAAAGGGGATATCACCACCGATCCCACAGAAATACAAACTACCATCAGAGAATACTACAAACACCTCTACGCAAATAAATTAGAAAATCTAGAAGAAATGGATAAATTCCTCGACACATACACTCTCCCAAGACTAAACCAGGAAGAAGTTGAATCTCTTAGTAGACCAATAACAGGAGCTGAAATTGTGGCAATAATCAATAGCTTACCAACCAAAAAGAGTCCAGGACCAGATGGACTCACAGCCGAATTCTACCAGAGGTACAAGGAGGAACTGGTACCATTCCTTCTGAAACTATTCCAATCAATAGAAAAAGAGGGAATCCTCCCTAACTCATTTTATGAGGCCAGCATCATTCTGATACCAAAGCCTGGCAGAGACACAACAAAAAAAGAGAATTTTAGACCAATATCCTTGATGAACATTGATGCAAAAATCCTCAATAAAATACTGGCAAAACGAATCCAGCAGCACATCAAAAAGCTTATCCACCATGATCAAGTGGGCTTCATCCCTGGGATGCAAGGCTGGTTCAATATACGCAAATCAATAAATGTAATCCAGCATATAAACAGAGCCAAAGACAAAAACCACATGATTATCTCAATAGATGCAGAAAAAGCCTTTGACAAAATTCAACAACCCTTCATGCTAAAAACTCTCAATAAATTAGGTATTGATGGGATGTATTTCAAAATAATAAGAGCTATCTATGACAAACCCACAGCCAATATCATACTGAATGGGCAAAAACTGGAAGCATTCCCTTTGAAAACTGGCACAAGACAGGGATGCCCTCTCTCACCACTCCTATTCAACATAGTGTTGGAAGTTCTGGCCAGGGCAATGAGGCAGGAGAAGGAAATAAAGGGTATTCAATTAGGAAAAGAGGAAGTCAAATTGTCCCTGTTTGCAGACGACATGATTGTATATCTAGAAAACCCCATTGTCTCAGCCCAAAATCTCCTTAAGCTGATAAGCAACTTCAGCAAAGTCTCAGGATACAAAATCAATGTACAAAAATCACAAGCATTCTTATACACCAACAACAGACAACCAGAGAGCCAAATCATGAGTGCACTCCCATTCACACTTGCTTCAAAGAGAATAAAATACCTAGGCATCCAACTTACAAGGGATGTGAAGGACCTCTTCAAGGAGAACTACAAACCACTGCTCAAGGAAATAAAAGAGGATACAAACAAATGGAAGAACATTCCATGCTCATGGGTAGGAAGAATCAATATCGTGAAAATGGCCATACTGCCCAAGGTAATTTACAGATTCAATGCCATCCCCATCAAGCTACCAATGACTTTCTTCACAGAATTGGAAAAAACTACTTTAAAGTTCATATGGAACCAAAAAAGAGCCCCCATCGCCAAGTCAATCCTAAGCCAAAAGAACAAAGCTGGAGGCATCACACTACCTGACTTCAAACTATACTACAAGGCTACAGTAACCAAAACAGCATGGTACTGGTACCAAAACAGAGATGTAGATCAATGGAACAGAACAGAGCCCTCAGAAATAACGCCGCATACCTATAACTGTCTGATCTTTGACAAACCTGAGAAAAACAAGCAATGGGGAAAGGATTCCCTATTTAATAAATGGTGCTGGGAAAACTGGCTAGCCATATGTAGAAAGCTGAAACTGGATCCCTTCTTTACACCTTATACAAAAATCAATTCAAGATGGATTAAAGATTTAAACGTTAGACCTAAAACCATAAAAACCCTAGAAGAAAACCTAGGCATTACCATTCAGGACATAGGCATGGGCAAGGACTTCATATCCAAAACACCAAAAGCAATGGCAACAAAAGACAAAATTGACAAATGGGATCTAATTAAACTAAAGAGCTTCTGCACAGCAAAAGAAACTACCATCAGAGTGAACAGGCAACCTGCAAAATGGGAGAAAATTTTCGCAACCTACTCATCTGACAAAGGGCTAATATCCAGAATCTACAATGAACTCAAACAAATTGACAAGAAAAAAACAAACAACCCCATCAAAAAGTGGGCGAAGGACATGAACAGACACTTCTCAAAAGAAGACATTTATGCAGCCAAAAAACACATGAAAAAATGCTCATCATCACTGGCCATCAGAGAAATGCAAATCAAAACCACTATGAGATACCATCTCACACCAGTTAGAATGGCAATCATTAAAAAGTCAGGAAACAACAGGTGCTGGAGAGGATGTGGAGAAATAGGAACACTTACACTGTTGGTGGGACTGTAAACTTAGTTCAACCATTGTGGAAGTCAGTGTGGCGATTCCTCAGGGATCTAGAACTAGAAATACCATTTGACCCAGCCATCCCATTACTGGGTATATACCCAAATGACTATAAATCATGCTGCTATAAAGACACATGCACACGTATGTTTATTGTGGCGTTATTCGCAATAGCAAAGACTTGGAACCAACCCAAATGTCCAACAATGATAGACTGGATTAAGAAAATGTGGCACATATACACCATGGAATACTATGCAGCCATAAAAAATGATGAGTTCATGTCCTTTGTAGGGACATGGATGAAATTGGAAATCATCATTCTCAGTAAACTATCGCAAGAACAAAAAACCAAACACCGCATATTCTCACTCATAGGTGGGAATTGAACAATGAGATCACATGGACACAGGAAGGGGAATATCACACTCTGGGGACTGTGGTGGGGTGGGGGGAGGGGGGAGGGATAGCATTGGGAGATATACCTAATGCTAGATGACGAGTTAGTGGGTGCAGCGCACCAGCATGGCACGTGTATACATATGTAAGTAACCTGCACAATGTGCACATGTACCCTAAAACTTAAAGTATAAAAAAAAAAAAAACTAAGATGCTTTATTACTTTTCCAAATATTTTTTATGAATATCTCATTTAATCTGTACATTTACTCTTTGAAAGATGTTTTTTCACCCTCTTTTTACAAATGAGGAAACTGGAACCCAAAAAGAATTAAATTAGGTGATTAAGAACACACCAGTGTTAGGTGGCATCATCATTACATTTTTCTACATCTTCCACTCTTTGGATTTTCTACTCCTGCTTCTTCCTTACTAATTCCCTTTTATAATTTGTACCCATGTTGCTCCACTTGAGAACAGATTTTGTATTAATTGATTTTTCTGTATTGCGTTTGTTTTTACTTTCATTGATTTTTGCTCCATTCTACATTCTTTAGATCTTCTTGATTTGTGTTTTTTTCTGGTTTCTTAATGTGGAAGCTTAAATTACTGGTTTTAGACCTTTTCTAATAAAAGCATTTAATGCTATGCATTTATCTGTAAGCAGTACTTTAGCTGCATCTCATAAATTTTGTTATGCTGTATTTTCTTTTCTTAGTTTAAAATGTTTTAAATTTCCTTTGAACCCTCTTTGATTCATGGTTTAATTCGAAATGTGTTGCTTAATTTCCAGACCGTTAGGGGTTTTCCAGTATCTTTTTGCAATTTTTTTTATTTAATTCCTTTATGATCCATGAACATAAACTTTGTGATTTCTATTCTTTTCAATGTTGTACTATTTGTTATAGTCCAGAGTATAGCATATCTTGGTAAATATTTCATGTGCACTTGAAGACAACATATATTCTTTTGGGATATCTGTAAATGTTAAGTCAAATTGGTTGATGGTATTCAGATTATCCATATTTTTACTGTTTTTTTTTCTGCCTACTTTATTAAGAGGTACGTTGGAACCTCCATCTATGAATGTCAGTTTGCCTATTTGATCTTTCAGCTTTGTCACTTTTTGCCATATGCATTTTGAAACATGTATGTTAGATATGTAAACTTTTAGGATTTATGTTCTTGGGGCGCTGATCCTTTATAATTATGTAATGGCCCTCCTTAACCCCGATAATATTTATTGTGCTGAAGTCTATCTTGTCTGAAATTTATATCACTGCTTTAGCTTTCTTTTGGTTAGTGTTTACATTCAATATCTTTCTCCATCATTTTACTTTTAACCTCCATATGTCTGTGTACTTAAGGTGATTTTTAAAAAATCAATAGCATATACTTGGATCATGCTTTTTATCCAATCTGATAATCTCTCTTTTAAGTGGTATGTTTAAGCCATTTCTATTCAATGTGATTATTGATGTGGTTGAATTAAAATCTACCAGTTAGCAGTTGTTTTCTATTTGCTTCATATCTTTTTTGCTTTGTTTTTCTTCTTTTTTGGTCTGTGAGTTAAATGAGCATCTTATCTCTTCTATTGACCTATTCATTACATGTACATATTTTATTATTGTTTTTTAGTGTTCACTCTACAGTTCATAATATACACCTTTAATTAACCAAAATCTGCTTTCACATAATTTTATGCTGTTTTATATGCAGTGTAATGATCTAAGAACAGTAAATGCCAATTACTTTATGCCTTCTATTGTGCCATTGTTGTTAAACATTTTACATATGCTATAAGTATATAATAGATTTTTCTATTTTTGCTTTGAACATTTGAACATTCAGTTCAGTTTTGACATAATTAAACATAAAAATAAATCATTTTTATACTTTCACTTATTCAGTTTTGATTGCTCTTTATTTCCTTGTTTAAATCCAAGTTTTCTGCTGGTGTATTTGTTTTTCCTGAAGACTCTTAAAATATCTTGAAGAGTAGATCTGCTGGCAGTAAGTTTCTACAATTTTTTTGGCAAGGAAGTTTTTTGTTTGTCCTTTATTTTAAAAAATATTTTTACTAAGTATAGAATTCTGTGTTGATAGCTCTTGTCTTTCTGCACTTTGTCATCTAGCTTCTTTAATTTTGTAAAAGTCTGCCATAATTCTTATCTTTGGTCCTCTGTATATAATGCCCCATCTCATCCCACTCCAAATTGACTATAAGATGTTCACTCTGACTGGTTCAGTGTGAATTTGCTATTTGTCCATCTTTTTTGTTTTTTGCTCTTTCTGGTTCTCTAACTCTCCAGATAGGAACCAGAAATTCACAAGTCTCAACATCTGAATTTTAGAAGAAAAGAAACCAGAAATCTAAATTTTGCATTAATTTTTATGATAAACTATAAGACTACCAAATTTTGGGTTATCTAGAGTGTAACCTTGAACTGTGTGTTCCCAGAGGATACATTATCATTCTCTCTGCCTTCAGGGGACTTGAATAGAAAAATTTGACATACACTGACTCTGGATGTCATGTTTTTAATCAATAAAATACTTCAATGAGATCACCATTAAAGGTCCCTTCTCCAAGCTCTTAAGTTTTTCTCTTTTTTCTAAACCTCCATAAAGTTTTGCTTTTGAGAATCACTATTCTCAAAAAGTGATGGGATAATTCAAATGTAATAAATCAGAGCATACTTTAAAATATACTATGATAATTATATAAAAGTTTCTAATCATAACTACTTGAGTAAAATGAATAAAAGTTTGTGTAATGTTAAGATCTCTCAAATTGTTGGAAATTTTGCTATAACAGATTGGTAGCTAAATACTCATTCAGTCGATGTTTATGTGCAAATCAGCATGCTAGATGATTTAGGGCCATGATTTCCAAAATCATGGCCCTTTTATTTTTATTTTTTATTTTTTTTATTTTTATTTTTTATTTTTATTTTTCTCAGAACCTTTTGTTACAAATTTTACTCCACACTAAGTGTTGTATATTAAATAAATGAAAACAGCTACTGTGGGGATTGGGGCTGGCAGTTAAGAAGCCAAGTCATCCTTTGGTATCTTTTTTTTTTTTTTTTTTTTTTTTTTGAGACGGAGTCTCGCTCTGTCGCCCAGGCCGGACTGCGGATTGCAGTGGCGCAATCTCGGCTCACTGCAAGCTCCGCTTCCCGGGTTCACGCCATTCTCCTGCCTCAGCCTCCCGAGTAGCTGGGACTACAGGCGCCCGCCACCGTGCCCGGCTAATTTTTTGTATTTTTAGTATAGACGGGGTTTCACCTTGTTAGCCAGGATGGTCTCGATCTCCTGACCTCATGATCCACCCGCCTCGGCCTCCCAAAGTGCTGGGATTACAGGCGTGAGCCACCGCGCCCGGCCATCCTTTGGTATCTTAAAAGCATTGCTAAGGACAGTACAAGAAAATATAAGAGATAATCTTAACCACAGAGTTTATTTCTAAAAGAGAATTTATACTTGTAACTAACTATAAGGTGTGTGTAAGAAAAAGATTTAAAAATACTCATTCTTATATTACATATTGATTTGTCTTTAAAATTGAATTATTTATTAAATACAACCTATATTCAGTGCTTATAGTTTTCACTAAAGTATGTTAGATACAATCACATTTAATTTTTAATATTCGCAACTCTAGTGGAGGAGTTTTGATTGGGAGAGAATTACATCCCCATTGTATAAAGTAGGAAACTAGAGCTCATGGAGGTTAGTTTGTCCAGATTAACACAATCAGCAAGTTAACTAAACAAGAATGTAAATCCATGTCTTCTTAAGGTTTCATTAACATAGCAGGGTTTTGATCTGGATTTCATTCTTATTCATTCTTCTGCATAATCTGATTTTCCTCATTAATTATGACAAATACTGGATTTTCCTATGTTTACTTTTCTTCAGGATTGCTGTGGAATCCATGTAATGGGCTTACTCTTTTTGAATTTTTAAATATAGTATAACTTCAAAAACTGAATTCTTACCAATGACTTTTATTTGAGGTCCTGATTAGATTTAGATTTAGAATTACGTATTGTGAAAGGATGTTTGGAACAGATACTGCATAGTTTTTACTTTTCTTCCTCTCCATCGTTCCTAAGGAGGAATCATCAGTCCACTGGCATCATTAGTAGTTCATGGCAGTAATTATGTGAGATGTGAGAAATTGTTGAATATTAGAGTTTCAAAGTGTTGAGAATATTGCGAATATTGAGAATATTGAGAATTATGTGAGAAATTGTTGTAATTATGTGAGATGTGAGAAATTGTTGAATATTAGAGTCTCAAAGTGTTGAGAATATTTTTCAGGGAAAATCTGAAGATTAAAAAGTTCTTTGAACTGGATGATGTTAAGGTTTTTTCCCAGCCTTAAGAAAAAAAGCACTCTGATGCTACATTTATGTAGACTCTCACTCATTTCTCTACAATTAATTGATGTTAGTCATATTAAATTTTAAGGCATTTTATGGCTAGAAAAGCTGTCTTTGTCAGAAAAGCAACACCAAAGTTATGAGTGCAGTTTTGCAGTGAGTATTTTTATTCTATATAATTCATTCATAAAGAGAAGAAAGGCTGGGCATGGCGGCTCACCCTGTAGTCCCAGTGCTTTGGGAGGCCAAGACAGATGGATCACTTGAGCCCCGGAGTTCAAGACTAGCCTGGGCAACTTGGTGAAACCCTATCTCTACAAAAACATCCAAAAAATAAGCTGGGCATGGTGACACACAGCTGTAGTCTCAACTACTCAGGAGGCTACACTGGGAGAACCACATGAGCCTGGAAGGTGGAGGTTGTAGTGAGCTGTGATCATGCCACTGCACTCCAGCATGGGCAAGAGTGAGACCCTGTCTCAGAGAAAAAAAAAAAAAAAATGAAAAATGTTATCCCTAAAATGGTTTTAAATGTGTGCTCAGGTCTTAGACAAAATAATGACACGTTGAACAGAATAGTGCTAATTAAATCAAAATATGGCACAATATATTTGTTTTTATTTTTTGAGATGTCAAAATACAATAATTGGTTTTTTGCCATATATGTCCTTAGCATACTGATTTCCTTTCCTTTGGATATATACCCATACCCAGTAATGGAATTGCTGAATCTTATGGTAGTTCTATTTTTCATTTTGTTTTAGAACCTCCATACTATTCCTCATAATGGTGGTATTAATTTACATTGCCATCCAACAATGTATAAGAGTTCCCTTTTCTCCACATCCTCTCCATCACTTGTTATCTTTAGGCTTTTTTGTAGTAGCCATTCTTATGGGTTAGAGGTGATATCTCGTTACGGTTTTAATTTGCATTTCCCTAATGATTAGTGATATTGAACATTTTTTATATATCTGTTGGCCGTTTGAATGTGTCCTTTTGGGAAATGTCTGTTTAGGTCCTTTGCCTATTTTTAATTGGGTTGTTTACTTGCTAGTGAGTTTCCTTTTGTTTGTTTCTATGTTTTATTTGAGACAGGATCTCGCTCTGTCACCCACACTGGAGTGCAGTGGCAGGATCTCAGCTCACTGCCACCTCTACCTCCCGAGTTCAAGCGATCCTCCCACCTCAGCCTCCCAAGGTGGGAGGTGCCAGCCTAGAGGCTGGTGTGCAAGTTCTGGTGTAGCAAGTGTAGCTGGGACTACAGTCATGCGCCACCATGCCCGGCTAATTTGCTAGTGAGTTTCTTGGGTTCCTTTAATAAGATTGATATTAGACTCTTACCAGATGTATGGTTTGCATATATCTTATGTTTTCCTCTAGCAGTTTTACAGTTTCCAGCCTTACGTTTTGGCCTTTAATCCATTTTGAGTTGAGGTTTGTGTATGGTGTGACATAGTGGTCTAATTTTTTTTTCATGTGGATATCCAGTTGTCCCAGTACTGTTTATTGAACAGACTGTCCTTTCCTTATTGTATGTTCTTGGCAGCTTTGATGAAAATCAGTTGGCCATAAATGCGTGGATTTATTTCAGGTGTCTCTATTCTGTTCTTTTGGTCAGTATGATTAGTGTTTCTATGGTCATCAGTTGTAATATTTCCTCTTTCATTTCTCATTTTATTTATTTGAGTCTTCTCATTTTTGTAGTCTAGCTATATAGGTTTATAGTTTTATATCTTCAAAAACCAACTCTTGGTTTTGTTGATCTCCTCTTGTTTTTCTCACGTCTCTCTCATCTGTTTCTGCTCTAATCTTTATTTTCTTCTGCTCACTTTGGGTTTAGTTTGTTCTTATTTTTCTAATTCTTTGAGGTGTAACTTGAAGTTATTTATTTGAGATCTCTTTTGATGTATGCATTTATTGCTATGAACTTCTCTCTTAGAACTGTTTTTGCTGTGTCCCATAAGTTTTGGTATGTTGTGTTTGCATTATCATTTGTCTCAAGATACTTTTTAATTTTCTCTTCAATTTCTTCTTTGACTTATTAGTTGTACAGGAGCATGATGTTTAATTTTCATGGATGTGTGAATTTTTCAAAAATTCCTTCTGTTATTGATTTTTAGTTTAATATCATTGTGGTCAGAAAAGATACTTAATATGTCTTCTGTTTTCTTAAATGTGTTAGGCCTAATTTTGTGGCCCAGCATATCATCTGTTTGGGAGAATGTTCCTTGTGTTCTTGAGAAGAAGTATTCTGTTGCTGTTGGATGAAATGTTCTGTAGATGTCTATTAGGTCTATACAGTCTAAGGTATACTATTAACCTGATGTTTCCTTATTGATTTTCTGCCTCGATGACCTGTGCATTGCTGAAAGTGGAGTATTGAAGTCCTCTATTATTATTGTATTACAATCTGTCTCTTCCTTCAGCTCCGTTAACATTTGCTTTATGTATTTGGGTCCTCTGATACTGGATGCTTATATATTTACAAGTGTTATATCCGTCTGATGAATTGACCCCTTTATCTATATAGTGACTCTGGTCTCATTGTACAATTTTTGATTTTGTCTTTTTTAACTGAGTATAGTTACTCCTACTGTCTTTTTATTTCCATTTGCATGGAATATCTTACTTCATTTCTTCGCTTTTAGTCTATGAGTCCTTACAGATAAAATAAGTCTCTTATAGGCAGCATATGGTTGGGTCTTATTTTTGTTTTTGTTTTTTGTTTTTTAAATTCATTCAGCCACTATGTGTTATGATTGGAGAATTTAATCTATTGACATTCAAGGTAATTATTTCTGCATATGGACTTACTACTGCCATTTTGCTAATTGTTTTCTGGCTGTTTTGTAGCTCCTTTGTTCCTTTCTTTCTCTCTTGCTGTGTTTCTCATTAAATGATTTTCCCTAGTGGCTACTTTGATCATATTTAAAAACTGTATACTTTTATTCCTCCTCCTCCTGCATTTAGGTGTTATAATTTACGTGTATATTCTTTAACAAACTGTTGTAGCTAACAATATTTTAATAGTTTTGTCTTCTGATCTTCATATTAAAGATACAAGTGATTTGCACACCCCCATTTAGAGTATTAGGAGATTCTAAATTTGACTATGTACTTTTAGCAGTGAGTTTTGTCATTTATTTTAGTGTTAAAATTAGTGTTCTTTTCTTTCAACTCAAAGAACTCCCTTTATCATTTCTTCTTGTAAGACAGGTCTGGTGGTAATGAGCTCTCTCAGCTTTTGTCTGGGAATGTTTTTATTTCTCTTCTTTTCTGAAAGACAACTTTGCCAAGTACAGTATTCTTCATTGGCATTTTTTTTCATCAACACTTTGAATATATCATCCCACTCTTTCCTGGCTTATAAGGTAGGCCTTTACTGAGAAATTTGCTGCTAGTCTTATTGGAACTCTCTTACATGTTATTTGCTTCTTTTCTCTTGCTACTTTCAAGATGCTGTCTTTGTCCTTGATTTTTGACAGTTTGATTATGTGTCTAAGTGTAGTCTTCTTTGGATTGAATCTCACTGGAGACCTTTGACCTCCCTGTACCTGGGTATTTATGTCTTTCCTCAAATTTGAAATTTTTTCTGATATTATTTCTTTATGTAAGCATTCTGCCCCTTTGTTTTTCTCTTCCCCTTCACAAACTCCTGTAATTCAAACATTTGTTCTTTTGATGCTGTTCCATAAATCTCATAAATTTAATTCATTCCTTTTCATTCTTTTTTCTAATTTCTCTCTTCTGACTATATATTTTCACATAACCTATTTTCATGTTCACAGATTCTTCTGTTTGATCAGTTCTGCTGTTGGTGTTCTCCATTAAATTTTTATTTCAGTGTATTTTTCACCTCTAGAATTTAAATTTTTCATATATGTAATTTTAGTCATTCTGTTAATTTTCTCATTTTGGTATTTTATTGTTTTCTTTATATTATTAATTTGTTTCTGAATGTATTTTGAAATTCCTTAAGCTTTCTGAAAATAATTATTTGAATATTTGAATTCTTTGTCATTCTGTTCTATATCTTCATTTATTAGGGGTCAGCTACTAGGATATTATCCCATTATTTTTGTCGTGTTGTATCTCTTAGGTTTTTTCTGTCTCTTGTTGCCTTATGTTGATTTTTGCATATTTACAGAAGTAGGGACTTATTCTAGTGTTTGCATACTTGCTTTGTCTGGGAGAACCGTTCTCCAGTCAGTGCATCCAGAGATTTTGGGCAGAGTGTCTGGCATGATTTGAGGGCAGGCTTGCTGCTGGAATCTTTGGGCATGCCGGCCTGGTGACCAGGTCACCATATGGGCTGGCCTGGCATCTGGGTTCATGTGATAGGGCCTGAAGACTGGATCAATAAAGGCTGGGCTGGAGACACAGTCTACACGGGTGGTCTTGGGGCCTCAGTCCATGGCATTCAGCCTGGCACTGGTGAATGCTGAGATGGACCTGGACCCTGGGTCTGCTGGAGTAGGCCTGGACTCTGGATCCTCTAGAGCCTGGTACCATGGGGGCTGGCTGGGTATCAAGGCCAGCATGGAGCCTAGGTCCACGGTGCTGGTCGAAACTTAATATTGCTGGTGCTGACATGGTGTCTGGAGCCACTGGGACTGGTCTGGATCCTGGGGCCATGGGGAACAGCCTGGAGCCTCGGTCTGTTGGTGCCAGCCTAGAAGCTGGTGTGCAAGTGCTGTTTTAGAGGCTAGGTCCACAAAAGCTGGCCTGTATCCTACAGCCTCAGGGGCAGGCCCGGGACCTGTGTAGACAGGAGCGGTCCTGCACCCTGGGTCTGTGTTGGCTGGTCCAGTGGGAGTTTTCTGGGACAGACCTGGACCCTGGGTCTGCTGGAGAATGGAGCATCAGAGGCCAACCTGGAGCGTGGGGCCTTGGGGACTCAGCCTGGCACTGGGCAGGTTTGGAGCCTGTCTCTGCACGTGCCTGCCTGGTGTTTGTGTCCAAGGGTGCCAACCTGGTCATGGAGCAGGTCTGAAACCCGGGGCCACAGGGGCAGACTTAGTGCTGCATAGGCCTGTATCCTCAGTCACAGGGCCTGGCCTGGTGCTTGGGTGGGCTTGAAGCCTAGAGTTGTAAGAACCACTTCGGTACTGGGGTCGGTATATATCCTGAAGCCACTGAGGCAGACCTGGACCCTGGGGTTTGTAGGATCCTGCCTGGTGCCAAGACAGGCTTGGAGGCTTAGTCTGAATGTACTATCCTGGAGCCTGGGACCTGACAGGTCTGACAGGGGCTGACCTAAATGCTGAGACCACAAGTGCTGACCTGATACTGGGCTGCCCTGAAGCCTAGGGCTGGCCCGAAGCCTGGGGCCATGGGGATCATCCTCAGCTGAGGGCGGTTCAGAACCTGGGGCCACTGATGTTGGCCTGTCTTGGGACAACCGAGAGACACAATTTGCTGTGTAGGCCTGGAGCCTGGGACTGCGGCATTCAACCTAGCACTAGGGTGGGCCTGGAGTCTCAGTCCTTGGTTACCAGCCTGGAGTCGGGGCCTGTGACGACCTTCTTGGTGCTGGTTTTACTGGAGTAGGTTGTGTTTTGGGTTCCCAGGCAAAGTATAGTGCTCACCTCTCCCTCCCATCACCACATGGAAAGTATTTCTCTCCATGGTTTACTGCCTGGGGTTGGGGAAGGGGTAACTTGAGTAGTATAAAACTGTCCTTCCTACTCTCTTCAATGTGTTTTTGTTGTTGTTGTTGTTTTTCTTTTTTTCTAATTTCTGTGCTATACCTAGGTGCTGTAATCTCTCATCTGGTTTCGTTAGCTCTTGTAAAGGTATTTTTTTGTGTGTAGATAGTCATTCAAATTGATGTTTCTGTGCAGGTATGAGCCCTAGAGAGTCCTGTTCTGCCATCTTGCTGACATCTATCCCTATGAACATTGTTACACATTTCTTTTAGGGCACATACCTGAAAGTGGAGTTACTTGGTTATGGAATATGGCATATTTCAGAAACTAGGACCAAAAATAAAATATTATAATAAAATATGTTCCTTTCACCTTTATTTTCTTATTGCTTATGAAATAACGTGAGTTTTGGGAGCTCTGGCTAGGAACCAAGATAAAGACCAAATATATATTTCTTATTCTATAATAGTATCACACATACGTTCAATTTAGGAGATATGCTGGTTTTCCAAAGTAGATGCACTAATGTATACTCCCACCTTCAGTATATGAGAGTTCTAGTTAAAGTTGTATTGCTAGTCTTTTTCATTTTAGACATCCTAGTGCGTGTATAATACCTAAATTTAATTTGCATTTTTCCATTGACATGTCATCATTTTGTTTGGTCATTTGCATATCCACTTTTATGTAGCGCCTGGTTTTATCTTTTTTTAAATATTTAATTGGTTTGTTTTCTTAATGATTTATACGAGTTCTTTAGATATTTTGGAGTGAGCTCTTTGTCAGGTTGGAAATAGCTGCCTTTGTTATTTGGCTTCCTTTTACTTTGTTAATAGTGTCTTTGATGGATACAATTTCCTCATTTTAATTAGTCTCTTCCATTATGATAATATTTTCTCTTTCTTTTCCCCCCTTTTCATGTTTTCTGCCTACTTTTATTTGGTATTTTCTTACTATGTGTTATATCTGTGATCTTTTAAGTTCTTTTTGAAACTGGGAGGTGGAAAATAAACATAAAGATGTGATATTTTAAAGCTCACAGGAAGTATTCCATTCTTCAGATGAGTAGAAGGATAGATTCATGCATAGTTCTTGGTAAGTTTTCCGAGTAGGGTGACCACAAATAGTTAAAATGACTGTCCTGTGTATGTGTAGCTCTTTGTAGTATGTAGATGAGCATGGTCCTGAAAGGATTACCTTACCTATTTCTTGTCTATCTACTATTCTTGCAAGCAAGTCAAGTTGATGAAAGTGGTTCATGTTCTGCAGTAATGGCAAGGATAATTCCCATAATCTCTCAAGGGAAAATATTCTGGGCCAAGTTTGTCTTTGGAATTTTTGCTTTCTATATGTCGTCAATCTTTTCCATTTTTCTTTTAGAAGCTAGTGCCATAGTGGAACATCCCATCCTGATCTGTTCAGCTTGTTCTATGCTTCTTTTCTGGCACTCAACTCCATCCTCCCCTTTAACCTTCCCTTCCCACTAACTCTGCCACCAGTACCAAACTGTAAGATCCAAAGACCCATAAAATAGTAATAAGTATAAGCACTGTTTGATTCAGTTGTGTCACATCACTACTGAAAATTTTTTTAAATTAATTTCTACACTTTTGATTTTCTCCAGCATTCATTTCCTTCTGTCATATTATTAACTCCCTATGGCTTTCCAGTGTTAAAAGGGCAAATTAGAGGAAGGTTCATTTTTTGGCCTCTGCTTGCCTAGAATTCATTATAAGTACATGGAGTTCTACATAGTTTTCCTTTTTGTTCTTGTTGTTTTGTCCTATTTTTATGTGTTCGTTCTTCCTTAGTTGACTATAGGACATATACATATGGTGCTCTGGGACCAAATACATTTAGAAATCGATCCACTGCTGGAAATAGGAACCAAGGAAGGCTGTAATTGGTATTTAATGTAAGTTTTAATTGAAGATTAACATCACTGTCACTTAAAAGCAGACCCAGTGGCTTAGGGGAAATAGAGCAGTGATTATGTCCTCTCACTTTTCATGCAGAAAAGAAATAATAGCTGCAGATACCCCTACTACAAAGCTATTACTTCCTCCAGTTGATTGATAAGTGATTAGCTTGAATGATTAAATGACTGGCTTTATCACTTACACTTAATGTTCCTTCCCTCACAGTAATGTTCACATATAACATTCTGTATGTATGTATGTGTGTGTGTATCAAATTAAATTTCCCATAAAATTTTAATTTTCACAAAAAAACTGTATTTATATATGACCAGTTTTCAGTGTTTTTATTAAATGTCTTCAAAGACAGGAACATACAGTAGACAGAATATTGGAGAGTATTTTTCCAAAGAATTCTTTTTCCTTCCTATGGAAAAGATTTCATTTGTCTATTTTCAGCATTTATTTAAAAAATCTTAGTTGAGTTTATATTTGATAATATAATTGAGACTTTTTTCATCACTACCTAAATATCCATGTTTAGTTAGCCCCAATTCTCGTGATACAGCCAAATGGACTGTTTGCTGTTATTTTGCTAAATGTTTTTGATAAGTACAAATATGAATATGTGGATTTATGTCATCAGATAAAATCTATAATTGAAATTAAGTCCATCTGATATTCAAAGTACTGCTACTAGCATTCTACCTCCACCAGTTTATTTATAGTCACTTTATTTTAGGTAGCATTTCAAAGAAGAGATCTTTTTCATTTTTGGGTTATTTACATTCTGAGATACATCCAAATGCTTTTCTGTTTACAATAAATACCCATATACCCAAATAAAAATTTTCCATTAAAAGGTAAGGTGTTTTCCCTTTTTTATTTAATTTATTTGAAATGGAAGAAACTGGAGGTACATGAAAACCACAGTTTCCAGAGAATTTTCCATGGCAAACATTATGTCAACTTTAAATAAGGAAAGCTGTGGTTTCCTTCATACCTCCCGATATTGGGAAGACTTTTTCATGCAGGTGTAAAAACTATTTGTTCATTGAGATTACTTAGTAGCCTTTTAAGCTTCAAAATAAATTTATTTAAGATGCATCAGTGTATTTTTATTCCCTCTATAAATCTCCATTTTCTATCTCACCTATGAAGCCTATCACATTCTGCCTTGTATTAGTTATTTGTGCATTTGTCTTAGCCTTTTAAATTAGAGCAACATTGTGAGCTTCAAAAGTTGATCTGTGTGTCCTCATGTGTAAGACAGTGTCTTCACATAATAATAAGAGTTCAGTAAATATAAAGAGGGAAGAAGTTAAGTGAGGAAGGAAGATGGGCAAGAGAGAAATGAGGAGGGAAAGAGTCTGTTCTACTCATTCTTGTGAGTTTCTGCAGTAACCCAGTGCAGTAAGCAAGGTGCAAATATTATCTCAGTGCAACAGAGACCCAAAACACTGCCAAGGGAATAAACCTGAGCCCATCTGCTTCACCAGCTTTCTTTTTTAATGCTTATATTTCATTTATTTTCAAAAACACATGAAGGGAGCTTTACGCAATTTATAGTGTAAAAAACATCTGGAGTTGGGTCATGAAATGTGAAAGTTATCTCAGAGTTGAAAACTTGTTGAGAATACTAGACCGAATTCAGAAAACAGATTTTGAGTTCTAGCTTGTTCCTAATTGGCTAGGTAATCTTGAAATCAAGCCTAGAAGGTTAGTCTAATTGATTGATAAAATCTTTGGTCCATTTCCCCTTTAGATCTTGTTGAAATTTGAATTTTAAAAGTTAAATGTAGGATTTTCTAAGAATAAAATTCTTAAGAATAAAATTAAAGATTTAAAATGAAAATTAGGAATAAAATTAGAAGCTAAAAATATTAAATTTGACTTTCTCTTAGAAAGAATAAAAATCCTTAAATAATTGCTATGGTTTAGTAAATTGGTATGTCAAAGACTTTCTTTAAAACAAACATTTCAAATACAAGTGTAATATTTTTATTGGTCTTTTAAGAATGGAAAACTAAATTTAGTATTTATGAAACATATAACTAATGTGTATGTTAATAAGTTTTTCATTTGCACAGTTTTTTTCCATTAGAATATTTTTTCTACTCCCGTAATTGCAAGCAACTGAGATTTGCAAATTACTAACATGTCATCAAGACGAAATACAAATTAGTTAAAAATAGCTGGCAGCTAAATATAAGGAATAGTGAAGGACCAGATATATACTAAGGAGATATATGTCTCTCCTACAATACATTCTGATGTTTAGGAATGCCTTGATTAAATAATTTTTAATTCAATGAAAGCCTCAATTCTAATTATTATGATTTCTTATAGTGTTATAATACCAGTATTCTAATTAGTACTTGAACATAACTTGTGCCTTTTTCTTTGAGGCTGACAATTCAGATAGGAAGTAATTGGTAATATCCTCATTATCAGTTGTGAACTCACCCTCTGCAAAGATTCTTGTTTAGCAAAAGTTAGAGGTTTAAATTTCTAGGAGTTTTTGCATTTCAACTAGTGTTGCCTTCTCCCTAGCTTTGTGACTTTAGTCAGGTTACTTACCACCTCTGACTCTTGTTGTTTCTCATTTCTGTAATAAAGAGATCTTCCAGATCAAAAGTCCTGATGTTGCATTTTAGTCCCTCTTCAAAGTTGTTATGGCATCACATAAAAATGACAAAGCTCATCCTCCCAGTGTTTACATTTATTTTGCCTGAAAACTTCACTGTGTCAAGCACTCACTATGTCTGTATTGTAATTTTTGAATATATTTTGTTAAGTATTCTTAACTCTAACATTTTTCATATTTCAATATAACAAGTAGTTCATTCTCTAAGATGTTTGGCTATGGTATTGGGTAGGCAACTTTATCAAAATTTCATTTATAAAAATTAGAAGCACTGAGTACATTTTCAAATGTATATACACCATAAAATTACGGTACAAAGTAGATACAGCACATACTTCAAAGACATTTTTGTTAAAAAATTCAACTCAGAAGTATGAAAGTTTGACTCATGAAAATTTTAAATTTCTCACCCAGAAAATTTTCCAAAAAAAGATTTTAAAAAATACTAACATTGCAAATACGTGTGAAAGGACACAGCTAATTTTCTAAATCTATGAAGATTACTTATGATGAACAAAACAGCAGAAAAAGAACAAAGCAAGATTTATGGACAGATGTTTATAGAAAGGGACGTACAAGTGGTTTAGTAACATAATGAATAAAAAATAACATTTTAATGACTTAACTGTTTTTAGTTCAGGATTACAAAGAACAAAAAGTCTGCTAACATTCTGCATGGGAAAACTGCCTAGAAAAACATACTTTAATATATTGCTAATGGAAGTCAAATTTGGTAAATCTCACTTGTATGTGGAATCTAAAAATGTCAAACTCATAGAAATAGTAGAATGGTCGTTACCAGAGGCTGGGGACAGGAGTAGTACAAACTGGAAAAGGGAGAATCGGTCAACAGATAGAAAGTTACAGTTAGAAAGAAGGACCAAGTTCTGGTGCTCTGTAGCACAGCAAGGTGACTACAGTTAATATATTTCAAAATAGCCAAAAGAGAGGATTTAAAATGTTCCCATCACAAAGAAATGATAAATGTTTAAAGTGGTAGATATGGTAATTACTCTGATTTGATGATTCTACAATGTATGCATGTGTCAATATCACTTTGTACTCTATAAGTGTCTAAAATTATTGTCAAAATAAAACAGAAAACACATCTTAGAGTTTTATAACAATATTTATATATTTATAACATTTTATCAGCTGATAGCATTAACTGTTATTCAGAAACACAAATTGCATATAATTATAGAACCTAAAGCTGTAGTATACATAATTCTACATAACTACTCATTTTATATACCTACATACCCTGTAGACCCAAACTTTTATGTTCTCCTTTGACTCACTGCTGCTACATATGGCTGCAGAGCTCCAATTTGACAACTACAATGTGAGTGACTCTCCGGGGATTATGCAACACGGTGGCCCTTTTCGAATCAGTCTCATTTTATATAAACTTGATATTCTTCCACAAATAAGTGCTCCACAAAGATTGCAACATAAAAACACAGTTATAGAAGAAGACATTAGAAAAAAAAAATTAAAAAAATCTTCATTCATGAGATTCGTACATAATTATAGAATTGTAAATCTTTTTCTAGAGCCTTTCAGAAAAAAATGAAATTCACTGAAATGAGATTACTAAATCAGCGTTAGTCTGGGATATCTTCCAGGGCAGAGAAACAGCTTTGCTAAATAAAATTAATGATAAAATGACTCTTAACAAAATAGCATTTACCCCGGAGTCCACACTAGACATGCAAGTATTACCACTGCTCTTCTAAAACTTGTTATAACTAAGATGGGAAGATATAGCTAACTCTGGAAAGAAATACCCAGTTCAGCAAAGATTTTAGCAAGTTGTCAAAACAGGGATTTGGAAACAGCAGTAGATGTGTTTTTCAACAATTGTTTGAATACATTTTAATCAAAATCTGGTTAGGATTCCCAGAATTTCTTATGTCTGTTTTATATCTGTTCATATATTGAGAATTACCTTTGAAGTGGATTTTTAGAAACTATAAGAGGTAAACATGCTGAAAGAAGCAGTAAAAGGTAAAAAGCTGCTCCTGGAATATCTTCTTTTTTCCTATAACCTGAAGGGCAGTTTCTTGGGGAATACACTTCTCAGGATTAGTCATTTTTGTTGTCATTGTTTTTACATACCAACCTTCTGTAATTAATCCTGAGGATTAAAATATACTGCTTCTTCATTGGATACCAAATTGTTTCTACCAAGACAGAATCTCAAATTGTGTTACCAATCTGGAAGCACACTTACTGCTATAATCTGTTGCTTTAATTTGGCAACAGAAGTCTGTCATGGTAGTATTTTTATTTTAAATTTTTAAACATCACGGGCCTACTACACAGTTTTTTCTTTCTTCCTGATTTTTTAGTTCTGCCCCACCAAGGATTCTACTTGCATGTAATTTAGAGCAGGCATCACGCTTTTTCTGTAAAGGACCTGAAATGAATGCCTTTGTAAGACACACAGCTTCTGTCACAACTACTTCGCTTTACCATTGTGTCGTGAGTGCAGACATAGGCAATATATAAATGAATGACTTTGGCTTTGTTCCATAAAACTTTATTAAATAAAAGAAAGTTCCAGCGGCAGGCTGGAACAGCCCCCATGGGCCAGTTTGCCAATTCCTGGTTTTGAAAATCAAATACTTCTACAAGAATTTTTTTATAAAAGTGGCAGTACTCTATTATTCCTTTCCTGCTTCAATTGCAGTTAGTTCGCATAGAGTTTACCCCTACAGTAAGATGTTTATGTACTGTATTAGCTTTTTTATTTTAAGCACTAGCTATTAACTTTATGTTGTGGTAGGTAAAGATTTAGATCTCTTTTCTCCTTCAGGCTCTAAGTCATATATCCCCTCCATCCTCCTCATATACTTATCTCCTGATATCCCCCCTTCATCCTCCTTATATACTTGAATCAGATTAGGTGAACATTTATTGATTATGTTATTGTGACTGTGAGTCATGTACTGAGTTATTACTACTTTTCTGCATAATATTTCTGTTTTCTACAGTTTGTGATAGGTTTATTTTGTTAGTTTTCTGTCTTATCTGTAGTGTAACACCAAACTCTCCATCTGCTATTGATATGTCCTCTCCAGATATTCAGCACACCAAGTATCCCAAACCTAAGTCTCCTGTCACCATCATCCTGGGAAGTTCCTTCTGCCTAAGTCTTCTGTTTCTTGTCTCCTATGCCATTCTTATTATTTGTATCCTTCCTCATTTTAGGGGAGCCAGTAGCTTCTTGGACAGAAATGTACAAGGATGTAAATTTTTTTGAATAAACTGCATGTGTGGAAGTATTTTTCTTCTTCCCTAGGTTGGAAATTCTTTTCCTTCATAATTTTAGAAGCATTAGCTGCTCTATAGTTTGACTTCCAGAATTAAAGTCTGAAACCATTGTGATCTGTGCGTCTTTTCTTTTTAGTTTATTATTTGGTGACTTGTTTTATTATCTGAAATCTTGTAGGTCCCAATATACTAATGTGACTATTTTCATATATTGTTTTCAGTCTTCTTAGCCTGAAAAATCATGTTTTTCATTGGAGTTTCTATATTCTAGCTTTTAATACTCAAGCAAGCATGTTTGACCTATGCCTTCAGCAGCTCAGCTTGTCACTAAGTGACTCAGGATACTAGCAATAACCTTCCTTCCTAAATTATCTTTTTTCTATCTTTCCTCTATTGTATCAGGAAACTCAGCAGCAGGTTGAAGAAACAGGTTCACTTTGCGCTGTACTTAAATGAATGGTCCATGAGTAGACGACATTTCTTGGAAAAGGTTGAACAGAAGCTGTGTCTAATAGTCAGAATAGATGCGTATCAGTTTCCTAAGGCTGCCATAACAAAGTATCACAAATTGAGTGGTTTAAAACTATGTAAATTGGCCAGGCGCGGTGGCTCACACCTGTAATCCCAGCACTTTGGGAGGCCGAGGCAGGTGGATCACAAGGTCAGGAGTTCGACACCAGCCTGGCCAACGTGGTGAAACCCCATCTCTACTAAAAATACAAAAATCAGCTGAGCGTGGTGGCGGGTGCCTGTAGTCCCAGCTACTCGGGAGGCTGAGACAGGAGAATCGCTTGAACCCGGGAGGCGGAGGTTGCAGTAAGCCAAGATCACGCTACTGCAACTCCAGCCTGGGTGACAGAGTGAGACTCCCAACAACAACAACAAAAAAGTAAATTTATTTTCTCACAGTTGAGGAGGGTGAAAGCTTGAAATTAAGGTGTCAGTGAGGCCACACTTTCTCTGGAAGCTCCAGAGGGGAAACTTTCCTGTGTCTTTGAGCTACTGGTGGCTGATGCCAGGATAACTCCAATCTTTGCCCTTAGTGTTCACGTAGTCTTTACTGTGTCTCTCTGTGCCCCTATATCAAAATATTCTTCTCCTTATAAGGAAACCAGTCTTACTGGGCTTAAGACCACCCTGATCCACTGTGATTCCACATAATTTAATCTGCAAAGACTTTGTTTCCAAATAAGTTCACATTCTGAGTTTCCAGGTGGATGTGAATTTTGAGGGGACGCGATTCAACCTAGTACACAAGGTAATTAAATAGCAGATGGTCCTGGCACAGGATTTGCACCAGGTGTAATTTAAATAGATTATTCTTTGAGTGACATTACTCACATAAATCCTACAAACAGAATAGCTTGCATACTGCCATCATCTTGTTTTTATTTTGGTATTCGTACATTTATAATACTGGGTTGGAAATGTCTTATATTTGACTGTTCACAATGAAGGGTAAATTTAGGATAAAGACATTTGAAACTGGTTGTTTTACTTTCACACACTAGTGAAATTTATTCACTTGCTTTATTAAATGTGTATTGGGTGCCTACTATTATTACCAGTCACTATTCTAGGCACTGAATCTACAGCAATGAGGCAAACAAAGTCTCTGCTTTGCAGATATGAAAACATCTACACTGCCATGCAGTGGTAAGTGATGTGAAGTAAATAGTGATGGGAAGTGTTGTGCTAGTTGAGATGACATTTAAGCAGAGACCTGAATACAGTGAGATGATCAGCCGTGTATATATTTGGGAGTAGAGTATTCCAGGTAAAGAAGAGATTGCAATGGTATGGGCTAAGCATCAGAAAGCAATAAAGCTTAAAGAAGAACAGATATGGAAATAGCATGATTTGATTACATTTTTAAAAATCACCGTGGCTGTTGTGTGGAAAATTGACTGTTGAGAGAGCAAGTTGCAAAGGAGAGTGACCAGGCATAAGTTTAATTATGTTGGTCCAGGTGAGAGGTGTTGGTGATTTAGTCAAAGGTAGTAAGAATAGAAATGGTGAGAAGCGACTGGTTCTGGATATATTTTACATTTGGAACCACAGGGTGTATTGTGAGTTTTGAGGGAAAGACAAATAGTGGGAAAGAATCCTTAGAGTTTTAGGCCTGAGCAACCAGAACAATGGAAATTACATACAATAAGATGGAAAAGCTACAGGAGAAGCAGATTTGTGAGGAAAAATCAAAGAATTCTGTTTTGACAATGTCAAATAGATGTCAGGTTAGGTGGTTTGATGTATCAGCTTAGAGCTCAGGTTGGAGCTGGAGGTCGAAATTTAGATGTTGTCAGCCTTCATACGGCATTTCAAGTCATTAGCCGGCATTATGATTTTTCCAAATTTATAAATATATTGAATACTGTATATAATGTTCCCATTCAGTCTAGGCCCTGAGAACGTGTCAGTGATAGTAGACATTTAAAATAGAAATATAGAGCGTTAGATAATTTCTAGGTCTCTGTTAAATGGAACTTCAAGTATTACAGTAGTCTCACCCAGTTTAGCACTAATATGTTATTTGATTCTTTGATATTAATTTAGTCTTCTTAATTAGATTGTTCAAGCTCTTTGATAGTAAAAACTATGTTCTTTTTTTGATGTTACACATGGTGCTTATCACAATTCTGAGAATATTAAGTATCGTATCCAAAGAATATTTATTAATGATTAAGTGATAATTTTAGTTGTTCAAAGGCAGTAATATTTTTGTCAGGATGATCTTTGTCTTTAGCATGGATTGATTATACAGATATCTTATCTAAGGAGAATATTAACTAGTTCTATTCTCCAACTCTAATTTTAAAGACTATGATAGATTTTATTTTATTCACTTTCAATAGTGTCATTTTTATTTCATTCCCATACGTTTATTATATTTTTAAATTTGCAGCCAGATTCTACTGCAACTGAAAGAGCAATTGCCAGACTAGCAGTACATCCTCTTCTGAAGAAAAAGATAGATGTGCTAAAAGGTATGAATTAAATGACTTTTAAGCCATGTACTTAATGTATTTGTAGACTTTGGATAATGGCTATTCACTTATTTTAACTCTTGAGGTTCTATTATAAATATAAGTTTCTTTCAAATATTTACCAGTGTGGAAGGTGTCTGAAAATACAGAAAGTGTGATCTCTGAAGAAAAACCAAATCTGTATTGTTTAGTAAATTCTAATATGTGAACGTATAATACGTAATATATATCTTTTTATATATAATATATACAAGATAAAGTTGAATAGTTTTTTTAAAATATTGACATAACTCATTAGTTTTGGTTTCGCCACTTAGGAACATAATTTTATATATGTTTATTATAAAATATATCTATAAAATGAAATTTTTTTGTCACATGATACTGAATTTTATGTCTGAAAGCACAGTTTATAATAATGCATTATTATTATATAAATTAAAGTTGCCATTCCCTTTTATTTGTATTCTGTGATGTTTTTACTGTTCTTCATAACTCCAAGACATGAAGAAAACATTTTCTTTTCATTTTCACAATTTAAAATGAATACGTCTGAGCATATCTTATGTTTGGTTTTTAAGAAGTCGAAAGATTTCTTTGTGAATTCAGACCGAGTATATGTATTTAATATCAATTCCAACTGCCCTCTTAAATCTTTTCAAATAATTTTTTAAAATACTGTCCTAAAACAGTCATGTTTTATATGTTTCAGTGCTAAAATGAGTGATGCACTGTTTCTCTTGCAGCTGCTGTACAAGCCTTTAAAGAAGCAAGACAAAATGTTGCTGAAGTTGAGTCATCAAAGAATGCTTCAGAGGACAATCATTCTGAGAATACTTTGTATTCAAATGATAATGGAAGTAATTTACAGCGTGAAGCAACTGTCATCAGTGAGCAAAAAGTCAAAGAAACCAAAATATTGGCGAAGAAACCAATACATAATTCAAAGGAAAAAATAGCAAAGATGGAACATGGACCTAAAGCAGTGACTATTGCAAATTCTCCATCAAAGCCTTCAGAAAAGGATTCTGTAGTTTCCCTTGAGTCCCAGAAGACACCTGCTGACCCAAAACTGAAAACTCTAAGTCAAACCAAAAAAAACAAAGGATCTGATAGCTCACTCTCTGGTAACAGTGATGGCGGAGAAGAATTTTGTGAAGAGGAGAAGGAATATTTTGATGATAGCACAGAAGAAAGGTTTTACAAGCAGTCTTCCATGTCTGAAGATAGTGATAGCGGTGACGACTTCTTCATTGGGAAAGTCAGACGGACACGAAAGAAGGAAAGTAGTTGTCATTCTTCAGTTAAGGAACAAAAACCACTAGAAAAAGTGTTTCTTAAAGAAGATACAGGTGAAACTCATGGGGATACAAGAAATGACAAAATCAAGCCAAGTACAGAAACCAGAAAGTTAGAATCAGTGTTTTTCCACTCTTTATCTGGATCTAAAAGCTCTAGAAGGTAAGATTCTTTTTCTATTCTGAAATAATCATTAGTTCTTTTTTAAAAAGCTATAAATGTCTACTTGTCCATACATGAAGAGACTATAATTCTAGTTTGTACAACCCATCCTGTTTTTAGACATGGCCCTCTCCAAGGTTGTAGTGGGGTATTAGGTACAGATACACATATGGCAATGCCACATTTGCCTAGTTTCATCAGAAAATGAGATGTTATAGCCAAATAATATGCCAGCTAATTTAAATTTTATTCCTTCACTTATCAAAGTTTTGAAACTTTGAAATCTTTTTTGATGAAAAACTTTTGAAAATGTTTCATGTATCTTTCTAAACAGAACTTTCTGAAAAGAATATGGTGTTTTTTCTTGATGATCCAGGACCATTATTGTAAACATCAGTCATTTTACTGTCTAGTACCATTTCAGTATATAAGGCTGCTTGCCCTTAAACTGAGTTTCTCCATACTGCTTTTTATTTGATGATGTTGCTGTCTCCATCTCTGTTGCTCACCACTTTTCATAGCTGTTCTGTTATAAAACAGTAAGTTTAACTTTATTTGTAATTCCAATTTGATAAAGGGTATCTTCACATTTTAGAGTGAAGGTTATGGTTAGCTAATTTCTTCAGTAACAGCTATAAACTGTTTTTGCATATATTTACAAGTCAGGGATAGTCTTTAATGAAATAGAAAAATGTGATGTAAAAATTTTTCAAAAATGTCACAGTATGGCAAAGACATAAAAACGTGTGGAGTGTTGAAATAATTAAAATATTTACTTATATTTTCCAAACTTGCCTCAAAAAGCTGCACTTTTTTCCACATTTGAAAATGGCACACCACTATCCCTTTACCACAAAATATAAATCTTTTTTTTTTTTTTTTTTTTTTTTTTGAGACGGAGTCTCACTCTATCACCCAGGCTGGAGTGCAGTGGTGTGATCTTGGCTCACTGTAACCTCTGCCTCCCAGGTTCAAGCAATTCTCCTGCCTCAGCCTCCTGAGTAGCTGGGATTATAGGCGCATGCCACCACGCCCGGCTAATTTTTGTTTTTTTTTTGTTTTGTTTTGTTTTCTAGTAGAGACGGGTTTCACCATATTGGCCCGGTTAGTGTCGAACTCCTGACCTTGTGATCCACCCTGCTCAGCCTCCCAAAGTGCTGGGATTACAGGCGTGACCCACCGTGCCCCGCCAAAATGTAAATCTTAATTTTTGTTATATGAGAGTCATTCTTCCTGTGAAAAGACTTTAGAAATTCTTTATATAGATAATCCCGAAGTGTAAAGGCAAGGTAACCAAGACAAGATATTTCCCATTACAAACAGAATTCTCTTTAAAGGTGGTGAGGGAAATAGGTCCTCATGTGTCTGTAGTAACACTGGATTCTAACAAACCTTTGTTTGATACAGCTACAACCTGGGACTTTCATAATTATTTTATTGTTTGCTGGTGTGACTAAGGAGTATAGTGGCCCTTTGAATTAGTTTTATCATCAATTTTGTTATGTTTTTTTCTTAAGATCAGAGGATTTATCTTTAAAAAGTCATAATGGTGTTTTTCTTCTTTTAGAAATTTCAAAGAACAGGCTCCAAAAACAAGATCCCTAGGTATGTATTCATAGTTGCCTGACCTTCATATGCAATTAAGCTATGTTTTACCAGAGTAAAAGAATGAGAAATTGTTGTTGCTTAATATAGCCTGAATGAATTATGTACCCACAGAAATGTTAACAGAGCATCTTACAATTATCAATATAATTTTTTGTTGTTGGTTTTCTTTTCTTCTGTGTCCTGCCAGAGGGAAAGATATAGACAAAATTTATCAGGAAATATTATGTCTATTTAACTTATCTCAAATTAAACCAACACTTTTTTTAAGTAAATTATGCAAGTTATATCTTAATTATTAGTGATCCTAAACGCTAATGCCATGCCGTTAAACATTGAATAACAAGTATATTACTTTCTTGGGCAAGAGTATAATCAGAATATTTTCAGATTAATTCGTAACAAATCTAAGTTTCATGTATTTGGGTAGAGTGACTTCTCACACAATCCTAGACTTTCACTAACTTAACATAGCAAAAATTCATTTCTCATTCACATCACAGTCCACTGTGATGAATTAGCAGAGAGGCTGTGTTCCACATAGTCATTCAAGGATCAGGCTTCTTCCATCTTTTGGCGTTTTCCTCCTCCAGGTTCCAAATATTCTCCATTTGCCAATAGAAGGGAATGGAGTACATGGAGAATTTTGCAGGTGTTTGTGAGCAAGGCCTGAAAGTAGCAGAAACCAGTTCTACTCACATATCATTAGCCAGAATTCAGTCACATGACCCCATCTAGCCACAGGGGAGCTAAGAAATGCAGTCTTACTATATATCTAGGAGAAAAGAGGAAGTGGAATTTCGTGAACACATAACTTTTTCTTCCAGTGACCAGACTTTCTATCACTGGATGGCCATTTCACTTTTCCTCCTACACAGAGCACACTTACCTCCTTCCCAAGGCAGCCAACCCAAAGTCACATCCAGTCACTGCATCTAGCTCAAAGTCCAGGATCACTGGTCATGGAGTATTTTCCATCAAATCTCATGGATGAGATTCTTCAAAGTCTGGTGACCTTTGTACCAAAAAGAAATTCATACCATGATATACCATGTATCGAGTAGCAGAACAGGGACAAAGTAATGACAATAAAAACTCTTGATAGCTTAAGGAAAAAATGGAAGGCACACAACAGGTCTACTATCTGAAATTCTGCTGAGCAAAGATTATGAAGGCTCTGAGAGGAACTTCTTTATCCATTGTTCTTCATGGTCCGTGTCTAGGGAGGGTCTTTGTTTCGTGGCCACATCTGAGGTGGGTATTTAACATGATCTCTTTGGAGTTTGCCCCAAGTCACTGGTACAAATATAAAATGATGAAGATTGTACAAAGTTCAGCAGAGGTTTTTTCCATCCCAGGCTTGTGATTTCTTTCACTATACACCTCCTCAAAAACTCAGTGGATTTCTGACCTCTGTTTCCTTCAGTCCGTCTGTGGGCTAGTTACCGTACTGAAAATTCTTTCTTTGAGCTAGTTCTCAAACTTGTCTTATTTGTTTGTGTTTTGTTTTATTTTTCCCACTTCCCGCTCTCATTCAGCATCTACTGCATTGAAAATTAATCAGATTTGGATGGGAGTGCCATACATTTAGTCTTATCTCTGCTCTAGGGCTGAGTTGCTGTGGGCAACTTTTCTTAGACTTACAGGTTACTGTTTGGGAGTCAAAGGCTTTTCTAAACCTTAAGTTCCCAAATATCTAGATTCTTTTGTTCTCTCTGTTCTCTTTTGTGTAGTGCATTGTCAAGGACAGCCAGTAATACGCTGATCTTTTTATTCTTTCCAGCCAGTTACCTTTGTACAGCAAACTCCATAGGCTTGTGGCCTGCTTGCCAAGTTATCACTGACAACAGTTTTACCTATTTCTTTGGCACATGGGTTGCTTACTTCTCATTCTCAGTTATCTGTTTCCTTGCTACCCACCACTGAACTGCTAAGCCAATGCCAAATTTTTATGTTATTGTAATGGTACTTCAGAGTACCAATTTTAGTATTATTCATAGTAGACTACCTGCTAAATCTCAGTGGTTTGTCATCTATCAGTCTGTCTGCTTCTAGGAATTTTATTCTGTCTTGTGCCTCTTGCCTCCTCTGGATCCTAGGAGTTCTCTTCATTCATCAGCGATAGAAAAGTAATGGAAGATTGAATGTGAGGTTTTTATGGTCCAGGCCTTTTACTCACATTTTATTGGCCATAACTCAATTAGCCATGTGACCTCACCTAACTGCAGCAGGAATGGAAACTATATTCTGATTGTATGCCTAAAAGGAAGATAATACAGGATTTGGCAGAAACATGTCAGTATGCCCCATTTATACCATATATTCACAAACACAGGATAACTGTAAATATAAGACATACCTACATTTTCACAATGAGACTATCCAAATAAAGGGTTTTTTGTGCTTAGCTTGTATGCTTAAAATATTTACTAGTTTATTTACATATACAACTCTATGTAATATATAAAATAATACATTCATTTAGAAATACTACCTTATTCAAATCTCAGTTTTTATGAAACAGGTTTTTGTTTTGTTTTGTTTTGTTTTTTTTATTTTTATTATTATTACACTTTAAGTTTTAGAGTACATGTGCACAACGTGCAGATTTGTTACATATGTATACATGTGCCATGTTGGTGTGCTGCACCCATTAACTCGTCATTTACCATTAGGTATATCTCCTAATGCTATCCCTCCCCACTCCCCCCACCCCACAACAGTCCCCGGTGTGTGATGTTCCCCTTCCTGTGTCCATGTGTTCTCATTGTTCAATTCCCACCTATGAGTGAGGACATGCGGTGTTTGGTTTTTTGTCCTTGCGATGGTTTGCTGAGAATGATGGTTTCCAGTTTCATCCATGTCCCTACAAAGGACATGAACTCATCAGTTTTTATGGCTGCATAGTATTCCATGGTGTATATGTGCCACATTTTCTTAATCCAGTCTATCATTGTTGGACATTTGGGTTGGTTCCAAGTCTTTGCTATTGTGAATAGTGCCGCAATAAACATACGTGTGCATGTGTCTTTATAGTAGCATGATTTATAATCCTTTGGGTATATACCCAATAATAGGATGGCTGGGTCAAATGGTATTTCTAGTTCTAGATCCCTGAGGAATCGCCACACTGACTTCCACAATGGTTGAACTAGTTTACAGTCCCACCAACAGTGTAAAAGTGTTCCTATTTCTCCACATCCTCTACAGTTTTTTTTAAACTTTTCATCTCTACAGCCACTCTTTGAATATTGTAACAGATTTCTAGAGCACATGTGATTTGTGTAAGATAAGGGTTGTTTTGATTTCTGTCTAGATAATGTTTTGTAAATATTATCCCAAACAGTGCACTGGTTTATATAACATTTTTACATTTGTTTTCTTAAAGAGGTCTTTAAAAGGCTTCTGACAGGCCGAGCACGGTGGCTCATGCCTGTAATCCCAGCACTTTGGGAGGCTGAGGTGGGTGGATCGTCTGAGGTCAGGAGTTCGAGATCAGCCTGACCAATATGTCTCTACTAAAAATACATAAATTAGCCAGGCATAGTGGCACATGCCTGTAATCCCAGCTACTTAGGAGGCTGAGGCAGGAGAATTGCTTGAACCTGGGAGGTGGAGGTTGCAGTGAGCCAAGATCACGCCACTGCTCTCCATCCTGGGCAACAGAGCAAGACTCCGTCTTAAAAAAAAGAAGTCTTTTGACAATGATTCCTAACTTGCAATGGAGAAATTACATAGTCATAGGACTGATTAAGAAGTCTATATTAAGTTTTTTTGTCTCTCTTTTTCTTTCTGATTCCATCTCCTAAGTTCTGTAAGCAACTAAAATGTGCATTGATGCATATCTTTTCATACTAGTGTATCTTCGCCAAATAAGACTTGGTTCAAAATCATGTAAAATGTTAAGATACTATATGGACTAGAATACAAGTTGCCACCTTCATATCTGGAGATTAATGTTACAACTAAAAAAGAACTTTGTCTTATATTCTTGAGTAGACTTAGTACTATTTGCCTTGTAATAACCACTTTTGGTTCAATAACAGACGGGAGTGGAATCAACTTATAGCCTTTAAAAATGAGTAAGCACTATCAGTATTGTCAGACTCAGTGGAGTGTCTTAGCTAAGATGTGAATTTTCTGGCTACATCTGCTTCATGTACACAGATATCATAAGCTAATGATGTTCCTTTGAAAATACATGATGCCCTTCTTTTTTGCCTTCCATGCTAGTACAACAGAGTGATTCCTTTCTTTATGTTGTTATAAATAAGACAGCACAGCATAAATTAAGAGGCACTCAATAAACATCTACTTATAAGTGTTAGAAAGCATGTGTGTCAAAATTGACTACTTGTATATAAATTTTCAACTTCAAACTATTCCCTGTTAGACTTCAGTTTTAAATTGTGAAATATTCCATTTAAGAAAACAAAATTTCTTTTTTTAACATTGGTTTGAAAAAGATGAAATTTACTTCTCCTATATGCTCTTTAAGTATATAGTTATTATTATTTTTGCTTTCTCTTCCTAGATTTTCCACAGAATGAGCCTCAGATCAAGAATCAGTTTAATAAGAAGCTATCAGGAAGACTTGAAAATACAAAACAGCAATTGCAGCTGCCTCTTCATCCTTCATGGGAAGCAAGCAGAAGGCGAAAAGAACAGCAATCTAATATTGCTGTGTTTCAGGGGAAAAAAATTACGTTTGATGATTGATTAGTGCCTCTTTCTGCAAACTTTTCCATCTAAAAAAAAAAATGTTTTTTTTAAGACAGGATCTCATTCTGTTGCCCAGACTAGAGTACAATATTGCAATCACAGCTCACTGCAGCCTCAAACTCCTGGGCTCAAGTGATCCTCCCACCTCTGCCTCCCAAAGGGCTGGGACTGCAGGTGCATGCACTACCATGCCCAGCTTTCTCACCCCAGGCTCTGCAGCTATTACTTAAACTCGTATTTGAATAAGTCTCTTGGGGAGAATTATAGAATGTTTGTTTTTGTATTTTTTTTTAAAGTAAATTCAACTTACGCTTATATAAGCCTTTCACAAATCCAATATGTACTTAAATTGATTTTTAATAATATCCCTCAGACTGTTTCCCTTATGAAGTAATTTGGGGATTTTAGTGATCTCATATTTTCTCTTTAGTGCTTATCATGAAATGTGCTTCACTGGTTCAGCTCTGTTGTTTCCTTAAACATAAATGTCAATATATATTTAAAATAATAATGGAAACATAGGAAATCAGCTATTTAAACCAGATCACCCTTGTTAAAAATCATTCTTGTTAGCAAACTAAAATAGTAACTTTTATTATGGATGTACAGATAAATATTAATTTTATTATAGTTTTAAGTACTTGTGATCATGTACTTTTTGATTCTAAAATAGTTGTCTAGGACAATTTTGGGATTCTTAATTATATTTTAGTTAAGAAAATTGTTTAAATATAGCAATACAACCAATAATTTGTTTTATGTTTCACTGCATATAAATATTTCCATTAAATCAAGAATGTATATTATCTAGTTTTTACTATACTTATTTTAAAATTTTTGAGGAATCATAGATTCTAATTTTTAAGAACAAATTCTGAAGGTGGTAGGATTAAAAGAATATTTCCACTGATGGCTAAGCAAAGAAGTTGTAAGATGACTCACTGAGGAAGGGACTGCTTTATACATCACAGTACTGCTATTTAAAAGGAAAACAGAAATTTTTAAATCCCTTCAAATGTTTCACTTTTGCTATGCTGGGAAAAATTTTGAAGTTCTTGGTAAACTGAATAATGCTAATCCATGTTTCCTGCACATTAGTTCCTTTAATGGCAGGGAAGGCCATCTGGTTAACCTGTATTCACAAACTCTCAAGAGTTTCTACTTATTTCAGGAGCTTAAGAATTTAGATAACTCAGCCGGGCGTGGTGACTCATGCCTATAATCCCAGCACTTTGGGAGGCTGAGGCGGGTAGATCGCTAGAGGCAAGGAGTTCAAAACCAGCCTGGGCAACATGGTGAAACCCTGTCTCTACTAAAAATACAGAAAATTATCCAGGCGTGGTGGCCGGCATCTGTAATTCCAGCTACTCAGAAGGCTGAGGCATAAGAATTGCTTGAACCTGGGAGGTGGAGGTTGCAGTGAGCCAAGATTGCACCACTGCACTCCAGCCTGGGTGACAGAGTATGACTGTCTCAAAAAAAAAAAAAAATTTGATAAATAGAATAATGGAATTCAAGGGATTATGCAGAGAGAAAATTATTTTTGCTGTGTCAGATGCATACATTGTTTTTGTACTTCTTTCTTTTAAATTTTATTTTGATATAATTTCAGACTGACAAAAAAGTAAAAGGAAAATGTCTCTGTACCTACCCAGAGTTTGCCAGACTGTGAAGTTGGGGTCACTATCCTCCACACTGCTGAGTCTGTCCAAGACTTTTTACCTCAACTGGAAGGAGTTACGGTCCAAGTAAAAAGTTAAGAGGGAAGAGTTTTAAATTTGTTAGCTGTTAGCTATTAGATTTTGTTACAAGTACTGTTGGACTTTTTCTGGGATGCAGTGAAGTTACTTAGAATCAGATGGTCATTTTGAGGTTTGTGCTTTGTTAGAATGGGTCTACAAGAGCCATTAGTCTAGGGCATTGGTTCTCGACTTGGAGTGATTTTCCCCCCAGGGAACATTTGGCAACATCATCTGGAGATATTTTGCATAGTCAAGGGTTGGGGGTGGGAGGGGGCTACATCTAGCAGATATAGGCCTGGGATGCTGCTAAGCTGTGTGTAATATATACACACACAAAAAAGAATTTTATAGCCCAAAATGTTAACAGTGCTAAGGTTGAGAAACCCTGGTCTAGGGTTCATCTGACTCCACTACGAGGCATTACCATTTTAGGAACTCTACCTGATACTGTGTCTATCAGGAAATCTTTCTGCAATGGCTGGTCAGAACACAAACTATACCTGGGCTTGTGGAAGGCATAGTTCCACTTACTCCTTTCTAGTGTTTAGTTTTTTTCCTGGTCTTAGTTATATTCTTTATACACCTCATGCAGGTTGATCTTCCACTAAAGACTTGAAAGAACCCTTCTACAGAGCTTTGGAGCACTTTTTCTGTGTATTTCCTTCCTCTAGTATTTTGCCTCACAAATTCTAATCACGTTGACTTTTCTGAACTCTGAAGTCTGTCTCTAATTTCAGTAAGGCCACTGAGCTCTTTTGGGGTTCTTCTGTCTGCACTATGGTTTGGAAACTTCAGGCAGTGAGCTGGTATACTTGTAGCACTCAAACTCGTTTGTTTTTCTTCTGTCAGTTACGGTTATCCTTTGCCACCTGTTCTCCATTGTCTGAAAACTGTTGTTTGGTGTATTTTGTGCAATTTCCTAGTTGTTTAATATAGAAGGGCAAATCCAGTCCATGGATTTTTAAATTAAGTCCTTCATTATTTTAGTGCTCAAATTCTACTTAATTTGGCTAGTGGGAGCCTCCCCAAGCTGTCTCCTATGTCCTTTTAACATGTAAGTTCTTTAATAGTGAGAAAATTGATTACCATTATCGAGGATATATTTACATATTTGAAAGTTCAACCTTAGAATACATACACAAGCTAGTTTCAGAATTGCTAAGTGATAGCTCTGCAAAACAGAAGCCTACTAGCCAAAGAGTTCAATATTTGTTTAGAGCTCTTTAAAAGTTACCTGGGGTAATAACAGCTAAAATGGCAGAGTAAGAACATCCAAAAAATGTTTCTCTCTGTGAAAGCAATAAGAAAACTGTCCAAACTATCAGAATCAACCTTTCAGAACTCTAGAATTAACCAAAGGCTTGCAGCAATCCAAGAAGTATTTACTAAAGAAAAAATATCTGAATCTTGAATCTAAATCTTGATAAGAACAGGGATCTTTGTGAAACCTTGCCTTATTCTAATCTGCTTCCCAGATTCATGGTAGCTGTGAAAACCAACAGCCCATGATCATAGTGCAAACCAGCAGCCTGGCAGCCACTGGAGGGAGTTCAGAACAGGGTTGGAGTTTCTTCAGACACATTCCCTGAGTACTGTCATTATTTGACCTGACCAATGGTTAACTGGAAGGCTTAACTTGCAATGCTATATTTGTTTCATCTGAGTTAGAGCTTGCCCAATGAGATAAGCTTTTTCCCAGAGATTGTTTTTCAAAAACAATTAGAGGCTTTTTTTTTTTTTTAACATCAAGACTGCCTTAGGCAGTGAGTAACAGTTGGGGTAAACAGTAAATTAACCAAAAACTAAGTAAGTTAAAATAGCGTCTTTAATGTCTTTTTTGAGTAAGTCTGAAGTCTGGGCTTCCTCAGGGAATTTCTATTGCTTTTTTTCTATTACTCTTTTTAACCAAAAGTAACCACACTACTAAGTTTAATGAATCAGAGATTTCAACGACCATACACAACCAAGAATATAGACCTTACACATAAATAGTTCAGAAAGGTTGAACAACTAAAAGATAGGGACTTTGATAAGTTATGACATATTTTTTTGGAATCAAGGAGATTATGTACATGCATAAAGCTGTGTGCATACTCAGGAAAAAGCTGAGAAGGCCCTAAACTCTCACCAATGGCTGACCTTGAGGCACTGCATAAGTAGGTGAAGGCTAAGGAGAAGCTGTTAACTTGTGGCTAAGTATTAAAGGTGTGCCCCAACACACAGAGTCCCCAATACAAAGAGAAGTATTGATTCCAGGCATTTAAGGAAATCTGTCCAATTATTAGCACACTACTAAGCATATGAATCAGATATTTCATACACAACAAAGAATATAGACTTTACAAATATATAGTTCAGAAAGGTCAGTAAACAGCAAAATATAGCAACAACAGCAAAACCTGGTGAGGAAAGGGAGTCTGATATACAGAGTTGTAACATGTTATTTAAAATGTCCAATTTTCACCAAAAAATTATGAGACATGCACAAAAACAAGCAAGAATGGTCCATGCACTGATGGGGAAAAAAGCAATAGAAATTCCCTGAGGAAGCCCAGACTTCACACTTACTCAAAAAAGACATTGAAAACGCTATTTTAAATATGTTCAAAGAACCAAAGTAAACAACGTCTCACCAAATAGAGAAAATCAATAATGAGATAGAAATTACGAAGAAAAGCCAAAAAGGAATGAACAGATTCTCAGAGACCTGTGGGACACTGTCAGATGTACCAACATAGGCATGATGAAAGTCTCATGTCAACCATAATTTTCACCCATAGCCATACATGCCCAAGAGAATTGAAAACATGTAATACTTGAATGTGAATGTTCATAGTGGCATAATAGCTAAAAAAAAAGAACCCAGATATCCATCATCTGATGATGAGTGAACAGTGTGGTTTATGCATACAGTGGACTGGATTCAGGCATAAAAAGGAATGAAGTATTGATACAGACTACAACGTGAATGGATGAGCCTTAAGAATATCATGCTAACAAAGAAGCTAAACACACAATATGGTTCCACTTACATGCAATGTCCAAAATAAGTAAATCCATAGAGACTGAAAATACATCAGTGATTGCTAGGAGCTGGGAGAGGGAAGAATAGTGAGTGCATGCTAATGAGTCTGACATTTACTTTTAGAAAGATGAATGTATTCTGGAATTGGATAGCGCTGATTATACGACCTTGTGAATATACAGGATCCACTGAACTGCACTTTAAAAGGGTGAATATTGTGTGAATCATATCTCAATTTAAAAAGATATATATAAAGTTCCCTGGGTGAATACTGGTTTCCCTCCTCCCTTCAGTATATGTGAAATGTAGTGAAATTTATATGGTTCTGACAGTATTTTATTTTAATGATTTTTCCTCCATCCTTGGTAGTTTTTTTTTTTTCCTTTATGTATATGAAACGGCAACACTGTTCGTGAAGTCAGAGCTACACAAAATACTATAATCGGAGGAGTGGCAACTCTCCCCTTTCCCATTGTTTGTTCTTTCCACCCCATTCCCGCCCGCCCCCTGTAAACAATAAATCTCATTAATCCCTGGTAAATTCTTCCTGTGTTCCTGTTTGCACAGATGAACAAATATATGTCTATTTTTCTTACCTCATATTCTTTCTTATGCAAAAATTAGCAGTTTCTAGATGATTACGTGAACTTTGCCTTTTTCATTTAAAATATATCCTGGCAATCACTGCAGATTTGTTCATAGAGATCTTCCTCATTTAAAAAATTGTCTTATAGTACTCCACTGGGTAAATGTATAAGAATTTACTAAACCACTCTTCTATCTATGGGTATGTGGATTATTTTCACATTGTGCAATTACAAACAATGTTGCAAAGGAAATATATGAAAAAACAGTATGTATTTCATGTTGTTGCAGGTCTGTCTTCAGGGTAAATTTCTGGAAGTGGGAATGTTGTGTCAGAATGTAAATGCATATGTAGTTTTGTTGAAAATTGCTAAGTTCCCCTCCATGAAGGTTTGTATGCCCACTGCAGTGTATGACAGAGGCCTATTTTCCCATGACCTCTTTGTTTTTTTTATTTGTTTTTTTGTTTTTCTTTTGTTTGTTTGTTTTGAGATGGAGTCTGGCTCTGTTGCCTCCCATGACCTCTTTGTGACAGTAAGATGGGTAAGAAATATTACCTCTATGTAATTTGGCTGTGTATTGCTTACTCTTTGGGAGGATAGTTGAATACTTTTTAATGTTTAAGGACCACTTTTGTATCAATTTTTTGAATTTTTTTTTTTGCCCATTTTTCCACTGGTGAGGGTTTTTTTTTCCTTTTTCCCCCTAATTTTTAAGGTTTATTTATTATATATTAGGGATAGTAGCCCTTTACCTGTTTTATGTACTGCAAATATTTTTCCGTTTGTCAATTGTCTTGATTTTATGTTGTTTTTCTATCATGTTATTTCTTTTTCTGCCATTTATTTCTGCCATATAATCAGATGCATGAGTTTCTCTTTTTATTTCCTTTTGTTCCATTTTTACAAATGTATTGAGAAAAATAGTTCAAAAATCTTTCCTTACAACGGTTTGCTTGCTTTGCTTGCTACTTCATCCAATATCAGTATTGTGCTTCTGCTTTTTTTTTTTGAGGTAAAGTCTCACTGGAGTGCACTGGTGCCATCTTGACTCACTGCAACCTCTGCCTCTCAGGTTCAAGCAGTTCTCTCTGCCTCAGCCTCCCCGTTAGCTGGGATTACAGGCACCTGTCACCACGCCTGGTTTTTTATAGTTTTAGTAGAGATGGCGTTTCACCGTGTTGGCCAGGCTGGTCTCGAAATCCTGACCTCAGGTGATCTACCTGCCTCAGACTCCCAGAGCGCTGGGATTACATGTGTGAGCCCCCACGCCCAGCCGGTGCTTCTGCTTTCTTGTTTCCATTTGCCTGGAAGACCTTAGATATTCTTTTATTTTCAGTTTTTTTTTTTTTTTTTTTTTTGAGACAGAGTCTTGCTTCATTGCCCAGGCTGGAGTGCAGTGGCACGATCTCGGCTCACTGCAGCCTCTGCCTCCTGGGTTCCAGCAGTTCTCCTGCCTCAGCCTCCTGGGTAGCTGGGATTACAGGCACACGCCACCACGCCCAGCTAATTTTCGGGTTTTTAGTAGAGATGGTGTTTTGCCATGTGGGCCAGGCTGGTCTCGAACTCCTGACCTCAGGTGATCCACCCGCCTCAGCCTCCCATGGTGCTGGGATTAAAGGCGTGAACCACTGCGCCCGGCCTATTTTTAGCCTTTCTAAATAATTGTTTTAGGTGTTTCTCTTGAATAGAGCATATAGTTGGTTCTTTATGAACCCAAATGAAGATCTTTTCCATTTAATAAGTGAAGTAAGCCCTTTCACATGTGTTAAGATGAATATGTTTGCTGTCAACCCTGCCAGATTATTTTATGCTGTAATTATTATATTTATTACATTTAGTCTGTTTTTCGTTATAATGTGTTTACTGTGCTCTTCTTTAAAAACAAAATCTTAAATTTGGTATTTAGGAAGGTTTATGTTTCTGTTGTCCTTTTGCTTATACTTTTTTTAATGCCCTTAGCGCCCCCCCCATTTTTTATTTAGAATCTGTATTGTCCATCTTTAATGACATTCTTTAACTTTCACATGTTGCTTAAATACCAGTTATTGAGTTTTCCTACTTTCCTTTTTTCATCTACCTTCTCTTCCTATTTTTAGTTGCATCATTTTTTATTCATCAGAACATACAGCACAAAACAAATAGCATTATCATATAACCTATTATTATTATACCCTGTTCTCACCTTAATTTTGATCTTAGATTTGCAATTAAGTATATTTAATGCTAAATTGCTGAAGTTTCTCTAGTCATTTTTTTGTTTGAATAAAGTTTATTTTCTAGCAGATTTCTTAAAAAAAAAAAGACTCATGGAAAGAATTTTTTGAGCTCTTGATGTTTAAAAGTTTTTCTGTATTTTTGATACTTAAAAGAACCATGGCTAAATCTTGGGATTGTTACTCTTAGTGATCCTGCCACTCTTCCTTGTGACACCAAAACTCTTCACTGTATCTTTGATAAATCTTTTCCAGGAGTGTCTGTTGCCCCTTTCCCAATTAGGAGATGTATCTGTTTGTCTGGGCAGAGGATAGCTTTCTGTCCCTTTCCAGGGATACAGGTTTTTTTTTTGTTGTTGTTGTTGTTTTTTCTATTACCCTTTCACAAGTCACAGTGAGTCTTCACCTGTGTCCTGAGTGACAGTGTTTGATGTCCTTCCTTCCAGTGGCTTAAGTTTTTGTTGTTGTTTGTTTGTTTTTTCCAGTAGGGAAAAAGGGTCCTAGTGGAGATTTGTATCTTTCCTACAGCAGCAGCCCCTCCTCTTTCAGGCCTACATCCTCAACAGTTTTATCTGCCCTGTCTCCCATCTTTCTCCTGAGTGTCCAGTGTAGGCTCATATCTATGAGCCTAAGATTAGATGCAAATTCCCCTTATGTCAGCAGCTCTCAGGGCTTCATAGTCTCAAGTTAGCCCACATTCAGCTGCAGCAATTCATCAAAAACTTTAATCAAATACTTCTTACCTTTATGGCAACCCCATCTTCCTTCTGTGCTCTGTCACAAGTGAGCCAGTGCTCTTAAATCTTTTTCCTAGGAGGTGCTTGTACTTCCCTAGATCTCTGGCTGCTTGGTTTTCCGACTACCACATCTCTTTGTTGGATTCAAGAAAATTTATGATTTTGTAATTTTTTCTATTAGAATTTTTAGAGTGGAAATAATGATCATTCCAGCTTACTATATTCTATGCCCCAGTTTCATTTTTATGGTGTCTTTTGTGCTGTATAAGTGTTTTTATGTAACCAAATTTATCAATCACTTCAATTTGCCATCTGTGTTTTATCTTATGTAAGAGAGCCTACCCTTGTTGGACAATGCAATCTACCATAAGCCTTGAGCTTCCACAGGTTCTCGCTAAGTATACCAAGACCTCAAAGCCCTGTTCACCTTTTACCTGGGTCATTTTTCAGGATTTTATTTGCACTGAGCAAGCTTGAGGAATGAGTAACATCTCCTCCAGGACAAAAATCAGTCAAGTTCAATACTCCTCTCCTACAGTGAATCTACAGGTATCAAACAAACGATGGTCCTTTGTGTTTTCCCCATAGGACTTGGGAGAATACAAGTATACAGGAAGGGGTTAACTCAGCTGGCCAGGGTTGCTCAAACTCTGCACGTTCCCAAGATATGCTTGTCTTGCAGACTGGTTCTTGGTCAGCTCCTGGGAGATGAGCTCTGAACTAACAATTCTTTCTGATAAGAGCATTTTTGTATGCATAAGGCCTTGGACCTTCTGATACCACTTTGATCAGCTAGTTTTATCTAAGTGATTTATGGTGAGTACTCATCTGTGCTCTGGGAGACTGGAGTCTGAATAGCTGAGGTCAATCATACAGGTGATTTATATCTATGTGACTGACCCCCCCATTAAAAACCATAGACCCCAAGGATCAGGTGAGCATCCTAGTTGGCAACATTTTGCACAAGTTGTCACACATTGTGCTGGGAGAAATAAGTACATCCTGAGAAAGGCCTGTCTTTGGGACTGGCTCTTGGACAGCTCCTGGAAGATGACCTCTGAGCCTTTTGCGAACGTAGTACCGATTTGATCAGACAGTTTATGTTAACAATGTGATTTATGGTGAACATTTCTTTCTCTGGGAGGCTAGAGATGGAGTAGCTGAGTTCAGTCCTGTAAGTGATTTACGCCTATGTGATTGACCCTGTGTAAAAACCTTGAGCACCAAGGCTCAATGTGAGCTTCCCTGGTTGACAACATTAGTACATGTTTTCACACATCATTTTTGGAGTGTGTCCATATGACCCAACTGGGAGAGGACACCTGGAAGCTTGCCCCTGCCCCTGTTTTGTCCTAGGTTTTGCCCCATGTACCTTTTCCCTTTGCTGATTGTAATCTATATCCTTTAATCTGTGATAAACGATGAGTATGAATATAGCAGCATTTTCTGACTCCTGTGAGTTTTTTTTTTTTTTTTAAGAGATGGAGTTTCACTCTTGTTGCCCAGGCTGGAGTGCAATGGCGTGATCTCGGCTCACTGCAACCTCTGCCTCCCTCCCGGGTTCAAGCAATTCTCCTGCCTCAAGCTCCCGAGTAGCTGGGATTACAGGCATGCACCACCATGCCTGGCTAATTTTGTATTTTTGGTAGAAACAGGGTTTCTCTATATTGATCAGGCTGGTCTCCAACTCCCGACCTCAGGTGATCCGCCCGCCTTGGCCTCCCAAAGTGCTGGGATTATAGGCGTGAGCCACTGTGCCCAGCCTCCTGTGAGTCTAGTGAATCATTGAGCCTCAGGGTGGTCTTAGGGACCCCCAACCCAATGGGGAAACTGACACAAACATCATGCTCACACTCTGCCTCTTGTTTTTGCCATGACTAATAAAATTATTTGTCTCTAATCCAGGACCACATGTCTTCTGCCGGCATCCCTAAAATTGTCGCAGGCTAACTTTGTAGCTTGCAGGTAGGGTAAACTCCCATTCCTCATAGAATTCTTACCATCTTCAAATTATTCCATGTTTTCCTCTTGTATTTTTATAGCTATATGTTTAAATGTAGCTCTTCTCTTTTTATTTTATTTTTTTCATTTTTTAGAGTCTTACTCTGTCGCTATGTTGAAGAGCAGTGGCGTAATCATAGCTAACTGCAGCCTTGGACTCCTGGACTCAAGGAATCCTCCTAAGTAGCCAAGATTACAGCCACATGCTAACACACCTGGCTATTCAGTTTTTATTTTGTATTCTTTTTTTTTTTTGGTAGAGATGGAGCCTCACCACGTTGCCACGTCGCCCAGGCTGATCTCAAACGCCTGGCTTCAAGTGTTCCTTCCACCTTGATTTCCCAAGGTACTGGGATTATACCCATGAGCCACAGTGCTTGGCCTGAATGTAGCTCTTAATCCATCTGGATTTACCCCTGTGTGTTCTGGCAGAGATTGGCAAACTGCTTTATCAAACCAATTAGTATACAACTAATCTACATTTTCCAACCCCTCTTGAAGTTAGGTTTGGGTCATGTGACTTAGGAATTGCTTAATCCTTAAGTGGAATGTGGATGAAAACTATCTGAGCCATTTCCAGGTGTGGCCCATAAAATCTCATATCTCCCACTCATTTTTTATGTCTTAGATGGATGCCTACCTTTTTAAGATGAAGGAGTAATTATCACAATTATCAGCCTAAATAACGCCATTTGGACTTAAGTGATCATCAAATAAACATCCGTTTTGTTAAACCAATGAGAGTTTGGAATTTTTTGTTATAGTACAGGTAGCACTATTCTGATACAGAAATTGGTGCTAGAAAAATGATACTCCTATAGGGGTGGGGGACGGGGAAGGAGCCCAAAAGCCCAAAATATAGGGTCTGGCACAGAGTCGGGAGGAAAATGACTAGCCAGGGCTAAAAAACGAGATTCATGTCATACAGTGACAAAGCAGTTATTAAAATGATCATCTGCAATTTTTTAGAAGGTGGGCCACATGGTTCCTAACCCTATAGCTCTAGGAAAAAAGACTGGAAAATGAAATGTTATTAGTGAGTGTTGGGCTGTGGGAATCATTTACTAGTTTGCAAGCAAAACAAAAATGAAAAGCAAAGGATCAAATATCACTGCTTCCAGTCCCAAGTGATAAGAGATTGTGTACAAAGATCCACTGAGACTCCTGGCTCCAGCATAGACCTGAGTAAGGGTGTGCAATTTCCTTCCAAACATGATAGCCTTTAAGGCATAAGGACAAAGGAAGGAAAATGCAAGGCAGGCTTGAAAACTTTATTTAGGAAAGAACTTTAAGAGATGCTACCAATGTATGTAATAGAATAGACACCCTCCTCTCAAAAACTATAGTCATTTGCCTGTTTTTGGTGCCAAAGTAATTGCAAGACTGGACTCCATCAGCCTTTGAATGTTCTATCATTAAACGTACTTTGGGGCTCCCAAACTTTCTCAGGGAAGAGGTGGGATGCAAAAACTATAAAAAACCCCAAGGAGGGTACACTCTCCATCATTTATTTCAAATGTGGCATATGGTAATTATGAAAAAAAAAATCTCCAAGAGGATGGCTCTAGTGCTTTGAAAAACAATGAACAAGTACTTCCTTCCAGATAGCAAAATTAAAATCAAAGAAATGCCCTCACTCCTGGATCAGAGGACTTCAAAATGCTTGCTAGTGAGATATCGTAACTATAACAGAACGGTGTGTCCTCTGTATCTCTCATATTCCGTAATGGGAATGGCAGCTTCTATTATAAATTTGTCCTTACTCATCCTAATATGCTGGGCCTGGTGGCAGGGGAGAAATTTCTGTACCTGGTGTTTAAGAAGGTATATCCAGAATTGATGGAAAGAACCATGCTTCATTCAGAGATCTTGGACTTTGAGCTGGTTATAGTAACTGGATGGAACTTTGAATTGCCTCTGTTGAGGAAGGAGGGTGTATGTTCTGGGTGTGGTAGGATATTTGGTAACCAGAAGGACATAGTATGTTAAAAACTGGCTAAGTGCTCACTGAATCTATTACTTCTTTCCTTAGGCACCTGGGCAAATAATATTTCCCAGCCTCCATAAAGTTAGGCAAATTCTGGCCAGTGGAATACAGGTAAAATGATTACATGATTTTCACCTTCCCCACAAAACTTTCCAGATAATCTTCCACACTTCTTCCATTATATCCCAGACAGACGTTGATATACTGGGCAATTTTCAAGATAGAGTTTGAAGATGGTGAAGTTTCTATTTGCTGGGTTCTCTGAATAATTGCATTGAGCAGATCCTCCCAAGTCCATCCAGTCTTTACACAAGCAAAAAATGAATGAGTATTGAAGTGACTGAGATTTAGGGAGTTTATCTGTTACTGTAGTTAGGATTATCCTTACACATATATGATATATGGTTGGGATCTAACTATTCTATTTTGTCCAAAATGAATAATGTTCTAATGCTATATTTGAGTAATTGGGTTATCCTTATTTGAAATGTCACCATATAATCATGTAAATGTTCCTGGAGACTCTTTTTGCTTATCTCTTTATCTGATCCAGTATTACATTTTAAACTATTATACCTTTATATTTTATTCAGATAACCAGTAGCTTGGTTTATCCATAAATCTTTTCCCCCAAATTTCCTTAGCTATTCTTATACCTTTTCTTTACAAATAATTTTTTAATCAATTTGTGAAATTTTATTTTTTTAATTATGTTGGGTCATTACTTTTGATTAATTTTAGGAATTATTTGTAACCTGGGAAGTATTTGTATTTCAAACATCTCTTTTTGTTATTCTCTAATTAGTTGCATAAAATCATGGATTTGCCAGTGTGAATTGGGCCTATACTATAGAATTGTAGAACAAATTATATGTACAGGAACATGTTCAGTAGCCTAAGTACGATATCATCCTGCAAAAATTAAGTAGCCTTAAGCTGAATACTGGAATGTTGTTTGTACTTTGAACATGTGTTTCTCTTCAGGGGAAAACTTGTTTTGAAAGAAAGTCATTCTCCATGTTGTTTTCAGGATAAAATTAAAAGGATGTTTTTCAGTAAAGACAGCCAAAGCTTAGAGGGTCAATAAAGGGAGGAGGGTATTTGTGTTTATTTTTCAACGACTACGGTATGAATACTCAATGCTTAGCTTTGCTCTCTCTATCTGGACAGAAGTTCACAGCCTTCACATACACCAACAAACAAGCAATTTAGCTCGTATTTGAAATAGGTGTGAATTAGTTGATATCGTAGGCACCAGCTATGATAAAGGAGAGGTTGTCAGGCCCTATCAAATTTTTAAAGATTTACAAGCACTAAAATTGCACAATTAATGTACCTAAAGTATATGTTCTTGAGTGCTTGAATTTATGTTCTGCACTTTAATACCTGCAAGCCTCCCTCCCTCAATTTTTCAGATCTCTGTTCAAAGGTCATCTTGTTAGAGAGAACTTCTCTGACTTCACTTAGAAAGTATCAACTGGTTATTTCCTCCTTTTTGCTTTTTCTTCTATGACATTCATCACCTAACATATATAAGTTTATATAGTTTTCAGCCTCCTCCATCTAGAATATAGATTTGTGGATTAGGGACAATTTTGAACAGTGGTTGATACATAGTAAGTGCTCAGTTAAATATTTGCTTTTCGAAAATATGCATAAGTTTTTCAGTTTATCAATGACTCATATGGTTGAATAGCTGTAGTCACCAGTTAGGAGGCTATTAGAATAATCTAAATGAGAGATAAGTGGCTTGGGCTTGAGTAGTAGCAGTGGAGAATGAGAATGGGAGAGAGAGTGATGGATATTTGATTATATAGAAAGGAATGAATCAATCCCCTAAGGAAAGTATGGTAGAGTAATTGAAATAAGAAACAGTATGATTACTGGGCAGCATTTGGGGCCCATTTGAACTTTACCATAATTGATTTAAAGTGAAAGCAATCAGTATAGGTATTTGTATTTTTATTTCTGTGATATGCTTTTTTTTTAACCATATCTATTTTGGGCTCTTGGTCTTTTTCGTTATTTGTTTGTGGGAGCTCCTCATATGTTAAAGGAATTAGCCCTTTGCCTACCATGCCTTGCAAAGAATTTTCATTTTCTCATTTGCCTTTTAGCTTTAATTTTTTTTCAAACAGAATATTTCATTTTATTCATGTTATAAATGTGATCTGATCTTTTACATTCTAATTGGCTGTTGGTGGTATATGTGAAGGTTATGAACTCCTATATACTGATAATTTTCTCAGCCACCTTACAAAACTCTCATTATTTTTAATAGTTTCTCTGTTGTTTCTCTTGTATTTTTCCAGGTTCAGAATTATATCATCTAAAGATATTAATAGTTTTACTTATTCCTTTCTAATTTTCATAATTCTTTATCTTGCCTAATTAGAATTGCTAGTACCTCCAGTAAAACATACAATAATAGCAATGATATTAGACCACCTTGTTTATTTCTGACTTTAATGGGAATAATTCTAGTGTTTGCTTTTAGCATGAAATTCACTTTTAAATTTAGACAGATATGGTGTTAAGATCTATTCCTCTTACTGAAGTGTATTTTTTTTCAGTTCAAGAATAGACATTGAGCTTTATCAGATACCTTTTAAACATTTATGAAAATGAAGATATGATTTTTTGTTGTTCTTTAAACATTTCTTGGAATAACTCTGAAAGAACATTTGTGCCTAGTGCATTTTGACAACTCTATTTTTTCTGTATTAAGTTATCTGTTTCTATTTTAATCTGAACTCAATTTAAATTTTTCTTTAAAAGTAACCATTTTGTCCCTGTTATATATGTTATTTGCAGAACTAAACAATGTAACCTCTTGATTTTTTAAAATTTTATTTTTTATTTTTTGAGACAGGGTCTCACTGTGTCACCCAGGTGAGTGCTATAACACGATCATGGCTCACTGCAGCCTTGAGCTCCAGGGTTCAAGCGATCCTCCTACCTCAGCCTCCTAAGTAGCTGTGACTACAGATACATGCCACCACACCTGGCTTTGTAGAGACAACATCTTGCTATGTTGCCCAGGCTATTCTTGAACCCTGAGCTCAACTGATCCTCTTTCCTTGGCTTCCCAAAGTGCTGGAATTACAGGCATGAACCACCACACTTGGCACCTCTTGATTTTTAAAATAACTTCTGCTAGTTTGAACTATTTTGCCCTTTTTCTTATTTTGCATATTTGTGTTTTATACTTCTTTTCTAGATTAGTTAGTTAACAATTTTCCTAAGGAAGGTATGTATTTTTTCTTTGTGTGCTCTTTTAGCCATATCCCATAGGTTCCAATGCATTGTGATTTTTAAGATACTGTTTTTCTCTTTTCGACCTTTTCAAAATTTCATTTCACCTGTTTTCTCGATTTTCCTTCTCTGCTATTTTAGAATTTCTTTTGGTATTAACCTTTAAAGTTAAAGGTATGTATTTTCTTAAAATCTAAATGAATCTCATTCTATAGGCCTACCAAATAATATATAGGCCTCAGAAGTCTTTCACCACTCTTATCTTGCATGCATTTTTGTCAAATATTTTAATTACTATAGATTATTGCTTAAAACAGTCAATATTCATGTAGATTTACCCACGTTTACCAGTTTCTGTGTTCATCAATTTTTCCTTGTCTCCATCCTTCTTTCTAATATTATTTTTCTACTTTCTTAAGTACATATGTTTTCAGCATTGTATAGTGATAGTCTCATTCTTAAATAATAGTCTAATAGGGTCATGAGACTTATTTCCTTCTGTTACTATGAAAATATCTGTCTCACTATTTTCTTTTTTTTTCTTTTTTTTCTTTTTCGAGACAGAGTCTCCCTCTGTCGCCCAAGCTGGAGTGCAGTGGTGCGATTTTGGCTCACTGCAACCTCTGCTTCCTGGGTTCAAGCAATTCTCCTGCCTCAGCCTCCTGAGTAGCTGGGATCACAAGCATGCCTTGCTACACCCGGCTAGGTTTTGTATTTTTAGCAGAGACGAGGTTTCACTCTGTTGGCCAGGCTGGTCTCAAACTCCTCACCTCAAGTGATCCGCCCACTTCAGCATCCCAAAGTGCTAGGATTACAGGCGTGAGCCACCATGCCCAGCCTGTCGCTGTTTTCTGACTTTCTTTTGTTTCTGTCAAGTCAGCTCTCAGTCACATTGTCATTTTATAGGCAACTTTTGTGTGTGTCACTGATTCTTTTACAATATGAAATAATTGCATTTCTTAACAGAGGCTCTCTTTACAGTTGTAATTTTGTATACTCTACTTAATAATACTCCACGGCTTTAGAATAAGGGTCAGCAAACTTTTTTTGTAACAGATGAGGTTGTAAATATTCTAGACTTTGCAGGCCATAAGGTCTCTGTGGCAGCTACTCAACTCTGGTATTGTAGCACAAAAGCAGCTATGGATAATATGGAAACAAATTATTCATTAAATTTTTTTTATTTAACTTTTAAGTTTTAGGGGTGGATGTGCAGGTTTGTTATATAGTTAATCTCCTTGTCACAGGAGGTTGGTGTACTGATAGTCTTGTCTCCCTGGTAATGCGCATGATACCTCATAGGTAGTTTTTCTGATCCTCTCCCTCCACCCACCCTCCACCCTTAAGTAGGACCCAGTGTCTGCTGTTCCTCTCCTAGTAGCCACGTGTTCTCATTGTTTAGTCCCCACTTGCAGGTGAGAATGTGCAGTATTGGATTTTCTGTTCCTGTGTTAGTTTGCTTAGGATAATGGCCTCCAGCTCCATCCACATTGCTTCAAAGGACTTGATCTCATTTTCTTTTTAATGGCATCATATGGGGCATATGTACCACATTTTCTTTATCGAGTCTAACATTGGTGATCATTTAGATTGATTCTATGTCTTTGCTATTGTGAATAGGGCTGCAGTGAACATACATGTGCATGAGTGTTTATGGTAGAACAATTAATATTCCTTTGGATATATACCCAATAATGAGATTGTTGAGTCAAATAATAATTCTCTTTCGAGTTCTTTGAGGAATTGTCACAACTACTTTCCACAATGGCTGAACTAATTTACACTTCAACCAGTAGTGTAAGTATTCCCTTTTCTCCACAACCTTGCCAGCATCTATTATTTTTTTTTTTTACTTTTTAATAATAGCCATTCTCACTGGTGTGAGATGGTATTGCATTGTGGTTTTGATTGACATTTCTCAAATGATTAGTGATGTTGAGCATTTTTTCATATGCTTGTTGGCTGCATGTATGTCTTCTTTTGAAAAGTGTCTGTTCATGTCTCTTACCCATTTTCTAATGGAGGTTTTTAGTTTTTTTCTTGTGACTTTGTTTAAATTCCTTATAGATTCTGGATATTAGATCTTTGTTGGATGCATTGTTTGTTAAATATTTTCTCCCATTCCATAGGTTTTCTCTTTATTCTGTTGATAGTTTCTTTTGCTGTGCAAAAGCTCTTTAATTTAACTAGGTCCTACTTGTCAATTTTTGTTTTTCTTGCAATTACTTTCAGTATCTTTGTCATGAAACCTTTGCCAAGTCCTGTGTTCAGAATGGTATTTTCTGGGTTGTCTTTCAGGGTTTTTATAGTTTTAGTTTTTACATTTAAGTCTTTAATCCATCTTGAGTTAATTTTTGTATCTGGTGTAAGGTAGGGGTCCAATTTCAATCTTCTGCATATGGCTAGCCCATCATCCTAGCACCATTTATGAACAGAGAGTCCTATCCACATTGCTTGTTTTTGTCAACTTTGTCAAAGACAAGATGGTTGTACATTTGTGGCACTATTTCCAGACTCTTTATTCTGTTTTGGTCTATGTGTCTGTTTTTGTACCAGGACCATGCTGTTTTGGTTACTGTAGATCTGTAGTATAGTTTGAAGTCAGGTAGTGTGATGCCTCCGTCTTTGTTCTTTTTGTTTAAGATTGCCTTGGCTGTTTGGGCTCTTTTTTGGTTTCATATGAATTTTAAAATAGATTTTTCTAATCCTGCCAAAAATGTCATTGGTAGTTTCATAAGAATAGTACTGAATCTGTAAATTGCTTCAGGCAGTATGGCCATTTTAACAATATTGATTCTTTCTATCCATGAGCATGGAATGTTTTTCCATATGTTTGTGTCATCTCTGATTTCGTTGAGAAATGTTTTATAATTCTCATTGTAGAGATCTTTCACCTCAATAGTTAGCTGTATTCCTAGGTATTTTATTCTTTTTGTGGTAATTGTGAATGGGATTCTGTTCCTGATTTGGCTCTTGGCTTGTATGTCACTGGTGTATAGGAATGCTACTGATTTTTATACATTGATTTTGTATCTTGAAACTTTCCTGAAGGTCTTTATCATATTGAGGAGCTTTTGGGCAGAGATGGTGGGGTTTTCTAGATATAGAATCATGTCATCTGCAAACAGAAATATTTTAACTTTCTCTCTTCCTATTTGGAGGCCTTTTATTTCTTATTCTTGCCTGATTGCACTGGCGATGACTTCCAATACTATGTTGAATAGGAGTGGTGAGAGAGAACATCCTTGTCTTTGCCTGCTTTCAAGGGGAATGCTTCCAGCTTTTGCTTATTCAGTATGATGTTGGCTGTGGGTTTGTCATAGATGGCTCTTATTATTTAAAAGTATGATCCTTCAATGCCTAGTTTATTGAGGATTTTTTTAATTATACTTTAAGTTTTAGGGTACATGTGCACAACATGCAGGTTAGTTACACATGTATACATGTGCCATGTTGGTGTGCTGCACCCATTAACTCGTTATTTAATATTAGGTATATCTCCTAATGCTATCCCTCCACCCCCCCTCACCCCACAACAGGCCCCAATGTGTGATGTTCCCCTTCCTGTGTCCATGCGTTCTCATTGTTCAATTCCCACCTATGAGTGAGAACAGGCGGTGTTTGGTTTTTTGTCCTTGTGATAGTTTGCTGAGAATGATGGTTTCTAGCTTCATCCATGTCCCTACAAAGGACATGAACTCATCAGTTTTTATGGCTGCATAGTATTCCATGGTGTATATGTGCCACATTTTCTTAATCCAGTCTATCATTGTTGGACATTTGGGTTGGTTCCAAGTCTTTGCTATTGTGAACAGTGCCACAATAAACATACGTGTGCATGTGTCTTTATAGCAGCATGATTTATAATCCTTTGGGTATATACCCAGTAATGGGATGGCTGGGTCAAATGGTATTTCTAGTTCTAGATCCCTGAGGAATAGCCACACTGACTTCCACAATGGTTGAACTAGTTTACAATCCCACCAACAGTGTAAAAGTGTTCCAATTTCTCCACATCCTCTCCAGCACCTGTTGTTTCCTGACTTTTTAATGTTCGCCATTCTAACTGGCGTGAGATGGTATCTCATTGTGGTTTGGATTTGCACTTCTCTGATGGCCAGTGATGATGAGCAGTTTTTCATGTGTCTTTTGGCTGCATAAATGTCTTCTTTTGAGAACTGTCTGTTCATTCCTTTGCCCACTTTTTGATGGGGCTGTTTGTTTTTTTCTTGTAAATTTGTTTGAGTTCATTGTAGATTCTGGATATTAGCCCTTTGTCAGATGAGTAGGTTGCAGACATTTTCTCCCATTCTGTAGGTTGCCTGTTCACTCTGATGGTAGTTTCTTTTGCTGTGCAGAAGCTCTTTAGTTTAATTAGATCCCATTTGTCAATTTTGGCTTTTGTTGCCATTGCTTTTGATGTTTTAGACATGAAGTCCTTGCCCATGCCTATGTCCTGAATGGTATTGCCTAGGTTCTCTTCTAGGGTTTTTATGGTTTTAGGTCTAACATTTAAGTCTTTAATCCATCTTGAATTAATTTTTGTATAAGGTGTAAGGAAGGGATCCAGTTTCAGCTTTCTACATATGTCTAGCCAGTTTTCCCAGCACCATTTATTAAATAGGGAATCGTTTCCCCATTGCTTGTTTTTGTCAGGTTTGTCAAACATCAGATGGTTGTAGATATGTGGCATTATTTCTGAGGTCTCTGTTCTGTTCCATTGGTCTATATCTCTGTTTTGGTACCAGTACCATGCTGTTTTGGTTGCTGTAGCCTTGTAGTATAGTTTGAAGTCAGGTAGCTTGATGCCTCCAGCTTTGTTCTTTTGGCTTAGGATTGTCTTGGCAATGCGGGCTCTTTTTTGGTTCCATATGAACTTTAAAGTAGTTTTTTCCAATTCTGTGAAGAAAGTCATTGGTAGCTTGATGGGGATGGCATTGAATCTATAAATTACCTTGGGCAGTATGGCCATTTTCATGATATTGATTCTTCCTATCCATGAGCATGGAATGTTCTTCCATTTGTTTGTATCCTCTTTTATTTCATTGAGCAGTGGTTTGTAGTTCTCCTTGAAGAGATCCTTCACATCCCTTGTAAGTTGGATTCCTAGGTATTTTATTCTCTTTGAAGCAAGTGTGAATGGGAGTTCACTCATGATTTGGCTCTGTTTGTCTGTTATTGGTGTATAAGAATGCTTGTGATTTTTGCACATCGATTGTGTATCCTGAGACTTTGCTGAAGTTGCTTATCAGCTTAAGGAGATTTTGGGCTGAGATGATGGGGTTTTCTAGGTATACAATCATGTCATCTGCAAACAGGGACAATTTGACTTTCTCTTTTCCTAATTGAGTACCCTTTATTTCCTTCTCCTGCCTGATTGCCCTGCCCGGAACTTCCAACACTATATTGAATAGGAGTGGTGAGAGAGGGCATCCCTGTCTTGTGCCAGTTTTGAAAGGGAATGCTTCCAGTTTTTGCCCATTCAGTATGATATTGGCTGTGGGTTTGTCGTAGATAGCTCTTATTATTTTGAGATACATCCTATCAATACCTAATTTATTGAGAGTTTTTCACATGAAGGTTGTTGAATTTTCTCAGAGGCGTTTTCTGCATCTATTGAGATAATCCTATGGTTTTTGTCGTTGGTTCTGTTTATATGCTGGATTCCGTTTATTGATTTGTGTATGTTGAACCAGCCTTGCATCCCAGGGGTGAAGCCCACTTGATCATGGTGGATAAGCTTTTTGATGTGCTATTGGATTCGGTTTGCCAATATTTTATTGAGGATTTTTGCATCAATGTTCATCAAGGATATTGGTCTAAAATTCTCTTTTTTTGTTGTGTCTGTGTCAGGCTTTGGTATCAGGATGATGCTGGCCTCATAAAATGAGTTAGGGAGGATTCCCTCTTTTTCTATTGATTGGGATAGTTTCAGAAGGAATGGTACCAGCTCCTCTTTGTACCTCTGGTAGAATTCAGCTGTGAATCCATCTGGTCCTGGACTTTTTTTGATTGGTAAGCTATTAATTATTGCCTCAATTTCAGAGCCTGTTATTGGTCTTTTCAGAGATTCAACTTCTTCCTTGTTTAGTCTTGGGAGGGTATATGTGTCCAGGAATTTATCCATTTCTTCTAGATTTTCTAGTTTATTTGCGTAGAGGTGTTTATAGTATTCTCTGATGGTAGTTTGTCTTTCTGTGGGATCAGTGATGATATCCCCTTCATCGTTTTTTATTGCATCTATTTGATTCTTCTCTCTTTTCTTCTTTATTAGTATTGCTAGCGGTCTATCAATTTTGTTGATCTTTTCAAAAAATGAGCTCCTGGATTCATTGATTTTTTGAAGGGTTTTTTTGTGTCTCTGTTTCCTTCAGTTCTGCTCTGATCTTAGTTATTTCTTGTCTTCTGCTAGCTTTTGAATGTGTTTGCTCTTGCTTCTCTAGTTCTTTTAATTGTGATGTTAGGGTGTCAATACATAGGCTCAAAATAAAGTGATGGAGGAAGATCTACCAAGCAAATGGAAGACAAAAAAATGCAGGGGTTGCAATCCTGGTCTCTGATAAAACAGACTTTAAACCAACAAAGATCAAAAGAGACAAAGAAGGCCATTACATAATGGTAAAGGGATCAATTCAACAAGAAGAGCTAAGTATCCTAAATATGTATGCACCCAATACAGGAGTACCCAGATTCATAAAGCAAGTCCTTAGAGACCTAGAAAGTGACTTAGACTCCCACACAATAATAATAGGAGACTTTAACACCCCACTGTCAACATTAGACAGATCAACGAGACAGAAAGTTAACAAGGATATCCAGGAATTGAACTCAGCTCTGCACTAAGCAGACCTAATAGACATCTACAGAACTCTCCACCCGAAATCAACAGAATATACATTCTTCTCAGCACCACCCCGCACTTATACCAATATTGACCACACATTTGGAAGTAAAGCACTCCCCAGCAAATGTAAAAGAACAGAAATTATAACAAACTGTCTCTCAGACCACAGTGCAATCAAACTAGAACTCAGGATTAAGAAACTCACTCAAAACCGCCAACTACATGGAAACTGAACAACCTGCTCCTGAATGACTACTCGGTACATAACGAAATGAAGGCAGAAATAAAGATGTTCTTTGAAACCAATGAGAACAAGGACACAACATACCAGAATCTCTGGGACACATTCAAAGCAGTGTGTAGAGGGAAATTTATAGCACTAAATGCTCACAAGAGAAAGCAGGAAAGATCTATTGAGGGTTTTTAACATGAAGGAGTGTTGAATTTAGTTGAAAGCCTTTTCTGCATCTATTTAGATAATCACGTGGTTATTATTTGTAGTTCTGCTTATGTGATTAATCATATTTATTGATTTGCATATGTTGAACCAATCTTGCATCCCAGGGATGAAACCCACTTCATTGGGCTGGATTAGCTTTTTGCTGTGCTGCTGGATTCAGTTTGCTAGTATTTTCTTGAGGATTTTTCCATCTATGTTCATCAAGGATATTGGCCTGAAGTTTTCTTTCTTTGTTTTTTCTCTGCCACGTTTTGATATCAGGATGATCTTAGCCTCATATAATGAGCTGAGGAGGAGTTCCTCATGCTCAGTTTTTTGGAATAGTTTCAGCAGGAATGCACCAGCTCTTCTTTATACATCTGGTAGAATCTGGCTGTGGATCCATCTGGTCTTGGGATTTATTTGGTTGGTTGGTTTTTATTACTGATTTAATTTCAGAACTTATTATTGGTCTATTCAGGGATTCAGCTTCTCCTGATACAATTTCAGGAGGTTGTATGTGTCCAGGAATTTATCCATTTCTTCTATATTTTCTAGTTTGGGTGCATAGAAGTGTTCATAGTAGTCTCTGTTGGGTTTTATTTGTTTGTTTGTTTGTATTTCTGTGGGGTCAGTGGTAAAGTCCTCTTTGTTGTTTCTAATTGTGTTTATTTGGATCTTTTTTGTTTATTAGTCCAGCCAGTGGTCTATTTCTCTTATTAATTTTATCAAAGAACCAAAACCTGGATTCATTGATCTTTTTGTATGATTTTTTAATGTCTCAATTTCCTTCAGCTCACCTCTGATTTTGGTTATTTCTTGTCTTCCATAAGCTTTGGGATTGGCATGCTCTTGTTTCTCTAGTTCTTCCAGTTGTAATGTTAGGTTGTTAATTTGAGATCTTTCTTACTTTTTAATGTGGGCATTTAGTACTATAAAATTCCCTGTTAACGCTGTCTTATCTGTGTCCTAGAGATTCTAGTATGTTGTATCTTCGTTCAAATTAGTTTCTAAGAATTTCTTGGTTGCTGCCTTAATTTCATTGTTTCCCCAAACATTATTCAGGAGCAGGTTATTTATTTCTAGGTAATTGTATGATTTTGAGTGATTTTCTTAGTATTGATTCCTATTTTTATTGCACTGTTATTCTGAGAGTATGGTTAGTATGATTCTAGTCTTTTTTAATTTGCTGAGTATTGTGTTTTATGTTTGATTGTATGGTTGATTTCAGAATGAGAAGAATGTGCCATGTGGCAATGAGAAGAATGTATATTCTGTTGTTTTGGGGTGTAGAGTTCTGTCTGTTAGGTCCATTTGGTCAAGTGTTAAGTTCAGGCCCTGAATATCTTTGTTATTTTTCTGCCTCAATAATCTGTCTAATACTGTCAGTGGAGTGTTGAAGTCTCCCACTACTATTGTTTGGGAATCTAAGTCTTTGTAGGCCTCCAAGAACTTGCTTCATGAGTCTGGGTGGTCCTGTTTGGCTCCCTATATATTTAGGATAGTTAGGTCTTCTTGTTGAATTAAACGCTTTATCATTATGCAATACCCTTCTTTATCTTTTTTTTTTTTAATCATTGTTGGTTTAAAGTCTGTTTTGTCTGAAATTAGGATTGCAACCCCTGCTTTTTCTGTTTTCCATTTACTTGGTAGGTTTTTTTCCATCCCTTTGTTTTGAGCCTGTGGATATCATTGCATGTGAGATTGGTTTCTTGAAAACCCTTCTTGGGTCTTGCTTCATTATCTAGCTTGCCACTCCATGCCTTTTAATTGGGGCATTTAGCACATTTACATTCAAGGCGAATATTGATATGTGTGGATTTGATCCTGTCATCATGTTCTTAGCTGGTTATTATGCAGACTTTTTGTGTGGTTGCTTTGTAGTGTCACTGGTATGTATACTTAAGTGTGATTTTGTAGTAGCTGGTAACAGTCCTTTCCGTATCGAGCACTCCTTTTATAAGCTCTTGTAAGGCAGGTCTGATGATAATGAATTCCCTCAGCATTTGGTTGTCTGAAAAGGATCTTATTTCTCCTCCACTCATGAAACCTAGTTTGGCCACATATGAAATTTTTGGTTGGAAATTTTTTTCTTTAAGAATGCCGAATTAGACTACCAGTCTCTTCTGAGTTGTAGGGTTTCTGCTGAAAGGTCCGCTGTTAGCTTGATGGGATTCCCTTTATAGATGACCTGCCTCTTCTCTCTAGTTGGCTTTAACATTTTTTCTTTCATTTGGACCTTGTAGAATCTGATTATAATGGTGTTTTGGAGATGGTCTTGTATAATCTCTCACAGAGGTTCTCTGCATTTCCTGGATTTGAATGTTTACCTCTCTAGAGAGGTGGGGGAAGTTTTCATGCATGATATTCTGAAATATGTTTTTCAAGTTGTTTGCATTCTCCCCATCTCTTTCAGGGATGCCAGTGAGTTGTAGATTATGTGTCTTTACAAAATCCTATATTTCTTGGAGGTTTTGCTTTTTACTTTTTTATTCTTTTTTCTTTATTTTTGTCTGACTGAATTATTTCAGAGTGCCAGTCTTCGAGTCCTGAGATTCCTCCCTCAGCTTGGTCTATTCTGCTGTGAATACTGTGTTTGCATTATGCAATTCTTGCAGTGTGTTTTTCAGCTCTATCAGGTCAGTTTAGTTCTTTTTTATAATGGCGATTTCATCTGTCAGCTCCTGTATCGTTTTACAGTGATTCTTAGCTTCCTTGGATTGAGTTTCGACATTCTCCTCAACCTCAATGATCTTCATTACTATCCATATTCTTAATTCAATTTCTGCCATTTCAGTAATTTCGACTCAGTTAAGAACCTTGCTGGGCAAATAGTGCAGTCATTTGGAGGAAAGAGGCTTTTTGAGTGCTCAGAGGTCTCGTGCTGGTTATTTCTCATTTGTATGGGCTGATGTTCCTTTAGTCTTTGAAGCTGCTGTCCTTTCGATGGATTTTTTTGCTTTTTTTTTTCTTTGATTCCCTTGGGGATTTGATTGTGGTATAAGGTGGGTTTGGCTGGCTTGCTTTGATTCTAGTCAGCTCCTGGGCCTTGGAGGAGCCCCCTCCAATTGCTGTCTCCATGCCCATGTTTCTTTTGTTGGGTATCCTGCTCCATGGGGCTGCTTAGGCAGGCCCCACAGTTGGCAGACAAGCTATGTCCTTGCCCAGTCAGCCCTCATATGTTGTTCCTGTGCTTCCTGGGAAAACACAGGGTTGCGCCTGGTCACAGAGTTCAGGTGGAAGCAGGACCATTGAGTTGGAAGCTTTAGCAGGTGTGTCCTGTCTGGCTTTAGGAGGCAGGGCTGGATGGAGTTGCCTGCCTTGCCCTCTGGATGTTTCCAGGGTAAGAAGAAGCTTCAACCCTTGGCAAACTCATGCAGAAGTAGGACTTCAGAGCCGGAAGCTTTAGCAGGTGTTGCCTGCCTGGCTGCCAGGGGTGGAAGTGAGTGGGTTCCTGTGCTCTGCCATTGGGGTGTTTCCCAGGACAACAGGAAGCTGCACCCTCCAACTGAGTTCATGCAGAAGTGGGTCCACTGGGCCAGAAGCTCTAGCAGGCATTGCCTACCTGGCTATCAGTGGCAGGGGTGGGTGGGCTGGCCTGCCCTGACATGTGGGTGCTTCCTGGGGCAATAGGAGGCTGCACCCACCAGCTGAGTTCACACAGAAGTGGGGCCGCTGGGCTGGAAGCTCTAGCAGGTGTTGCCCACCTGACTACCAGTGGTGAGGATGGGTGGAGTGTCATGCACCCTGCTGTCCAAGTGTTTCCAGAACAACAGGAAGCTGTATCCTCCAGTTGAGTTCACACAGAAGCAGGACCCCTGGGCCAGAAACTCTAGCAAGCATTGTCCTCCTGGCTATCAGTGGTGGGGGTAGGTGGAGTCACATGCCCTGCCACCCAAGTGTTTCCTGGTACATCAGGAAGCTGTATCCTCCAGCTGAGTTCACACAAAAACAGGACCACTGGGCTGGAAGCTCTAGCAAGCATCGCCCACTTGACTTCAAGTGGCGGGGTAGTTGGAGTGGCCAGCCAAGTTCAGGCTGAATCAGAACTGCTGGGCCAGAAGCTGGCAGCAAGCCCCATCCAGCAGTGTGAGATGGAGCAATCTTACTGCTTCCAGGCACCACAACTGCAGCCTCTGTTGGGGCTATTAAGCTGATACTGATCTGCTCCAGGGCCCAAAGCTTGTAGAGGTCCCTTTGGACTTGACTGTTGCCCCCACAAAACATCTGAGTGGCTCCCTGCCTCAGTCTGGGAGTGTGGTAGGGGTTTCTGGGAGGTCCAGGGGGATTCTCCTGATCCATCTTGCACAGTTCCTGTGGAGAGCATGAATCCCCCTAGAGGCTCTCATTCTCTCACCTTTCCTGTATTGGAGAGGTTTTCCTGGCTCCGAGCTAAGCCCAGACAGGCTGGTGCCCAGCTTCGCTCTTCTCTGCTGTTTGTGTTCCCCTGCTGACTTGCTGGGTCCCCAGTGTGGTTTCTCAGATCATCAGTCTGCAGGGTCCGTGTTCACTAGCTCTTTTGTTTCCTGTCCGTGAGTGTGGCATACATGAGCTGTTTGTAGTTTGCCATCTTGGCTTGAAAGACACTGTAACTGTGTTTCAATGAACTTTATCTACAAAATCAGGTGGTAAGCCTGATTTGGCTCATGGTTCATATTTATTGATGCCTGCTATAGATAGTATCTTTTACTGCCTTTTCTGAGTAATGATTAAATTAATATATTTATCTTTCTCTCAGCTTCCTTTCCTCCACTACTATTAGTTGGCAGCATTATGTTTCTTAGATTTTATTTTTATATTCATAAATGTAAGAATAGGCAAATGGATATATTTATTTTTAAATTGCATATTTTGACCCCAGCTATAAAAATATGAAGAAATAGAACACACCTTTTCATTTTTTCCCCTCAAATTTGTTAGTTATGTCATTTCTACCTTATGAAGGCTTATGACATTTACATTCTGTAATACCACCCAAATCGTTGTGGGTCAGGTGACTTATTGAAGATCACACAGCCAATAAGTGATGAAGCTAGGATATAAACTTGAATAAACTTTGCTGTTGACAATTGTTATTGTCTTAGCCTGTTCAGGCTGCTGTATCAAAATACCATAGACTGAGTGGCTTGTAAATGACATACATTTCTTTTTCACGGTTCTGGAGGCTGGGAAGTACAAGACCAAGTTTCTGGCAGATTTAGTGTCTGGTAAGGGCCCAGTCCTCACTCATGATGCCTTCTTGCTGAGTCCTCACATGGTGGAAGGGGCAAACAGGCTCCCTTGGACCTCATTTATAAAGGCACTTATCCCACTCATGAGCACTCCACCCTTGTCATCTAATCACCTCCCAACGATCTCTTAATATCATCACCTTGGGAGTGAGGATTTCAGCATATAAGCTTGAGGAGAGAAACACATTCAAACCATAGCAACTACACTTTTCTGAAGCTAGGATAATCCCAATACTAAAACCTAACAAAGATTGTGGGGGTGGGAGGAGCTCAATCATTTGTAAATGTAGTTGTAAATAATACAGCAAACCAAATTCTATACAGTTTTAAAAGTTGTCCAGCATTGTCATGTTAGTTACATTTTAGAAAGTAAATTTGATTAAATATATCATTCCAGTAAAACCAATAAAAGATATTTTTTCATCCCAATAAAAAAAGACATATTTAGTAAAATCTGTTTTTATTTCTAAGAAAAGCATTAAAAATCTAGGGAAAGAAGGATGATTTCTCAACATGAAAATGGATGTCTTAGACAAATAGACAAATAGCAAATATTGTATTTAATGGCGACATGTTGGAAATTAAAAACACAATGAGGATGGTTGCTATTACCATTTTCACTTAATGGTGTTGTGAAAGTTGAAACCAGTGAAAGGAAGAAATAAAATTAACATTGAAGTTACCTCTCTTTATATGTAGGGGAACTTCCCACTAATTTTATTTGTTTCCTGTTTGGTCAAGGAGTAAGAGTTTTGTTTTGTTTATGCCTTCATCTTTATTTAAGGTATCCAAATTCCCTAACCACTTTCTTCAGGACTCAAACTGCCCAAGAGTGTTGAATAACAGGTTTCTCATAGGTGAAAAAATTAGAGAACCTTTCACTCCGGTCCCCAAACCTCTGAACTTTCTTGTCCGTTTTCTTTTTGTCCATTCTCCCTCTCTCATTTGACTGCCCGTTCTATCTTCTCTCTCTTTTTCCCAGTTTTAGTTTTAGAGACAGAAAAAACAGCCCTACAAGTATGTCATAAGAACTTGTCTGGCAATTTGGGGCTGATCTTTTTTGAATCTTTGTTCTTGAGTGGTTATGAACTTACTTAGGGTAGAACAATGACCAGCTGAATGTAAATAAGGAAGAAGAGAGGATGGGAAACAGCTAGAAAACAATCAAATAAATACTAAAATGTAGCCCTGATACATTTGCAAGTAGAATTTTATGGTTAGAGCAATTTGACAAGCACTCAGTAAATATCAGCCACTAATTCTTGAGAAACGCATCTGGCTGCCAATAAACATTCCTAACCATTATCAATCTTTTAGTCACTTACATAGAATTAAAAGTTTAGGGAGAAAGCACTATTCAATTTTTCTAGTTTTGAACCTGGAGCTATTTATTGCTTGGTGTGGAACATCATGATTAACAATTCCATGTGTGGGATATGTCTTCCCAGAAGGAAATTAAGGTCCTAATTTTGTTTAAAAAGTAAGAAGACAAGGTGTTAGCCAAGTAACACTTTGTCTTGTTAGACTTGTAGCTGTCCCTTACAAGTCAAATAAGAGAAGATGCATCAATGTGAATCTATAAAAAGGAATCAAGCACCTTCAGAGATAGAAAGGTAAAGTCCCTCTGTGTCCACAGGGCATGTCCTTTACTCCTGGGGAAATAAGAGGTCTAAGGGAAATAGTCAGTTGTCTAGAATAGCCAGAGGAAAGAATACATGAAAATCAATGGGATATGAAACCAGTGAAGAGGACAATTGGGACCAGATAAAGGAAGGCCTTAAATGTCAGTTAGGGTGCTTGAAATTTAGTTACAGGAAATTGAGAAACCAAATTTAAAATTGAAAAATCTGAGGAAGAAGAATGTTATGTAAAGCATGTAATATAACCACCTTGCCAAGTGTCCTTAGCTTTCTTGTCTTTCCAGTAACCTCTTTGAAAATGTTCTAGGTCAAAGTTTTCCCATGATATTTCAAGTCAACAGATCATTTGTATAAGGTTAAAATTACACTTGACCATAATGGGAGAAAAATACACATGCACATGACAAAAACAGCTCCAAAAACAATGTTTTGGCTTTTCTCATGAAAGAGCACAGCACCTTGAATATCTTTCATGAGATTCCAAAACTATCTCGAATTACTATCAGAAGAAAAGGAAAGGTTTATTATCAAGTTTTCAGGTTATTATTTAATGAAGCTCATTAATGAGAGAAACAAATAGTCCAGCTCAAATGAAAAAACATATATGCCATTTGGATTGTTCTCAGTTCTGTGTGTGTGTGTGTGTGTGTGTGTGTGTGTGTGTATGAGTGTGTGTGTACAAATGAGGGTCTCGCTATTTTGCCCAGGCTGGTCTCAAACTCCTGTCCTCAAGTGATCCTCCCTCCTCAGTCTCCCAAAGTGTTGAGATTGCTGGTGTGTGCCACCACTCCTGGACTGCTCTCAGTTCTTTAAAAAAAAAAAAAATACTGATTTTGATAATGAATCTAGCAATGTTCATTAATGGCTGCTAAAATGATTAAGTGAAACTCTGATGGAGAATTTTATAGTAGATGGATCAGACAGACAACATTGACATCAGAGGACTCAAGCAATCCTCCCATCTCAGCCTCCTGAGCAGCTGGGACTACAGGCATGCACCACTACTCCTGACTAATTTTTAAATTTTTGTAGAGACGGAGTCTTTTCAGAGTTGCCCATGCTGGTCTCTAACTCCTCAACTCAAGCAATTCTCCCTCCTCAGCCTCCCCCAAGTGCTAAGATTACAGGTATGAACCACCATGTCTGCTGGCCTTGATTATATTCTTAAGAGAAGTTCCTCAAAGTGTAATTATTGCCCAAGAGGAATTATTTAAGGTTCTTGATATATATTGTCAAATTATTTACATAAAAAATGATGTCCATTTAACCTCAAGCAGTTTATTAAAGTGTTATTCTCTCACTTTCTTGATAGCATTATAGGGTAATATTATTTAAATCATGATTTATTGGCAATGTTCAGTCTTCCTATAGAATGACATAGTACACTTCTCTATTCAACAAATATTTGGGGTTTTCTTCACATGAGCACCATGTCAAGATTATTTCTAGTTATAAACAAAATCTTTTGAAAAGTACAGTTTTTAATTGGTTATTACTGGCTTAAGAAAATTTTTGTATCTTTTACATAATTAGTTTTTTGGATTTATATTCATTCTAAGATATTTGATTGATTTCCTTGGGTTTTCTTTGGAATTGTCATAACTTGGGCAATGGCTTAGCTTCTTGAAGCCTCCTAGTCATCTGTAGAATGAAGAAAATAATAGATCCTACTTCATAGCTGTGAGAAGACAATGAGATAGTGTGTGTGTGTGTGTGTGTGTGTGTGTGTGTGTGTGTGTGTATAAAGCCCTATGTCTAGAACGTAGCAACAACTCATTAAATATTTAATACCTATCGTTATATATCTGGGCTTTCTCACAAAAGCTAACACACTTCCCCTTAACTAGCTTCTAAAAATGTTGTCATTGTTATTTTAAATGGGACTGCAATGTAGAAATTTGGCCTCTCATGTTGTTGGGGCATTTGATTTAATATTTTTTAGATAAGCCCCAAAGCAGTGGTAAATTTGTGATTCTGTGAACTGACTGTGTTTGTGAAGCACTGGTAGCATGGTACCTCAGTGAAATGAGCATTATTTATTTATGCCAACCAACTAAAATTATTTCAGTGAAACCAGGATGAAGATCTGAAATATTCTGATGGGGAAAATCCAATTCTTAGATTTTTCTAGAAAATTCAAATAGACCAACATTGAGGTTAAAGCGTTCCCACTGGCTTCATGTTGTCAGGTCTTTGAAAGAGAAAGAATGCCAGAGGATCCCCTGTAGTTAAATTGTGAAAACCTAAACATGAGGACAGAGAAAAGAAGAGTATGTCGTTTTTTTCCAAGTCTCTTTTACTCAGAAGTATTCCCCCAGAGAAAATGGTAGGAGATGGGGCAACAAGGCTTTGTGAGACTCACTCCTGACAAGCCTTCTCAAACTCTGAAAGAATAACAGGGTAACTCCCTGTGGACTAAAAGGCATCTCTGGTCAGTCTAGACCTTGGAGAAAGTTATTTTCTTGAGGTTGGAGGTCTGTTATTTCCCAGAGAGCAGGTTGCCTAAATTAGTGAGGAAACTGTACCATGTATGTGTTTTTTATCCCATCCCTCTGACCTCATCCCCTTACATCTCTGATCTGCAATGCAAATTTAATGTAGTCACAGATATTCTTGGACTCAGGTTTAGGAACCCCTGGGATGAGCTGTCACTCCTGCACACATCTCCCACCTTACCCCAGCAAAATCTATGTGTAAATTTTTCTATACCCCTAATTAAAAGGAATGGTGAGAGTAGCAAGAGATAATATTGGGAGAGGGATGGATATAGCTGACTACTTGTTACTCTCATTCAAGCTTCCCATGTTACTGTCATTCAACTTCTCTGCAGTTCTTGAAGAACATGGGTATTTTGCTGCACTGTTCTCTGAAGTTTTCCCTTCCCCTCTACCCAGCCTTTGGACTGTACTTATTCTATAGTGTCTGTAAGTGTGTTAAAAGTACACTATAACTAACAGAAGTAAAGAGTGCAACGTACCCTAATGTGCTCCTTCCAGAGGGAGACTCGCACTAATGGTCAAAGACCAAGAACAGGATAGAGGGATGGTGAAGGTGGTCAGTGGGAAAGAGTAGCAATTGTAGAAGCAAAAGCTTGAAAGAATGGTTCTCTCTTGCTCTTATTCTTTTTCTGTTTGCCTTGACCCTCCTTTTTGGAACTCCAGTGTGACATGTTGAATAAGAAGGAACTTGGATCTTCTCTCACTTGTTAAGAATGGGCTTTCCTCCTAAAATGCCCTACTAAGACTTCATGAAACACAGAAGACGAGGTGGGAATGAGCAGACTAGTTAGATCTGCAAACGGGGAGGAAAGTAATATGGAAGTAGAGAAGATGGTGGCATTAGTTCTTTCTGGAGAGAAAGTCAGGCCTTAGATACTATGAATAAGGGGGTTCTTAACAGAAATCAGGTAGGTGAGCAGCCTGGAAGGAAATATTTTGAGTTGGATTGTGTAGATGTTGATTTTATTAATCTTTTTGCTGGACGTAAACATGGTGGCTTGATGGTCCTGGTAATTTTCTCATTGGCAATATCCATAATAACTCACCCTCATCTGGGCAATCATTTTCCTTTCCTCCACTTTCCCATCACACCCACACATAAGCCAAAATGCAGTCATGTGGTTTGGATTGAAGCATCCTCTTACTTGACCTCACCTTTTTTACTTCAGTGATTAATAAGAGCAATTGACTTGATTTGTATCAGCTGTAGTATCTACAACGACTGGGTCAAGGATTGGTAAATGACACAAACTGAGCTTATGAAATACCTTCCCCTGAGCTTTTCAAATTGGAGCACAGGTTAATGCCGCTTTTTTCTGGTCAATAAGCTGTGTACATATGTAACCCGGTCTGCAGGCAACCAGATTTGCATCTTCATGAAACCTCAATGAAACCAAGAAAATAAAGTTGATTCACAAAGAAACAGAGAATAGACAGCAAGAATGTGATCTTGCTGGTGTTTGATTTCCTGGTTCCATCTGCTCCTGCAGCAAACTCCACCCTTGTCCTTTGGTTACATGAACCCAAAATTGCTCTTTTGACCAGGCAAGCTTAAGATATATGCCTGTCGGCAGAAACCAGAATCCTAAAACAAACGTGAAGTGATCACAGCTACCAGGTTGTTTTTCATTCACGAATCTTAGCCCCAGCACCAACCCAACAATAAATCAGTTTAAAAGGGTTTTTTCTAATATCATCATTCTAAAAAATAATGTCAAAAATAATTGAAAATTCTTGACTCCAATATTAGCTGTGTGGCAATGGTTTAGCTCATCAGTTTGCAGATCACTAGCTGGTAGTATTGGCTCCAAATTGTCAGACTCAAGATTCATGCATTAATTCACTAAAGACATATATATGAAGACCCAACATTATTTGATTCATTTTTTTCAAACAAACGATCTCTTATCAGACTCTATCGTTAAATTTGTCTTTAGCCCCTACTTATACAATTGTGTTAGGAGCTCTGGTTCGACTTGGTATGTAAATTGAGAACTGGCAATATTGTTTCTAACAGTGACACAGGCATATTCTTGGTAATTGTTTTAATGGTTCTCTTTTTGGTTATATAGCTCTATTTTTTTCTCTCTCCAAATTTTGTGCCTACTTCCCATAATTAAGAAACAAACAAATTATTTGTAGCAAATTGTAAATATATGAATACATCCTTCCAAGTCATTTATTTCCAGTCCCATTTTTCTCTGCCCACAATGGGAAGTACAAAACTTTAACTGAAAATTACTTAAGTTATGCAATTATGCATAACATAATTTTAAGTATACAAAATGAATGAACCATGAAGAAAATGATTGTTTCACCCTAGTGTTATAAACAACTAAGATTTGTGAGGGAAGAGATTTTAATAAGCGGTACCTAAAAGCATTCAAGTTATCTAACAAATAGGAAAGACATATTTTTTTCTAAAATAGAACATGGTTTAGAGAGTTAAATAATCCTTTCCACTGAAAAGGTCCTATTTCACCATGTTCTGTAGTTTTTTAGAAAGTGAAGCAGGCAGTAAATTAGTGAGTTTTGGATATCCAGTATCCTTATGTCCTATAGCTCAAATGCTGCCACATTTATTTTAAATACATTCCAAATGATCTCATTTCTACAAATTTAAAATTACTTAAGATGGTATATCCCAGAGTTTTCCAAGCAAAAATTGTATACTAGGATAATAAGTGCTATTTTAAAAAAGACTCGTGACAAAACAAATTTAAGAAACACTAGATAACAAAGTGGTTTCTTTACTGCAGGATTTCTCAGACACTTATATATGCTAAAAAGTATTGTGAATCTCCCAAAGTATGGGAAAGAACATTTCCCATACTTACTTAATATTGGATTCTTTCTGAGTATCTTGTGAAACTGGAACTCTTTAGTACATGCTTTAGGAAATCAATATTGTCCTAATTCTATATAAATATTATTTGCTCTCCAAATTAAAAAGGAGTATGGGGAAAGGTCTCTGATTTTAAGCTACAAATTACTACGATGAAAGTGATTTATTCAACCTGTGTGTTAATCCTCTACTAATATCTGTGGTAAGGAGTAGAAGTATTAACAAATGAGTCACATAAAGGCAGACAAGTTTTCAGACAAAAAGGAAAGATCTACACACCCCTATCTTTGGTTACTGAGCTAATTAATGAACAGTGCTTGAAACACTGTATGCTGATGAGACAAAGGAAATCATCTTTGAATTAATAACAAAAGCATATTCAGATGCTTTGCCTTGAGCAGGAGATAGAAGCAGGACATTTGTGGTTTCAGGTATCACTGATATTCTACAACTCAAATCTGCAAATTGCCAGCCAGAAGTCTACATCTGTTTTACCTGCAAGACTCCTTAAGGATGAATTGTTTTTGTGGGTTAATTTTGTGAGTTGTTCCCCCAAAACACTTGCCCAAAGTTTGGGCCTGTTTGCCCTCTCATGTTACCAGATTTCAGGCTAATCTGGTGCATATTTAAATAAGGATTACTATGATAGCAATGTGTCTCTTTATACAAATAATTTGTAGCTAGAATTAGATGTGTGTGTGTGTATGTGTGTGTTTATATCTATAGTCAGATATATTTCTTGTAAACCTTAATTAAAGCAGTGTGATTGTTCTTGCAATGCCTGCTCTGTGTCCTTATAAGTAGCTGGTACTGGTGATAAAAGTTTATGTATGACAGTGTCTACTTAAAACATCAGCTAGATTTTTATCCATCATAGACAAATTTCCAGTGTGACCTAATTAAACAATTTTTTAGTACAAAAGGCAATTAAGAGAAACTAACACCATATCCATGGCTTATAACATTTCAACTAAAATGAAAATCAGATGATTTATTTATATAACAACAAATGACTACTATAGACACTTGAAATCATTTATTCAAGGCATTTTTATATAATCTTGCAATCATAGTATAGATGTATAATAAAAGAATATGAGAATGCAAAGAGGAACATAAAGCCAATGTCTGAGCATTTAAAATAAGAGTTCTTCAAAAAAGTTACACGTCTTACAAATAACATTCCTGAAAAATTTGGGAGAAGCTAAAACTTCACTAAAAACCTAACACCAAATGACATGTTACTTAGTTTATAGCAAGCAGTTTTATATTAATTAAATGTTTATATACCACAAGCTAAGATTTAATGCATTTTACATTCAGATTTAAATAACTCAGCACCATTTTAGCTTAGAGGATAAATGAAATGTTTAGTGTTTAAAAGTGGCCCAGGAATTTTGGTAGCTAGGAATGAGACTTAACTCACTGATTGAATATGTTGATTGTGAATATGAGTTCAAAAAAATATGTATATATAGAAAAAAGAGTACTTTTTAGTTATCAGTTAATACACTGATTCGTATCAAAACACATTATTTTTAAAACAAAATATCTCCTTACCAGGAATTCAGTATTTTCATGCAATCTGCTAAAGATTAACTCTCAGTGCCAGGAAAATTTTAATGAATTGCATTTCTTCTAGAATCCGAATATTGGGAATGTTTATAAGTGTGACTATCCTATGAGATTTCAAAGAGAAAAAAAGTACTACAAATAATGCCTAGTGAGTAATTGGATGATAGAAATTGTAAATAAAGTTATTCTATAAAAATATACAGATTTTCTGGAAATAGGCAAGTTGTATTCTCATATATGTTATGCTAGCCTCAGAGGTCAAGACATCTTTAACCCAGACTGTGGTCTGAATCATCATGAGATCGCTAATATGGCATATTGTAAACTGACTCATAAACTCTGAAATTATGTTCCTATTTAGTCCATTTTCTGTCTTTTTTAGTGTAAAAGCCAATCTCCTGTCAGTACTCAACATTCTTTTTATCATTGCCAGTTCCTATTTTTTAAAATGTATTTAGAGTTTGGTAAGACTGGTCTGTGTTATTTTATTAATTGATAACCTTCATCAACTAATTATTATCTTTGAGTTTCGGCAGTTATTCAGAGAAGAGATTCAAAGTTCAAAATAGTTCAAAGAAGTTCAGTAATACAGAGTGTTAAATCAGTACTTGTGAGTTATTTGGGTGTGTTTAGAGGTGCCAGGAGGGGGATGAATGTTCATATAAGGAATAAAGTAGTATTTTTAGCTTCCTAATTGAAAAAAAAAAATCGTCAAAATTAACCAAATAGTAGGTGTTATATTTAAAAGGCAGACATTTCAGGGATTGAACACATTTTTAATTATTAGAAATACATACATGCATATAATTAACCTTTAATTTATTTTTAAAAATAAATTATGGTCATGAAAAACAATAGTGCTTAAAATTGAAATTTCATAGACATGTAATTTTATTCCCTAAAAATGAAATAAGATGAACCTTATGGGTAATAATGGGATTTTTAATACTTATTGAGGTTATAGACAGTCTTTTTTATGTCTCAATGCATACCATGTGAGTACTTGGCATATATTAGGCCTTCAAATGATGATGGATGGATAGACAGATAAAAGGCCCAATGAATGATTGTAAATGTGTCTTCTCCTATGTATCCATGATGATATTGCCTAGTTTTTAATACAAGCTTAAGAATCAATAAAATGATAGATCTGAAATCTGTAGATGCCAGTCTGGCTCAGTATTAATACTGACAGTAGTTTTTTTGTTTTTTAAGAAAGCAAGTATATTAAAATATCTCTGTTAGAAAAGATTACAATTTGAAAGGATCATTCTACAATCTTAGAACTAAAAAGCAATTTAAGGCAAAGAGGTACATCAAAGAAGCTATTCCATAGCTCAGTTACAGCTCAACAAAAGCTCTGTCTGTATTGTCTACTGGTAAGCTTGTGCCCTGGTGGCTAAGGATCATATGTACCGCTATATCCGCCAGTTGATGACTGTCCATCTCTAGCCCCTCTAACCATGCTATGCACCCAGTGAGTGCAGAATGATTACTAGTAATTGATGTTGACTTTACAATTCTATGACATGTAATACAGGATGCCGAGGCACTTTTAAAATTCCACCTAACATGTTCTGGCACTGGAAAATCTTACTTGAGATTTTAATACTGGTTAATATAGGAAAAATTATGCTTAAGCACCACTAACTTAAAAGTGTAATTTCATTTTCTTGAATTTAGGTAAAAGCAAAATTCTCAAAATTCTATTATGGCACATGGTTTCACAGTTTCAAATGAAATCACAGCTGTCTCATTACGCAGCACAGTCCTTGGTTTTGCAGAAAGTATATTTTTCCTTTGTTCACCAACCCCTCAAGTATGTAATACTATGTGCTTTGCTAATTTAGACTATATCTCAGACACACACACATGTGTGACTGATTCCTGAATAACCCAGGATGATGTTCCTGTGTTCTAGATAATATAAAATTTTTAACATTCCTCTAATAGCTGAACATCTTTTTAAAATCTAGAAAACTTGAAAAATCCTAAAATGTTTTTCAATTTTTTTAAGCTATTTGAGAGACAGTTGTGGTTTGGGGGGGACTTGTTTGTGTGATTTTTATGTCAGCAAGAAAATTGTATCTTTGGCAAATACTTTAATATGTTTAAATGCATTTTACCTCTGGATGTATCACATCAGTCATCAAAATGACTTTCCAGTTTCACGGCTGCCTTATGTATACCAGTCCCAAGAATGGTGATATTAAGAATCCCACTTACAACATCTCTGCCCATGGGAAAGATAAAATGATAGAGGGCAGCCTCAAGAAATATCAGACAGGATTGGGCAGCTCCCTTACTTAATTTGTTCCAAAACAAAAGTTGACTCAAGTCAAAATGAAATTGTGCACTTGAAAGAAAGGAAGTTATCTACTAATTTTTTAAATGTAAACATACTTTTTATATAGGGATGTAACTATCTGAGTACATGTATTGCCATTTCTCTGCTATATAGTAATATTTCTTGACACCAATGGTAATGTGTTTGTTTCTTTCTCAGCACCAGATGTGTCCATATGTATTTAAACAGTAGGAGCATTGTTTCTAAATTCATCTATGCTATGACATATATAAACCCATTATTATTATGTTTCACTAAAGTTCCAGCACTTTAGAAAAGTTTCAGTTCAAAGTCATTTTGGCTCATTCATTTAGATAATACTGACCATTTTGCACTACAATTTCAAAAGGAACATGAGAAATTTGGATTTCTTTGAAAGAGTCAAATATGTAATTACAGAATTGAAACACTGTGTTAATTCACAAAGTGATGTAAATAATAAACATTAAAAATTTCCCAAGTAATGATGACTTAAGCGTTCAAAATCCAGTTATGTGCTTTGTTATTGAAAACAGTCCAAACAAAAATTCTTTTGTTGTTTTCTGTTCTCTTTTTCAAAATACATAAATCCTACTGAAGTTAGTCTATTTTTTCCCACTTCAGAACACCAGGCACTGATTTATCCATTGGGAGTTTTGCTTTGCCTTCTAATACCTAGATTAAGAAGACAAAATAAGACAAATTATTAACCTGATAATATAATGAATGAGTACAACAGACAAATTTAAAGTCAACCTTTTAAAAACTTTATGCAACAGTTTCCCTCCACCTAAGCAGCAATCATGTTGTGAAATTATGCAGTAGTACATCATTTTAATAATGGTTTGAAGAAAGTGACTATGTCAACAGCAGAGATGCCTGATGCCTACACTCTTCACATTTAGAGGCAAAGAAACCACTTCTGAAACACTCAAGAGTACAGCAGGACTTCTGGGACCAGCATCCCTGACCAGGGGAATTCATTCCATGGAACAAGGGTGGCATGTCCACCAAGAAGTAGAGTCAAGGCCTCTGCTCCATCTTGAATTAGTCCTTCTCCAGCATGGCTTTGGATGTAGAATAATACATTAATAGGCAGAAACTGGACCAAAGCTAATCAATCAAATATTACTGTCTTTAAATGTGACCATAGATCTTCATGTAAGGAAGTGAAAATTCACTTATTCAAATCATAAACTACCAATTTCCAAACAGTAAATTCTGTGAGGAGAAAAAAAAAAACTTACATAGTATCTTATAACTGAAAGAAGCCTCAGAGTCACCTGGTCCGTACATTTTGTTTCAGTGAGGAAAATGAAGGAGAGAGGGTACATTAACAGCACATACCTATTCAACTATTTACTGGGTGGCTTTTACACATCAACAGAATGCTCTTAAATATCTGGCAGGAAAAGCAATCAGTGAACTGATACATGATATGTCTTCAGAGTCACACTCACTGCTGCTTACACAGCCACCAGACTGACCTGATGGCCTTAGGCAAGTTACACTTCCTGCTCAAAAAGCTTCAGCCTCCCACTGCCTCCAGAATAAATTTTAGCCTGCTCTTCAGGGCTGTCTTCCATCTGGCTCAACTTACTTTTCCATCCTTTTTGTCCAACTCGTAACTCCACAAAATTCATGCTTTAGCCAAACTAGAAGACTTGTTTTTCCAAACATGCCCTGCAGTTTCCTCCTGCCATGCAAGTTGCCTGTGACGTTGACTTGCCCTGGGCTTCCTTTCCTTAATGCTCCCCGGTGCATTCCCCAGACTTCAAGGCTCAATTCAAATGTATCCTAAAGTCACTCCTGAAACTCAGCCCAAAGAGACCTCTCCTCTGTCTGAACTCTGATTCCTAGGAAGGAAGGCCTGATGTGAAAGTCAAAATGTAAGAAGCAAGTATTACTATCCTGAAGGTGTGGGGTTTTTTTCTCAAATATTCTATACTTTCCCCAATATTTCCACTCAGAATAAGTATGACATTTTATTATGATCACTAATTATAATTTCACTTTTCATATTTTCATCTGGTTTATATTAGTTATAAACATTCCAGCTTCAACCACTCTTGAAGTTTGTTACAGTCAGTAATAACTAGTAAAAAAAAAAAAAAAAAAAAAAATTCAACTCTATATGAGTGACCACATCAGGAATCCCTCTTGTACAGTCATATTGCTGGAGCAATACAACAATTTTTATTTCTTCTAAATATCTAGCAATACCCAATTCAATGGATTCTACTGATTAAAAGCAAGAGACATTCTATGCAACAGACCTCTCCAGACCTATTTCTAGTGGGAAGTCAGTAAGACATAGTTGGGAGTTACCAAACTTATAGCAAAGGTCCTTCTGATCTCACCACATTTTATTTTATCCCTCATGAAACTTCTCATATTGTATCTCTATTACAGTTATATGTGTAATTCTCTCACTTCCCCTACTCAAAATGCCTTTACTCAAATTATTTGAGAAAGAAATTCATTAAGCAGTGAGTGAGAGGCTGCAAGGTGGCAGACCTGTACCTGACAATGGGTATACAACAGTGGACAAGAGACTAAATCACAGCCATCACTGAGTAGAGCAGGAGACAGACATTAAACAAAGAAATTCATAAGTAATTAACTGAAAATAGTGTAATAAGGCTACAGCAGTATAGAGATTAGTAGTCCTATTTATGTTTGCATTATTCAGTAATATCTAGCTCAGGGCATCAACAAACAGTACAAAAATGAGAGTGCAAATGAATAAATAAATGGAGAATGGATGAATAAATTAAGGAATTATAAAAATTAAGAAAAAACTAATCTGTTTATTTAAGTGCAAATTATTTTAGCTTAAATTATAATGGTGTTCTGGCGGTGGGGGTCGGGGGTTGGTTCTACTATAACCAACTCCACACAATATGGGCCATAAAACCTGCCAGGTTTTCTGTGCTGTGGGCATGTTCAGAAGAATGTATGTGACTCTGTTTTTTCAGTGCTATCCTTTTGCTATCACAGGCTTCATCTATCTCTAATGTTGTGACAACACTTGTAAAGCACAGTCTCTGCTTCTTTATGTAGAAAGTCCTGGGTTTTTGTATCAGGCAGAAATTTCTATTAATTATGAGATTCTAGTATAGCTCTGCTATACCTGTCTGTATGATCCAGTGGCACTGGTGGTTCTCCAGTGACAAAGCAAAGCTGATGAGTGTTGAGTATCATTCCAATGGAAATAGTATTCTCATTGTTGGGAAGGCATAACTCAAGTGGCATATGTAATTATAATCTAGCACCCAGCAACACTTGGGGAGGTAGTGCTTAAGGAGATGGGGCAGGACAGACAGGCATGCAGTCAAACCTACCCAACCTTTTTTCATTATTTTCATCAGAGCACCTCCCTGTGAATAGATATCTTCCAGTATTTCATTCTAAGAAGAGTCTCAGGAGTAGGAATATTATGAAGAAACCTCCACACACCTCAATCTTTTGCAGAGTATTTTCCTAGTATCAATGGTTCTAGAACTCAAATATATGACATCTTGATTTGTACAGACCAGAGGGGGCTGAACTCTTCAGTTGCTTACTTTATGGCAGTGGTTTTCAAAATGTACTTTGAAGAACCCTAGCAATTCTTTCAGGGACTGCGAGGAAGGGGCCAAGAAGCAACTACTGGGGCTTCTACAAGCTCACCCACTCTACATATTGAGCAATTTGATATATTGGGCCTTCACAAATGCCTTCTGGGTAAACACTGTGGTCTGTTTATGTCTTCTCCTGAAAACTAAGCTTCTCCTGAAAACTAAAAACCTTAGTACATTCTCCTTTGCCTTCCATTATTTAAAAAAATAAAATCAGACTGCATACCATTTTCTGCCTTTGGTCTGCTTACAAGAAAGCTGCTGTAGTAGCAGAAACAGATACATTCTATGTATAATGTTTGGCATGAACAAAAATTATTTGTGACAACAATTACTTAGCTAAGCAAATAACACTTACGGTGAAATTGTGCAGCCTGAGGCATACGCATGATGTCCTGTGTAGCGAATGTCACAGCGCACAACATTGTTGGTATAGTCAGATTCAGGAACCAGGTAGCTGGGGTTTACACTGACCTGGGCAACACAAAGAGTTCCTCAGTATTTCTTTTTCCATAGGGCTACAATAAGGAAATTGTTAATGAGGACTTAGCTAAATCAAGCAGGGAAGGGATTTTAACTTAAGTAAGTGGTTAAACTCTGGAGACGTTATGGAAAGAGACTGCATATTTTCCCCTGAAGTTCTTTAAAATAAGACAGATTAGATTAGATTAGATTGTTTATAAATAGTTTGAGGATGTATAATTGCTTCCAATACCATGATTATTTAACATTTGAATCCAGAGAAGAGGGCCTATTGATCTGCAATATCAATATATGATATATTTTCAAAGGTCTTTACCTTTAGGATATAGTTTCCAGGTTTTACATCTGTAATATCAATCCACTGGCAGTCTATGTCTGCACCATAGGTATCATAACAGCCAGGACTCAATCCCTAAGATAAACAAAATAAAAAATTTAAAATTATGGTATGTGGTCAGACTATGATAAATAATATGCTATTATTTGCAAATTAAATTTTAAGTTAGTACTTACAAGAGTCTGACATAAAACTATACTTATATTTCATCTCCCTTGAGAAGTATTTATTACTCAGCCTTATAGCACCTCCAGCTAAAAAAGATACAGGACTAATATAAGTAGTAGTACACCTCACTTCTTAAAAGTGTCATATATCACCAGAGATAAATGCAATCTGAAGGAACAAAATAGGCCTCTACCAAAGTTCTAGAATTTTAACAGTTCAGGAATAAAGGCCACATAATAATTATCTTAGCTCAAATGTCCTCTTCTCAGTGAAATCCTCCCCAGTTTCCCCTTTTGGAAATTACCTTCTTGTGCTTTGAACGTCCATGATACTTTTTATTGTGGATAGCTTTTACAGTGTTTATCCCTTTTTGCTCTGCATTATAACATGCTATGTAAGAATATAGCTAACCAGAGGCTGCAAGTTCCCTAAGGGTAGAGTTTACGTTGTATCTTTGAATAACTAACATTTATTAAATAGTATGTGGCAGGAACAATCGTAAACATTTATATGTGTGTGTGTGTGTGTGTGTGTGTGTATAAAAATTCAATTTTCACAACTACATGAGGGGCTATTATCTCCATTTTATAGATGAGAAAACTAAGGCACACTAAGATCAAATAACTTACCCAAGGGTATCCAGCCTAGTAAGTGGCTAAGCTGGTTTTGAGTTTAGGTAATCAAGGTCCAGAGTCCCTGTTCTTAACTACCCCACTATACTCTCTCTCATACAGTCACTGAAATATGACATATTTTGTTGAAGGGGTAAATGCATGACTAAATTGATGAATGCCACATCACTCCACTTGCTAAAATATTCACATCAATAAGTAAATGAATGCCTTCTACAGGCTGGGAGGAGAAAAATATAACAAATACAATCCTTGCTTTTAAGAATGTTATAGTCTAGAGAAGTTTCCTCAGATTGGAGTCTGTAGGTATATTCTTGATTCCATTAGTTCTTCACAAAAAGTTTTAACTTGTATTTTTATTCTAATAGTAATTTAAATTCAAAGTACATGCTAGATTCATTTTAACTCAATACTGCCATTCAATTCTAGCAACCAATATTGCTTTGCTGTTTAAGATCACTTTGGTCACCCAAGAGACAGTAAAATCACCTTAGCATGCTCTACCAATGCTGGTTTAGCTGTAGCTTGATTTGGGAAGAGCAGGGGAGAATTGTGCTGTCATAGAGCACACAATAGCACAGACAGGCCCAACTCAGAAGGGTCAGTGTCACAGCAGTGAGACTCATATTCTGTTGTTATTATCTAGATTCCTACCTTGATCCATACATCACTTAACAGTATGTTGAGTAGTAAATATAAAATGAAGAATTTTTGGTCTGATTCCAGCATACAATTCTGATTCTGGCATATAATACATACTCAATAAGTGCTAGTTATTACTTCTACTACTACCACAATGTTCATGACATTGTAAAGGATTCACTGGATTAGATATTCATTTAAGATGGGTTTACATAATGCTTCAGTGCTTATCTTGCCTTCAAATAGACAAAAGAGCCTTAAAAATGCTGAAATTGGCACTCGAGTTCATAAGCTGGCAGAACTTAAGTATAAGCTTTGATTATTTGCACAAGCAAGCAAAAACGAGTTACTAAGGCAAATAGGCATTTCATGTAGGCAAAGTCAAAATATAAAAACAGATTCAATGTTGAATGTTAGCTGAGGCTCTCTAAATCAGCAATTTGAGTTTTAGCAATACATACTATTTGTTACATTAAATTAATAAGGTGAATTCAACTGTTTTAGTTTCGTATATATTTAATATGTAAATTTTTGTCTCAGAACACAAGAGTTATTAATATGTAAAAGTATAAATCTAAAGAAGTTATACCTAGTTTTATGCTTGAATACATTTAAGCAGCATTACAATAAACTAATCTGAGTCATCATTAGGTGATTGAGAGACTATTTTTTCCTTTAAATGAAGTCCATGTGAAAGAGACATTGATCTAATGAAAAAAACAAATATATAAATCGCTCAATGCAAGATTTGGTGAATAATGGTTAAAAAGAACATATATGGAAGATGATTAACAAGAAAGCTACCATATAAAATGAAATGGGGTCACCCCAAAGAAGGGGGGGAACCAGAAGTGCTATAATGTCTACAATCCCAGCTTCAAATATTTCAGAGTGAGCTGTCCAGAGTGCCTCTTTTTGTAAATGGGGCAAATAAACTCTAGGTCCCTTGCACAGGACTTGCAGATCACTGAAAAGGGAATCTGTATATGCACACATGAATAATGTGTGGGTAAGTTACATCTCCTCTTTCTTAAGTAAGTACTGTCCTGGGGCATGTAGAAGTTAACCTTTCCCCCTCCAATTGCTATGATGTTCTAAGCTCAGAGAAAAAAGCAATGGTAACATTTAGGTCACCAAACAGCTTCCTGCCACAGCCCTGGAATTTGCTTCCCAAGATGCCAACTGCTGATCCCTTCATACCCTCAGTTATGTACATTCACTACCCCTTGCCAAGATCTGGGCGGGAGTCAAATTATAATGTCCTTTTACAAATTAGGGTTTCATATGGAAATACTGACATAGATTTTAACTGACACGCATTTTCCAATGATAAAACATGCAAACTGCTTAGTTCAGCACTACTTTAAAAAAATCCATCCAAACAACATCTGACATCAATTATACTGTAGATTTAAATATATATGTGTGGAGAAAGAAATGGTGTCCTTCTGCTCTTATTTGCATTATTAAAAGAGGCAACTTTTTAAAGTGCTTTTAAAGAAACTTATTTTTCCTCCATTTGCTAACCGCAACCACTATTCTATTTTCAGCATAAAACAGAAGGAAGGAATGGTTTCACAGGTGAAAAAACAGAGATATCTTTTTTTACAGTTATTTACTAAGCCGGTTAAGGAATACAGAATGGGTGCATATGTTGTCAACCATTCAGACTTTTTCAGAGAGTAAATTTTTGTTCTTCATTGTGGACTGTAACAAGGACCCACACTGACCTGTGATCATGAATAGGGGCCACATGCATAACTGGAAATACTTCAAAAGTAATTTGGATCATCAAGCCATCATTTGCCTTTTCCCAATTATTTTACATCTTAACAACATGGACCTCAAATTGAATGCTTTATAAAAGAGAGGTGAGAGGAAAGAAAATACTAGACTCATGGGGTATATCATCTACAGTTTTCTTTGAGAACAGTCTCTGTATCCTTTTGATAAAAATGTGTGTGCTCTTCATGAAATGCTATTTAATGCTAACTAACGGTAGATGACCCGTTTCTCTCTGAGGCTTGAGGTTCTGGATTTCAGGGTGCCAACATACCTGTGTGTGTGCAGTACATGCAAATCGCCTGTGGTAGCCATAGTCACAGGATGTGTCTTCAAGACAGAAACTTGCTTTGTGGCCTTCAGCCACTCTCCTCTGGGTGTTGGCATCAAGCAGGTCATAGTGGCTAAACTCATCCATACTGTGGTAATGTCTGATGTCCCACAAAACAAAAAGATGGTGGTCAGTTACATACAGAGAAAGCAATGAAGATATTAAATGACTTCCCCCATGGCTTCACAAATTTGTTTTCACATTAAAATTGAGACCAAATTTATCTTCTAAAAGAGAGATTCATGCTAGGGTTTTTTTTTCCCCAGGACATAAGTCTATCAAAATTGTAAGGTTTAACTTTGCTACTAGGACAAAAGACTTAGTTCAGTATTTTGCTTTCTTATTGTACCCCATTTTGTCTTTGAATATTAAATAGAAATGGACAATAAATTATCTGTGCTTAAGTGAAACTTGCCCTGTGTTCTCTAGTGTATTCCCCTTGGCTGCCACTGCTGATGTTTCATTCCGAAAAGCAGCACATGACTTTTTCAAGGTTTCTATGAGATTTTAAAAAATTGAGTTCTCACATATTTAAAATCATTAGTGAAAAGCAAGGGAGAACTCATGGCATGTTTTATCCACCATTATTATTTAAATAGTACACACTTTTATTTAGAAATAAAATATTCCTATTTTATCAGGAAATTAAGGGACTTATATCTACTTTTGTTATTTCATTAAATGGAAGGTGCTGAGCTGTTCATCTTCCCACATAAGGAAAAAACAATGAGGACTGGCTTGGATTTCAGGAAGTAAGTTTAAGGCCACACATGAGGATTTCCTGAAAATAAACACCCAGGCAAGTTACTAAGGCAAATGATAGAATTACCTTATGCAAAAATCCTTAAATTTAGGATAGAAAAGGCAACCACCTTGGGCTTGATACAGGTCTTTTAAAAGATGGAAGAAGGTCCTTCTGAGCTGATGGGATGTATCATCTACATCTTTCTTTGAGAATGGTTTCTGAATGCTTGTGATAAAAAACGTGTGGTCTTTATGAAATGCTATTTAATGCTAACTAACTTTAGATGATCTTGGCTGTAATGGACTTTTAAAGAAATCCTATCTGTAATGCATTGGAGTAAATTTTATTGAAGTCAATTGCTGTATCCTATCAACAGCTTTAATAAGCTGGGCTTCAGATTTTCCATTTCAAAAGATAACAGGATCTTGTAGTAGATGGGTTATGTGAAATTACATAGAGAAAAATTCTAAATATAAGTAATAGCAATTTTCTCCCTTCAGGTAAGAAATAAGACTTGCATTTGTGATATCAAAAATCACCTGAGAAATGAAAAGCAACCCAAAAGTACCCAGGAGGCCCATTTACTTACTGATGACAACTGTGCCATTCCCAGGAATATCTTGGTCGGCTGGGTAAGAAATCTGATGTCCCTTGGTTTTTCACTCTTTGGGGAAATCTGAGCAGCACCCTGTGATCATAATCTCTGACATCTGCCCTGTATGCTGTACTGTGATTTTGAAAAAAGAAAAATTATTATATTCATGGAATATTAACTAAAGACAAAACTACAAATAAAACATCCATTATATAGTAGTGACAATCCTCCTTTCCCAACTAGACTATCAGTTCCAAGAGTCTAAGGCATTTTGTTTCTTTTTGTTCATTGCTGAATCCAAAGCTCCTAGAACCGTCTTGGAGTAGTCAGAGCTCAATGAATATTTGGTGAATAAGTGAATGAATAACACCTATGGAAATCCACAGATCTTAACAGTAAAAACATAATAAGCATTAAAAATCTAAATGTCAGAAGTAAACTTTAGAATCAATTCAAGTTTGATCATATGAATGAGTGAAACTGAAGTGGAAATAATCCCCCAATAAAAAAAATAATTCATAGATGTTTATTACAAACTTCAAACTTAACAAAACTTTTAAAAAAGTTAATGAGCTGCAAACTGAGGAAATAACTCTAAAAGAGCATACCCAGATTTAAATTAATAATTTTGTAACTTCACTATCCCAAAACAATGGCAGTACTGTAAAAACATCATAGGGAGTTCAATGGTGTGAGTGATGCAAGACTCAGGAATGAAAATGAGCTTGGATTTCTTCACTTCCTTTAGCCTGACAATTATAAAGGGTCAAAGTGGAAGAAATGTACAAATAAACATCACTGTGTTCCTACTAATATATTTAGTGTGTCTATATGTTCAGGTGGTATTGATGACCTTATTTTACACTTTAAATTTTTATTAAAACATCTTTTGCTCCCTCTGCTGTTTCCCAGCAGTAAACCCAGAGAACCCCAATCCCAGAGTTACTATTTTATTTTAGAATAGTGGAAAAACAAAGCTCTTGCTCACGGTCTTATTCTGGCTGAAGTAATACCAAAACAACCAAGTTCATCGTGGTCTCAAACAAAAGAGGAAAACTTAGTCTTTACCAATGAGGCTACGATGGCAAATTTGCCCCGAATCTTTTAAGGGGGTATTAACACACCCTTCCATTACAATAAATTTTTTGAATTACTGTATAGTTGTTTTATGAAAAGTGATTGGAACAATTGACTCCCAAGTTTAAGTATCTTGGAAAAAGAGCATGAGACTTTCAGTCTCCAGGATAAGGGTTTCCTCCACCTCTGTGATTCCTGCTGCACTTTGAGACAGAACCCACAGAAATCTTCAAAAATATTAACTCTCCGTCCAGGTCAGCATGCCCAGGAGGTCACGTCCCACTTCCCAGCTCTTGTCCCACTTCCTAACACTTGTCTGCGCGAAGCAGTAGCAGTCAGAACCAGGCACCAGAGCGCCCCCTGAAGGTAGACCGGGGAGCGGGGCCTCAGACATATCAGCCCGTACCTGGCCAGACAGTTTTCCTCCGCCGCGCATCTCAGGTTGTACATGGACATCTTCTGCACGTACGTGGACGCCTGGATGTAGTAGGGGTCGGCCACCAGGTCTGGGAGACCTAAACGTCAGCAGGCGACGGGCGCAGCAGTGAAACAACCCGGCGCCCCCCGCTCCAACTCCCTACCCCTCTAGGTCCCTTACTCCTCACCCTTCGCCCACCGGGACTGCAGAGTGGAGCGGAGGACAGCAAGAGAACTGGGGACGCCCGGGACTGCAAAGCAATGTGAAAAGGAAGCAGGAGGGGCCAGACGCGCGGTTTGCACTGGATTCCAGGGCTGCCACTGCAGGCGCGTGGGGGAGGGATCGGATCTGCGAGGACCGGGGCCCGCCGCGCCCAGGCAGCCACGTCGAGAAGCCACATAGCTGGGGACCAGGTGCACGGGTGCTTCCAGCGGACTTGGGGGTACTTACCGTACTGGAAGTAGCCAGTGCCGTATCCGGGCCGGTACCTGCCCCCAGGTCTGGGCCTTTCATAAGTATCGTAGTAGTTGTAATAAGGGTTGTCGTCAGAGTACTTGTAGGGGTTGTAAGGGTCGTCGCCCACCATGCCGTCCACGCGGCTGGGCGGCCGCAGGTTACTGAGCGCAGGAACTTCTCCCGGCGCTGTCTGGTTCTCCGCGCGCGAGGCGCCAGCTTCGCGGGCTCTAGATGTCGAGTAGCCAGCTTGGAACCAGTGACGGGCGGTGGGCCTGGGGCGGCCAGCGGTGACTCCAGATGAGCCGGCCGTCCGCGTTCGCGCCGCGGCGGTGCGGTTGTCGCGGATCAGCAGGATCGGAGTGCGGGGCTGCTGGGCGGAGGCGTTGGCTGCACCAGGGACGGCGGCGCCCGGGTCCCGGCGGCGCTGAGGCTGGTACTGTGAGCCCAGGCTCAGCAAGCTGAACACCTGCCCGTTGTTCTCCCATTGGATCTGCTGGCGCCAGGCGCCCGGAGCCGCCGGCGGCTCGCGCGGGGGCTGCTGTTGGCCGGCGGCGGGAGGGGCGCAGTGCACTAGCGCGCAGAGCTGCAAAGGCCCGAGCAGGAGCACGGTCCAGGCGAAGCGCATCACTCCTTTTGCCAGATTGACCCCGCTCGAGGAGGACGTGGCTCACAGAAAATAAAAACGGGGCTCAAATCACGTGAGGGAAGGAGAAATCTTCAACCAAGGAGGCGAGCGGAGCACGGGTATCTCAGTCTCCACCAAGCAATGCCAAGGGTGGGATTCAGACCCTTCCCCAGTCAAGGCGGCTGCTCGGACGTGGCACCCTTCCCTTTCCCCTTTCTCAGTCCTGGAAGGCAACGGGGAGCGGCGCGGCAGTCCCGGAGAGCGGGCAGTGTCTGGAGTGAAGGAAGGAGGAGAGATTTTAAACTTTCTGGCACGTTTGCAAAGTTACACAAGCCGTTCTGGCCCGGCCGCCCCTCAGCTATTTGTTCACGTAATGCGATTGGAAACGTGCAAGGCGGACAGCTCCTCGCCTCTGCCCCTCCCTCTCTCCCGTCCCTGCCCTCCTCCCCCCAGACACGTTGCACAGGGAGCGTTAAGGGGAAAGAACAAAACGGAACACACATCCTGAGACACACTGGCTTAATCTGGGGCGAACATGCAGGAATTTCAAAAAACTCAGACAGGCGAAGGCAGCCAGGCCATGGGGCGACGCCAAAATATGCACGAAGAAAAATGCTATTAGGTCACCAGCCCTTGAGAGGCGGGAAGTCGGGAGGTTGGGAGGGTGCTGGGGGTGAGAGGGGGGCGGGGGAGGATTGTGACTAAAGTTTATCCATAAAAGAGTTAACCAGACACATTTCCCAACGCACACTCTCTCGCTTTTATGGGAAGCGCCCTCAGCAAATAAACCCCAGGATATCAAATTTTGTTTTTCTGTGTGTAGGTAATATGAGAAATGGGTTACAAATTTATTTCCTACAGTGAATATTTTAATAACCAAAAGTGAAATTGTACAGGGAACAAAGCCAGCTAACGCTGCAGCTATGAATAAACCTGTCTCTTTTTCAAAATGCCGGCCTGATTTGTACTTTGAGTAGAAGTGGAGAACCATCTTTCATCTCCACAGTGTCTACAAGGAAGATTCATTAAAGACTAGAACAAGTCTGCATGAGAAAGCACTCAGAAGGCATCTTCACATATGCATTTTATAAGACATTTTTCTCCTTCATCTTATAAAGAAGTTTGACTTTGGATTTAAAAAAAAATTAAATCACCTCTGTTAAATACTGAAAGTCAGTAAAACATCGCATGCTGTTTAATTTATCTTCCAATCTAAACAAAGAAGTTGCTGAAGAAACAGCCTTAGAGTTTAGATTTTGGTAAAGAGAAGGAAGTAGGAGTGGTCAGAAAAGAATATAGGTGGGGGATAAATTATGCTGACTGGAAAGAGATACATAATGGACGAGTTATTCATATACCACTCAGGGTTTGGGCAGTGCTAGAAACTTTGCAACAAAAAATGGTTACTAAATGGTCTGATTTAACACTACTACTCAAAACCAGATTTTGGTAACCATTTTATTGGTCTCATCATTGGGCTATTGTCCAGACATACTTCAATATTCACATACCTCTGTTAGTCTCTGTCTCTCCATATTTAATCACCACATTTTGGTGGTGTGGTGGACCTCTGCTGATTTTGACTGCCTCACATCCATTTTCCTTTTCTTTCTAGTAAGAACAACCGGATTTTCCTTTGAGGGGCTTCCCACCCACCCCACTCAGTTGCATAGTGGAAGGACTGAGCATTTATGAGACTTACCCACTTCAAGAAGTGGTCATGAGATCCAGGTTTGGCCAATCAAGCCATCTCTCTAGATGGTTTAATTTTATCTGGGATCTGAATCTTGAGCAGAAGGACACTGTCAAAAATGTTGCTCCTCAAACTACTAAAGAAAGTGCCCAGGCCTGGCGCAGTGGCTCACACCTGTAATCCTAGCACTTTGGGAGGCCAAGGCGGGCGGATCATTATCATTCGAGGTCAGGAGTTCGAGACCAGCCTGGCCAACATGGCAAAACCCCATCTCTACTAAAAATACAAACAAACAAACAAACAAACAAAAAATTAGCTGGGCATGGTGGCACATGTCTGTAATCCCAAACTACTCTGGAGGCTGAGGCTGGAGAATTGCTTGAGCCCGGAGAATTCCTTAAGCCCAGGAGGCAGAGGTTACAGTGAGCGGAGATCCACCACTGCACTCCAACTTGGGCAACAGAGTGAGACTCCATCTAAAAAACAAACAAACAAATGAAAAAGTGCCCATTATGTCTTGCTACATGGATCCGTCCCCTGCCCCGTCACCCAAGCTACTTTAGGTGAGTACATTCTAAGACCTGGTTCTTCAGCATTTCCTTCTTTCTTTCTTACTCCCCGACCCACCCCCCCATCCCCCCCATACATTCCTTTGTGACTGAACATGGTCAGAGTCAATTTCTGTTGTTTTCCACCTAAGAAGGCTGACTGACACTGAGCAGGGTGTGGCTGCTTCTGTCACCTAATCAGTTCACATTATTCTCAGTTCAGGGTGATGGGTTTGGTTCAGTTTGAGTCAAGTTAGATTTCCCCTGCCCATGACTGCACAGCATCCTTGGTCACAGGGAAATATCACATGGAAGCTCGCCAATGTGTTGGCAAATCTATTACTTACATGATAATTTGCACTTGAAGATGAACATTCAAATGCAATTCCCACTGATGGCAAGTCAACAGTGACATCTCACTCTCCCTATAAGGGTCAGAGACATCCCTAGCTGTCATTTTACAGACTTGCTGCAGTGCTTAAAATTAAACTACTCAACTCCTCCAAACCCACTAAGAAAGATGGAGTGAAAAAGAAGAAACAGGTGTATAGATTATAATTTCAATGGACAGGCCAAATTACAGGAGAAGCAGGAAACGAAAGAATGTAATTATCCCTCATCTGAAAAAGGCTCTGCATGTGCCCATGAACAGCTTATTCCCTAGACTAGAGAAGTCTGAAACTGCTATTACTTGACCACAGGTTCCTGAGGGAAGACCTCTGCTATGCCAGACATAGTGTCAGAATGGCAGACCAAAGCAGCACCCCTAATGGGAGGGTAGAAAGTTTACACTGGATCCCAGATAAAATGCCCTGTTTCCAATCCTAGTGCTCCAATAAAAAAAAAAAAAGCTGTGTCTCTTTGGACAGTTTGTTTACTATCTCTGGCTTTTGTTATATTTAGGATTCAAGGATTAACCAAATTCTTTCTAAAGTATTTTTCCTAGTTTTAAAATCTCTGATTTTTGTGAATATTCAAGTTATTCCAATTACTTTCGATTCATTGATAATAATGTGTTCATTATGATTATTAATATTTAATCAAATTTTTTTAGTTGGAGTTTAAAACATTGGATGCATTTTGTGTGAGTTAGAATCTGCAGACTGCAATTTTCTTATTCTACATATTTTCCAATAGTGAAAGTCAATACATATTTATTTGTTTTACAAACATTTCTTGAACACATATATATGTTCCGAAGTGTAGTATACCATAATGGTGACTTGCACACGTGAGCACTAAAAGTTTAGAGCTGAATGAAGTTGATCCTTTTTTCCAGATTTGCTCCAACAGACTTTAAAATTCTTATCAGAGTATAAATAACTGACTAGAGCAGTAATGATGTGCAATATTTATTTTCTTAAAACATGTACACACTACCAAAAGAGAAAAACACACTACCCTTTGTCACACATGCTAATGAAAAGCTTAGTTGATTTTCACTCTCCTTCATTTCCTCTAAAATCTCTCTGGCTTAGGACTCTGTCAGCTGAAAAACAAACATGTGGCTACCACATTTGGGGACAATACAGTGTTTGCAAGCCCTGCGGGAGATAATCTAGCCACACATTGTGTTCCCTGTTCAATAACAAAACTATTATTCACAAAATTGGAGAAACCATAGTTCCTTTCCACTCAAATCTGAGATGATAATGATGATGACAATAATAATAATAAGCCACGGCTACATCAAGATACAAACAGCTTTTTTTGCTTTGATAAGATCCACAGCTGATTTCACTTTTGACCATGAGATTTTCTTCTCGTGAACAATTCTGCAGTATGTGCCATAAGAGAAGGGAAGGAATGTTGCTAATTCTTTTTTTGAGTTTCTAGCCCATCAATATCAAATCTTTAAATGGCAATGTCTGGCCCATTGGCCAAGAAATGAAAGTTGTTGTAATGCTATGTTCCTGGTATTTGTTAAATACATTTATTTTTGTAGGACATTTCACATAAATGGAAAACAGAAAGCCGAAACCATAAAGCAGGGCCTCTGAATTGCAGAAGCCAGAACAGTAATGCCACATTCAAAGCAATCAGGTTCAAGTGTAAATTCTTTTGTTTGAGGCTCAAGAAGCTCATACAAAGCTTGTTTTTTGGTAAAGAGTAATGGTTGTATGTGCTTTGGTTCCATGTGGTTTGAAAACAAAACAGCACAGAGAATAAAATTTAAAAAGTGGAAAGTTGGAGATGTGTAAGGGGAAAATGATTGAGAAAACAGAATACCATATAACACAAAGGAGAATACACTCTGAGTGTTGAATTAGGACATTGAGGATACTTAAAAAGTAATTAAGAAATGTAACAGAGTGAAATACAGAACTAGAAATCTTTTTACTTGGAGTGAAATGGAGGAGAGGAGTAAGTTAGCCTTAAAGTTAACAGTGTGCTTGTGTTCCCTTCTACTACTTATCCTAGCCTTCTGCCACATACCACTTCCAGGTATTCACCCAAATATAAAAAGTAGACAGTTGGGTACACACTTGTCTGTGTGTCAAGACCAAACTGAAAAAAAAAAAGTATAAACAAACTGAGTAGAAGAATTCCAGAAATAATAACTTTTAAATGTATCTGGCTTGGTTACCCATTCCTTTGGGCCACCTAAGGAATGGAAAAGTGGAGTTTAACTCTAAGGAATAGAAAAGTATTTCATTCTGGTGTCCTTAATGCATGTTCACGTGTGATGAAGTAAAGAATGTTAGTTACTGAAACAAAATGGGAAAATGAGAAGAGGTGATATGATAGGAGAATGGGTCTTTGAAGTACAGGGGATCAGAGTTCAAAGTAATTAGTTCTATTAACAATAAAAATAAGGGTTCACCGGGAGGCGAAGCTTGCAGTGAGCCGAGATTGCGCCACTGCACTCCAGCCTGGGTGACAGAGCCAGACTCCGTCTCAAAAAAAAAAAAAAAAAAAAAAAAAAGGGTTCAGCCAATTGGCAAAATTGCTTACAAGTAAAGTCCACATGATTTAATTGGTCCCAATAGACAGTCCAATGGCAAAATGGCAACGTTCTTCATGCTGTGGAGTGTATAGGGTCATTTTTGTTATTAATTGATACAATGAAGTGTGCTCCTATTTCTACCTCTGGACTTCTTTTCTGCTCCTAAGCTCTTGCTGGATTCAGTTTCACTGTCCCAGTACCCTAAAAGTTATTTAATATAACCTAGGCATGATCCTCCAAAATCGTGGGGTATAAGTCAGGAGGGTCCTGACTTATATTCTTCCTCTGCCTATCACATGCAATGATTGCAATCTTACTACTAGGCAGTCATCCCTCTGCTTTAACTTAACTCAGTGTGCATTGCCTTCTCTTAAGGCCCAGGGAAAACAAGATGACAAATGTCTAACGTCTTAATGGGAATTATCTGAGATTTAATTTTTTGTCCCTCTCTCCTGTAAAATGATAGATCTCAGAATATTTGAGGGTGTTGTGTGTGTTTGGAGTGAAGGCAGAGTGGAAGGAAAATGTTGATGAGGCTGTGAAAGTGAAACCCTGCTTCACAATTATGCTTGAGGTCAACTTTGAGAATCAGTTCTTTTTCTTTCTATTATGATTAGAATGTTACTCTTGATTATATAGCACCTTAATCAAACAATGAATTTTTTTTTTGAGGCAGAGTTTCACTCTTGTCTCCCAGGCTGGAGTACAGTGATGAAATCTCAGCTTACTGCAACCTCCACCTCCCAGGTTCAAGTGGTTCTCCTGCCTCAGCCTCCCCAGTAGCCAGGATTACAGGTGCATGACACCACACTCAGCTAATTTTTTTATTTTTATTTTTAGTAGAGACAGTGTTTCGCTATGTTGGCCAGGATGGTCTTGAACTCCTTACCTCAAATGATCAGCCTGTCTCAGCCTCCCAAAGTGCTAGCTGGGATTACAGGTGTGAGCCACTGCGCCCAGCCTGAAATTTTTTTATATAATGGCTCTTGAAGCCGTGAGTCTTTTAAACAGGCTCAGTTAGTTATAATTAGTCCTATAACTATATTGCAGTAAACATGGGTTTCTCTGACTTTTATATATTTTCTAATATTTCAGCTGTTTTATGGATCACAGTTATCTCTTTCAGGAGGCACAGAGAAAAAAACTTAAGCCCTGTGTCATAAAGTCTGTGGGAACTGTGTCTCCAATAGGTCACATAATGGCACTGGACTCTTTGACCCTATTCTAGGCTGCTTATGTGAAGAAGACAGGCTTGTTTGCCAGGGAGATATCTTTTATACGTTATGCTCAATGGTCTATATAAGTTTTTGAAATGGTTAACATAAGAGCCTATAGTACAGTGGCATATTGAAAAATAATAAATGCATTGATTAAATGAAAATATTAGGTGAAAATCTCAAAATGAAGTTATACAACCTTAAATGATCTGTGGTTAAGGAGTCTCCAATACCTAAATCATTGAGTTGAATATACAGGGTCTTTTCAAATTTGCTAAATAGATGCCTAGTCAAGGAAAGAAATAATTTAAAGAATAAGCAAAAACAAGTAATTATAAAAACTCCCTCAATTTAATCTCCCTCTCTAACAGGACAATACCTGTCCTCTCATTACTAATAATTGCTTCTGTTTCTTACCATTTACTATGCTCCTGGAACTATACAAAGTGCTTGAATGTATTACCTCACTTTTATATTCACAATAACCCTATGAGGTGGTTATTAATATTTTCATTTTATAGATAAGGAACATATCTATAAAGCTTAGAGAGATAAAGCATCATGCTCAGTTAAAACTTGGCAGAGCTGGATCTTGAACCCAGGTCTAGCCTGCTATAAGCACGATATTAAATTCTTGTTATGTGAAGTAGAAAAAAGGTAAGTAGTTGTTTCTTTCATTTTCCTTTCTTTGTTTAATTACTGGAAAAAATAAGCTGAGTTACTCATTAAAGTTTACATCACAAGGAGATTGTGGCCAGGCCAATTAAATAATTAGACTAGCAGTGACTGTCATTCTAGTGCCCATGGCTAAATGGCTGTGGGATACGTGTGACATACAAGTTAGCTGGGAAGGTGACAAGTAGTAGAAAGAACGTTGACTATGGAGACAGACAGTCCTTGGATAACTCTCACCTCTACTATTTACTAACAATAAGTACTTGGATGAATTACTTAACTATTATGAGACTTGGGTTTCGGCACCAAAAATAAAGATAATAAAATCTATCTTCAGGGTTGTTGTGAGAATGAAATGTTTGTAAGTGCATGTCAGAGCATCTAGCTTATGTTAGGCAATGAATAAATGGTAGTTATTACTACTTGGTACTTGGACATAGAATTTAAAAGTCGACAAAGACAACTGTATACAATCATGCAAAAAGGCATTTTCTATAAACAAGGAAAAAGGAACATTCTTTCCTTCTTAAAGTGCCTATTTTGCTACTTTGAGGCAGGCAGGCTTTTTTAAAAAAAGAAATCAGTAAGAAATTATTGAGATATGATTTATACAAAATAAAACGTACAACCTTCAAGTGTGCAGTTTGATGAATTTTTTTAAAATGTATATGCCCTTGTAGCCAGTACCACAAGCCTGATACAGAATTTTTCCATAATTTTACAAAGTCTTCTTGAGCCCACTCTACCCCTGCCCCAGGTAACCACAGTTTTGATTTTTTTCACCTCGATGTTTTATTTGCTCCAATACTTCAAGTTAGTAGGAATTTTACAGCAGCTCTTCTCTTGTGTCTATTCTTTGGTTCAGCGTAATGTCTGTAAGATTCGTCCATGTTGTTGCTCAATCTTGATGAGTAGTATTTCATGCTATGAACATATCATAATCGGTTTATTTGTTCATTTTGTTGGGGGGGGGGGAATTTCCCCCCAGATTGGGGCCATTATGAATAAAGCTGCGATGAACATTCATCTACAAATTATCCTATGGATGTATATTTTCATTTCCTTTTTGTAAATGGAGATAGAATTACTGCATCTTTAGAGTAAGTACATGTTTAATTTTACACAAAATTGTCAAATCGTTTTATAGTTAGTTGTATTATTTTTACATTCACACCAGCCACATATAAAGTTCTAGTTGTTTCACATCCTTATCAACCTCTGGTATTACAGTGTTTTCCAATTTAGCCATTGAGTGTGAAATGATATTTCATTGTCATTTTAATTTGCATTTCTTTAGTGACTAAAGATTTTAAGCATTTTTTTCATTTTCACACATTTATGGTATATCTGTTCAAATTTTTCCCAATTTTTAATTTTTTTTGTATTCTTATTGAGATGTAAAAGTTTTTTATACATTCAGGATATCAGACTTACTTAAGATAAATGCATTACAAATATTTTCTCTCAGTCTGTCGACTTAACTTTTCATTTTCTTAATGATGTCTTTTGCAGAATAGAGTTTGTAATTTTGATATATCCAGTATCAATTTGCTCTCTTTCACTATTGGTGTCCTTTGTATCCTAAGAAATCATTTTTTAGCCCAAGGCCATGAGATTTTCTTCCATATTTTTCTCTAGAAGTTTTCTAATTTTAGCTTTATCTTTAGGTCTATGATCCATTTCAAAATACTTTGTATATGGTATGAAGTAGGAGTTGAGGTTTATCTTTTTCCACATGAATATCCAGTTGATTCAGAACTGTTTTTTGAAAGGTTTAGTATTTCTCTAAGGTGTTCCTTAATACCTTTGTCAAAAATCAATCTACTTTATATGTGTGGGTCTATAACAAATATAGATATAACAAATCAGTGAAACAGAACTTTCTATTCTGTTTCACTAATCTATTTACCTATTCCTATACCAATACCATATTGTCTTGTTTATTGTAGCTTTCTAGTAAGTCTTCAAATCAGGTAGTGAAAGTCTTCCAACTTCATGTTTTTTTCCAAAACTATTCTGTTTTAGATCCTTTGCTTTTCTATATACATTTTAATAATAGCCTGTCAATTTCCATTTAAAAGACTGCTGGAATTCTGACTCAGGCTGTATTAAATCTATAGGTAAATTTGGAGACAATTTACATTTTAACAATATTAATATTCCAATCCATGAACGTGGTATATTGCTCCTTTTATTCAGGTTTTCTTTAACTTCTCTCAGCAATATCTTATAGTATTTAATCTAGAAAGCTTGCATGTCTTTTGTTAATTATTTTCTAAGTATTTTATTTGTTTTAAAATTATCATAGAGGAAAATGTTTAAGTTTAAGCTTATTGTTGTTGTTACTAGTTTATAGAAAGACAATTTATTTTATATATTGACTTTATATCCTCTTAAAAACTTTCTCTCATCAAAATTTAAGGAGGAGAATAGTAAAAGACCTCAAAAGAGAGCTGAAGGATATAAATAAGAAAACAAGATCAAGAGACACAAGGAATGATTCTATATAAAGACTTTTGGAAAAAAGACAATGAAAAAAACAGGGCCATAACAGTTAACCGCTGCTATGTAACAAATCATCTCAAAATTTAGTGCCTTAAAATAAAACACATAATATTATTTCACAATCCTGTAGGATAGCTGAGTTGTTCTTCTGCTATTATCACCTGGGCTCCCTCATATAACTGCATTCAGCTATATCTTTGTTTCAGAATTATATGTGATATATATTTTATTCTATTTGTGAGTAGATCAATTTATTGGGGAATATAATTTTGACCACAGAAATTCCTATTGAATAGAACATGAATAATTTGTTTTACATCTCACAATATTAGAAATAACTAGATACTTCCAAAATATTCAGTTGCTATTTAAAAGATTAATACTTTTGTAACAATTATGGTGACTCATAAAAATTTAAAAGCAAAAAGGATAGCATACTTTATTCGCTTTTTAAATAAAGTTAACCTGTCATAGAATCAGTAGCAGAGCTGCTTCACAGAAGATAGAAATATTTGTATATATGAAAGCATTATTCATTTAATAATAGATGAAAGGGATATAATTTTAAATAAAATATTATAGTGCATTCATACAAACATACAGCTCTGTGTGTGTGTATTTTAAAACCCTTAATATGCAACATTACATGTCGAAACTGATTGTCTGCACCAAGGTTTTTTCTTTGTTGTTCTTTATTTTAGTAACCATAACCCCAGCTGACTATTCCAGAAACCTGAGACTCATCGCTCAGGTCACTCTGTCTTTTACCCCAACATCCAATCCATTTTCAAATATGGTTAATTGCGCCTCCTTTATATTTCTTGGACATTTCTGGTCCTCCTTGGACATTTCAAACACCTCTGTGCAAGTCACCAGCCATCTCTCTGTTAGGCAATAACCTCCTAACCAATTTCCCCACATCCGCTCATGTCCACCCACCCTTCAGATACTCCATATTGCACCTAGGATGATGTTTTCATAAACACAAATCTGACCATGCCATTTCTGTCATCAAAACAATTTAGGGAATCTCACTACCTTTGAGTAAAGTAAACAATCTATACTATGGTCTAATGCTCCCCACTCTTGACTACTTCTGCAGGTTCAATACCACCAGCACCCTCATCTCCCTACACAGCCTTACCTCCTTTACACTACTACTAATTGCAGGTTCCAGACCAAACTCTCATGTTCTTTGAGAGCCTCAGGGCCTTTCCTTTGCTATTCCCTTTTCATGAACTGCTTTTTCCTCCACTCTTTTGCTAGCCAACCTCATCTCACTCTTCAAGCCTCAGTTTAAATGTCATTGCTTTCTGGAGACAAAGTCAGCCCCTTCTCTTTGCCCTTACATAGCATACTGCACTTCTTTGTAAAGCCACCCTCACCTGTAATTATGTATTCAATGTCTGTCTTCTCAACTAAATTGTAATTTCCATGATATAAATTTTATCTGTAACGTATTCATCCAAGCTGTATATTTCCATCTGTAGGAACGATGACTTCCTTTATGTATTGTGTGTAGACCAAGTACAATAACTGTTCTTAATACATGTTAATAAGTAGTAATCATAAAGACACTTTGTTCCAGCTCAGCATGGTTTCAACAAACATGCATTACACTCTCAGAATATGTGTGCCAAATGAAAATTCACTTCAGCTCTCTCAGCATGGGAACTTAAGTATTTACTCATTTTGGAGAGAAATAGGCATAATTTAACCAGAATAGCAGAGTGTGTGCTCCAGAGAGGTCTTGGGCTGAAGAAATTGAAACCTTAATCTCATTAAAATGACAGTCTTGGCATAAGTTAATGGGGAATCTTGCCCAATGCTTGACCACACCAATCTGGCTTTATTCAGGCCCTCACATTTACATGCACCAAAAATCTACATTTCTTAATTTTAGAGGGGTTAAGGTAACTTCATTGTAAACAAAACAGTTTTGTGGTAGAGTAAATAGATTTAAGGCTATCCCATTGAAAATTTTCATTTGTAAATTGAATAATTCATGTAACTAAGCAGTCTTTTTTACATCTTGTTAGGAGCCTGGTTATTTTATAAAGTACCCTGTGTTGAGAATGGTGTTTAGGTATTTCCACAATGACTGCGTGGCAAATTGTGAATGAGATGAGAGGAAATACTTTAAGATGATCTAACACTAAATTCTAAGGTTTATGTGGCAGAATGCATGCATGAGTGTTGAGATAGGGTTCTTCAAAATGCTGTGACTCAGTTTGGGAGATAACAGGGCGCCAGCTAAAAGCAGCTCCAGCTGCAGTCCAAATGGTGATATTTTCATATGTGAAGTGCTAATAAGCAGTTAGTAATCTTTCAAGCAAACCACAAAGGAAGTCCACAAATTACTACAGAACACTTTATTTATGTTAACACTCTTGCACACAATCAAATAGGCTTTTTATCCTAAGTGTCTCCATTAAAGGTTTTCAGAAAAAGAAAAAAAACAACAACAAAACAAAACCTAAGACTAGCTATAGGAACAGCAACAAAAAACAGAAACAGAAGTTACTGTTTTATTAACACACTTGTGTTATGCTATAACCCTGTACTAATAATCAGTTATATAAACAAGTGATTAGTGAGAACAAAACTGACACAATGACACAATTCAATCATTTCCTTATTATTAATGGATGTTATCAAGTTGATATTTCTGGAAGTAAATAATATATTTTCCCATTAATACTAAGTAACTACAAAATAAAATACTGCTATAATATATTACATAATCACAATCATCTTTTTTAAAGATATGTTTTTCATAATGGCCCCCATGTTAATTTCTGAGAGACTAGACCATAACACTTTGTAAGAGAATGGTGATCTGTTTTAAATATTCGATGTTTATTTCACATTAGCTAGAGACTGACACTGAGGATTAAGCCTAAAGACATGTTTAATGAAGACAGGCTTAAGTATGTGCTCTCTATTTTGGCATTTTTCTTGGAGACTGAGTGAAGTTTCTAATTGCTTAATTACTATTAGGATGATTGTCTATTGTTTATTGCAGCGGTTCCCAACGTTTTTGGCACTAGGGACCAGTTTCATGGAAGGCAGTTTTTCCATGGACCAAGGTTAGGGTGTGGAGAATGGTTTCAGGATGAGTCAAGTACATTAAATTTATTGTGTACTTTATTTCTATTATTATTACATTGTAATATATAATGAAATAATTATACAACTCACCAAAATGTAAAATCAGTTGTTTTCCTGCCACTGTACAGTCCCATCTGGGGGTGATGGGAGACAGTGACAGACCATCAGGCATTAGATTATTATAAGGAGCATGCAACCTAAATCCCTCATATGCACAGTTCACAATGGGGTTCACGCTCATATGAGAATCTAATGCCATGATTGATCTGACAGGAAGCAAAGCTCAGGTGGTAATGTGAGGAAAGAGGATCTTGGTAAACATGCTATTGTAAGTTTAATGTCTCTACTCCCCTTCCGAGAACCCCATGTCTCCTTACTGGGAAACTTCAAGTCAAATGGTTTTAGGATTTACTGACAGAGGTTACTTGCTAGTATGAATTTGAGAAATTCATGGGAGGTACCTCACCAGGAACCCAAAAAATGGAATTTTTGACGTGGGGAGTGTCTGTAAATACAGATGAAGCTTCACTTGCTGGCCCACTGCTCACCTCCTGCTGTGCAGCCCAGTTCCTAACAGGGATGGTACTGGTCCGTGTCCTGGGGTTTGGGAACCACTGGTTTATTGAAAAGACATTCTGCTGGGTTGGTATGGAGCCCAAGTTATATTTGGGTTACACATTAGGGACTACTTCTTGTGATTTTGAGCCTAAATTATAATAAACTCTAGATATACACACCCTATGCCTATCAGAATAGTAATGAAGGGGTAAATGGCCCCCAACACAAGTGGCAATGGTTTTTGGAATAATACCAAAAGCCAACGAAATGTGATGGAGATTTACTGAAGCTAAGCATTAATTTTGGGGATAGGATGTTCTCGATGTAGGCCTAGATGTATGCAGCATCGTGTAAGGCTATCTATTAAAGAAGTCTAAAAAATTCACTTGTGATATTGAGTCATAAAGTTGGTTTTTAATCCATTCTCAACAGACTCTCAATTTTTAAAATTTTTGTCAACTTCTTATAATAATTCCTGGGAGAAAAGAGGATCTTGGTAAACATGCTATTATAAGTTGAATGTCTCTACTCCTCTTCCGAGAACCCCATGTCTCTTTACTGGGAAACTTCAAGACAAATGGTTTTAGGATTTAGTGACAGAAGTTACTTGCTAGTATGAATTTGAGAAATTCATGGGAGGTACCTCACCAGGAACCCAAAAAATGGAATGTTTTATGTGGGGAGTGAATGACTTAAAACTGCATTGGGATAAATCCTTGGAAACAGAAAAATATTCTCTTTAGGTCTAGTGAACTCAAAACCACGAAATACTTTCCTTTCACGGTGGACTTCCTCAGTTCTCTAGAATGAATGTATGGTAGGATGGAGACTTACTGGAATTCATATGTCAAGTTCATAACTGAGTGGGTAGAAGCTCTCCTTTTAATTCCTACAGTAAACGACAAAAATGAGTAATCCTCTAGGGGGCAATAGAGTATGACTTAGGCTCAGAATTGCCGGGATCAAGATCCTGAGGGAAAGATTGGTCATGAAGAATTCTTAAACTGTCTTACACTTGAAAAAAACAGTCGGCTGGTTCAACTTTATCACAGCCCCTCAAGAATCTCCCTGATTTTTTGTGGTAAGGCTGAACAGCACCGAGGTGGAACAAGGGATGAGTGTAGCTGCCCTGCCGGTGCATTACAAATGGATGGAACCTGAACCCCAGAACTGGGGAAGATGAGAAGAGGAAGGGTTGCAGCAAGGCTGACTCAGGCTCTTGAAGTGGGATGCTCTCCAGTGAGGTTTCTGACCCTGAGGAGCCCGTCTTGTCAGGGGCTTTACTGGGGACGGTGTGCTTTTATTTATTTTCAGTATGAATTTTCAGCTCTTCAGTTCTCTACATTTTATAGTACCCAGGACGGCAGAAAACTTTTCCTAGGCCACTTTGGATTTACCAAAACTTTGGTGGTTTGGCCTGCATCATGCTGCTTTAGTTTTGTTGGTGCAGCTCATCTAGCGATCAACTGCTCAGGTAATAGAAAGAACTCCGTGAAGTTATCTTCGTCCTCATATTACGAAAACAATGACCCTGGGTGGGTGGGGAGTAAAATCCCAATGCTGATATACAGTCAGCCCTCCCTGTTTATGGGTTCCGCATCCATGGATTAAACAACCACTGATGGAGGAAAATGTTTAGGAAAAAAAATGTGTCTGTACTGAATATGTAGACTTTTTTTCTTATTTAGGTAGCATTTACATTGTATTAGATATTATAAAGAATCTTAAAATGATCTAAAGTATATGGGGGGATATGCATAGGTTATATGTCAATACTATGCCATTTTATATCAGAGAGTTGGGTATCCACTGATTTTGTTATCTGTGAGAGGTCCTGGAATGAGTCCCCCATAAGTACCAAGAGATGACTATATTGCCTTTCCAAAGTTCTAGTGGAAACTTGGACTGACATAGGTGTGGTGGCTTTCCAGGGTACCTGTTGGTAAGCCTGCCTGACCTAGGTGAAGAAGAGAAAAAGCATGTTAGAGTGATGAGAGGAGGGAATGTGGTGTCCGAACACATACGGCATTTTCTTCTTGGTAGAGCTGCATGAAGAACTAATGGGGGAAAGGGGTGACAGAGGACAGAGTATTTTTGCAAACATTTATAGTCTCTCTTGCCCCTTTGTTTTCTTCCAAGGAGAAAAAAATTCTTACTGGCTGGATTTCATTTTCCATGAAGAATGTGGGGTGATGAGATAGTTCGTATGAGAAAAACAATCAAAACACAGGAGGAGAATAAACTTGACAGAGGGCTGCGTACAGCAGGGAAAGTCACTGTGGGCAGCCGGAGCTATTGGGAAAGAAGTGGTCTTAGTAAAAGGACAGTTCTGGAAGGAAGATGAGAGAGAAAGGGTGCCAGTGATTGGATCATTTTAGAGGACTGAGTTGAGTTTGTAAAGAGATGAGGAATAAGAAAACTATCCAGCAAAGAATGTTAAGTCATGTGGCTTATATTAACAGTATGCTGTCTGTTTTCAGGCATTTTCCCCACCAAGAGACTTAGTAAAGATTCCAAATACTTTTATTGACTGTAGAGGAATAGGCCATTTGGGGGCAGAACTCAATTATCTTTAGAATACAATTATCTAGTATAACGATTTCGAATGTTATTATCTGCTAACCTAAATTACTTCTTTTAGCTCTTTGTTCACTTTATATTTGGATAATACACTTTCCTAAGTAGCAATAAATCTGAAAAATATTTTAGAAATGTATTTTTAATTCAACAAAAATATAAAGTTCTAGCTGGGTATTACCAGGCTTTCCGCCAAGTACAGTAATTGTTACTTGTGGAATTTTCTTAGAATGGCCAAGGCATTTGACTCAATAACTATAACTCTGGAATGAGTAGCTGGGTGGAGTCACTAGTCTTTTGGAAAGTTGGTGGGTTAGTTCAAGCCTATATGCTAGAAGAAGAGATTTATAGGTGGATTCACTCGGCAGATCTGAGAAACATAGGGTGTATGTTTTATTCAAATTGAACATTAAATTTCATTACCTATGCGATTTGTTCCCCCTTTCTCCTAACCAATGGTTTGTTTCTTTTTTCTTTTTCTTTTTTTTTTTTGAGACAAGGTCTCACTGTCACCCAGGTTGGGGTGCAGTGGTGCAATGTTGGCTCACTGCAACCTCCGCCTCCAGAGTTCAAGCGATTCTCCTGCCTCAGCCTCCCAGCTAGTTGAGATTACAGGCTCCTGCCACCACATCCGGCTAATTTTTGCATTTTTTTTTTTTTTTTAGTAGAGACGAGGTTTCACCATGTTGCCCAGGCTGGTCTTGAACTTCTGACCTCAGATGATCCACCTGCCTCAGCATCCCTAAGTGCTGGGACTACAGATGTGAGCCACCACTCCAGGCCCGTTTGTTTCTTTTTCCCTTTTATCTTCATGCTTTTTTAAATACCATGGTGATAAACCATCTATTAAATTATAGTCTTTAGAATATATAAATGCAAAGTCCACATTTAAGTCAGGTTAGGAAGTGGGTGGGAGTTGTCAGTTATTTGAGAACACACATGTACTGAAAACAACCACAAAGCTATGAGGAACTGAGGCAAATTTAGGGAGCAGAGGGCGACAGGATCACTGCTCAACCAAGCAACACAGCAGGCACAGTTCTCAGCCACAATGCCCAGATCCTTTCTTTGAGTTGAAACTGAATTTCCTTGTTATTCTTTCCAAGATGGAAATGTGTAGAACCAATGTGTAGAAATGCAGAATATAAATGCAAGCAAATAAATTGCAAATGGGACAGCCTAAGTACAAAAGTTAACTTTTAAAAATCATTTGTGAATAAGTTGGTTCATCTCCAAAGTGTTACTTCAGATGTGCCCAAGTGCATAGAAAAATTCTGACAAGCTTGGATTTGTAATAAACATACTTCTTGGATGCTTCATATTTCCAAAATGTTAATAAGCTAAATTTTGAGTTTAAAATTAGCTTAAACAAAATGTTAGCGTTTTGATTTGAAACTTTATGGGGCATGTGTCCCCCCCTTGCATGCCTTCCTAAACTCCAGAGGTAGGACAGCTAAAATCCACACCTCTCAGAGTGCCCTGAAGCCAGAGTTCAAGAATTAGGTTCTGAAACCAAACGAGATGTACAAAATTTGAAACTGAAGTAAGACAGAGTTTCTTCTTTTTCAGTTTTTGCTGATTTTGCTGACAAGCATGATTATGCGGGAATTGAGATTTTCAGCTGCAGAGGACATTCCAGGGTCCATTCAATAGCTTTGTGGGTCTAGTGTGTACTGCAGGGTTTAGGAGGTGCAGGACATCTCTGGAGCTGACAGTTGCACCTTGCAGATCCCTGGATTCCAGCTAAAGTATGTGTTACTGGAGCCATAGTTCCAGGGACAGCTTCCAGATTCCCAGCTTCCACTGAAAATGTGGCCGAGGTAGCAGCTCCCTTGGTAAGCCAGTGTTACAGAATCTTCCTGCAATTATTTCTGGAGACCAGGCTAGACTCCAATACTCCATCTCTTTCAATAATTTTATAAGAATGTAATTTCTCAATTTAAATTATTTTCTGCTTAAAATAGAGTGTTTTTTGTTATCTGTAACTGAATCTTGATTGATAACAATGTTTGAGACAATAGGTTACGTATTTAACCTACTTGTGATTGATGCAAGCAAGGAAGTACTTACCTTTTTATTTATTTATTTATTTTGAAACGGAGTTTTGCTCTTGTTGCCCAGGCTGGAGTGCAATGGCATGGTCTCAGGTCACCGCAACCTCCACCTCCTGGGTTCAAACAATTCTCCTGCCTCAGCCTCCTGAGTAGCTGGGAGTACAGGCATGCGCCACCACGCCTAGCTAATTTTGTATTTTTAGTAGAGACGAGGTGTCTCCATGTTGGTCACGCTAGTCTCGAACTCCTGACCTCAGTTGATCCGCCCACCTTGGCCTCCCAAAGTGCTGGGATTATAGGCGTGAGCCACTGCACCCTACTTACCTTTAAATGAGGGGATAATTGTAATTTTTGGCAGCAGGTGGTGAAACAGTAAAATAGTAATTTTTGGCAGCTGGTGGTGTATCACCTGTAATGAGTGCCTATAGAAAACCTGGCTTTGACGGACTGAGTGATAAAGGTTGTGGCATAGCAGGAGGATATGATGAATAAGGATAAACTGGCTGCTGCAAACTGCGCTGGAGAGATTTTAAAAAGAAATGGGAAATTCAGGGCTTTAAATTATCCATTCAATGTGGTGAGAGAGCCAGGGAATTTTTAGCCTTAAAAGAATCTTCTTTCTTGTGGCTGCTGAGCTGATGTAGCCAAAAATCAATCACAAAATCTGTCCCTATGGCTTGTTGAATCACCTGGCTGGTTTCTGTCCCACTTGGGGTCTCCTCTTTCGCTTTGGAGCCCCCATCCCTCTGTCTCTGCAGGGAGGAGCTTCTATCTTCTGCTTTCTCTCTTCTATCTTGCCTATTAAGCTCTCTGCTCCTTAACCCACTCCACGTGTGTCCATGTCCTTTTATCTAAACCGGCATGAGGACCTAGAACCCTGGTGTTCCTCCCCTCATCCGAGCTGTATCACTTGTATATGTAGCTTTGAGTTCCTACTCATCTAAGCATGATAAATTCCTAGAAAGAGAATTTTTTATAAAAAGATATGTGCACTTTTCATTTGCTAGTCACTGCCAAATTGCCCTCCAAGAGAATTATTTGCACACTCATCAACAGCATACGAAAGCGCCGATTTTCTGTATCCTCCCCAACTCAGGGTTTTGTCAGATGTTTTGATCTTCATCAACTAGATAAATAGAAATAGATGTTTCATTATAGCTTTAATTTGCATTTTTATTATGGGTTATTTTGAGCCTTTTTTAACTGTAAAAGTAATTTGTATTTTTGTTCCTGTTAAGTGTGATATCCTTCGTCTCCTGGATTGTGAGTCCTTTCCATTTTATTTACGGTAGTTAACTGTATAATGGAATAAGCTTTTTTTTTATTGTCTTGTATGTTGAAATATTGCTCTCCCTTGGCTATAGTACTTTTATTCCAGGCAGAAAGTAAAGTTTACTTAACTTTTATGTGAGTGACTTTATTTTTTTATTTTTAATTTTTTAATGATCTTTCACTTTTCTGACAGGCTTAAGAAAGCCTTTCCTATTTTAAGAGTGCAAAAATATTCTCCCATAATTTTTTTCTGGTTTCCAGAAATGTTTGTATGTTTCTGGTTTCTATTGTTGTATTTGAAAGTATGGCATTCTTTTTTGTGTAAAGCATGAGATTAGAATCTCTTTTTGTTTTCCCATCCAGATGACAAAACCCACAATTTTAACAAGTATTCAAGATTGCCTTCTTGAGAAGGTTCTCACAGAGGACATCTTACCCGTTCTATTAGCCATGTGCCCCTGAGGGTCCAGTCATTCCTAAGTGCCTTTCAAGCTGCTCCCTCACAGTTGGATTTGTTTTATTTTTTATTACAGCTTGTAATTGAGAGACACTGAGGCTTGCACATCATGTAAAGGCAGGAAGACCACCAGGAGAAACTTATGTTTTTACCAAGTCTCATGCTGCTGTCAATCTGATGGGGTGTAGGGCTACTCACACCTGCAACATTGCTTCTTAATGGGTTGGTATCCCATGTGGGTAATACAGGCATGGATTACCATACTTAATTATATTAGCAACAGTATTTTTTTAATGTAATTCAGTTAGTGATCAACAACAACAAAAAACCCTTTTGTATATGTGAAGGAAAGTTAAAATAATAGTTATTCTTTTAACTGCCTTTATTGTTTTTGGTTCAAAAATAATAAGCTTTAAAATAGTTGTTTAAAATTATTTACTTATTTATCTATTTATTTATTTTAGAGAGAGTTTCGCTCTTGTTGCCCAGGCTGGAATGCAATGGTGTGATCTCAGCTCACTGCAACTTCTCTCTCCCGGATTCAAGCAATTCTCCTGCCTCAACCTCCCGAGTAGCTGAGATTACAGGCACCCACCACCATGCCTGGCTAACTTTTTATATTTTTAGTAAAGACAGGGTTTCACCATGTTGGCCAGGCTGGTCTCAAACTCCTGACCTCAGGTGATCCACCCGCCTTGGCCTTCCAAAGTGCCGGGATTACAGGTGTGAGCCACCGCACCCGGCCTATTTTTATTTTTAAAGACAGGATCTTGCTCTGTCACCCAGCCTGGAGTGCAGGGGCATGATCACGGCTCACTGCAGCCTCAACCTCCTGGGATCAAGTGATCCTCCCACCTCAGCCTCCAAAGTACCTAGGACCACAGGTGCACACCACCATGCTTGGCTAATTTTTAATTTTTTTTTTTTCTGTAGAGATGAGGTTTCACTATGTTGCCCAGGCTGGTCTTGAACTCCTGGGCTCAAGCAGTCCTCCTGCCTTGGCTTCGTAAAGTGCTGGAATTACAGGCATGAGCCACCAGGCCTAGCCTAAAAATATTTTTTATTAGTAAATATATTGCTTTTTTTATTTTAGAAATTTCAGTGTGTTGTTGAGTCAATAAAAAATGGGCTGCTTTCTGAGACCAATTTTCCTAAAAAATCAGAATTATCAAGTCTGTCTATAAACCACTCATGAATGCTTCCTGCAGGTTAAAGTGTGAGTGGTTTTCATGTGACTGCTGCAGCCAATGCTATACAAGAATCCATGACCATGTGAAGACCATACGTGGCTGATCACTGGGAAAACAAAAGTAGGCATTAATAAAAAATTAAATGGGAAATAATACGAGGTAAAACTAAACTTTGATTGAGAACTTATTTTTGCCAAGCACTATGGTAAGTGCTATACATGCAGTACCTCATATAATCACCAACCCAAGAAGGTAGGAACTACTATTCCTCTGTTTATAAATGAGAAAAGAGCCTCAGGTGAACTGATTTCCAGTGTCATACAGCCAGAAAGAGCAGAAGCAGGGGCTGTAGCAACTCTGTCATGCTGACTGTTAGAAAGCACGAAGACTGGAGGCGTCAGAGGTCAGATGACTCAGGGCTGAGCAAGCTGGGATGGAAGTAGAATGAGAGGACAAGGAGAACTCTGCCGCTCAGGTGACCTGGACCCCATCTCCCCACAGCCAACTATCTCTCTTGCTCCCACTTGTAAGGCAACCCCAGTGTAGAGGGCAGTGCTAGGGTGGGGTGTGGCAGGATAAGATGTGGTAGATTCTATCTCTTATGGCATTGGGATAGCTCATTGGAAAAGGGCAAATAGGCTGAATAGGGAAATAGGTGAAAAGGAATGCAAGATCCCACTATTATCACCAGGTAAGCAGCCTTTGGACCAGGCGCTGGCTGGAAGACCAGGTCCACAAGAAGGCAAGGAGACATACAGGGAATGCCTGCCCCTGCATCTGCTTAGACACACTAGCACTCCGGCCACACAGCAGTCCCTACACAGACTCTTACAGACATAGAGATCACGCTGGGGACTCACTGCTACAAACCAGGGGAGAAGGAAGGAGCCAGAGGGAGTGGCTAATCTGAGATGGCTTGGAGCCCCCAGAATTTTACCATCTTCTATTCATCTTCTGTATATTTTCCCCAAGATTCAGCTGCTCTTGAACACTCCTGCCAAGGAATGGGTCAGGCGGTCAGTAACCACATGAAAAATTCTGCCTGTCGTTTTGATACTGATGGCTCTCAGAAAGCTGGCAACTGTTTGGAAAAAGTGTATGTGCTTCTGAGATTTTAGGTGTCTAATCTTTAAAAAAAAAAAAAGTCCTAGAATTACTAAAGTCTTTTATATCACCTGGTTTGAACTTGATAAATTGCAAGAAAGCAGTTTTAAAACTTGTGTGAGACTCTGAGTAGCACATGGACAGATTATCAGAATCTACTTAAACTTGCTGAAATCTATATTTTATCACAGATTACTATATATTGCTGTCTCAAGAACTTTATTATTAGATCATTAAGTGTTGTATCTAACAACAAGATTTTTACCTGGGTTTATGAGTAAATAGAAAAAAATGACAATATTTTATTAATAACAAGATCTCTGAAAATATATATTATACTGTGTACTCAGCCTAGTAATTTAAATGTGTTTTATATAATAAGAATTCATAGTACTTTCTTATTAGGGGAACTAAAAATTAATTTGCTTCGTAACTCGTTTCTCCTCCAAATTGAAAAATAGAAAAGTGGGAAAGCAGTTACCATGGCTATGAAAAGAAGGTGGGATTTGCATTTCAATTTGGTGAAATAATTTATGCAATTAAGTAATGAGGTTTAGTGGAGACCACATAGTTTTAGCAGCCAGACATGCCAGTTCTGCTTTTGTCACTGATTACTCTGTACCGAGGGTTAGTTCATTAACTTCTCTGAGCCTCCTCAGTTTTCTGTAAAACAGGGATAACAAAAACTATCTTGGAAGGTAGTTAAGAGGATAATGGCACATAGCAGTCGTTCAATAATGATATTGGTTATTATTATTAATGAATTGAAAGTGAATTGTCAGCCAAAAGCAAAATGTTCTTCCTTTGAATGGGAAGTAGTTAGGTTCCTGGACTAAAGTTGATTATAGTTACTATCATGCAAATTAAACCGTAGTCTGTTGAATTGCAGGAATTCTTTATCCCTATAATATGTTCTAGTAGGACAGAAACAGTTTGGTGTTTTTGGTGACTTTAGAGTGTAAGATCAATGCCTCGTGAGTGGAACTATTACCCCTGAGCTGAAAACACTGGGCAACGCCCTCCAAGCAAGTCCCTTAACCACTCTCAAAAATATTGCAGCTGGGAAGCCACGTTCATGCTAAATTTAAAAGACATGCTGATTTTGTTTTGGAAAAATCAATTCATCAATATGTTTTTTTTTTTCATGGCTATAAAAAGTATTTAAAAATCAAACAAAATAAAGTAGTAAAAAATCCTGGTATGTATTTTTCCCTTGGAGAATGAGGTACTCATTCAAGTCCTCTTGGAAAAGATTATTTTGTGCTCTGGTCAAGGTGGCCTACTTTCCTTTTGTGTTGAAAGGATTTGAAATTAGAAGTTATTTGTATTTTCCCAGGGAGTGTCCACTTTAGGAAGAAAGAAAATTATATGCCTGAAGAACATGGTTGGCCAATTTATTGTTGTTTACGTCTGCTAGGCCAGAAAGGAAATACATAGAATTCAAGTTTCCTCTTTTCTTCTGGGAAATATAGTGTTCCATTTTGTTTTATGACAGAATAATATTCTTTCCTATGTTTGAGAGTGTTCAAAGGTAATTTTTTGAGCATGGCTTGCAATCTAGACCAAACCACATACATGCATAAGAAATGGAGGAAAGAAAGTCTTTCCTTACAAGATTTCAATAAATATGAGTTTCTCCTCTTCTGAAAGGTTGCTTAAACACATTTTAGTTCCTCTAGAGCATTATTTTTGAAAATTATCTACAAAAATAATTTTTTTCCTCTGTAATTGTTTCCTATTCGTATGGACTTGTTCTTGCACCCTGTGTAGAAAAATCAGTATCTCAGCCACCTAGGATAACATATTGTAGGAGACAGTCATCAGGAAGAATGTGTAATCGAACTTATCCTTAGATCAAAAACAGTTTACAGTGGACACATAAAATAAATTGATTTGTAAAATGCAAATGGTAGAGTCCAAAAGGAATCTTAAAATAAAACCTGGTGTTGACTGAATTATTTTATTCATTTGTGCTAGGTGCCCTCTCCTGGTCATAGTGAGTAACGTTTAGTAGCTTACTCTTTCTAGATTCTACTCTGCCAAGAAACATGTGTGCAATTGTGCATATACTCCATGCTAGGCTTCATATAGGAGGGAGAAAAATCTGAAGACAAGTAGCTTTTAACTTTACGAGAGTTAGACTCTTACTTTCCTCCTACACATAGATGCTTTCAGTTATCAAGCAATATTTGATTAGCTTGGTGTGGTGGGGATAATACTTTGTTAACTGATATACTCCTTTTTTTTCTTTATGACTTCACCATCAATCCAAGAAAGTCCTGCAAATGGACTGTATGTACATGACAGAAATGACGTGTAAAACAAGAATGCAGCCTAGAACCTGAACAGACCAGGGTGAACATCTTCCTTTTCTCCTCATCCTCACTCCCAGCATAGCAGCATTAGTTTATATAAGTCCCAGGAGCATCAAACCCCAGAGAAGGGGTGGCCCCAACATCATTGAAGGTTGAAACCAAAATAGCTGTGAAATCACTGAATTTTGCTGATTTTATCTTAAGTATTTAGCATAAAATAGAATGGGGTCCCAGAAGGAGAAACTTATTACTGAAAAATTGTATCTTGGTATATCTGTTTAAAAACTGTGATTGAGGCCAGGCACAGTGGCTCACACATGTAACCCCAGTATTTTGGGAGGCTGAGGCGGGAGGATTGCTTGAGGCTAGGAGTGCAAAGCTGTAGTGAGCTATGATCATGCCACTGCACTTCAGCCTAGACTACAGAGCAGGATCCTGTCTCAAAAAAAAAAAAGCAACAACTGTTATTGAATGATTGACTTAGAGATTCTCATGTCTAATTCATGTCTAATGCGCAACAGAAAAACACAGTTGCAGAACACAGCTTACTGCTCAGCACATCAGAGTTGGGAATGACTATAGACGTCCTCTAGCCCAGTTCCTTGTCTGGGATACACTGAATATTTTTAATCTCTTCTGAGAGATGAGGTAAGCATATTCCCCCAGATTGAAAAGAGAATGGGCTTGCTTATTGTTTTCTATAAAAGCAGTGGATTCCCCAAGTTCAGTGTTCCTTAGCTGTGATGCAAACCCACTGTGTGTCCCAAATATCTGAACACATTGAGTCATGCTCATGGGACTTGAGCAGGAAGAACCTCACAGCAGGAAGCTTGCTGTGTTATGCTTAATAAACTCCTGTGTTTCTGATCCAAGAGTCTATGTCTTCATATGAAATCATAACAGGCTGACGTAATAGTTTGTAAGTAGAGTAAAATAAAATTCCAGACCTGACAATGGTCTCTCACAAGGTTGTATTCTTTTTTACTGTACCATTCTATAATTAGTATTTTTACCTTCTTCAGATGTTAGATACTAGGCCAGTTCCAAAAAGTAATTAATTTATCTTATTGATCTATCCCACTTTGATGATGGGCTATTTATAGAAATCAATAAATTAAAAAATACTTAGAATAAGAAAACATGTTATTTCTAAAAATAGTAAGTTTCTTAGCAGAAAGCAAAACTCAGCAATATTTTCATAAGGGATGCTGTATGCCTTGAGCTGACAAACAAGAAAATAACTAAAATGCAGCATAGATTTGACAACTGTCTGTTGGAGGGGAATGAAAAAATATATTTTCACTCAGTGCAGATAACCCTCCCACACTGTTTCTGGTACAAAGGAGGTACTCAATATTTGTTAAATGAATTAACAAACAGAAATTCTCTAAACTTTATTAAATCTGTAATGATGAACTCAAAGTAATTTCTGTGATTTCCATAAAGAACACTATCATGATTAAAAGACAAATAATGGAATGGCTATGAAAAAGGGCTCATTATTTTAAGATTTATTTTAATTTTAATTGGATACATACCATCTTAATTATCTTGTATTTTACTTTTAAAATATGAATTAGAGACACAAGTATAATTATGGCTAAAGTAAAAAATAGAAAATGGAGAGAAAAAAGCTTTGTACTGTGGAAAACATCAAATATACATAAAAATAGAATAAAATAATGAACCCCCGTTTACCCAACACCAGCTTCAATAATTATCAAACACAGCCAATCTCATTTTATCCATACTTCCTACTCCTCCAACTGTCCGTTGAATTCTTTTGAAACAAATTCATGATAGCATCTTAGTTTATCTATAAATACTTGAGTAATACACATATTTTTAATGAAAAAAAATTCACAGTAAGGATGGATGATTGTCACAAACTTAACATTTCTCATCAAATAGAAACATAACCACAAATGTCATTTCACACTAAAAAGTGCTTTATGTCTTTGGTATGGTCAGCTTTAACTTCAGCTTAAAGCAGGGAGATCTTTTAAAGCTTAAAGATCCCTCCTCCTTCCCATTTGCTTTACTTCGAATTTGTGTCACTGAATTTAGAATGTGTTAATGACTTAATGAGATCCAGGCTATTAATGGAAACATAACACCATTTCAACTTTAAAGTAGTCCATCAGAAGTGAGAATATTTTCTGATTACCACCCCTTTTATGGTAAAATTATTAATATTGGACTTCTAGTGATGGAAAGTCTAAGAAGAATTAGTATTGTGTACTAAACTAGTCATATTTTTTTTTACAACTCTTTATGACTTGTCAGTGGAAATCATTTCTGGGAGTTACGTTAGTGTGCATATGCATTTGTGTACACACACACACACACACACACAATGCCTTAGAATTATAAGAGAATTCTGTAGTTTGTTGTCACACACAGAGAGTTGTACTTGCTAAAATATTAAGATACATGAGGACAAATAACTGCTGTTCTGAGCTTTGACTGTGTTTCTGCTACCCAGGCCACCTAGACCTCTCCATGATCAGGCAACTAAAAGGTTGAAATTTAGCACAGTAGAGATGGGTGGCCCACTTCCAGCATTAGGCAGCCTCCAATCTGATTGAAAGGTGCTTGTATTAGTCAAGATCTCCAAAGAAACAGAACCAATAGGAGGATACGTGTGTGTGTGTGTGTGTGTGTGTGTGTGTGTGTGTGTGTGTGTGTGTAGAGAGAGAGAGAAAGAGAGAGAGAGAGATTTTTTGTAAGGAATTAGCTTACGCATTTATGGAGGCTGAGAAGTCCTGCAATCTTTCCTCTGCAAGCTGGAGACCCAGGAGAGCTGGGGGTGTAGTTCCAGTCCAAGCTGAGGGCCTAAAAAACAGGAGAAACAATCATGTAAGTTCCCGTCTAAGTGTAGGAGAAGACTGATGTCCCAGCTTGAAAACAGGTTGAGCTAGCAAACTCTTCCTTACTGGAGACCTGTTGTTCTATTCAAGCCTCCAACGGATTAGATGAGGCCAACCCACCCTAGGATGGCAAATCTGCTTTACTTAATCTGATCCAAATGGTAATCTTTTCTGGAAACTCTCACAAACACACTCAGACATAATGTTTAACAAAATATCTGGGCATGTCATGGTGCAGTCAAGTTGACACATAAAATTAACCGTCACAGTGTCCCTGCTTTATTGATTGGTAAACAATTTGAAAAACTGCTTATTTAAAACATGGTATAGAACTGATCTTGGGAATTGATAAAAAGTAGGCAAAACTGTGGCAAGAAAATAAGGAATAATTGCAGAAAAGCAGAATAGAAGTAACTAAAACGCCAGGCTAAGAGCTCTCTTTGTACATTAAAAACCCAGGACTTACTCAATATCTCAAAGTTAGAGGACCAGGTAGGAAATAAATAGATTACAGGTTGAATATCTCTCATTCAAAATGCTTAGGAACAGAAGTGTTTCAGATTTCAGATTTCTTCAGATTTTGGAATATTTGCATATATATAAGATATCTTGAGGATGGGACTCCTCTTAACATTAAATTCATTTGTTATTTATGTTATTCATCTATGAAATTCATTTCCCATTTATTATGAAATTCATACACCCTTTATTATATACATAGCCTGATCTATTGTGGTTTTATACAATATTTAAATAATGTGGTTCATGAAACAAAGTCTGTATTAAATTCTTATGTGTGAAATTTTCCACTTGAGAAGTCATGTCAGTGCTCAAAAAGTTTTGGATTTTGGATTTTCAAATAAGGGATGCTCAACCTTTATGAAGACAAAAATAACAAATCACATATAGAGAGTGCCTTACTAAGCACTACAAAGTAGGTACATGAAAACTGATTGACTTCGTTGATAAAGGATGCTTCTGGTGAACTTTGTAAAAAATTGCTGTGTAATGCAATATGAATTTGCTGGGAATGGTTTTGTAATAAACTCTATTACCTTATGACCAATTCATCAACTTTCCGTACTAACCAATATTTTCCATTCCAGCACACTATTGCCCATGGCTTGCTGAATGTTCACTGTTGGCAGCTTTTAGTCTGGCAAGCACCTACCAATTGAGATATATGTTGACCAATACCATAGCCAGTTGTGTTTATTTCCAAATCAGTTTATGCCAGTTGTACTTATAACTTTAAATATGTAAACTAAACACGTTATATAAATCAATAAACTATGAGTGAAAACATTTAAAAAGTTGCTTCTATGAAAATTAAGTGGAAAACTTATTCAAAATTAGATTGAGATGAGTAACTAAAAATTACCAATGAATTACCTGTGGATAGTTATTGTAAAAAATAGAGTGGAGAATCATCTTACTCTAGAATGATTTTACACCCAAATTGCTTCACAAGTATTTTCAAGAGCTCAGTCCACCTTAAATAAGTGGATTAAATAAAAATTATAAATTATTAATAATACACAATGAGGTAGTTTATTAAGAATAACAGCATGTGTTTAATCATTTGACCTATTGGCTTTAAATCAAAAGATTGGTAAGCAAAAGTGCATTCATTTGTATAATTTGTATAATGGTGAATAAATGCATATTTTAGTTAAAATAAAAAGGGAAAGGTATGTATAACTTTTATAAGTAAGTGTTTGAACTGATATTTAAATTAATGACAACTATAATTCCTGATTGTGTCAAGATTTCTACTTTATGTGATTATTAGAATCAATTAAAAGTTAAAAGTTAAGTATTATTTCTGTTATTTTTGTGTGTTCTTTATAGAACTATTTATAAGACTAACAGAATAGAACAAGAGACTTGTATAAACCTGCTTTGTGTCTCCTTTTCATGTACACTATCCATATTTGAAGAAGAGTCAAAACAAGGATCTAATTCTCTTGTCCTCCCCTTTATGAGAGAAAAAGGGTGAGATGACCTGAACCAACAAAGCATCGTTATCTGTATTTATTTATTCCAGGAGATTTGTATTCTGCACAAGGCAACAGGATCATTTTCCCAGAGACGGGAGTAGCCATGGTGCTCTAGACTGGGACTCAAGGAGATCAGTGGCATTTGCATAGGGCTGAGGACCAGGCTGTCCCTGGAGAATTCTGCCTGAGATGACTGCTAACACATAGGAATGTGTGGTGCAGTGGTTGTTGCGGGTTGGGGTCGGGGGACCTGGTAAAAAGTGTACAGCACAATTCAAATCTGCAACAAAATGTAGTTTCTTTATATCCAGAAACTGATCTCATCTTATCTTGGAAACCCCATTCCTGCTGATGATAGCAGAAAAAATAATTGCACTTGCCAATTAAAGGTAAATTATTCTGTTAGTTTTAATTTCTCATCAGGATTAATTCTCAGTTTCAAAATTTCTGCTCCCTTTCTTTCTGTCCAAACTGGCCTCTGGATATTAGTGGAAGCAAATGCATTTTTATAGTATTTGGGAGGGCAGTCTCTTCCTCATGCCATCCTCTGCTCTTCAGCATTTGCTGAGATGCCCTATCTTTCGTCCTTACTGGGAGGGATCTGCAGACGCCTGCTGCGTTGTGGCTGTTCTTGTCTGGACTGGTGCTATGCACTTGTACTGAAATTCACAGATCACTGACCATGGGCTTCATTGCTGCCTTTTTGTGCATTAACCCCTGTACCACAGACTTCCTTGGGCGGCTGGTCCGGTACCTCAGTGCCCCACAGGGAAGCCCGGAACATTTGCCTGCTTCCTCCACATTTTGCTGCAGCTTGCAGGATTCTGTGAGATAGTTCAATGCCTTTCTCTCAGCGATCACTATTCTCTTCAGACACTAAGACCAAACAGAACATAGGGCTTTGCTAAGTTCATGGACTGGTATAGCATAGTCTCATGGACTGGTTCTGTGGACACAGTCCATTAGCTCCAATGCCCTTGAATTGTTCCTGTTTTGTATCTTTCTACTCACGATCACAGGGACTTTGGCACTAAAAGAGGAGCTAGGACACTTGTATATGACCTCTTGCCAAACCTTCACCCTCTCTTGGCTCTGCTCCACAGCAATTAGAAAAAATCTTTTTTTATTTCTGTTAGATGAAGTCTTTTCTTACACCATGTCTTCATTCCTTTCTTTACTGTGGCTTATAATACTTAGGTTCACACTCCCATGTTTTGATCTTGATATACAAAGAAAAGTTGGGAATTTCTTTTTTCTAAAAGTTTTTGTTTCAACAGGGTCTGAATTTTAATGCTGTTGTTTCACAAAATGTTTTAAAAATCTGATTTTAGACTCAAATCTGAGGAATGGCATTTTTGATCCAGGGAATAGCTACACATTATTTTCCTGGAATAATAAAACTCTGAGTCTAGCCTTAGTTTTTGAAGAGCAATATGGGAAAAGGGAAAACTGGATTACTGTAAGGGAAAATATATCAAACATTGAAATTCCCATTAGATATATTCTTCCCTGCTGAGATACAACCCACTGCCTTCTTCAAACCCTGTTTTTTCTATCTGGCTACACACCTGCCCAAAATTATACCTTGTTCTAGTCCAAGGTATAGCAATAAAAAATCCCTAGGAAACTGGGTTCCTGAATGAGCTAAAAGGGAACTGAAAAAGTGAGTAAGAGAAACACTAGAAGGTAGAGTCTATCCAATATGGGATACGACTGATGGATTCTGAAAGCATTACCTCTTACATAAGCTTTCTTATTCTAGGACTGGGAAAACAGGGCAGTGTGGCCCTTTATCCTCAGTCCAAACACTTCCTGATCCTACACATCTCTCTCAAGTGTCAAACACAAAGTAGCTTAAGAACATATTCTTTGTCTCTTTTGCTCATTAAATTACAGACCTAAAGAAAACAGTGCTACAGATGGGTGTTTTCTCATATAATATGACAGCCATTTCACTGGGTCTTTTCCAAAGAGAAATTGACAGATGCACTGGTGATCTAGCATTCCCTCAACTACAAATACCATGAAGCCAACAAGATGATGAGGAGCCTCCACTTAGATATTGATTGCCTTATGGTTTTGAATCCTACCAGGACCCTATGGCCAGTGACACTGTGACTGTTACTGGTAAAGATGTAGTTTTAAAACATAGCGAGTTGAGAATATCATTCTATAAATTGGAATTTGAACATATAAGCTGAATATAAAGAACTATAAAACTTTACTACACATCTAGTAGAATAACTAGAATTACAGGTATAATCACATCAATGATGGCAAGGAAGCAGAGGAAATTTAGCTCTCATATATTGCTGTTGGCAGTATAAAATGGAAACCACTTTGAAAAGCAATTTGGTAGTTTCTTAAAAAGATTAACATACACCTACCATATGATTCTGCCTTTCCACTCCTAGGTATTTACCCAAGAGAAATAAAAGCATATGCCCATAGAAGACTTACATACAAATATTAGCAGCTTTATTGGTAATAGCCCAAAACTGGAGGCAACCCCAAAATCTATCAACAGGTGAATGGATTAACAAATTTTGATATAGCCATACAATGGCATACTACTCAGCAATAAAAAGTACTGAACACAACATGGATGGATCATAAAATTATTATGCTGAGTGAAAGAGGCCAAACAAAAAAGGTTACATAATATATTATTCCAATTATATAAAATTCTAGAAAATACAGACTCATCTATAGTGTCAGAAGGTTAGCAGTGTCGCTCTGGGGATTGTGAGGTCAGGTTGGGGGACAGGCGAGAGAGACAAAAGAGGCACAGGGAAAGTTTCAAGGGTGATCAATGTGTTCACTATCATGATTATGGTAATGGTTTCATGTGTACATACATTTGATGCACCATTATGATAACAAAGTCTGCCTCTGGTTTAATAAAAACACACATGCTTGCCACTCTCAAAAATGAGAGTAAAGAAAAATCCCCTCTTGCTATACATGCATTAAAGGCATTTTATTTATGCATTTCCTCTTTGTCTTTTGATAAGGTTGAGAACAGCTAATTTGTTCTCAAAATTTTCTCTTTTGCACAGGCCAAATAATTCCAATTCTCTAGGGTTTTTTTTAGAGTATTCAAGAATAATAGGCTGTGTTCACTTCTCACAGGTCTTTGAAGTAAAATGTCATTTGAAAAAAGAGTTTGTTTGCTAACTTTGAATTCTAAAACCACTGATTTGCTAAACATTGAACATGGTTTAGCTGATGCATCCAATATGTGAGCATACAAAGTGTCACTTATAGGGAAAATCCAGATACTACGTGTCTATGACCAGAACAACATCACTATTATAAAATAACCAGCTTCAATATAGTGGGTGTTACGAAGCAGAGAAGAGCTTTTGATTTTTATATGGCTGATTCTAGAGATGGGCAGTTTACATTTGAGTAGTTAATTGATTCAGGGGATTTCTTTCTGCTAGCACATCGAATAATGATTCTGGATCTCCCAAGCTTTAGAGTATCTGTTCTGCCTTTTCTCTTCACACACTCACCAATCCCCAACTTTAATAAAAGAGAATTAGTTTTTCTCCCTCTGACTCTACTAGAATGCTAAATGACATTTTGCTACCCAAAACAATTTTATAAGGGGTTAAGGGTTTATGCTTATTTCTAAATTCCAATGTTAAAAATCTATTTTCAAATTCATAAAAATAGATTAAGGCCTATTAGACATAAGCTGTCACACTTAATATTATTACAAAACAAATGAAATTTTTTAAAAATGTCTTTACCATTAAAGAGTATGAAATGTAGTTAAGGGTGTCAAAGAACAAAATTTCAGCAAGTTGTGTTTCAAAGATCAAATTCTTTTTTATTAGTGTTTTGTGAATCAGGCAGCATTCCATCTACAAAACAGAAAGACATTCGAATGAGCTGAGCAGAGGGAGTAGGCTTTATAGACAGAAAGGCTGAAGAACATAAAACAAGAAACAAAATGTGGATTCATTGTTTAAAAGTTACTTTCCTTACAGGGTTAAGGAAGAGAAAGTTTCCTTATCATGCCAGCTTACGGTGACTGGACCTGTTTGGACTGGTTGCTGAAAATCTGGTTTGTTTTCGTTGTTGTTTAAACTGGCTTTTTAAAAGCCATGATCAGTTTGATTATGTGGCACCTAGCACACATGACTCCATTCTGGGCTGGGCTGGTCTCTTGGGGCCTTGTGTACAAGCTGAATTCAAGACAATGCCATCCCATAAATTTAATTTAACAGGGGTAAATTGCAAACGTTTTAAATGAGGAAAATAAAAAAATTTCATTACAAGTGGAAGAAGTACCTCTCACAAGGCAGTACATGATTAAGTACCAATGAACATCCCAGAAATTGGTCACTGTGGGAGATCAGAGGTTCATTATAATTTGGGCTAGTGGGGGACAGCTTTTCTTCAGAGTCAGACTGAAGCTTGGTCTTAGAGGGTTGTGTAACATGCACCAAATGTTTGGCTAGACCAAGGAAATACACAATTGCTTTTAATAAATCGCTGGGCTGCCGTTCTCTGTTGGGAGAGTCAATATGTTTAGGGAAGGCACTCTGCCAGTAAAGTCCATCCCCTGAGCTGATGATGCTGACTGCCCTGCCAGTGGGTCACCTGCTCCCAGGCCAAACACACAGTGTGACTGGAAGTCTCAAAGGATCAGTCAGAAATAGCTCACTTGTCGGAACTGGGGTGTATTTGTGGAATGGTTTGTTGAAGCACCTGTGCCCAACCGTGTCTGGACATAGTTACTAGTCTCTCGTTTTCCCAAGTGGTAAACTTGTTCACAGATGTTACTGGAGGGAAAGAATATGTTCAGTGTTTATGCAGTGAGTCTGCTCTGAAGAAGCCATTATGCTTAACTAAGGAAATGCCATAGTTATTTTGGTATTCCTTTAATTTTAGAAGTCTTTATTATTTGCAGGGCTGACCAAAAGACTTAAAAAATCCACAAATAAATAACAAATTCTTGTTTAATATGGTGGATGTGACTGGTTTCTGGAAAACAAAAGAACAGTCAGTTACTCTTGCACCCACCCAAGAAGCTAAACGTCTTCCTAGTATTGACCAAGAAATCTGGTGACATAAACCTTCACTTTATTCTGAGCTAGAATATCTACCTCACAAAATAGGCCTGCCAGAAGTTTATCTCTATTCCTAACACATCTGAAAACAGCAGCAAAGAGCTCGCAAAGATAAAAGAAAGGTAAGAGGAAGTTTCCATGATCAATCTCTCATTGTCAATCAAGAAATTTCCACCTCATAAAAATTATCTCTAGGACTTTTTAACCTAAGCCTTTTCTGCGCTGAATAAATAGAGGAGAATGCATTTGGGTTCTTTACTTTATCCTTCTTAATGCCTAAGAAAATGTTTATTGTTTGTCAGGAAATAAAGACAAAGGAATAGTAATTTGTAATTTTTTCCACATGTGTGTAACTTGTATCAATTGGATAATTGAAGTAATTCTACAACCAACTGAAGTTGCCTTAGATTAATTTAATACAAGTTGCTTTCGACAGTTCTCTGGAGATCATTTCTTATGGCTATGTTGGGGTACTGAGGTGGGGCCGGTGTCTTATTTTTCTTTCCTGGTTACCTCTGACCTTAAGTTGCTATTTCTATTGAATTTCTAATATCCATGCTTCATTGCATCTGCTGATTATGACACTGACCCATACTACCCCAGATACCGTTGACCCATGGCTATGTGTGGAGGAGAGTTGTTTTGAGAGCCCCTAGCTAAACTGTGGTTCCAGTACCAGAGAGGCTAGCAATCCTGCCCTAACAGGAAACGAAAAGGAGCCTTTCACAGGACACTTCTTTCACCTAGCAGATGGCTTAGTGCCTAGCTGTCTGACCTGAGACCAGGATGTCCCTCACATGGGGAACTTGGTTATATTGGCAGACATCCTTGAGACTCTTGCCTGACCTGTGTCCAGTTTATGCCTACCTGACCATGGCCTTAGTACTGGGAGACTGCTCTTGTGTTCGTCCTGGCCTCCCTTGGAAAATCTAGCCTAGGGTAGTCCCCAGTTCTTCAGATGGAAGGTGAAAATTCAATACACCACCACAAAAACAAGCAAAGTCAAAGCTTTTTGCTTAAGGCCTTGGGCAGGGAGGGTGCAATGAATCTGGAGGGCAGCCCTCCATCCCTCGGTCACGCAAGGCAGGAATGAAAGGTCAGGCAGAGAGAAAGAGAGAGTGGCAGCTAGCAGAATATGGATCACTTTCAGTTTACAGGCAAGTGCCTGAATGGTTTATTTAAAGGAAGTGGCGGGAAAACACAGGGCCCAGTCTGCTAGGCAGGAGAGATGCCTCTAAGTTCTTATCTCTGGCCACCAGCTTTAGCCATTGGGTGTGGTGTTCTATTTCTAATGCCCAGGCAGCAGCCCTTGCTGTGTTGTTCCATTCTAGGTTTCCTGAAGATTTGTAACAAAAGGTATCAGTGGGAGGAGGTGGAGCAGTTTACATTTAATCTCAGGTATTCGGTTTTGAAAAAACACTTCAGACATTTCTATAGCCAACAGTCTCTCTTTTCTGACAAGATTCTGGCTTCTCACGACACTGCAATTTTTGCCTCTCTGTTCAGATCTCCTTGCCACTTTGTGAAAGTTTTACTCGCCCCTAAATCCAAGATTCCCATGGAGTAGTTTCTCTATCTCCCAAACTTTACCCAGACCGGTCCTATACAATAGAACGTTCTATGATGATGGAAATGCTCTGTAATCTGCACTACACAGTATGGTAGCCACTAATTGTATATGGCTATTAAGCACTTAAAGAATTAAACATGACATTAGAGTTTAATTAATTTACCATGTACATTTCAATAGCTGTATGTGGCTAGTGCTTGTTATATTGGATAGAACAGCTCCACATCATCCAATGTTGACCAAGAGAGGCAGCTTCTTCCGAACTAGACAGACCTATTAACATGTGTTTCTCAATAGAGATAATCCTTCCCCTGATAGAAACAGGTTTTTTTCCCCTACTTGCTAAGTATCTAATATGGTCTGTGTTCATATGCATAAAATGGCTAATAAAATATTGAAGCGACCCTCAGTTTAGACTTTAGTATTCTATTACCCTCATCCTTGCTTCTCAGATACATCCTTTTAAACATATGCTACACATTCATTTAATGCCAGTGTACCAATAAAAATTAGTACATCTTGATTCTGTATCGAAGTACATGACAATTAGCTTCCTAATGTAGCCAAAAACTTTCAAATATCTAAGTCATGATTTTAAAATACATCATTTCTGTCTCTAAATTTTAGGACACACTTCAGGTGTATAATTTTGCTTTGGCAAGTTGCATCCAAGGAAGTTTGGCATTCTATACTATGGGAGCGTATGCTCAATTTTCAGATTAATATCCTGTCCTCTCAAAGGGCAGAATATGCCTCTGCTATTGCAGTGTCATGCAACTAATTGTTATTGCTTTTGGTATAAAGAACAAGCTTTAGAGTACTGCAATTCTTTCAGAGGAAGTTTTAGTTATCCCAAGAGTGTACATTTTGTTTTACAATACATTTTTGCCTTCTACATTCCTTTTTTTAAAATGTTTATTACAAATGTTAATATTAAACAGATGGGTTTTATTTTTGTGACTGAGTATGCATTTAATAGATGCTGTGAACACTTCCCTTCATGAAAAGACTGTTTTGCTTTTGAGCCAAGGCTTGACATATTTCCTTTCTGAAACACTCCCTTGTTTAGCTATTTGCTTGTTCTACCTTTAAACTTATTCTGCGTTTGGCATCGAATCATTTAGGTGTTTCACATAGAAAGTGAGCATTTCTATTTACAAAGACCAGAGAAGAATTCTACACACTGGCACATTTCCCATTGTGCTGGCATCACCATCTTCCAGGTGTGCCTTCCTCCCAATTTATAAAGCAGTTCTGCTGTCCACATTCTGTTGGGCAAAAAGAGTTCTGCAAAAGAAACAATTTTTATTGAGTTAGCAATTTATTTCCTATCAATCAATCACATGAAGTAAAATCTCTTTTTTGATCCAGTTAATATTGGTTTGCATTCTTTGTATCTTATCTCTTAAACTTTGAACCACAAGGGTTAGACAAACTCTTATTTTGTTACCCATAAGGCAGATTCATTGCATTTAAAGTTACAAATATCATTATTACATACTTTAATTATAAAAGCAACATAATCACATGAATAGAAATATAAACCAAAAAAATCCACTATTCTTTACTTAAATGCAATCATTATTTCTTTTCATACAAATTTTTTCACATACTTATAATAATGATGTCCGCATGATTTAGTATCTTACTTTGTAATTGACTAACATTTTATTATAAGGCGTTTCCATGTTGTGACATAGTCTCCTCAACCCTCCTTTTTTATAACCATCATTTCAATGGCTACATATTATTCCATTCAAGCATAACTCTATAATTAATTTAAATATTCCCCTATTTAGGAACATTTGGAATACACTTGATATTTGATAAGATAAAGAAGACTGCTAGGGGCATCTTTGTACTTACAGCTTTTTACATATTTTGTTTCACCTAATAGTGAGACTGTTTACATATTTCTAGATAATGTATTAATCTACCTAGATCTATATCTAATAGAGTAGATCTCTCTGTATCTATTATTGCTTTCTTACAACTGTTAAATTTTGAAACCCTAACATCAGGCAAGGGTAAAACCAGTAAGTATATTATAAAGAGACAATCTTCTACAATGCTAAATATGTTAACTAATTTATTCAAAATATGCTTTTGAGCAGTACTATGGATACTATTCCTGATGTACTAAGAAGGCAACAGTGACCAAGTACCTTGGTATACTGGGCTGCTCTAGCAAAATACCATAGACTGGATGGTCCAAGATTAGGGTGCCAGCATGTTTAGGTTCTGGTGAGGGCCCTCTTTTGGGTTGCAGACTGTTTTCTTATTGTGTCCTCACATAGTGGAAGGAGCAAACAAGCTTTTTAAAGCCTGTTTTATAATACAAGGGCAATAGTTACATTCACGAGAGCTCTGCCCTCATGACCTAATCACCTCCCCAAAGGCCCCAAACCTATTAATACTGTGGGGCTTAAGGTTTCAATATATAAATTTGTAGATCAAGGGGGAGGTGAGACACACAAACATTCAGATCATAGCACCAAGGGAGCCACCATCTCTGTCTTGATGGGGTTTTCCTTATTACAGGTGGTGTAGACTAGCCTACAGAGTGACCGGTACTTTGAGGAAGTAGAGGTCCTGTGGAAACACATAGAAGGAATTGAATCCCCTCCTCATGGAGCCTCAAATGGCTTCCTAGAGGAAGTAGCATTGAAATAAAGCATAATAAACGAAGAATTAGTCAGCAAAACTGTAAGATGGGATAGAGAAAGGGGGGTGAGTGCATTTCAGGAAATATAATGTCACGTGAAAGCAAAGGGGCATATATGTATTAGAGGAACTCAAAGAAGGTAGTATGCCAGGAGAAGAGACTGCGGATAGGACCATTGAATGTTTCTTTTGCATTTTACCTAACATTCATCAGCAATCACATTTAATGCGTAATCTTAGATTAATTGATTGAGTTTATCATCAAAACTACCTTTCCAACAGAATTCATCCCATTCCAATACAAGGCAATGTATTAGAGGTCAGTTAAACTGCATCCTCGCCAGCATCAGATGGTATCACTTAGGTTACTTTAATAGCACGGTAATAAAAAAGATATATCATTCATGTTTATAACAAGCATTTTAAGGTCTATGGAGTGATTTAAGGGAAACCCCCAGGGAAGATCTGTTCAAAGAGATCTTCTACAATTCTTTTCCTGAATACTGAGATTCCTATTCTGTCTCCTTTGGCTAAAGGTATTGAAGGCCCTTGTAAATTTACAAATTTATTAGTTGGAATAATTACATATTCAATTCCTTTTGGCCATGAACACTTTGTAATAAGTTTTTTTCATATTGATTAGCAAAGACCTGTGTCTTTAAAGAATAGATCACAGTGGAGTTAAATTTTGATCGTAAATTTTGAGGTGGAAATGATCCCAAATAAGAATTTCTCCTTGGAAAGTGAAAACTTAGGTGTTGGTATTGGACTTACAGAAGACTTGGAAAGCAAGATAGAGAATAGAAAGGGGCTATTACCCTCAAAATATTATAAACTGTCTCTAAGTCATACCCTATTCACAATTTTTCCTAGTCCCAGCGCTGTCCAAAGTAGTAATTCTACAGGAAAATGAAAAATACCTTTGAAAGATAACTTTTTTTGAACATCAAATGTGATGACTTTTAGCTGCATGGCCAATTTCTCAATGTAATATAGACCAATGGAATCATGGTTTCCTTTCTACTCTGGCTGTTAGGCCACACATTAGTAGGTATGGCCCGTATCTGAGAAACTCATAAAAAAACTGCACAAAGTAGGGAGGATGGCGATTAACACAGTTGTTGGCAGCAAAATTAGGGGGAGTAATTTAATTTTGATTTTGTTCTAGCAATCATTATAACTAGTATTTCTAGTCTTATATGGCATTTGCAATTCACTGTTTAAATATTGTGGCAGTTATTTGGCTCTTTAAAAATATTCTGATCCTCCTCCTTCTGGGCATGTGGTTATTGTGATTCCCTAACTTCCATTAAATTGTAACTTGCTTTGGCTAATGGGAAGAAAAGGAAAGTGATGTGTATCTCTTCCATGTGGAAACATTAGCCAGTGGAAGATGAAATCCAATGGACTGGCTTTGAACCATATCCATTCAATAGCCAACGAAGAATGTGGAAATGTGAGGAGCTGACCATGAAGCTCCATATCTGTCTTTGGATGTTAGATGAGGCAGACATAGTTTTGTATCCAATTTAAGCTACTATTGTTTGTTTTTCACAGCAGGTAAGATTGTAACCTAACTAATACTATGAGAAAATTGAGATGTGAGAGAGAAAGATATCAAAGAGTTGGACAGAATTGGAATGATCAGAGCTTTGGGGGTAAAATAGTCTTAAAGATAGAGCAAACAAATTCAAAATGCATTGTTAACAAAGTTGTATTCACCTTGTATTTGTTTAATATTAGGAGAAGCAAGTGTCAAACTTTTCCAAAATAATACACATTAGTTAATTTACTGTAATTCTGCAACACATACCTTCAGTATTAGATACCAAAAAAATGCCTTTGGATGCCAATGAGTTTCAGCAGCAAACTTCACTTTATGAGCTCACTCATAGGAAACCACTTGTTCTGTCATCCCTCAGAATAGTTTAATTAGAGAATAAGAAAATACAAGAAACAGTTTCAAATCTTATGCCTCTCTCCATTCACCTTTTCCCCATTTTTGTGCCATGGGTTAATTGCCACAATCTTAAGAATATATATTTTTTTCATCTAGCAGCACATGAATGAATGTTCTCTGCTCCCAGAAGACCTGGCAGCCAAAGAATTACATTCCCCAGGCCCGGTGACTCTCTGTAGGCTACTGACTATAAGAAATGGGATTTGCCTCAGGGCTGATAGATTATAAACCTAGCTCTGGATGTATCAGGTTAGTTTGTGTAACACATAAGAACTGTTAGGTTGCATATAATAGAAAACATTACAAGTAGTGACTTAAGTCATAATGATACTTCTTATTCCATTTTTTAAAAAGTCTAGAAATAGAAGGTGCCAAGATTAGTTGACTTCAGTGGCAAAATGACATCATCAAAGTCCTAGACATGTTCTATTCTTCTATTCTGCTATTCTCAGCATGTTAGCCTCCATTCCTCTTGGATATAAGATGGGTCACCCCACTCCACATTTATGTCCTTCTTCAATTCTATTAGAAAGCAGGAAGCCAGAAGGGAGAACAAGAGGGAGTTTTCTCCCTGATGTCCAAATCAAGAAGGAAAATCCTTGCTAGAAGCCCATTAAGACTTTGCTACTCAAATTGTGGTCCTCAGATCACAGCATCACCCATCACTAGTGAACTTATTAAAATGCAATGTCCCTGGCCCTGCCTGATTCAGATTCAGTATTTTGACACTATGTCCGGGTGATACCTATACACAGCAGAGTTTGAAAAGCATTGCTCTAATAGATGTTTTTCTACATCTTTTTAGCCAGAACTTGGTGACAAGGCTATCCCCAGATGGAAGGGAAGATGGGAAAATCATCTTTTTTCAGCCTCTTTACTGGAAAGAAGAAAGGGCCAGTGAGATAGGAAATAGATGTTGGGTAGACAATTCCCAGAGTCTGCCATGGTATTTTTCCAGGGACAGGGTGGTACAGAATGCCATGCTCCCTACAGTTCACTGTGACTCTCTGAGTTCGTACAGCCTATGAAAGCTGTCCAGAGAATGCAGCACTGGCCTCACCAGTAGTATTTTTAACGGCAGGTTGAGACTTTAACCACGTGATTTTGGAGAGGTTTCTTGTTTTTATAATCTTGAGGCTTAAGAGAACCATCTGACTCAGGGGAATTCAAAGGAAAAATATTAAAGCTGGTATAATTGAAGGGAAGGTGAAGACTGTAAAATAACAGGTTACTTTTGAGTTTTGGTTTGCATGAAACATAAAATCTATTCTCGCGTGTACTTTTTTCTCTGCTATACATTAGTTTTCTGGCCTTATTGAAAAAATATACTAAGAGGATTGTTTATGAATATGAAATAACTGCCTTACAGAATTCTAGTTTATTAAATGAGAATTGTGCTGTTTCTAAATTAAGCCATTAATAAACAGTCTTCTTAAGTGTTTCATAAAGTAAAACTGTAATAAGCTTTCCAATAATACAAAGTAATAAAACATGAGAGTAAAATGGCAGATAGAAAAAAATAATAAAATAAAGGAAAAATGTGGCACATGTTTTAATCTTGGGGTAAGAACCTTGTAAACTCTAATTTAAGCCAATCTCAGTTTGACTTCCTGGTGATTACATCATGATTTACATGTGGTCGCATAAATACATCTGAACACTCATTTAGAAGCCACCTGAATGAGTGATTTTTCCTGCTGGTTATTAAAAGGCATGTTGAGAATTAATCTTGGGCCACATTTCCACCTTCTCCTAACCAAATCCTCATTTTGTTTCATTCATGGAAAATATATATTCCCAATGAACCTGTATCATTGTTGCCTTACCAGTTTGATATGATAGAATAAATTGGATTTAATCCCAGAGAAACAGACATGTTTTCAGGGAAAAAGCAGAGGAGGCTTCAATATAGAAATGTTTTTTTGACTTCAGAAATACTGCACATACTCAATAGTGTGTCCTTAAATTGAGAGCAAAGATGTATCAGCAGTCATATGCAGGAGAGCAAAGAACTGGGGACAGGTCACTCCTTACATCACTTGGCATGTTTTAGGTGCATATAGTTCTCATCAAATTGGCTGGGAGGCTCCCACAGAGATCTGCAGGCAAACTGGCACCCACTAAAACAATTGTGAATTTCCATAAAAATCCATGCCATGGGCGCCAAAGCAAACTTGTAAAAATTGTCCACTTTCAGGCAACCTGGACAAAAACCTTAGGAGGGCTGGAGTCATTATCAAAAGGGCTCTATAAGAGTCAAGAGAAATGTATTCCTGGTTTATTCAAATGCAGGTTCTTGTAAATGGCACAGCCACGGTGAGCCAAATTTGCATTTCCTACCAGGAGCTTGGATTAAGCTCAGCCTAACCTGGCCAGTTAAAACAATGAGACCCTTTTGGCTCTTTTACCTGGGATGCTAAAGGAAAATTTCAGAAATGTGATGATTCTGGAACTTAAATTTAAAGATTTGGGTATTAATTGGCAATTTTGGAGAAATCCTATTTTTAGCTTTTCAGATAGATTGCATCCATTGAACTAAAAGAGAAATAATATTCTCAACAAAGCAATAAAAGCAAGTTTAATTATGAAACTCAAAAATTTAAGCATATTTTTTCCTTTTTGATATCTGAATTTCATATTCTCATCAAACGTGAGTTACATCCAGTCAGTTTAGTGGTAAATCAGAATGTCACCACTTGACCTTGGCAAAGTCACCTGGTAATGAGGATGAAAGGTACATGGAACAATTTGTGTCTATCTGAGTCACTGAGTTTTCCTTCAACAGCACAAATGTGTCATCTGTTTTGTCATGGCTTGTCTTGAGCAATAGAAGCTGTGGTGGCCACAAAGAGGAATGGGAAGGGCACTGGTTACAGGCCAGGAGGCAATATTCACACGTAGATGTACATCTGTAAATGCATAGACTTTCTGGGAGGATACACAAGAAATTGGTAATGGAAGTTGCTGCTGCAGTAGGGTCCAGGAATGGGAACCTGGTGAGTCAGGGGTGGAAATAGAATTTTTTTTTTATTTTTCAGTTTTGTACTGTATATATATATATTAATATATATGTGTGTGTGTGTGTGTGTGTGTGTGTGTGTGCACACATACTGCCCATCCAAGAAAATAAACAATAATAACAAAAGACAGAGTGAAAAAGGCCATATTTTCATTGGCTCTACTTTAAACTGGGTGGATAATTTTTTCCCCTCTGGACTTCAGATGTCTCTTTTCCAAAATAAGATGGAATGGAGTTTCATCTGCAAAAATAGCTAATATTTCCCAAAGCATTGACTATACAATAGTATAAATAAAATTTTCCATTCCGAGTCTGATGTTGGAGAGATAACATATTGTTAATAATAACAATGTGAAGCATAAGCACTATCTTACTAGCCAAAAAGTTGAAAATTCATGGTTGCTTATTGAAGAGCTGCTCTGGGAAGGAGCTTTAGACGAGAACAAAGGGAAAGGAGAGGTGACTTGTGGTGAAAGCTGAGGGAGGACAGGAGAGCTGGGTGATTCCAGGTCCAGAGGATATAACAAATAGGGCATATGCAAGAGAGAATCTGGTAAAGACCAGGTTCACCTGGCTGGGATCATCACTTTCGCAAGAGCCTTCGCCAGTCTTTTGCTTTATCTAGGAGCCAGCTGACCTCATCTTATTTTCCTATAACTTGGCTCTGACCTCACACCTCAGAGTCTGTACTTGCCCACATATCAGACAACCCCTAGCTTCATTCTGTCCCACTCTAATTCGATTACAAATTTCACAGGGAACACTTAGTCTCAGTTCTCTGTCTTTGCATTTTCTCTAGCTAATTTTTGCATTGCAGAAGTGAGTTAGCCCTTAGTCACATGCAACTGAATGTCTGCAGCTCAGCTGCTTGGGGCAGGTGATATGGAAAAAAGCGTGGGCCGTGAAGTGAGTCAGGCAGGGCCAGCGTGCACATTTCCAAGGTGTCCTCACATATCGGCTGTAGAAATATGAACAAGCTATAGAGACTCTCTGTGCCTGCTGCTTCGTTTGCAATGGAACCCCTTGGTTATGCACCGTGAATCTGGAAAAAAGCCTGTTGACTCAGCCTGTTCTAGAAAGAAAACATTGCCACTCAGAGTCTATTTTACACCTGGAGAGTTCAGCACACAAGCCTCAACCTTAGCATTTACTGATGTTTTGGACCAGATAATTTTTTGGGTGTGGAGGGCTTAGTTGTGCTTTTTAGGATGTCTGGCAGCATCTTGTCCTCTATCCTCTAGCAGCACTCCCCTTCACCCTATATGTGACAACCAAAAATGTCTGTAGACATTGCAGAATGTTCCTGGGGTGGAGGAATTATCACCATTTAAGAATCACTGATCCAGAGGATGTTTTCCTATGAAGTTTTATTTTGGTTCATATGAAGTCAGCCTAGGGTGAGTGTCTGTACAATATTTTCTTTTTCTAGCATCCTCATCCCTTACCATGGGCCCTCAATTCAGCCTCATTAGGTAGTTAACAAGGACTAGAGTGGCATGGTACAGTCTTTATCTGAGTCGGCTTAGGGCTTTCAGGGTTCAAGGAAAGCCTCTAAAAGGTAAATAGACTTAGTCTTGCTGATACTGATCATCTCTTGGTAAAACCTTCATGTATTATTACTCTAACCAAGTTTCTATTTTAGCAAACATCTGCAGGAAATTAGGAAAGGAAGAGACAGAAAACTCCACCTGCCATAGCAAAGGGCGATCCCAATAGCAAATTGCCTGGCACGAGACTTGGCATGCAGCAAGAATAATCTCCATGTCTCAGAATACAGTGCTCCCTACTAACCAGCTCTCATCTCTCTCTCCACTCATTCACAGTGGTGACAAACAGGTTCCACAGCAAGCACTGTGGCTGTGACTTAGGTCTTGAACTCTTTGCTTCTTGGATGGATTATATTCATACTAATCAAGTCTTGAAGTCAGCCTAAAAACTTGGTACATTTCTTTGCCTGTAAAATCAATGAGGTGTTTAAAGGAGAAGAGAATTTCTAGTGGGTGGGAGGGCAACAGTTAAATGTATCAAAGTCATCGTGGGTGATGGAAACCAGGAAAATGTCTTGGCTGAGCCGATTGGGAGCGCACCAATGATGTTCTCAGAAGATGCTTCAGTGAGAGAAGCAATAGAAACCACATGATGGGGTACAGAGGTGATTAAATGTGTGTATGTGTGTGTGTGTGTGTGTGTGTATGTGTGTGTAAAATAGAGCCAGGGGCTTGGATCACTCCTACTCAAGAAGTAGGTAGGAACACACAGCAAATGCAGATTATTTTCTTTTAAGATAGAGGACAGCTGAGTCCGTTTAAAAGTTGAGGGGAAGAAGCCAACAGAATAGAAGAAACTAAAGGTGCTAGAGAGGAGAGGCTAACCTGGGGGGGGGGGAGGGGGCAAATTACCAGAGAGAAATATATCCCTTTCTCTGAGACTGGTGGAAAGAAGGACAATTAGAAGGAATTTCCTTATAACTTACTATCTCTAATTAAGGAGTTGAAAAGCACTTCATAAAACACATATGAAAACATCAAATATTAGACTATTATCAGCCATGAACACTCTAATTTAAACCAGCTTTAGAAATCTTTGAGTGATAAACTACTGATTAAATATTTATTGTTCACATGCCATAAGGTCTTGGACTTCTGCCAAATCTCTAAAAAGATGCAAAATTGTTTCAAAATGTTAACATTAAAAGGTGAAAATCTTTAAATGTGAATCTGGTCTTAACATCTTGTAACTTTGGTTATCTTCAACCCACTTGTCACTATTATCTTTTTTAACAAAATAAGGTACGTGCCCAGCATAGTAGGCAAATATTCACTGAGAACCTACTATGTAAAGCTGCTCTGGGTCCTGATTTATGGGTGTTGGGAAAGTTAGGAAAAGAGGTGGAAGACTAGGGTAGAGAACTGAGCCAGGGCAGCCTGCAGAGCCAGGATTGTGATGAGTTGCCCAGACTCACAGCAAACATTTAAAACCTAGACTCTCAAGTCCCTGAAACAGGAGGCTTTACAACACAATATATACAAAATATTGTATTATCTGTGAAACACTAGATATAACACTAAAGAAACATTCCCTGGCCATAGGAAGGGAGATCAAAAGACAGAAATCTTTCTATCTGTCCTGGCAATGTTTTTATTATGGCAAAGATAAAGCAAAGGCGTCTTCTGACGATATTTTTTTTTCTTGGTGTCAGAATTTAAATCTGTGCTACATAAACAAGTAACTAATATTCTCTACTTAAATGCTTCATCAATTTAAAAAGTCAGACCAAAAATATCTTTTTGCCTGAGGACAGTTGGCTGGACTAGATGCAATTTTGAAGTCCACTTCAGCTCCAAGAGTTCTATTTCTATGATAAAACCACTCAAATACATAGAAAATATCATAAATTTATTGCCCCTTTTCAAGCAAGTCCATTTTTCTCTTGAACACACTTAAGGGAAAATTTGCCCCTCTCTTTTGTTTAGGCAATCTGTGGAGGATTACCATGGTTTCTGTGGCCTCCTGGCCACTTTTTCTGTACATCAGTTTGGCCGTGAGATCATCTGAGGCCAACACTGTCAGCTCTCTGGATCTATGACCCTCAGCATGCATTCCCCATGGAAGCAGTGAAAATTGGTTTCAAAGGTGACATAATCTTAGATATTGCATTTGTTTGTGGCGGGCCAAAGAACCACAGTACATAAACAGATATAAGGTATATCTGTGATACTAAAATTTCATGGTGGGTGAGGGAAGATTAGGAAAATAAACCTTAAAAGTCTTTGTGGCAGAGGGCACTAACACAAAAAAGTTGAGAAACACTATCTTAGGGCAAGGATTCCTTGAAGATTTAAGATCTGATGGACAGGACTCCGGTGCATCAAATACAATACATTTTTTTGAGTTTTAAAATATTTAAAGTGCACCCTCTCCTCCTTTCCTTCGAATCTACTACTGAACACTTTTTGCACTATTTTAAATGTAGACATTTTACAGTTCAGTCTAGTACAGTATATAAAACTCAGTTTATACAAAGCCTGTTCTTGTGACAAAAGGCGTATTTGAAAAATGACTCTCTCTTTTGAGGTCAGACTCATAATAAAAACATTGCCAGGACAGATAGAAGGATTTCTGTCTTTTGATCTCCCTTCCTATGGACAGGGAATGTTTCTTCAGTGTTATATATAATGTTTCTTCAGTGTTTCTTCAAGCCTCCTGTTTCGGAGACATGAAGGTCTAGGTTTTAAATGTTTACTCAGTCTGGGCAAGTCATAGAAAATATTATTTATTGGGTATGGGAATATGGCAGCAAGATCTAGCAGAAGGCAGCGAAGGGAAGCCATTTGGGCACCAGAAAGATACACATGTCCATCCCAGATTTGCTTTGGAATAGCCTTGTCAATGGGGCAAGTTGCTTAATGCTCTTGAGCCTCAGTTTTCTAATCTGTCAAACAAGGATACTAATGCCTACCTTGTAGGATGGTTAAAAGATTTGAGATAACGGATGTCAGGTGGCTGGAACTTGCTGTTTCGGAGTTAGGCGATAAGAATGAAGTAAACAATAATTAGGTAGACAAGAACAAGGCACTCAGTGCACCTATTTTGCCAGACTTCACAAACATCCTGTTTGGATCCCTGCTGCTGCCATTGCAATTTTTTTTTCTCACAGAATGTAGTCTCTGCCAAGTTTAAATAAACTCCAAAGGATTATTGGTAGCTTGCAAAGTAAGATTTGGGCTTTGCATCAGTGAAGAGTCTTGAGGATAGGCAGAGATACCAACAAGGAGAAGCATTTCTCCTGCTCCATGAAAATGTGATTCATTCCTTCAATGAAAAAGTCAGGGGCTTGTGCAGGCACAACAGCTGTGGTTTTATGAAGGGAAAATAATCCAGAATTCCTTGTGGTGGGGCTGCTCCCACAAGGGGTCAGATCTGGATTATTGCTGGAGGCTGGCATCATCCCACAGTGACACAAGCATGATTGGATATCACATAACTTGAAATAACTGGCAATTGTTTTAGGTGAGAAAAGCTCAAGCAAGAGCAAACCAGACCAGCTCAAGTAAAGGCTTCAGTGTCTTTGATCTGGGTCTGACTTGAATGCCTGGAGTCAGAACAGAAGAAGGAACACGGTTATCTTTGAAGCTCACACTGGTTGCTGGTTGCCCACTCAACAGATGTGAGCAGTTTAGTTGTCACCATAAATCAAGGGCTCCCCCACAATGTTATAAATAGGGATGGGTAAATATTTTGGATTCATCAACCTCCAAGTATGCCTCAGATGTTTTGGGTTCAACTAAACAGAATACATCATGCAAAACACATACCCTCCTTGATTTTTTAGGACCGTATGTGATTTATGGAAAATAGAATCCATATGTTTCTGCTTCATTTACACTTAAATCTTCAAAAGGTTGTGTGTTGTAAGAGCTTTTTGATGTCGAAGATGCCTCTGCGCATGCTTAAAAAAAAAAAAAAATACGAGCAGCTTAAAAGTTTTGGTCGCTCGGAAAGACCAGAGAGACACAGAGACAGGGAGAAGGAGACAGAGACAGAGCACCCAGGAACGCCTGTTTTGCCAAGATGAAATACATTTGAACACCAGGAAGTTCAATTCTGACTGAAACTATAAACCCATGAATTAAAAATGAGTCCAGAATTTGGGAAGAAACAAAGGCTCCACTCCAGCCAGTTTTAGAAGCAGCTTCGATGAATACAGAAAAGCAGCTGGCAACTCAGCCACAGCACCAGGGAAGAGACGGCCGTGAGTGCACCATCAGCTACAGCTAACAAAGCCTGCAAGCTCTGTTATTCTTGGGCCTCCTAAGAGTTGCTCCAGCCAGGATAGAGACTCTGCCCTGCTTTAGCTCAGAAATATCCACTCTCGTGATGTTTTCCTGAGGTTGTCCTGTCATAGGCCAACACTTCCTGTCTCTTCTGCCATCTGGCCCAAATAGCCAGCCACTGGACTGAATATTGGGTGTGCATTTGGGATGATGTTTATTTATTGGGCACTTTCTTTAGAGAAAGATCACATTTAGTTCACAATAAGGCCGATAAAACATGCAGTTTGTGTAAAGTGAAAAGTGTGTTAACTAGGGGCCTACAGGTCAGTAAAAGGCAACAGGTAAAACAGGGTTTTCTTGCCGCCATCTCAACATTTACTCACTGATATTATATCAGCTCTATGTCATTGTATGCATGTATTATTATTTGTATATGTATCGTATGATTTCAGAAGCATCTTAATTAGAAATATTTTATATCATAAATTAGATATCTAGAATAGTTAGAGCGTTATTGCAAGTTAGGATGTGAAACGTTACTGTCCCTTGGGATCTCTAGACTGTGTGGCCTGAAGAGTCACTTCAGCAGAATTAAGAGTCCTGTGAATTACCTCCATATCCCAATTACATTATCTGGGGACAAGGAGCAGGGCTGGGGAATATTAGAGGTCAAGTTTTTGTTCTTTTTTTTTTTTTTTTTGCTAACCAGTAAGGAACATTCAGTAAAAATGTTCCTTAATCTCACCACTCATAGGTAGCCACTGTTAACACTGGGATGTATATTCTTTGAGTTAATTGTGTGTTTGTGTGCACATGAGCACACACAAAGAATTTGATGAGATTATACTATTTATTCTGTTTTGTAGCTTCTCTTTTTCATTTAGCAATATATTGTAAACTTTTTCCCAGGTCAATAAACTGTTGCCTCATAAGCTTTAATGCTTGCAGAATATTTAATTGTAGAATTGTACTACAATTATCTTAATATCTCAGAGTATTTTGAAATACGAATCTTGAAAACACTGCTTCAGATATATTTTTAAATACTGGCCTTAGTTTTTAAAATATTTTCTATGTTTTAGGACATGTTAGAAAAATAGATTAAGCATAGCTTCTACATCTTGTGGTTGCTTGCCTTTTAGACCAAAACATAGAACATGCTTTGAGAGCCATGGAGACTATCCATCTTCCCTGTTTTAGAGGAGACCAAGCTCTTCTTCTTCTTCTTTTTTTTTTTTTTTTTTTTTTTTTTTGAGATGGAGTTTCGCTCTTGTTGCTCAGGCTGGAGTGCAACGGCGCTATCTTGGCTCACTGCAACCTACACCTCTCGAGTTCAAGCGATTATCCTGCCTCAGCCTCCCAAGTAGCTCGGATTACAGGTGTGTGCCACCATGCCCGGCTAATTTTTGTATTGTTAGTACAGACTGGGTTTCACCATGTTGACCACGCTGGTCTTGAACTCCTGACCTCAGGTGATCCACCCGCCTCAGCTTCCCAAAGTGTTGGGATTACAGGTGTGAGCCACTGCGACTGGCCCAAGCTCTTCTATATAGATGGTATTAGTATTAGTCAGGGTTCTCTAGAGGGACAGAACTAATAGAATAGATGTGTATATGATGGGAAGTTTATTAAAATGTATTGACTCACATGATCACAGGGTAAAGTTCCACAATAGGCCATCTGCAAGCTGAGGAGTAGGGAAGCCCAAAACCTCAAAAGTAGGGAAGCCGACAGTGCAGCCTTCAGTCTGTGTCCAAAGGCCTGAGAGCCCCTGGCAAACCACTGGTGTAAGTCCGAGAGTCCAAAAGCTGAAGACCTGGAGTCCAATGCTCTAAGGCAGGAAGCATCCAGCATGGGAGAAAGCTGAAGACCAGAAGACTCAGCAAGTCAAGTCCTTCCACATTTTCCTGCTTTATTCTGGCCACACTGGCAGCTGATTAGATGGTGCCCACCCAGATTGAGGGTGGGTCTGCCTTTCCCAGTCCACTGACTGGAATGTTAATCTCCTTTGGCAACACCCTCACAGACACACCCAGGAACAATACTTTGCATCCTTCAATCCAATCAAGTTGACACTCAATATTAACCGTTACAGTATTTTTTAAAGTCCCTAGAAAAGATCAATAAGATAATCAGTAAATATTGTTTTCTTTTCTTCTTTAAAATAAAACGCTGTGTTTCTACATCAAGAAGAGCCTGTGACTTAAATTTATCTGTCCCTGTTGGTTGCTCAGTCCATCGGTAAAGTTCCTGGAGTCAATTTAAAAGAAAGCTGAAATCCATACCTACTTTGCTCTGTTTCCCATCAGTTACTAGAGAACTCAGTCCCGTCCCTTTTGTTGACAGGTTGCCAGGATACATCCAGGCAACAAAGACTGCGGTTCCTGTTACTCAGCAGCCTCAAAAACTCACACCAGCTCCTGCAAGGAATGTGAATCTTGGAGCTCCCAGCTATTCTGTTCCTGTTTCTGTCAGCTCCTTCCCTGAAAACTCAGAGGTGCTCAGCATGCCATGCTAAAAGGCAAAATAAAAAGGTAAAGAACAAATGTCACAAGGTGAGGCTCTCGCAGGGTGTGTGCATTCTCTGTTGTCTGGTAGGTCTTAAACCTTTCAACTAATAACAACTGCTTCTCTTAGATATTCTTGTTCTCTTCCATTGGCTTCTCACCAGTATTCAGTAAATATTTCCTTGCTATTGGGAAGAAATACAAATGACGATAATAATAATAATTAGTTCTTAAGTGAAAAATCTCAAGTATTACTAAACAAAACAATAAATGTCATTTTACTTCTTTGGATGCTGACAATGATGAGTGAACTATGGATTAGATGTTCTAATACCTAAAAAATAATAAAATTGTATTTAAAAGAATGATTTTTAAAATAACTTTCTTCAAAGAAAAGTAGATGAAGTCAGGTTTTAACATTAATTCAGAACTATATGTTTATTAGCCAGATTATCCATGAAAGAAAAGGGGTATTAAAGGCTATAATTACTCAGTTGTCTTGGCTTTTTTTTTAATTATTTGAGATAAAATCAACATGGAGTAAATTGTAACCAATCTTGAGTTCTTAAATTCAAGTTTCTAAAATCAATGAGTTTAACAGGTATATACAACCATGTCATGGTCACCTCAGTCAGGGCACGGGACATTTATTTCACCCTGGAATGTTTCCTCACATCCTTTCCAGCCAATCTTCCCTCCACAGGGGGCCACTGTTTTGATTTCTGTCCTCAAAGAATAGTTGGCCATTCATGAACTTTATATGAATAGAATGATACCATATATATTATATTGTCAGACTGACGTCTCTGGCTCAGCAGAATGTTTTTTCAAGCATTTCAATGTGGGTTTTTAAGTCAGTAGTACAATTCTTTTTAAAGGTAAGTATAATTGCATTATATGCTTATTTTACATTTGTTTATTACATTGATTGGTAGTTTGTTTGTTTCTAGTTTGGTCCTCTTATAGCTAAAGCAGCTATAAAGATTCTTCCACAAAGTATTTTTCTCCTAATTTTATTTTTTATGTCTAACTTTTTTCCAGCTTTATTGAGGTATGACTGACAAATAAAAATCACATGTATTTGGGGTTTCTCATGAAATGTGTTGACATATGTAGACATTGTGAAATGATTACCACAATCAAGCTAATTGAAGTATTCATCATATCACATAGTTACCTTTTTTTGGCTGTGGTGAGAATGCTTGAGATCTACTATCTTAACACATTTCAATTATTATTAATTATAATAATTCTTAATTATAATCACAATGCTGTACATTAGGTTTCTAGCATTTACTCATCTTATAGCTGAAGGTTTGTACCCTTTGCCTATCTTCCCTTCGTCTCATCCTCCACTCATGGTAACCATTATTGCACTCAACAGGTAGGTATATGAAGATGCTCACCATCACTAATCATTAGGGAAATGCAAATAAAAATCACAAGGAGATATTACCATACATTTGTGAGAATGGCTGTTAAAAAGATAAAAGATAACAAGTGTTGGTGAGAATGTGGAGAAATGGGAACCCTTATACACTGTTTGTGGGATTGTAATTTAATACAGCCATTATGGATTATGGAAAACAATATGGAAGTTCCTCAAAAAGTTAAAAGGAGAACTACCATCTGATCTAGCAATCCCACTGCTGGGTATATATCCAAAGAAAATGAAATTAGTATATTAAAGAGATATCTACACTTCCTTGTTCATTGCAGCATTATTAACAATGGTCCATATGTGGTAACAAATTATCTATCAACAGATAAATGGATAAAGAAAATGTGGTATAAACATACAATAGAATATTATTGAACCTTAAAAAAGAAGAAAATACTGCTATTTTCAACAACATGGGTGAAACTTGAGGACATTATACTAAGTGAAATAAGCCAGATAAGGAAAGACAAACACTATGTGATCTCACTTATATGTGGGGAAAAAAAAAGAAGCCTGCACAAGTCTTATTAGATATATGTTTTTATTTATTCTGGATTCGGACCCAGGAGTGAAACTAATGAGTGATAGGGTAGATATTTGTAATAAATATGGAATAATATGTCACAGTGGTCATAATTTGCATATTCCTGATGACTAATGGAGTACTTTTCATGAACTTCTTGGAGATTTGTATCTTTTTAAAAATTATCTATTCATACCTTTTACCCATTTAACATTTTTTCTTTTTAATGTCTTTTTCATTGATGTATAACTCACATATAATAAAATGCACCCATTTTAAGTACAAAATTTGATGAGTTTTGACAAATGATTATATCCATGAACCAACAAAGACGTAAATATAAGAAAACGTCCATTAACCTTTGTAGTCAATTTTCCTTTCATGCACCTACCCACCAAACAATAACTGATATACTTTCTGTCACTACAGATTAGCTTTGCTTATTCATAGAAATGGAATAATTAAGTACCTATACTTCTTTAGCATTTGACTTTTTCGGCAGCACATTATTCAAAGGGATCCATGTAGTGTATATTAGTAGTTTGTTCATTTGTATTGTGAAACAATATTCTATTGTATGAATATGCTATAATTTTGTATTCATTTATCCATTGATGTATATTTATGTTATTTCCAGTTTTTCACTACTATGAGTAAAGCTACTGTAAACATTTGTAAATGACTTTTTGTGGACATATACTTTCATTTTTTTAGGTAATTATTTAAAATGTCAATACCATTGGGTATTTTAGAATTTAACTTTATAAAGTTAAATTTTTAGATAATCCAATTTTTAAATATATGTCTTGCAAACAGTTCTTCCCAATCTATGTCTTGCCTTTTAATTTTCTTAATTTTTTTAATGTGCAGAAGTTTATAATTAAGAGAAAGTATAATTTATTATGTTTTCTTTTATACTTAGTTCTTTTGTGTTTTGTCTAACAAATCTTTGCAAATATTAGGATCATAGATATTCTCTTCTTAAAGTTTTATCATTTTTGCTTTTATATTTAGTTCCATGATCCATCTTGAGTTAATTTTTGTGTGTAGTGAAAGTAGGGAGTTGATATTTTCTCCCTATGTGCATCCAGTTGTTCCACTCTCATTTGTTAAAAAGATTTTCCTCTCTCCATTGAATTGTCTTGGCATCTTCATCAAAAATGAATTGATCATGTATGTAAATTGACCATATGTTTCTGGACTGTCTATCCTGTTACATGGATCTGTTTGTCTATCCTTATTGGCATATTAATTTTAATAAGCCAACTTATATTATTTGAATACCTGAAGCAAGTATTCAGAATAAATATGGAAGCTGAATTCTTCCATGACTGCTTACTAGTGAACCATACGCAAGAATTAGAATCAGGTTGGGCAGTCCTCCTTGCATGTTGCCCAAATGTTTCCCCAGGCAGCAACCTTATTTTAAGTGATTCTGTAATAAGCAAAAGCCAAAAATATAGTTATAATCTTATTCAGGAATCATAATCCCAGTGAAAAAAATAAGTATTTTTCAAGCCCATTAATATAGAATGTGACTTGAACTTAATTTTTATTTGTTAATTTATTCAGTAATTTATTGGGCATCTACTATATTCCAGACACTGTTCTAGACAGGAAAAAGCAGGAGGAGAATATTTATTTGTTCATAATTTCTGCAAGAAAACATTATTTATAACATCAGCTCTGTTTCCTGTTTAACAGTATATTTCTCACAATTACAGAGAAAAATCTATACCTGGTCAAATATGCATCAGAATAAATGTCATCACATATTCTTACGAATTGACAGAAAATTATAAACATTCAAATGTTAACTAAGAAAAAATATTTTCCAGCATCTCCAAATCTTGCTATCACTTCCATAAAATACCTATTTCTTTTGAGCCTAAAATGTAAACTATTATTTCTATTAGTTGCATTTTCCAGATTATTTTATTCATTCATTCATTTCTTTGAGAAAGGGTCTTGCTCTGTCACCCAGACTGGAGTGCAGCAGCACAATCACAGCTCACTGCACCCTCGACCTCCTGGGCTCAAGCGATCCTCCTACCCCAGTCCCCCAAGTAGCTGGGACTACAGGTGTGCACCACCATGCCTGGCTAATATTTTTTACATTTTGTAGTGATGAGATCTTACTATGTTGCCCAAGGTGATCTTGAACTCCTGAGCTCAAGCAATCCTCCCACCCTGGTTCCCAAAATGCTGAGATTACAGGCGTGAGCCATAGCGCCCAGCTCCAGCTTATTTTAGAATTCAAATCTTATCTATTATTTCTAAGAGAATTTTTAGTTTTACCAACTGGACCTTCATATGACTGTTTCTTCTCTGGGTCTACATAATTTGAATAAATATGTAATCTTATTTTAACTCATTTTCCCAGACTATCTGGGTGAATGATACATTTTCAGGATTATATGCAATTCCAGAAGTAAGTTGTAAATGGTGAAGAATGTGAACAATTCCAGAACACCCTTCCTGAGGGATCAGTGATGATTTCTGCGGAGTCTTACAAACACGAAGAAACAATTTCTAAATATCATTGCACACAAATATGGCAATAGGAATACACTATGTTGGGAGCAGCAGAGAGGGAGAATATAAAGAAGGCAAGTTGTTAATCATTTAAAAAGAATGGCAAAGTGCAAATAGAAGGTCCCCCAAGGTGCAATGCAGCCAAGCATTTGTTTGAGAGGAGACTCTAACAGGAGCCTTATGGAGTTCTGTGCAGACAGCACTTAGTAGGATTCTGGTTGCATTGAGTGCTATAAGTTCACATTGATTAATAACTTGATGTCTTAATGTTAAAATGAAATCTAATTTAAATGGTCTAACAGAAGGGTTAGAAAATTTTCTTGTCTTTGCCCAAATGGTAAATAGTTAAGGGCTCGTAAGCCATACACTCTGCCATTGTAGGGCAAAAGCAGTCAACGACAAACATAAATGAATAAACATGGCTGTATTTCAATAAAATTTTATTTACAAAAGAGCTGAACGATGGCCAGATTTATCCTGTAGGCCATAGTGTGTCAGCCCTTCTAATGTTCAAGGAGTTCTGATGAGATACCTTCCAAAAATCATACATTGATACTGAAAGGCCTGTGGCCTTGAAAATGTTCTTCTTGAGTGCCTGGTACTTGGGGGTTCTCTTTAGAAGGGAGATGACTAGATAATTATATGCAGAAGAATGAAATGAAACTCTTATCTCTCTCCATAGAAAAAAATCAAATCAAAAAGGACTAAATCAAATCTAAAACATAAAACTATAAAACTTCTAGAAGAAAACACTGGGAAAACACTCTAGTACATTGGTCTGGTCAAAGACTTATTGAGTAAGATCTCAAAAGCACAGGCAACCAAAACAAAAATGGACAAATGGGATCACAGCCAGCTAAAAAGCTTCTACTGAGCAAAGAAAACAATCAACAAAGTGAAGAGACAACCCACAAATTGGAGAAAATATTTGCAAACTACCCATCTGACAAGGGATTAATTATCAGATAATATAAGGAGCCCAAACAACTCAATAGTGAAAAACCAAATTATACATTTTTAAAATGGGCAAAAAGCCAGGCTTGGTGCCATGCACCTATAATCCCAGCTACTCAGGAGGCTGAGGTGGGAGGATCACTTGAGGCCGTAAGTTAGAGACCAGCCTGGGCAACATATCAAGACTTCATCTCAAAAAATTTTTTTAATTAGAAAAAAATTAAAAATGGGCAAAAGGTCTATATACATATATCAAAAGAAGTCATGCAAACAGTCTAAAAATGTCCAACATCACTAATCATCAAAGAAATGCAAATCAAAACTAAAACAAGATATCATCTCATCTCAGGTAAAATGGATTTTATCAGAAAGACAGGCAATATTGATTGGTGGCGAGGATGTGGAGAAAGGGCAACCCTTGTACACTGTTGGTAGGAATGTAAATTAGTACAGCCACTATGAACAGTATGGAAGTTCCTCACAAAACTAAGAGTAGAACTACAATATGATCCAGCAAACTAACTGCTGGGTATATAGCCAAAAAAAGTTGAAATCAGTATGCCAAAGAGATATCTGCACTCCCATGTTTATTGCAGCAATATCCACAAGAGCCAAGGTATGGAGTCAAGATAAGTGTCCATCAGTGGATCAATGGATAAAGAAAATGTGGCACATATACTCAATGGAATATTATTCAGCCATAAAAAGAGTAAAATCCTGTCATTTACAACAACATGGATGGAACTAGAGGACATTATGTTAAGTGAAATAAGCTAAGCACAGAAGGACAGTAGAACATGTTCTTACTCAAATGTGGGAGCTAAAAAAAAAAATGTGATCTCATTGAGATAGAGAGTAAAATGATGGTTGCCAGAGCTGGGAAGGGTAATGGGAAATGAATAAATAGGGGTTGGTTAATGAGCCTAAAAATACAGTTAGAGGGAATAAGACGTAATGTTCAGGAGCATAACAGGGCAACTATAGTTAAAAATAAGCTACTGTAAGTATTTCAAAATAATGAAAAGACTAGAATTGTGATGTTCCCAACACAAAATAATGATAAATGCTTGAGGAGGTAGATATCCCAATTACCCTCATTTGATTATTACATGTTGTATGCTTATATCAAAATATCATACCTATGCCATAAATATGTACAACTATTATGTATTCATAATAATTAAAAATTTAAAAAAGAAGATATCTGATTTCCAAGGGAAATTAAATTTTGAAAGTCATTAGCACTCAGAACATATGTGGTCAAGAAAAACAATGTATGAATAAACTTAGCTCAGGGAAGCCAAACTCTGTGATTCTCCTTCAGCTTTCTACCTAGTTAGGCAGTGCCCCCAGCACAAGTGACTAGCTGCTCGTATGGCTACCTTTGGTGTGCCTGTCTAGGTCCATTCTCTAGGGAGCAGCAGCACATCTATTCTGGTTGCTCACTACTTGATAATCTTTACCATGAGGTATAGTGCTTGGTCTAGTTCATGGTCCTTGGAGAGATTCTCATTTATCTTGGATTCAGTATAGTTATGCTTTTAAAGCTATAATATTATTATAATTCTAATTCCTTGAGATAGTATTATAAAAATGAACAAGAATTAAATGATCACATATGTGTAAGACTTGAGAAAATATTACAAAGCTGTCTGATAACACTTCTTTTCCAAAAGCCCCTTTATGTTTTTTATTCCTCATATAAATAATGAACTTCAGTTTTGTTTAAAAATTTAATATAACATCAAGCTAATCTCACTCAGCTAGGTCAACATTAAATTTATTTTGTTATGACCTACAATGTGCCTGGCACTGGGCGAGGTGCTGGTGATATAACTATGTAGAGAGCAAGTAAGTCTCTATTGTCTCGAAGTTCACATGCAATTTAAAGAGATAAATATTACACATGCAAACAAACAGACAAAAACATAGGTGCTGAGTGCTGTAAAGATGATAAACAGTGGCATCACTGAACATAACTATGATGGATGGTGATGGTGATATCAGTTCCATGAATGAACATGAATGGGCATGTGTATGTGCATGTGTATGGGTGCAGGTGGGTGTGTAAGTGTGTGTGTTTGGGACAGAGGGAAAGAAATTACTTGAAAAAGAGTAGTCAAGAGTTCAAGGCCAGCCTGGCCAACATGGGCAACAACAGTAGCCCATCTCTACTAAAAATACAAAAATTAGCCAGGCGTGGTGGCAGGTGCCTGCAATCTCAGCTACTTGGGAGGCTGAGGCAGGAGAATCGCTTGAACCTGGAGCCAGAGGTTGCAGTGAGCCGAGATTATGCCACTGCACTTCAGCCTGGGTGACAGAGTGAGACTCTGTCTCAAAAAAAAAAAAAAAAAAAAAAAAAAAAAAAGAGTAGTTAAGAAAGGCCTGAGTTGACAATATTTAAATAGAGACCTGAAGGATAAAATAAGAAAGCTAAGCAAAGAACTGGAGGAAGATTCTAGGCAATGGCAAGAGCATGTGCAAAGCCTCTTCCCAGTCCCTCCCCCAGTCTACCCCAAAGTAAGAGAGAGTTTGACTTGCCTGAGGAACTGAGAGATGAACATGGATGGAGCATGGTGCAGAAAAGGGAGAGCAAAAGGAGATAGGCAGAGACTGAGGGAGGTACCAGGTTACAGAGGGCATTCAAGGTCAAGAGGTTGGATTTTATTTTGAGAGTAGTGGGACAACCATGGAGCAGTCAGTCAGCAGAGGTTTAAGTTGTGATTGTAGCTTAAGGAGTTAAATGTGACTGCTCTGAAAAGGATAGATGAGGGTTGAGAGCGGAAGTGCCTCTTCACCTATGTGGTTGAAACAGCCCACAGATGCGAGGCGCACCCGTTCACCTGCCTGGCATTAGATTTATGAGTGCAGGCAAAACAGCCAAAAGGAATAACCAACCACTTCAATGCTAGATATGGAAATGCTTCTACATAAATTGATGTAATATCACAAGAGGTTATCCAATATCAAATGGGTAGAATGAAGACAGGAGTGAAAAATCATGGGAAAGGAGATATATTAAAATGCAAAGGCAGAAAATACTAAGATGAGAAGGGGAGCAGAAGGAAAATATAAGAAGATGATAGAATAGGATAAGATGTTTTTTTCAGCCAAATTATTAATGGGCAATCACATAGGAAACAAAAACATGCTAAATATTGTTTAGAGTGTCTGTTAGTGCCTTTTCCCTTTTCCCTCACTGTCTAATTCCTTACCTTGCATTTCACATGCAAACCCACAATAAGAGGGGGAATCTACTTGAAGAGCTGAGGCAAAGGCAAACATCCTCATGATCTTCTCAGCCTGGCCTCACCACCAATGAGACTTCTCCCAAGTTCAAAGATATGTTCAAAAGGTTATTTTAGTGAAATTATTGTGAAATGAACAAAGAACAAAACGAAGAGTAGTGAGGACTGGAAATAGAAGAAAAAGGCAATTGGGCAAAGACTCAAATCTCGAGTTTCAGTTAGACTCTCAGCCAACAATTGTCCTTATTAGTACCATATGACCTAGTTACAATCCAGCATATCATCACTAAATAAGTGTCAGATGGACTAGCATTGTGGCATGGATTAATTACTAAATGAAGATTATAACATTGATTATCAATACATCCCCTTGACCCGGAAGAAATATGGAGAGGAATGCATAAGGTCTGTGATGTATGTGTGTATGTGTGTGTGTGTATGTGTATGTGTATTCATGTGTCTGAACAATTGGAAGCAGAGTCTTCAGTGAGGTGATAATAAGTATAACTGATAAAATTCTATTTTCTTGACAATCAAGTATACATATCCTTTGAAAGAATGGAAAAATATATAATTATTTTGTGAAAGACTTTTTCCATTTTGGTTCATTTTAAAATCATAAATGTGTAATAAAAGTTAATATTTACATTCCTTGAATCAGTTCATGGCATTTCCACTCAAAAGTACTAAATGATTGTAAAACATTAAAATCAGATAAATCTTGGATTGCTTTATCTGTTCAGTTCCAAGTGAACCATCTTATATATGAAACATATGACATTTCAATCAACAAAAATTAAAACCACACTTTCCCCTTCAGTTAACCTGTTTCCAATGTAAAATACCATGTCAAACGGAGTTTAATTATTTGAACTATTGGGGCATTTATGTGTGTTAAGCAGTTTCTAAATAAAGTTTTCAACAGAGATTCCCAGAAGTAGCACAGGAATGCTGTTTTAGCTAAAATTATTTAAATTAACATTACCCATTCCTTGCCTATATGAAACAGGCTTCATTATCATTCCCTAAAAATGTAATGATCTTTCATGTAACCAAATTTATTTTATTGTCAATTTTATAACTGGAATTTTGCAGTCAACTAAAAAGGATCAAGATTTGTGACCTAAAAAATTGTCATTACTTCATGATATTTACAGGACAAACCCTAAATGTATGAATTTTCAAATATTGATTTCATAATGTCTTCAGGTAGTTCAGCCCATTCTGTGTATTTTTTCCATATAATTATGGTACTATAAGATCCTGGTATTTGAAAAACTAGAAAACAAGGAACATGATGATGTGAACAAGTAGATGAAAATCAGCTTATAACACTTAAGTTGGGAAGAAAGAGTAGTGACTGAATAAAAGTGAAATATTAAGAAATTGTTAATGCCTGTTGAAAAGAAATAAGGACATGACATCACATCTGCACGTTCCTGCCCTGGGATCCAGAGTAAACTTGTTATTTCTCAAGATAGAGAAGAAAAAAGCTTTTAAGGCAGCTTAGGAGTTATTTGCCATATTTGCATTTAATGGAGTGGTCTTCGTAGAGAGGACTTACAAGCACAGTGGACAGGAAAGGTAAAGGAGAAGAGTGAAAAAAGAGGATGTTCCTGATGCCTATTATTGGTGTCCCATGAATGTAGGCCAATGGAATTCTCTGAAAAGTTTGCCTAGAAGCTGGGCTAACCACAGACCATCACGGAAAACTCTCACAGGTGAAGAGCTCTTCTAGACCCTGGAATTGGAAACCCTAGGTATTACTGTAGAATGTTTTGTCCCTTCCAAAATTCATGTTGAAATTTAATTCCAACCAAAATTCAGATGCTACCAATGTGATAAATTCTTATTAAAAACAGCAGTAGTGGATACTTATTAAACAGTTGACAAAATTATATAGAGCTTAATACACATACGAGTGCAAATAAAACTGAGGATTCTGACTTAGCTCAGTAGATTGTATCAACATCAACAACTTGGTTGAGGTATTATTATAGTATAATATCCACACTATAGTTCTGCAAAATGTTACCCTTGAGGGAACTGGGCAAGTGTACAAGGGATCTCTGTATTATTTCTTTCAACCGCATATGAATCTACAATTATCTCAGTAAAAATTACAATAAAAAATACAATTATAATGTCATCAAACCTAAAAAATTAACATTAATTCTTAACATCTGAGTGGCAAGATATATTTTAAAAGATCATAGTATGATAAAACAAAACAGAGTGAAATACACCTAGTATACAACTATAAACTGCAATTAAATCCAAAGGGAGCATACAGGCAGGAAAAGAGTAAGGGACCCCCATCTTTGGGACAGCTACATCATGTTAATGCTATCATTAGTCTTTGTTTGACACTCTTCTACCTGTGGAGAATTTCCAAATCTGGCTCAATTATAGACAAAATATTCAGTCTCACTCCTGTATTAAAATGAAATCTACTTCTTTCTGGGCACCACAGGCAGCATCTCCAATGTTCTTGTGCTATTTTACAGTATATTCCAAATTTTATCCTTGCTTTGCTCATGTTTATGTAGAGCATACAGAATGGGTATGAGCTGGATAAACAGCAATACCCATGAGCTACTGATGCCAAGGGGACATTTAATGGGGTTACACACAAGTGTCATGGCACAGCAGGATGGGGGATCCATTTTAGGTTAGGATTCCATATAGGAAATGACACCACAAAATGGAAATGTGTTTTCAGCTTTTATTTTTTTATTTTTTATTTTATTTTATTTTATTTTATTTTATTTTATTTTATTTTATTTTATTTTATTTTATTTTATTTTATTTTATTTTTGGAAACAGTCTATTGCTCAGGCTGGAGTGCTGTGGCGCGATCTCAGCTCACAGCAGCCTCCAGCTCTCAGGTTCAAGCTATTCTCATGCTTCAGACACCCGAGTAGCTGGGATTACCCCTGGCTATTTTTTTTTTTTTTTTTTTTTTTTTGTGAGAGGGAGTCTCCCTCTCTTGCCAGGCTGGAGTGCAATGGTGCAATTTTGACTCACTGCAACCTCTGTCTCCCAGGTTTAAGTGATTCTTCTGCCTCAGTCTCCCAAGTAGCCGGGACTACAGGCATGTGCCACCATACCTGGCTAATTTTTGTATTTTTAGTAATGACGGGATTTTGTCATGTTGGTCAGGATGTTCTTGATCTCTTGACCTCATGATCCATCCACCTCAGCCTCCCAAAGTGCTGGGATTACAGGCATGAGCCACTGCACCCGGCCCTAGCTAATTTTTTGTAGAGATGAGGTTTCACCATGTTGGCCAGGCTAGTCTTGAACTCCTGACTCAAGTGATCTTCCCGCCTTGGCCTCCCAAAGTGCTGGGATTACAGGCATGAACCTCTACACCCAGCTCACAGCACGATCATCTTTCTTTTGGGGGCAGTAGGAGAGAATCTGTTTCCTTGGTCTTCCTGCCTTCAAGAGGTGCCTGCATTTTTTAACTCTTAGACCCCTTCTTTGGAACAGCTAATTGAGGCCCTTTCACACTTGAAATTTTTTCTGCTGCTGTCTATCTCTCACTGACTGGGGAAGAAGTTCTCCACATTTGATGACTCATGTGATTAGACTGGGCCCCTCACTTCTAATGCTGCTTTCTCCAGAATATAATGAAGTTAAGATATAAGCCACATTTTTCTAGTAGTGAGCTGGAATTGTTGGCATCGCCTTCTCTCTCCAGCCAAATGGAAAATCCAGAGGACATTAGCAGTGGGTGTCAACCATAGGGTGCTATACTCTTCACTCTCTTTCTAATGGCATCTTATCCTTATTGGGTATTCTTATTGGGTTGTCCTAAACTTAAAGCTCAGATAGATAGTGGAAATAATGAAACAAAGTGAAATAGAACACAGAAGATGGGAAAAAAGACCCTGTTGAAAACACAAGAAAGATAGGACACATCAGCATCCACAAAGTTGATTTTAAATTAAACTCTTCCCATCCAATATCCTAATATTTCCAATCTTATGTGTGACTTAAAATATACACGTGATCTTTGTGTTTACTAAAGGCAGACAGAACAAGGCAGTTGAGAGTTATTGGTCATGGAGTGGAAGGAGGCTTTCTATAAATGTTGAACCACAAAAAAATTTAAACTAAAAGCTGAAGAGGTTTTTAAATGAACCATCACCACATTGCATGTTTGTTTGGGTCTGGGGACACAAAGAATGAACGTTTCCCCTAGACACCAGGCGACTCATTCTAGTGGTTTTCTCCAGCAGTGGATATCTTGTATAAGCTTTCCTGGGAAATGAGAATTTGTAGGGCTGAGGATTCTGAATCATCAGTGAGCTCTAACTATGTGGCCCATGAAAGAGAGTCTTGTTGCCATGATTCAGCGATGTCAAATGGTATGACAATCATATTTTGATGACTTATTCACATAGAAGGATGAGAGATGTGGGGAGAACAGCAACAAAAAGCCCAGGTTCAGAAACAGCCTTCAGTTTGTGGGCACACACAAACAACCAGGTCTCCAGAGTCACTGCCAGGAACGTCATGGCGAGCATATCAGAAAATAGAGGCACATTGATTCATGCACACAGCAGAGACCCAGCCTGCCTTATGGACTCTGCTGTTTTTGACTTCCTTCCCAGGCATTTTCCTCAGAAACAGCTTTGGGTGGAGAGCGCATTATTAACAAAGGGTGTTGATGTCTGTAATGAATGGTATTGATAATCAGTGTAAGTGTTAGCCAGGCTCCAGGAGGCACTGACCTCCTGGAGGTGGACAGAAATAAGGCACAACTTTGAAACTGCTGTAAGGTAAGTGAGTGATGTATCAGAAAGGTTCCTCCCGGATTCAGTGAGCCCATCTCTCTTATGCCAATTTATCCTGGCCTAGCAGCTCCGTTCATGCACAACTTTATTCTTCATTGTGTTTGTTTCCACCTGGACACACAGAAGTGACCACACTTCTGATACTAACACAGCGTGGCTCAGAAGTCTATGTCAAAAGTGTCGCACCGAGTTCAACTAAATCAAGAGTATAAAGACAGTGGGAACTCTGTGCAAGCATATCACATGATGGGGGCTGGCAAACATATGCATCTATTTGCAGTTCTTTTAAAATGTAGATACTAAAATATGGTTATCTGTGGATTTTTCCATCCAATGTTTAAAAACCATAATATATCAATTTTAGACACTTGATGGCTATAGATCTCATTCTAGGTCGAGAAGGGGCTACTATACTGTTCTTATACGTTTGCAGTTCAAACTAATTTATAGGTATTTCTTGACAAAATGGACAGCTTGGCAGAAAGAAAAAGTGTACCAAATCCTGTAATCCCCACAAGGAAGCATAATTCTCTTATAAAGTATTTCCAGAGCAAATCTTTACAATCCAACTATGGTCTATATTGCTAATAGCTTATTTATGGTTCTTTTAATTGGCTGATTATTTCTTTAAACTAATAATCTAACAATCCTCATCTGGGGAGTCATTTAATGGTGAAGAAAGGTCCATTGTCTTAAATAGAAGAGTAGCTCTTATGATATCAACCGATCAATAAATAATTATGGGAATGTCTCCAAAAAGTTTAGGTGATCCACAAAACACAATTTTGTCTGTTTGTGTTTTCCTTTTTTTCTTTTTATTTCTTCTATAATCCCACCTGTAGCTGTTCTAAACACTGGCTGCTTTATTTTTTTCTCTAAAGTTATGTATATATTATCTTCTATAACCCTTTAATAACTTATGAAAATTCCTTCTTAAGTCACCGATTCTGTCTTTTCTTCTTGGATTTTACCCTCCCTCCTAGACCGAAGCATTTCAGCCCTAATCTACTTTCATTAGGAAGATTCCTTCCTAAATATTCTAAATATTTACTAATAAATATGTTGTATTTATAACAATTATATCCTAGAAGACTTCAGTTGGATTCTCAGTTCCTTGAAGTGATTTTCAATATTTAATTAAGAAGAAAAATGTCCCCACAGGACACTTTCAAGCAAGAAGCATGAACTATAAATTAGTGAATCCGGCTAGTGAGAAGCATTGGAAGAGTAAAGGCTGGCTCTCTGAGCTACAGGCACAGCTGTTACTCAGCATCAGCTTATGTTAGATGTTGCCACACAGGAATGTGGGCTCTGTTCTGCCAGCTCTTCCACTTTTCAAGAGAAACCAAAAATCCTTATTTTATGTGACATCTCCCAATTTTAAAATAACAGGAACTAAGTCAAGCAGTTTTGACTTTCTACAGGCTAAAAGGAACATAGCTATGGACCAGATGTGCCTATGAGCCAATGCTTAAACAATATTGAAAAAGACATATTGGTATAGAGCTATCCTGTTGGAAGAAAATTATCCTAAATGAGAGAAAATATGGCATGTGAAATTCCTTTGAAGACTTGTTATTCGACTCTTCCACTTTTTTCTTTTTTGGGCTATCCTTTGGATTTCTATATATTATAGGCCTCTAATGTGATTATACTGACGGTTTGTATAACCAGTGCTCCACCACTGCAAATGTCAATATTACAATTATATGATCATACCTGTGTGGCATTCATGACTCTTGGGTACTCTGTGATTTGGATACTCAATATAGAGTGAAAATTACAGGCTTGATCTAACAGTAGTTTTCATAGGGTGATATTATAAGCCTTAACAACATAAAATGCCTTTGGCAGAGGGCTCTAGTTAGAAGCGCAAAGAGTGCATTTCTCTCACTTTTTTCATAGCTTTTCTAACACCATAGACTATTATGTTCATACCTGACAATTAGATTGAATGAAAGTGAAAGAACTTATTTCTTGACCTAAAATTATTCATAGTGAAGGGGAGACAAAGAAAAGGAATTTTTTCATCAGTTATTTATAATCAGTCTAGAAATGCCAATATTTTCTCAAAGCCATGCCTCAGGCTAAGTGGCTTTTATGAAAATGTTTCCACTTTTTACCTTTCAAATGCTGCTCCTATATTTCTTAAACCATACTGCCTCTAGGTCCCAGCTGCTCTCACATGGCCTTTCCCACTCACATTAGATTGGCTGAGGTCTGCAGATGCCATGGTACCAGACGCTGCCTAGAAAAGAGTATGCAGAACCAGTGAGAATGAGCCTGACAAGCTGCCCTCAACACTCCTGGTCATCTTTGGTCTATGAGTAGGATCACTTTGCTATGGCTTCCTCTGTGGCAGTGGTGGCCTTGTGGCTTGGGGGTCAGCAGGTGAAGAGTGTCATATAAAATTTAAAAAAATACAAGCATGCTTAGAACAGTAGGCTTCCCTTATGAATTTGTTCATCTACTGGAAAATGGAAGAACAATACATTCTAGCTCTTAAAGCACTGCGATAGTGTAAAAATAACAAAAATGCATTTTCAGTGGTCTGAGTTGAGGATTAAATGTTCAGATAAGCATCTTATTTTGTAAGATTCTATGAAAGAATTAATTTGCATTTATATTTATTGCAATATTTAAGTAATATGCAGCTTGAATATCACAGATTATTATTACTTATATTTTGAGGGTTGTTACATCCGTTTGAATTATTAAAATTTAGAAACTTAGAAGAGGCACCCTATGGAGTTGAAACTCAGATCTCCAAGGAGGACGCACAGACTGGCTGGTGATTGCATCTGGTGGGGAAGGGTCAGTTTGTCTGGTTTTACAAATTTGGTTGGATTCAGCTGCTGCTACTGAAAAGAACTGCTGCTGCTGGAGTAGAGGAGTGTTGCTGGAATAATGCTCACAGCAAGCACATGCACACAGGAAGCCTTTAAAAGGATTAAATGGCCTCTTGCTCCCCACTTCTTGCATTCTCCTCCCATTATTCCTGTTGGCAGAGCATAACACAGAGCCAGCTTGCAAAGCAGAAATGGGCTGTGCATAGTCCCTGTACCCATATCATAAAGCTAAATATAGAAAAGAAGGTTGGGAGTATACAGACAATAAGTTAATAACTGGCACAATTTTGCTATCTGCTAGCTCTTTAATAAGCTTGTGGAAAAAATAGGCTATTTTTAATAAAAAATAGTCATTAAATTTTTTTTCTTAAAAGAATCTCTAAAAAAGGAAGTGTGATCAATTTCATAAGAACCATTGATCCAGTATTTATAGTATCAATTTTTTAAATTTCTGATTTTTAAGAAGTGTATATTTAATAAGTCAATTCTGCGCCCAAACCTCTACTCCCTCAAAAAAAATTCCTTCATCAAAAAAAATCTGAAATTTGAAATAACATTATTAGGATGAATTGTGCTAATCACCAGTATTAAAATACAGATATCTCTCAATTAGTATTAGGTTTCCATGTGAATAACAGACTCTTAAAAATGGCTAAAATAAAAATAAAAATTTACTTTTCTTATGTAAATAAAGTCCAAGAAAGGCACTCCAGGGCTTCTATGATGGTTCCAGCATTACCAGGGACCCAAGTCCATCCAGGCCTCTGCTCTGTCATATCAAGTGTTACATAAATGAAATCTGTTCTCAACTGGCTGCTAAAGCGCCAGTCATCACATCCATCTTCGAAGCATCAGTAAGAAGGAAAGGAAGAGAAGCAATTGTTCTCTTCTTCCTTTTCAAGAATTGTTCTTACAAGTTCCACACAATATTTTCACTAACTACAAAGGAGCTTGTAGATGTGCCCAGCTGAAAGTTGGGGCTCTATTAATTGAGGGAGTTGAGTGGAATGGCTATTGGTAAGGAACTAACTGTCTCTGCCGGACATTAGAAGGGACATTATCTCATCAATTATAAGCCTTGGTGTAAATGAGTCCATCAGTTCCTTTTTGAAAGCAAGATTTCATAGGTAAGACGGACTGGTGAGCATACAAGAATACTAGGCTGGAGAGTGGAGGCTGCTGAATGGGGTGGGTGAACAACATTGAAGATGAACCTCCTCTATTTTAGAATCTTGATCAGAGCCACCATCAGCCCCAACTCCATCTTTCTTGTTTATGTTTTTGTTCATTTAAAGAATTTGAATTCAATACTAATAGAGAAGGGATCATATCATGTATCAACTATATTTCTTTTGTTTCAAAGGGCTAGATTTTTTTATATACTTTAAGTTCTAGGGTAAATGTGCACAACGTGCAGTTTCGATACATAGGTATACATGTGCCATGTTGGTTTGCTCCACCCATTAAATCATCACTTACATTAGGTATTTCTCCTAATGCTATCCCTCCCCCATCCCCCCACCCCACAACAGGCCCCCATGTGTGATGTTCCCCGTGCTGTGTCCAAGTGTTCTCATTGTTCAGTTCCCACTTATGAGTGTGAACATGAGGTGTTCGGCTTTCTGTCCTTGTGACAGTCTGCTCAGAATGATGGTTTCCAGCTTTATCCATGTCCCTGCAAAGGACATGAACTCATCCTCAAAGGACTAGATTATTTTTTAAAAGATATGATCACACTTTTCATTGTGTTCTGTTCCCTCTCTTTTAGAGAGACACCTTCTAATGCCAAGATGGTTTTTGGATTTCCACGGTTATTACATTCTTCTTTGTGTGTTTGTCTCTCCCTTCCCATGAACCCTGAAGAGAATGGAAAAATGGCATCATGTTGATAAAAGGTGATGCCTTCCAGGACATTCTGTAAATGTCCTATGTGCAGATATGGTCAAAACGAATAATTCAGGCCAACTGAGTGAACATTTCTCCAGAGATGCTTGAGGTAAAACTGTCTGGCTTTGCAAAGTGGTTCTCTTTATAAACTAGCAACATTGCTTTATGACGTTTTGGGTGACAGGCCAATTTCTTATGTGATTTAAGTATATGCATTTAGTATTTTCCAGCACTTTTGCTTTTAGAGCTAACTTATAAAGGGAGAGCAACCAACACTGCTGTGCCATGGCATGTTGCCTTTGCACAGTCACTGGCAGAAACATTACGCATTTCTCCATAAGACACCTCCGTTCCCAAAAATTTCACTGGCTTCCAGCTACCTCATCTTTCATATTTTGATACCTTTAGTCACAATAAGGGAAAAATTTCAGGAGAACATTGGAGAAGGAAAGGGATGGTAGAAAAAGAAAAGTTGAAGATTCAAATGGACGTTTTGTGATGTTTCATCGTGTTTGCTGCAGAGAAAATATTTGCAGTGCACAAATGTTTGTGTGCGGTAAGATCTATCCCTAATCAAATGGTGACATGGCTTCAAACTGAGCACTACCTGGCCTCTTGGGGCAGCCTTCACTTTTACCCTGTGCCCATGATCAAGACAGACAAAACACATCATTCATCGTTGGTCTGCCCCATTCCCCCAACTGGTCCCTACCTCTGCTGGTTATGTAGATTTTTCTGAAGATATTGGTGAAATTAAGAAAAGAATCTGTACTGCACATCACTCAGGAAAAACTACATCTAGAAAACAACTGTATATGGCAAAAGTGATTCTTTTTTTTCTTTTTTTTTTCTTTTGAGATGGAGTTTCACTCTTGTCAGCTAGGCTGGAGTGCAATGGCGCGATCTTGGCTCTCTGCAAACTCTGCCTCCCGGATTCAAGCGATTCTCCTGTCTCAGCCTCCTGAGTAGCTGGGATTACAGCCACCATACCCAACTAATTTTTGTATTTCTAGTAGAGACGGGGATTCACCATGCTGGCCAGGCTGGTCTCAAACTCCAGACCTCAGGTGATCCGCCCACCTCGGCCTCCCAAAGTGCTGGGATTACAGGCATGAACCACCGCGCCCGGCCTGGAAAAAGTGATTCTTAATGCAGAAACAGAAAACCAAATACCACACGTTCTCACTTATAAGTGGGAGCTAAACGTCAAGTACACGTGGGCATAAAGATGAGAACAACAGATAGTGAATGCAAGCGGAGGAAGGGCTGAAAAACTACCTATTAGGTACTATGCTTACTACCTGGGAGACAGATTCATGTGTACTCCAAACCTCAGCATTACACAATATGCCCATATACCAAACCTGCACATGTACCCCGAACCTATAATAAAAGTTGAAGAAAAAAAGTCCCCTGTCACTTAACATTGAAAACATTGTGTTCCATAGCCCCAGTCTCTCTCTTCTGCTTTGTCCCTCTCAGAGGCTTCTCCTCTGTGCCTTGTCTGCACTCCTCCTTCTTGCCTCTTCTTTCTTCTAAAAGGAAGCATAACAGCTGGTGAGAGCTTAGTTACCTTCCCCTGAGGCATATGGATAATACATTAAAACAGGGATAAAAACTAAAGGGAAGAAGCTCTGCTGGAGGAATTTAGGCAGAATGAATAATGGAAAGAGCCACGTATTGGAGCCAAAGAGAGCTGGAATTGATTCACAGTTCTGTCATTTAGAAACTGACAGTCTTGGGCAAATTACTTGTCTTTTCTGAGTCAGTTTCTTTACTTATAAAGTTGAAATAATAATACCTGCTTCATAATCATTTGAGAATTAACTAAAATTATGTTTACAAAAAATCTGTGCCCTATCTGGCATATAATTGGCATTCAGTAAATATTACCTCTCTTGCCTTATCAAAAGGGAGATGGAGGGGTTGCTGGGGAAAGTCATGGGGATTTCTCAGTATTCTAATCTGCTGGAAACAGAATTGACTCTGTGTGTGTGTGTGTGTGTGTGTGTGTGCGCGCGTGAGAGAGAGAGAGAGAGAGAGGGAGGGAGAAAGAGACAGAGAGAGAGAAAGAGAGGCAGAGACAATTTAGGGGAAGGAGGCTTATTTGATTGCATTGATTTTTCTAATCTGTCTTCTTAAGTCATATTAGTGTCTGCAATTTCCTAGTATCAAGGAAAATGATAAACTAAAATTCCTCGGTGAACAGAGCCAATAAAGCAGAATGGTTTGTGGAAATAACCCACGGGCTGGATTTAAAACCTAATGAAATAATTTTACCCTATTCCTATGTTCCATAGATCTACTTTCTCTTTTAGATGGTACTGATCGAGTGATAAATTTCTCTGTTTTATTTTCTATGCTGGCCACTCTGGGGCCAACACATACTTTTCCCACATCTGTTAACATTACTGTCTTAGAATCTGTCAAAATGAAGAATAACTTCTTTCTCTGTGCCAGACCTGATTTGATACTCTTAAAGGCAAGGATTCAGACCTTTGTTGGCACCAAAGTACAGGAGCTGGGCACAGATATCACAGCTCTTCTTGTTCTTTATCAAATCCAGTGCCCAGGGTTTCCATATTACCAGGACTGCTGGCCTTGCACTGTCCAAACTGAAGTGTTTGCCGTGATGTAGAGGATCCAGCTTCATACCAGGGGCTGCTCTTCTGTGGTTAAGAATGGATGCTTTAGAGTTTATCACCCTGATAAATGAAACGATAAAGGAAATGAAAAAGGTCCTGAGGCTTCTGAAATAATCTTTTTGGGGAGCCAGATTATAAACCCACGGTAAAATTTACTCATAACTTTTCCCAATATACAAATTTAAGATTCTTCCCATAAATGGATATCTAAGCTGCCACTTCTTCTGGTGGGGATCCTTGGGGAATCCAGGGCCTTTGTTTTATATTTAAAAATATTTGGAAGTCATACATATATAAAACAAGAAAGTAGGTATGATACCTTTTTAATAAAAAAAGAGCCTCAAGCAGCATCTGTGTATCATCTTTCCATGAAAGATCTGCAGATATCCCACCAGGATGGGTGCCGGCCTAGGCTGTACTCTTTGCTGGAGAATTATAGCTCCACTTTATTAATACCCTATTCCCATAATAAACAAAAGTGAATACATGATGTGTCACAAGAAGTTTATGTCCCTCTGAGGGCTATCCTGATAATCCTCATAAGATTCATTCTTGAATTACTTCTTCTGCAAGAGTTCTTAATTTCAGGTCCATGGACACTCAAGAAGTCTGTGACACAACTTTACCTCAATTAAAATGTATATCACAACTAGAAACAGTTGACAAATTATTTCAGTAAAACTGATTTCACCTGTGATAGCAACAATTTTTATTTTTACTTATAAAAATACTATTCTGAGAAGTGCATAGGCTTCACAGAATTGTCAAAGGAATCCATGTCACTAACAAGTTAAGGATCTCTGACGTAGTGGAAGTTTCTGTGGGGCCCAGGGGGTCTTTTCGTATGACCTGCTGATTTCATTAATCTAATATTCACAGTTTGCAGTTTTCTCTTCTATGGTCTCACCACCCTGGTCTCAGCCTCTATTGCTTTGCGTCTTCTGTATCTATGATGTGCTGTAATTGTCAAGTTAACTTTTTGGGCAGAACACGATTTTCAATACAGTGATAGTGCAATTGATGATGGAAGATTTCCTCAGGTTTATGTCAGTTTATTGACCAAATCCCATATGCTGGTTACTGTGCTAGTCAAAAAGTATACAAGGTCAATATTTAAAACAAGCAAAAAAAAAGCACACACACACACACAAAACAACCTAAATGTGTGTGTGTGTGTGTGTGTGTGTGTGTGTGTTTACATAATAACTTCTTATGTCTCCCACCCGCCTCCACAGATCTTGGAGACATCTCAGCTTTAATGAGGACTTTCCAACATTCCAGACTGCCGTCCTGCAATGAAGCTCTGAGTCACGGTCTGTGAGGCTAAGGTACTGGCAACGGTGTGAACCCCAGGACAACTAACCTCACTAACCTTCACTCTAAGCAGAAGCCCAAAGTGAGTCTGGCCTGAAATCAGAGCAAGCACTACAGAAAGACATCTTTGTTAATGGAAAGAGGAAAGAAGAAAAGAATTTCCAATAAGTTACAACAAACTTTTCACCATTCTAAAGAACCCACTTTCCTTATCAACCAAGCTGGGCTTCTCTCTAGTGACTCCTATTCTAGCCTTTCCCCAGAAACAGAGAGTGTTAATCCTGGTGAAAATATAAAGACAGACACTCAGAAAAAGAGACCTGGGACTGTGATACTATCAAAACTGTCAAGTAGAAGAATTATATCGGAAAGCCAGCTTAGCCCCCCTGTGATCCCGGCCCGCAGGCCTGGATTCCGGGTATGCTATATCTGTGGCCGAGAATTTGGGTCCCAGTCAATTGCCATTCATGAACCCCAGTGCTTGCAGAAGTGGCATATTGAAAACAGCAAGTTGCCCAAGCATTTGAGGAGGCCAGAACCCTCCAAACCACAGTCTCTCAGCAGCAGTGGGTCCTACAGTCTTCAGGCAACTAACGAGGCTGCATTTCAGAGTGCCCAGGCTCAGCTGCTGCCCTGTGAATCCTGTGGCCGCACATTCTTGCCAGATCATCTTCTTGTTCATCACAGAAGCTGCAAGCCAAAGGGTGAGGGTCCCAGAGCACCACACTCAAACAGTTCTGATCATCTTACTGGCCTCAAGAAAGCTTGTAGTGGAACCCCAGCCCGACCAAGGACTGTTATCTGCTACATATGTGGTAAGGAATTTGGCACCCTGTCCCTTCCTATTCATGAGCCCAAATGCCTGGAAAAGTGGAAAATGGAAAATGACCGGCTCCCTGTGGAGCTCCACCAGCCACTCCCACAGAAGCCTCAGCCCCTTCCGAATGCACAGTCCAGCCAAGCGGGACCAAATCAAGCTCAGCTTGTGTTCTGCCCACATTGTAGCCGAATCTTTACCTCAGACCGCCTCCTGGTACACCAGAGAAGTTGTAAAACTCATCCTTATGGGCCAAAATATCAGAATTTGAATTTAGGGAGTAAAGGAGGCCTAAAAGAGTACACTAATTCCAAGCAGCAAAGGAACAGGGCAGCACCCAGTGTAACTGATAAGGTAATTCATGCCACACAAGACGCATTAGGTGAACCTGGTGGTGCCCTCTGCCTGTAGGGGAACAAGAGAAAACTATCCCCAGAATCAGCCACCTCAGCCCCTAGTATTTTTTCTATCAATGCCTTGTATCAGCCTCAAAGCAGCCTGTTCAAGTTAACTCCCTGTTGAACTCCAGGGCCTATACCTCTCTTGGCTGAATAGATATAAGAACATCCTTGCCTGATGGGTTCATATTCCTCTTCAATTCTGCTGTCTAAAAGAAGAAGAGATGGACTTCTTTCTTCCCTGATCCCTGATACAAATAATCCCTGGGAGAGACAGTAATTTGAAAATGAGTCATTAATGCTGTGTCTACATTACAGAGATATAATTCCCATTCCAACAGCCAATATTTATTGTCGGTTTATTTTAGTCATCTACCTTAGGAATTCATTTTTGGCAATGCTGGGTTATGCTGAGTTTATCTTACTAAAATAGAATCTGTGTCAAAAACCCCCAATGACTTTAGCAACAATTAAACACTGAAGCACTTGCAAAAATACACATGGTCTGTAAATACAGCATATTTTTTCTTTTGACACGTACATGGTTGTAGTAAGTAGGAAATTAACCCCAATGTAGACACTGAAGCAACTAGGTTATATTCTGGGAGGTGCTTGGTTCCTGCTGCTGCTCTGTGCCCTGTGTTCAGGCTGAAGACAAGGCCCTGACCCCCCCACTTGGGCCATTGTGAATAAGCATGACCCCAGGAACCCCCAGCTTGAATGGCAAAGAGTTTTTAGGGTTTTATCTAAAGTTTCACCATGGGCAAGGATTGGAGAGAGTTGCTTACGAGGATGGCTACCTGCAAGATAGGGCCTGGTCCATGTTCTTTGTCCATTAAACCAGATTGTGGTTGCTTTGTCTTGTGTCAACCTTACAGAATATCAAATTATGAGAAACAGGAAGTGGTAAAAGTCTTTTTTCCATGGCTTGCTACTTGAAAAGCCCAGCCTGCCGAGATAATGAATTCTTAAGAAAACTAAGATTAGGCCAGGTGCGGTGGTTCATGCCTGTAATCCCAGCACTTGGGGATAATGTAAAGCCCAGCCTGCAGGGATAATGGATTCTTAAGAAAACTAAGATTAGGCCGGGTGTGGTGGTTCATGCCTGTAATCCCAGCACTTTGGGAGGCCAAATCCTGAAGTCAGCAGTTCAAGATCAGCTTGACCAATATGTCTCTACTAAAAATACAAAAATTAGCTGGGCATGACTGTAGTCCCAGCTACTCGGGAGGCTGAGACAGGAGAATTGCTCGAACCCAGGAGTTGGAGGTTGCAATGAGCTGAAATCACGCACTGCACTCCAGCCTGGGTGACAGACTGAGGCTGCATCTCAAAAAAAAAAAAAAAAAGAAAAAGAAAGACAGACAGAAAAAAAGAAAACGAAGATTATACCAAGCTATTGTAAAAGATTAAACCAAAGGAATTGGTTGGGGAGGCGGCATTCTTTATTTCTAATATGATTTTTCTTTCTTTTTTATTTTATTACTTTGAGGACTGTCTAGTCCTTTGCTCCTAAATTCCATGTTTAAAATAAAATAAGTATGGTCTTACTGGTTTAGAAGATTCCAAGACAATGATTCGAAAGCTGAAGAGTCACTCACAGCTGCTGGGCAAGTTTTCCGATGAACATTGAAGAAAAAACAGCTAGTTTCTTTGCCTAACGAAAAACCAAACTCCTCAGTGTGGCATGGTCTTCAAGCTGGTCTTATAAACGTGACCTGTTTTTCCCATCTTCTGTCTGTTGCTTTTCTTCCATAACCTGTGGGGTCTGGATTCACAGAGTACAAGAAGCTGTGTCTCAGGGCTACAAATCAGAAACTCTGTTCAATTTCTGCCTTACAGAACTGTTTCTTGATTGTATGTATTTACTTCAAATGTTCTCATTACAGATCTAGAGATAGGGAAGCGTGTGGTCAGTATTCTTGTGCTTGTTGTTGTAACACATACTTTGTGCTCAAGAGTGGAGCCAACAGGCTGAGCACAGCATGTTCTTACTCAGTAACGATGGCTGAAACTGGCTGGCTTGGGCCCCCAGCTTCCCGAGGAAACACCTTCCTGACTCACCCGGTCATCTGGAGGGGAGAATGTCAGGAGAGGCCAGCGATGGCCCTTCAGTGACTCGACTTATGCATTTAGACAAGAGTAGGGGGAGGCGGTCTAGAGGACATGACTATGTCAGAGCACACCCAACCCTGCTCTCAGGCCTGAGAACACACATGTGAATGGGAAATTGGCCCCGACCACTGTCAGATGTGTGCTGGCCTGTTTGGGGACCACACAAGATTCAGTAGAGGGCATAGAAGGGTCATCCAACATAGGGACCCTTTGGCTGCCAGGCTTAAAACAAGCTTGGGTTAGTTATGAAGGAGAAAGCTCTTAGGCTTCCAGGGAGCATAAGAACTTTCAAAGCAGTGGGCTTTAGCCCTTTCTTAGAGAAGATATTTACCCTTCCATAGTGCTTTCAGCAGAAAGCCTTTCCTTCACTGTGTAGTTTAGTTATGATTTGATCCTCCCTATAGATATTTTTCTATCATTTAAATTTTAGTGCTGTGAATTACTCATTTTCCATAAAGAACACTACTCTAATGATTATTAGATTTCAGAATTTCATCTGTCTGTGAAAGCTGACTTTTGGCAGCCTGTGACTCTCACACATTCCTTCTTACAATTCAGATTTCCCCCCGGAATCCTTGGTCTGATTTCAGATTAGAATCAGCTATCGTGCCTTATGTTCTCACAGGGTTCAATCTTGTAGTGGATTCAGGTGAGAGAAACAGTTTCGGAACTATGATCATAGTACTTGGAAAACAATTCACTCCAGTGACCCCACAGTCACTGTTTCACTGGCAGAATGAATTACCTTTCCCTCAGAATGTTTCTCCAAAATAGATTGGCTCAGGTCCCTTATGATACAGATGCTCCTGTGATCCTTCTATCAAATCTAAACACAAACACCGATTAGACAAGCTCTGCTCCAAGATCTCAGTGGGCATTTTGCATTGCCTTCTAACCAATATGTTGGCTCAAATTGTCTCACTGTTTCACATCCAAAGTATAGCACTGAACTCACTCTTCCTGATCTCCCGGGAAAGTTGTGAAGGACACTAAACAGTATTTAAGAGGAATAAAACCTTCAGTGTGGATTTTTATTTAAAAGGTGGGATGGTCCTGGGACTGTGTTTATGTATTTCATGGTGTAATGAGCAGCAGCACACTTCCTTTCTTTCCTCTAAAAGAAAAGCCTAGATGGGTAATACCAATTTAGCAAAAATTTAAAAGGGGTGTCAATTGCAGACAAAATTTTGATTCATAATATGGATCAAACTATATATTAATATTTTAAATTTTAATATCACATACATTTAATGAGATTCTTTGATGTCATTTTAGTAAATTATTTTCTAAGCTATGCTGAGGGATATAATAGAAGTAATTATTCTTATTTTAATGTGAATGAATAAATTTTAATATTTGCATTTAATAGTTGATAAAATTTTGCCTGTTTTTAGAAGCTGATTGTAACTCATTCTTTAGCTTTAGGCCCTTTCAAGCTAATTGGAACAGAAGAGAGCTAATTAACTATAAACCAGAATGAAGCTTTTGTCTAATAAGTTTTTATTAGGTAAGGCTTGGGGTTATTTTCCTAGGATTTCACTTGTAACATTTGAAACGCTGTTCCTAAAAACCTTGTTCTATATTGCAAAATATGTATTATTTTTCTTAAGGGGAACTATCTTTTCTATAAATGATTGTCTCTCTAAACACAGTTTTAAGCTACTTTCAGCATCCTCAGTCCTCAGGTTTGAGCTAAAGCCCCATCAGACACATCTCCAGCATCTGGTGCTGCCATCTGGTGTTTTCTTTTAAAGTAATGTGTTCTGTGCTATCAAATAATATTATTGACTTTTTCCTCCTTTGTGTCATCCCCAAATGTATTTGAGAAGGTGCCCTTATTAGATAAACTCCAGTTATTTAGTGCTAGAGTTACATATTTGATTTAAAGCTACAAATGTTCTTCTCTGGCTAAGTATCTTATTCTTTACAGGCAAAACTCACAGTGGGAAGAGCATAATCAGAAAAACACATGAGGGCAGGATATTCTCATCTTTTCAAATTCTGCATGTGTATCTATTAGGTAAGAAGAATTTGGAGTTTGGGGGAAGGCATGGAAGACAGGCAACTAACTTTTACTGAATGCCTTTATGTCTTAGTCCATATGTGTTGCTATAACAAAATACCAAAGACTGAGTAGTTTATAAAGAACAGAAATTTATATTTCATGGTTCCAGAGGCTGGGAAGTCCGAAATCAAGGTACCAGCAGGATTTTTATGAACTTGTGAGGAATGCTCTACTTCCAAGATGGTAATTAGTTGCTAGATCCTCCAGAGGGGAGAAATGCTGTGGTGGAAGGGATGGAAATGCAAGAAGGGTGCTCCCTCTTCTAACCTTGATCCCTTTTATAAGGGTGTGAAGCCCATTCATGAAGGTGGTGCCTTCACAGCTTAATCGCCTCACAAAGGCCACACCTCTTAACATTGTTGCACTAGGAAGTAAGATCCACTGTGAATTTTGGAGGAGACACCACCATTGAAACCACAGCACCTTATGATTAGCATTTTATATACCTGATGTCATTTTAATTCTCATTATATTACTATAAGATAAACATTATTTTCCCACTTTCCAGGTTGGGAGATTGTGGTTAAGCAACTTGCTTAAAGTCATACAGTGGGTTCGCAAGTGGCTGTCAGAGCCATTCTGTCTAATTCCAAAAATTCATATATTTTCATGTCACTGTGAAAGGGGCATAGAAGTGATATAAAAAATGGGTGTCGCTACCCTGCCGACCTGTGAGTGTTAGACAGGAAGAAGAGGACAGAATTCCATTCATTCATTAATACTTATCATTAGGCATTGGATGAAGTACTAAATATAGAGTCATAAAAATATAGGCACAGTTCTTGACCTCTTGGAGTTTGTAGTCCTATTGAGGAAATCATATGGAATTTTTAAAAAATATACAATTTAAAATTGTGATATGACAGTGTGGAATGGTGGAAGACAAACATTCAGGATCTTGGCTAGAGAAAACCTGTGGGAGGAAGATATTTCAGCTAAGACATAAAAGGTGTGAAAGCACTAGCCAAGAGGAAACATGTGGAGGAAGGGAATGGTTAGAGAAAAAGACATTCGGATCAATGGCAGCATGTATGAAGGTCCTGAGGTAAGGAAGATCTTATAATGAAGTGAAAGAGTGCACATGTGGCCAGGGCCTAATGAGAGAGGGAACAGGCACATGATGAGGCTGAAGAGGTAGCATAGTTTCCTCCAGCTGCTCTGTCAACACAGGGACATCAGTAGTTTGGTTACTGCAGGAACCCAGGTGAGAGCTGGTGATGCTTTGGCATATCATGTTGGTAGCAGAGATAAAGATAAGGTACAATGGGCAGATCTTGGTGATAGTTGGGATGTGGAGGGTAAGAAAGAGGGTCAAGGATGACTCCCAGATTTCTAGCTTGAGCAACTGCACTAGTAGTACCATTTTCTAAGATGAAGAAGACTGTGGAAGGGTTGGATTTGGGGAAGTAAGATCTATAGTTTAATTCTGGCCTTATCAAATTCAAAATGCATATGAGATATTTGACTTAAACTGGATCTATGAGTCTGGAACTCAGAAGGGAGGACTGGGCTGGGATATACATTTGTGCATTATAAACATATATTTAAAGCAATCAGAATGAATACTCAGATAGAAAAACGGCCCAGGGCTGAGCCCTGAGATACAATATTTAGGGACTAGAGGGGAAGAAGCTGGAGAATGAAGGTCTGGAGATGCAAGAGAAAGGCCTAGAGTAGGGTGCCGTGAAAGCTGAGATCAGACAAATGTTCTAAATAAAGGCGTGGAAAACAGTGTTTTATACTGAGATGTTGAGTAGAATGAGGACCAAAAAATATTTAATTTGGCAGTGTGGATGCAGCTGCTAACCTTGGAAAGCACACAGTGCAGTGGTGAGAGCTGCAGAGCATATGGAGAATAAAGATAGAATGTGTTTTGAGAAGTATGGCTTTGAAGACTAGAAGAGAAATAGTAGGTTGGCTAGGAATAGAGATACTGGGATGAGAGGTTTTTTTTAAAAGGTGGGAGCTTCTAGATTATGTTTTAATGCTTAGAATAATGATCCAGTGGAGAAAAGGAGGTTGAAGAAGCAAGAGAGGTGATCAGAGAAAGTGCAAAACCTGGAAAAAAAATAGGCACCAGGAGATGGGATCACCAGTGTGTGCAGAAGGAAGGTCTTCGATAGGAGAGGGCAATTTTTTTGTTTCAGGAGAGTGATGAACACAGATGAAGGCAAGCCTGTAGGTTATTAGTGGGGAGATAAGGTAAATACTACCTGTTAGCTTGTATCTCAAATTTTCTCGATGAAATATCGGGCAATCTTATCAAGCCTATCGGATGAGAAAGAGAGAGGTATAAAGAGATAGAAAAAGATTAATGTTAAGAACCTTCTTAGTCCTTTGTCTCTTCATGCCTTCTGTTAAAACTGAGCTCCTGAAATCAAGACTAAGTCTTTTAGAGGCCGGGCGCGGTGGCTCACGCCTGTAATCCCAGCACTTTGGGAGGCCGAGGCGGGTGGATCACGAGGTCAGGAGATCAAGACCATCCTGGCTAACATGGTGAAACCCTGTCTCTACTAAAAACACAAAAAGTTAGCCGGGCATGGTGGCGGGTGCCTGTAGTCCCAGCTACTCGGGAGGCTGAGGCAGGAGAATGGCGTGAACCTGGGAGGCGGAGCTTGCAGTGAGCCGAGATCGCTCCACTGCACTCCAGCCTGGGCGACAGAGCGAGACTCCGTCTCAAAAAAAAAAAGACTAAGTCTTTTAGAATTATTTCCCTCTATGATCTCCGCTTCTTTGGAGGTGGTAGATGAAACCTTCAGTGGGATCCTACTTGTAGATCCGACCTTTTTAATAATCTTCAGTGGTCCTAGTTCACCTCCTCAGCTGTGCTGATGTCATGAAAACCAGCCTTGACCTCACAAACTACCCCTTGATGATGCTGACCGCTGGACTACTAATATCCAACTGCCTGTGTCATTTCTTCATCTTTCCTTGGTGCCAACCATGCCTGCATATCAGGGCAGCATTCTATGATCCCATGGCTCTCACATCGACAGACCACAACACTAAGGTAACAGGACCAGTTCTCTTCTACATTGTTGGCTCCAGAAGGCAACCCAAGGGAATTTGTGTATATGTATTACATGTGTGGAATATGTGTGTGTCGAAGGTGGGGAAAGTTACACATTTTAGAGCAACAGCCTCATGAGTGAAATTGACATGTAGCTTTCTAATCTAAAAATTTAAAGGATAATACTCACCTGTACAAATCACAGTCTAATATAATTATTTAAAAACTTATCCTTGACTTATAATTATATATCACATATTGCTGGGTAGAGACACTGTGATAGATACAACTACATCTCCCAGAGCCCAAAGCCCAAAGCAAAAATAGGTGCTCTTTCTTTGCATTGGCGCTTCTGTATGTGGCTTTCTGCTTCTCTAGAAAGAAAAATACTGACTGTAACTTCTGTGAGAGGAGAGAATCACATATTATAAATTCAAATATTATTTAGGCGTAAAATGAACAAAAACCATAACATAGTTATACTCTCGAAAAGTTAATCTAACTTAATTTCATATGTCTTCAAAGCCTTTTTCCCCCATCACTTGCTTCCAGTCCAAACACACGTACATCCACATTTCCTAGTGATCATGCATACTGAATCTTTATATAATGAGCGAATGGATATAGCTTCAGTACTTAAAAATCCAAATTCCAAGGTCAACAACTACAATCTCTCCCAAAATTCTTAAAGCTCCAACAAAGGCAGTGCAACGCAATCTGTAAGGAGTCCTTATTGAAACAGAGGTGACTGTCCCATGAACAGAATCTCACTGCTCAATGTGAGGCATAAGTTCAGCCTTATGGATAGGTGGGGAATTGAGAGAACTTTACTTGGGACTCCATCTTCTTCTCTCCCTTTATGTTGTGTAGTGCTCCTCTCCCTTACATCTCTTGTCTCTTTCTAATATTTACTTTATAAGGTTGTCTTATACATAGAAAGAAATGACCTACAAATTGAAGAAAGGGCTAGTAAATCCAGGAACTCAATAAGTTTCCAGTATTCTCAGCCCAAGCACCTGCTCTGATGCCATGGTCCCATCTTTAAAGTCTCCCATGCTGCTCTCATATCCCAGGTTACCCTTAATCAGAGAAAGTGGGAACATAAAGGTATCACTGGTCCCATGTTAAAGCTTCAAGTAATTGGAGGCAGAGAGTAGAAAGGAAGGATAAGGAGAGAGCGGGGTCAACTCTGATAGGAAAATTTTTAAAAAATATCTTAAAGTTAGAATTCTTTCTGGCCTATCCAAGGTGGTGGTCTTCTTTTTATAGGAAAATTCCTTTTTTTGGCCTCTGCTCCTGAGCAATGTGCTCTCTAACACATAAGCTGTAGACAAATCAGGCACTAGAGAAAACCCAATGTCCAAGTTCAGGTCAGAGAGCATTTTTTTTCATCTCTTTAATTATATGCACTGGACAAATTGAGTGTCTGCCGTAGCCCATGGATTTTTCTTGTCTTTCTTCCATTTTCCCTTGTTTCTCCATTTTACTCTGTGACCTAGAAGCCAACTGGCATAAAAGTCAGGCCTGTATCCAAACTGATGAGCACAAGAACCAAACACCAAGAACATTCTCCAACCATTTTCTTCAAGGAAAGTCATTTCAGACAAGAATTTGGCAAGACATTTAATCAATACCTCAAACCCTTCACCTTCCAACTATGTTCTTCTAAGATCAGAAAAACAAAAGCAGAAACGGCTCTTATCTCAAATGTGAAAATTAAAAAAAAAAAAACCTTCAGCTAGGAAATTATTCCTTTCAGAAACCTAGACCAAATTAGAGTCTATTTTGGAATTCATTCTTTGACCTATGATTTTCAGCTTTGTAGCTCAAGATTAACAATTAAATAACTAAAATGTCAGGCATGCATTGGAAATATCAATAGTTCTTTTTAAAAAATTAAATACATAAAGATAGTTTAATAAAAACAACATTTCCAAATGAATGTCAAATCTTTCTTAGGTTAAAAGGAACAAAAGAAAACTCCAAATCACAAGTAACAGACTCTTTTATGGTTGGCCAATAGACAGACCGGATTGGGAAATTCTTTTACACGGCATCCAGTGATTTCCAAAAACAATTTAATTTCAAACAACGATCCTTCCAGATATGACATTTGGGAAGAATTGTTTAAAAACACCAGAAGTAAATGTGAAATACCAGTGGTTTCTAGACAATCAAACTCTGCAATTGTTAAGGTTTGGGAATGAACTATGCATTTACTCCCATACATTAAAATGCTATTTATACTTTGCATGTAGGAGGACATGACTAAGAGAGTAGAAACTTAATTGTATATATTCAGTCTCAGTCAAGTTGGTTGAAATTATGTTTTAAATGGCTGAAGGCAAAATTCTGATTTGGAGAAATGAGTCTCTGGTGGCCTCGCCTCATATTCTAATCTCCTTTGCCTTTTAGCACCTTCTGCAACCTCCCTACCTCTGCACCCCCACCCCTTGGTATTGTTGGAAGGGGTCAAGATAATTTTATAAACTTAACAGAAAACCATCCTTCATAGGACTGTTTGCATTCTGAAAACCTATCTGGGAGAAGTTAATGTTTGACCCAAAGGAATAAACTTTTGAGGTAGTTGGGAGAGCAAAGGCAGGAGTTTTGCTAGTTTTTCCCCAGTCCCATCCAATGGCTGACTCTGGACTTGTAAGGCAGGGCATGATACCCCACTGACCACTGATGACTGTATCTCCCATGTTTCTAGAAGCAACTGGAATCAGACAGACCTGGATTCAGATCATAGATGCACAGTTAAATCAAATACCTTTGAACAAGTTACTTAACCTCCCCAAGCCTCAGTTTCTACCATAAGAGGTTGGAATGAGAGGATGACTGCAAAGGACCTGGGATGGTGCCTAACAAAACTTTATCTGTCAGCTTCTCCCTGCCACTTCACAGGAGACCCAACTCTCTGCAACAGAAACCAGCTTTTCCACTTAGTAATCACTGTGTGCTTTAGTTTCCTGGTTTATAAAATAGGGGCATTGAGCTCTGCCCAGAGGGTTATTATGAGAACAAATGAAATAAAGCATGTAAAGTGTTTAGTACAGGGCCTGTTAGTCAGTAAATGCTGATAATTAGTTGCCATTATGCCACTTGGTCAGACATGTTTAATATTGCAACATACACAAGGATTTATAAAAGAGGTTTTAGCCTTTTTCACCAAGCATGGAGGGAGGGGAACGCTCACTCTTACTTCCTCCATCCAAACTTCCTGCATTCTATGATATGCCCTGTGCACTTACCACAGAAATCTCAATTATTTGGCTTAATGGAAGGAATCAGGAGTGTGGAAAATCTAAAACAGAAGCTAAGGCCCAAATTTTTAGTTTAATTTTATCATGGAGAAAGAGAAACACTCATTGATGGAATGACACACATTCAAATAGCTACACAATCACATAATTCCCTCAGACCTTGGCAAGATGTGCCCTGTTTTTGACAGCCTGGGATCCAGCTGGGAGCAGGGAAAGCAAAAATCCCCCAGAGAGTAAATGACTCAAGGATTACCCATGCTTACTGTGTGCACAGCGTCTTGGAAATCGGTCTCATGCCTTAAAGTACAGCTTCTTTTGCCTAAGGATAGGCTTCAAGCCTCTTGTCAAGTTCTGTTGTAATTGTTATCATGTTTAAATTCAAAAAGAGCAAGGAATCTTCAATGTGACAATCTCTGTGTCACCTTTTTTTTTTTCTCTCTAAAATACCTCTCCTACTACCTGGCAAGTTTTGTTTTAATTCCTCAGTCAATGACTCAGTCTTTCGAGTGAAAACACTGACTCTGCAGGAGATCTCAGCTAAAATGCAAAGATTCCCTTTTAGTCACTGGCACATTAATGTGAATTAACAATAAGGTTAGTTCATTTCTTAGAAATGAGATATAAGGAAAATACCTTTTATTGGGGATATGAGTGAGGAGAGGGATTAGAAAAATAGGCAGCTCAGAGTCACAAGCTCAAATGCTTTCAGGGGCAGAACAGGCTGCATAGAGGGCAACAGGGAGTGGTAGAGCTTGTGGTATACTAGAGAGTAAGCCTCACCTAAAGATATTCACATTTAAAACTTTTAAGAACATTGTGCTGACCAAGTAAAACATGCCTGTTGGTTGAAATGGCTGTTGGTCCATCAGCTTGCCACCTGAAATCCAGAGTATAAAGCCAAGAGGAGGCAGTAGCATTGGGTAGACCAGGTGAGATGCTGTAAAGACCTATGCCTGGGCCAGGAGAAGACAGCTGCGGATGCTTAAGGAGCCACATGTTTGTGTGATAGCTGTGTGCAGGGACCAGGGGCATGCACACTTCATACCTGAGCATAGGGTAACTCACCCCAGCAGCCAACTACCATTTGGATCACCTGTGGGAGTCTCTGGAACGATGAAGCTATTCTTCTGGATCAGACACCTTGGAGCCAAACCTTCTGATAATTTTTAAGGACCAAAAGTCCAGGATCCTAGGGAGGCTGCACATCTGGAGAGTAGTTTTCAAAACTAATCAGTCTGAGTTCAAACATGTTAGAGGGCAGAGAAGTCAGAATGCTTCCTCCACTCAGCAGGTCCCCTTCTCACCCTGCCTCTGTATCTTGAGTAATTTAAAGTGAATGGGCTCAGCACAAGCCAAATAGGGATCTGTCAACCTGATACTGTCTCAGAGATAGAGCTTTGGACAAAGCTAAAAAATGTTTTCTAAATAAAGGGGTTGGACTGAGATGAAAGGGGCAAAAAGAAAAGAAAGTAAATAAAGTGAGTTCAATATGGTCATTCCCACTGTTAGGGCAAGTTCTCAGTTCTGTACCCAGCACAGTCCCTGGCACATTGTCAGTAATCAGAAAATACTTCTGAGCAACAACATCTGGGCTTCAATTAAATCACCTATTGAGGGACAGCCCTTTCCTCCAGATGCATCTGCATTTAGTGTGGGCCTCACGTGAATCAGTCTCAGCTGTGTTTCCAGCAGAGGTCTCTGGTTTATCTCTGCTCACAATGGAAATGCAGTATCAAAATCTAGAATCCTATTGTTTTATTGGCTTTTGAAATTGAAAAGCATCTGATTCATCCCAGATATTTATGGACTAGCAAACTATACTGGTTACCATTCACACTCCATCTGAGAGACAAAGTACACATTGACATATATGGTCAGTTCTAGGCCCAGTTGTGAGACAGGGTAAGGATTGTCATGTCTATCTCCCCCGTGGTCACCATTTTTTAATTCTACATGTTGTGACTTGTGTTATTACAGATTAATGATTACAACCGTATGGTTGGAAAGTGTCTGAAGGTAGGAGTGCCTTTTTCTGATTTGCTCCAAGTCACGGTTCAGGCTTACAGGGGCTATTTCCCTTGCAGGATGTTCTATTACCTCTGGGTGCCCTGAGTTCTCTTTGACTCTTAGGTTAATGAATAACCTCAAATGAACACAGGGAATATGGCTATTTTGATGTAGGGATGATGCAACCTACAAAATGTAGGTTTGATGTACGGATGATGCAACCTACAAAAAAAAAAAAAAGACCATTAAACTTTCTGCATTTAAAAAAATATTTCCAAGGAATGTACAAAGCATGTTACTTGGGAGAAGGACACAGGCGTTTCATTTGCATACATATTTAGTAATAACATAGTTTACATTTTGATGTGGCTCTTTGGCAAAGGCCCACTAAAATGACCTCATCAAAAAGAACAGGCTTACTGCTTTTGTAATGGTTACAGATAAATCCAGCAAATTACTGCCTTCCAATGTGTGAATGCAGGAGGCTTCCTTTATTCCCTGGTAGCAGATGGGTAATTGTTCTTGTGCCCTTCTAGAGCCAAAGTTCTCAGCTCTCTCTTTTTGAGCTGAATGACCCTAAAGAAAATAATTGTAGGCTGGAGGGTAGACAAGGGCAAGCACAAGGAAAATATAAAGGAATAAATGGTGTGACACAAGGGGAGCCTTTCAGTATCCCTAAAATCAACTGTAGATGAGGACTAACTGAATTTATATGTGTTTTGTGCATATATACACACATACACATTTACATACTAATGAACTTTGAAGTGCCTCATATGTTGGAAGATAAGAAACTGGTCAGTTATGTTTCTTTTTTTTTTTAGTTATACTTTAAGTTCTAGGGTACATTTGCACAACGTGCAGGTTTGTTACATATGTATATATGTGCCATGTTGGTGTGCTGCACCCATTAACTCGTCATTTATATTAGGTATATCTCCTAATGCTATCTCCCCCTCCCCCAATCCCACGACAGGCCCCAGTGTATGATGTTCCCCACCCTGTGTCCAAATGTTCTCATTGTTCAATTCCCACCTATGAGTGAGAACATGCGGTGTTTGGTTTTCTGTCCTTGTGATTGCTGAAAATGACGGTTTCCAGCTTCATCCATGTCCCTACAAAGGATATGAACTCATACTTTTTTATGGCTGCACAGTATTCCATGGTGTACATGTGCCACATTTACTTAATCCAGTCTATCGTTGACGGACATTTGGGTTGGTTCCAAGTCTTTGCTATTGTGAATAGTGCTGCAATAAACATACGTGTGCATGTGTCTTTATAGCAGCATGATTTATAATCCTTTGGGTATATAACCAGTAATGGGATGGCTGGGTCAAATGGCATTTCTAGTTCTAGATCCTTGAGGAATCGCCACACTGTCAGTTTAATTAGATCCCATTTGTCAATTTTGGCTTTTGTTGCCATTGCTTTTGGTGTTTTAGACATGAAGTCCTTGCCCATGCCTATGTCCTAAATGGTATTGCGTAGGTTTTCTTCCAGAGTTTTTATGGTTTTAGGTCTGACATTTAAGTCTTTAATCCATCTTGAATTAATTTTTGTATAAGGTGTAAGGAAGGGATGCAGTTTCAGCTTTCTACATATGGCTAGCCAAGAAACTGGTCGGTTATGTTTCAAACAGACAAGATGCCATGCACGTGGGTGCAGAGGAAGAGTCCTGCTTTTATGTTATTCATCTCTGGCTGCAGGGCTCAGGTCCTGAAACTCTAGGGTTGAGTTTTCTTGATGAAATCTTATGTAAATGGGGTTGCTTCCTAATGGACTTTCTCCTACAAAAAATTTAATGTCCTGAAAAAAAAGTCTTGATAAAATATTTTCTAATTTTCTCTAGGTCTTTTTATTTGTTTTCTTTTATGGTTATATGCTTTGTTTTTTGAACTAGGAAAACTTCTTGGGAGATAAATTAAAGAGTTTAGAATAGAGATCATTTGAAATATTCCCTAGCTCCTGGCAAAAATAACTAAAATACATTACTTGATTCTGGAATTTCTTTTACAACGTGTACTGCTGACTTTTAACTGACTGCATTGCATGAGCATGGCAATGCAAAAATACTCCACTAAACTGTATCTGCACTAGTGTTTTTAAATCAGCCTTATGGAGAAATAATTTACAAACAATAACCTGCATCCTTTAAACATGTGCAATTCAATGAATTTTGATGGTTTTAGAAACCTGTTATGCCACCACCATAACCAAGACATAGAACATTTTCATTACCTTCCAAAATTTCTTATATTCCTTTATCACCTTCCACTTCTAGCCTCCAGGCAACCACTAATCTACAGATTAGTTTGGATTTTATATAAATACAATCATGCTGTGTGTACTCTTGTGTTTGGTTTCTTTCAGCATAATGATTCTGAGTTTCATCCACTGGTGCAAGTAGCAGTAGTTCTTTTTTATTGCTCAGTAATAGACCATTGAATGACTGTATTCAACTTTCTTGCTCTATTTATGGATGTTTCCAGTTGCATTCGTGTTTTGTTTTGTTCTTTGTTTTTTTGAGACGGAGTCTCAGTCTGTTTCCCAGGCTGGAGTGCAATGGTGCCATCTCGGCTCACTACAACCTCTGCCTCCCAGGTTCAAGCGATTCTCCCGCCTCAGCCTCCCTAATAGCTGGGGTTACAGGCACCTGCCATCATGCCCAGCTAATTTTTGTATTTTTGTAGAGATGAGGTTTCATCATGTTGGCCAGACTGGTCTTGAACTCCTGACCTCAGGTGATCCGCCCGCCTCGGCCTCCCCTGGGATGACAGGCGTGAGCCACTACACCTGGCCACATTCATGGTTTTTTTACTGTGACTTCAGAGCTTTAGTGTAGGCAGAACCAATTTGCATTTCTCCAATATGGGATAACCAAGATGGTTTAGTGTATAAAAATTGTATCAAGCCTGTAATCCCAGCACTTTGTGAGGCCAAGGTGGATGGATCACGAGGTCAGGAGATTGAGACCATCCCCTGGCTAACACGGTGAAACCCCGTCTCTACTAAAAATACAAAAAAATTAGCCAGGCATGGCGGCCGGCGCCTGTAGTCCCAGCTGCTCCAGAGGCTGAGGCAGGAGAATGGCGTGAACCCAGGAGGCAGAACTTGCAGTGAGCCGAGATCGTGCCACTGCACTGCAGGCTGGGCACAGAGCAAGACTCCGTCTAAAAAAATAAAAAATTATAAATTGTCCCATCTGGCCCATTTCTTAATCTGATTGTGTCTCAAAGATATGAAGTCCTCATCCTTGCATTCAGGACTCAACACAATCCCCAAAATTGCCCTCTCTCTATCCAAAACAGCATAACACCTTAACTTGACTGATGCAGCTCTCTTATAGAAAGCCCTTCCTTTTAGTATTATTTGTCAAATCTCCACCCCACTGTTCTGACAGGAGGATGAAGTCTGGGATCTGGACCAAGGTGGAAAGGCAGAGGGCCAGGGGAGACACTTAGAACATGTTGCGACCTTCAACTGTTTTCTCAAGGTCTAACCACTCGTGTTTCCATCCTATGTGGAACAGATTGATCCTCACTTGTACACTTCCTCTAAGCAGCCTTCTTGTTTCCATTATGGGCATTATAGCTTTCATGTTCACATACTACAGTACTATTAAACAGTTGTTGAAAGGGTCGTGTTGTTTAGCAGCTTGGCTGAGGGAGTTCTCCTCTCTCCTGTACAGTTCTGCCATTCAATAAACCCACTTCAGATATTATCCACTTCATTGGCTTCTGATCAAAACACTTCCCTTTCTTTCTGCTTCAGACTCTTGTGGCACTATGTCCCCATATCATGACACTTACACATTTTGGCTTGTAAATTAATAGTTTATATGTTTGCCTCCATAACTAAGGAGAGTTAAGGATTGGGATTCCCCACAACCTCCAGCTTGGTGCTGGAGGAAGTAGATGAATGAAGGCATGGAGACAGCAAAATTGAGGACTGTGGCCTCTAGCATGGGGAATAGTGTCCAGTTTGGCGTGGCTCAAAGATGTGATTCATGGGGCTAAGACTGGCCATGGCTGAAGTCTATATGAAGTGTTGGACTTTAGTCTGTAGCCACAGAGAACCATAAAATTACTGACATCATATTAGATAGGCCAAGTTTGCACAAAACAGTCAAGAGGCGGGGGGTGGAGATAGTTGAGAAGATGAAAATTATATGGCAATATGTCAAGCCAGCTAGAATGGGCAATACAGGATCCAAAGGATGGCCTGCTTCATCCACCCACCAAATTATCCTTTTGACCACCACTTTTCAAAATAAGATGACTAGTACCATACAGCCGCACTTGGTTACTTGTGAGTTCATTTTTTGACTAATGCGTTCAGGTGTGGGAAACAGCCTAGACTAAAATATCTGTAAAAGCTGGATTTAGGATTATCTTATGGTGGAAATGAACTCATGCTAAATCTTGTTCTCAGACTATTTTTCCAGACATTTGTTACTGCTTTTTAAAGTAATGGAGCAGAATTCTAGGATTTCAATTATGTTTCATCATACAAGTATTTAACTGATATGTATTCAACCATAAACAATTAGCAAAATAAAATAGTATTGGAATAACGTAACTTAAAGTACCGTATTTTTATTTTGTATTTAAAAGGAAAACCTTTTCTATTGACAACACTTCTGACACCAAATGTGTGGATTTTTTCCCCCACAGCAACAACCAGTTCTCTAGTTCTCCAGACAACTGCGTGTTGTCCCAGAGTTAGTGCAGACCTCAAAAGTTGAGGGCTCAGTCTCACAAGACTGCCCCCCAGCTTCAGAAGCCAATCTCCACTACTGGGACGCCAGGTTACTCACACTTCTGTCAACTTGGCTAAAAACTGGATTTCCCATGATCCTCCCTTCACGCTTAATAATTTGCTATAACAGCTCACAAAACTCAGGGAAACACTTCATCGTGTTATTTATGTTACCAGTTTACTACAAATGATACAGATGAACAGCCAGATGAATAGGTACACAGGGCAAAGTACGGGGTTAGGGGTGGTGTGGAGCTTCTGTGACCTCTCTGGGGTCACCACACTCCCAGCACCTCAATGGATTTGCCAACATGGAAGCTCTTTGAAACCCTTCATTTGGAGTTTCTATGGAGGTTCCATTTCACAGAGATAATTGATTAAATCATTGAACATTAGTGATTATCTCAATCCCCAGCCCCTCTTCCCTCCTCAGAGGTCAGCGAGTAGAGCTGAAATTTCCAGCCCTCTGATCAGGCCTTGGTCATTCTGGCAACCAGCCCGAATCTTAAAGCTGTCTGGGCGGTCCTAGCCACCAGTCATTCATTAGCATACAAAAAGACATTCATCACTCCCGGGGATTCCAAAAGTCTTAGAAGCTCTTGTTTCAGAAACAGGGAAAAGGACCAAATATAATTTTAAAAGCTCCTATCACCCCTGTCACTCAAGAAATTACAAGGGTTTTGAGAACTCTGTGTCAGGAAGTAGGTGCAGAGACCAAATATGCATTTCTTATTATGCCACAGCATTGTAATTTTATGCTATGCAAAGCTGTATTCATTCCTAATATTAATTCTAATTCCAACTACTAGTTTGTTATAATATTAAACTATATTATATATATAATCTTTGAATATCTTTTATGAGTTATTTAAGGAATTTGCAGAAAATAATTTAGTCTGCATTATTTTACCTTTAAGGCTGATTTTATTACCCAATCCAGATTAGCTTTTGACTCCAGAGCTGATTTTTTTATTACTTTTTATTATAAAAATGATACAAATTCATTATAAAAATCCAAGCCATTAGGAAAGTATAAAAGTTACCCCACACTCCCCTAATTTGACCTTAGTGAGTATCATTCCAGGCATCTGTGTACACAGACATATGTAAGTAGACACGTATATGTTTTCATAGAAGTGAGGTTATCAGTAGAGATAAATTTAAATTACTTGCATTTGACAAAAAGGCACCAAAGTGAAACTAATAATTTTGCTGAACTGTAGGATAATATTTCTTCACTAAAAGTTTAGTTTTTAAAAGGACCCACTAAAGTTAAAAACAGTAATTATTAAAGTATTTGCAAAACATTAACTTCAAACTTTAATTTTACACTGCTTCAATTGACTGTTTCACATGAAAAGTGAGGAATTTAATGTCATTAACTTATTTGTACTGCTCCTTCCCCTGCCAATTTTGATAATTAATTTTATATTCTCTTCTCTATACTTTTTTTTTTTTTTGAGACAGGGTCTCACACTGGTGCTCACAGTGGAGTGCAGTGGCACGATCACAGCTCGCTGCAGCCTCAACCTCCTGGGCTCAGGTGGTCCTCCCACTTCAGGCTCCTAATAGTTGAGAACTATAGGCACGTGCTACCATGCCCAGCTAATTTTTATATTTTTTGTAGAGATGGGGTCTCACTAGATTGCTCAGGCTCAGGCTGGTCTCAAACCCTTCGGCTCAAGCAATCTACCTGCCTTGGTCTCCCAAAGTGCTGGGATTACAGATAAGAGCCACTGGGCACAGCCTCTACAATTTCTATAGTTATATTGCCTTCTATGATTTAAGTGGATTAATTGCCACTCTTTGAGTCACAATCTCTATATTTTTTAGCTTTTTTGTTGTTTCATCCCTTGATTTCTTATATTAACTAATGTTTTTCAAAGAGGATCAGGGGTAGAGTGGCTATATCATGTATTTATTATACAAGGACTTTTCAGGGAGTAAAAGAGCAGCTATTAATATTAGCCAAGACAACAGGTATATAATAAGACTATTCTAGGCAAAACAGTGCTTAGAATCACCCTAAAGCCAGATATGGTGCCAAGTTCTTGAATGCTTCAACTCAGAACTTTCTGAGCCATTTAAACAGTGCCAAATGGCCCCTTTAACAATGAATCATCTATTGGAAGAGAAAGTTTGGCTCTGTCTAAAGGCCCAATAGCTCACTTCCTGGGGCTAATAGACAGGTTTTAGGGAATCTACCAATCAGTCGATATCATATCCACAGTTCTGTATACATATGCATTTTTCTGGGGAGATCACTGTTACACTAATCAGATTTTCAAAGGCTATTGCTCCATAAACATTTCTTACCAATTTCTATTTCATGAGGTGATGCTTGGATCACATTCTCTGAACTCCCTTGTAAATAACATCACAGAACTATACTTTCACACTATAAGTTATCACTTCGTATCTTCTGTATAATTAGTATAAGAAGTGAACAAATGTGGGCCGGGCGCGGTGGCTCACGCCTGTAATTCAAGCACTTTGGGAGGCCGAGGCGGATGGATCACGAGGTCAGGAGATCGAGACCACCCTGGCTATCACGGTGAAACCCCGTGTCTACTAAAAATACAAAAAATTAGCTGGGCATGGTGGCAGGCACCTGTTGACCCAGGTACTCGGGAGGCTGAGGCAGGAGAATGGCGTGAACCCGGGAGGCAGAGCTTGCAGTGAGCCAAGATCGCGCCACTGCACTCCAGCCTCGGCAACAGAGCGAGACTCCGTCTCAGAAAAAAAAAAAGAAATGAACAAATGTGGAGTGTTTCTGATATTTTGTAAAACTGCTAGTAATGACTTCCATTTTAGTTTTCATCATGTCTTTTATTAAAATTCATAAATTCATGCAATAAATTTAGTGCTAGGAATATTTTTTTCCTTCTGACCAATTGTCATACTTCTTTCTATAAACAATATTAGTTATTGAGTTGTGTATTTCACAGTGGTTTCCTTTTAGCCTGTGCTATCAGAGAGGTCATCTAGAGAAATCTGAATCTATCTGAAATGTAGGTATTCTAGTCTCGGTTTTCTGAAACAGCTATGTCCATTCCTCTTTTATCCAAACCTCTCTTAAGGTTCTCCAACAAATCAGCCTCTTTTCTTGGTCCTTAATCTTTCTCCCCTGCTTCAATAGTGATATTATGACTATTTATTTCAATCAGTAACAATGAAGGGATGGATGCCAGGTTATATACAATAATTAGGATAAAAGTTGTTAAATATCCACTTCCCTGTGTGTTACACAAACCTGGCCTAAAGCATTGAACATGAAGTGTTCCTGACAGAGAAAAGAGATTAACAGAAAGAAAAAGATGCTGTGTGGAAAATAATATGATAATTCCAAATAGTGGCCAGCAAAATAATTGAAAACATATGAAAAGTTAGTGGATTCAAGTTAAAAGTTTTCCCTAAAATGTTCAAGTGCCTGTCTGTATCTAGCCTAAATCAACTTTCCCAGGAAACTGAGAGCACAGAAACAAAATTGTGATGAGCCCTGATAGATTTTTATGCACACTTACATAGATTTAGTGACTAACTTTTTGTAAAAAAAGTCTTTTACCTTGATGTTAGAAAAGTAATGCCACATCAGCAAAATACTATCTATCTGAAATGTTACAGGGAAAACTGTTGATCTAATTCTTTGCTCTTCAGCAACCTCAGACTTACCGACTTCCTCTTTGCCTTTCTTGGATAACGCTTTCCTGGAGTTGGCTGGTCCCGGCAAGGGCCTCCATAGACAGGGCCCCCTGCCCTCACATAACCTCCTCAGCCACCCTTCCACTGCCCTCCTTACTCTGTTATGCCATGCCACTGAAAGCTACAGACTGCACATTTGCTAAGAGGGGGCCTTCTGCTGGTTCTGCCAGAGCTACAGTCTCTTCTTTCCGTTCCTTCTCTCCATCCCCCACATATCCACTTCTATCTGAAAAAGGCCCAATAGGAAAACCTTGGACTGGAGATAGAGGCCAAATAGGAAAACCTTGGCAGCTGGGGCAGTGGCAATAACCACAAGTTGGAGATTGCTCAGCTTTCCCTGGAAGTTTCAGACTGACAATTGTAAAATCAATGAAAAATAAAATAGGTCTTCTTATCTCTGTTCAGACCCACGTGGATGTATTTTTCTCTTCTGCTGTGGCTGGGTTGTTTGCGCTTCACTAGAGCATGGCTTAGGAGTAAGATGCTCAAAACCTAAGAATATGGAGTATATTGCAGGTTCAACTGAAGTTCAACCACAAATATAGAGCATGGGAGAAGCTTTAGAAAATGTAATATAGAACATCTTCACCTTTTTATGGTATTAATTTTCTCCCACATCCATTTCAGTTGTTCAGTATGTGTCTTCTGACCTCTGTGTCTGCCTGTTTTCTTCTAACTTTCCTTCCAAAGGAAATCTGACGGTGACACGAATGTCTTCATTTATGACCCATGCTATTTATTGTGCTTATATGTGTGGTTAAATACTGGATTTGGCTCATACTTTCCATGTGGAATTTTATTAAATTCACTATTTTCAAAATGAAAAGAATAACTTCTCATTTTAAACTAAAAATCTGCATTTAATTAACCTTTCCAGTAAATAAACATGTTAAAAAAATAGTAAGAAACATTTAAACATCTTGAAAATTTTTCCTTATGCTTTGTACTTTCTCTTAGGTCTTTCTTGAATTTCTCAAATATTTTTCATGCCACTTTTGAATTGTTAGAACCTACCATATGGCTAAGAAAAAGAAGGATAAATAACTATTTAGTTATTTTGATAAATGTAGACAGTTTATTGGCATAAGTTAATATAAAATAATAGAAAAAAATTCCACTTCAAATAATACCCTTTTTATAAAAACTTCAATCATCCAGGGAGTCACTTTATTTTCCCTTTTTGCTTCGTCTATGTTAACTGTGGATTTATTCATCTAAAATCTCTTTTTATGCCTGGTAATCAGAAATCATAAATGTGTTTCCTTCTGGTTTTGATATTGGTCTGTGAAAAGTGAAAGTCCCAATAGTTATAGTTAGAAGTAGGCTGATTCTAAGACATACACATTAACCAAGTTTTATTTCCCCAATGGAGACCACACAATCAGCTTAATTTATTTCTGTTTTCATGCCACCTGGTGCTACTAAAGAGCATATTGAAAAAAAGTCATTTAATTCCAACAAAATTTCTTGCAGCTTCAGGTAACTAGGTCTTTTCCATTATTCAGTGAATATTCTTCCCTAATTGAATCATTACTACATTCCCCAGAGTGCATAATCCCAGCATCTTTCACTATTTCCCAGAATTCAAATCTCTTCATTCTCTGAAGATCACTTTATCTCATACTTAGAAGACTAAGTCCATGTATGTGAGCACCACCAATTCCTCACTTCTCTACAAACACCTTTTCCCTTTCTCTAACTTTTCCTTTTTCCCTTTTCTCAGAAGCTGACACCTCCAATTGTGCCCTTAATCTCATCTTCTACTGCCTCCTCTGTAATTTTTAATTATCCTATTTTATTGTGGGCCTATACTCTTTTCCTCTCTGCCTAAGGCATCCCTATCCTATAAACAACAACAAAACAAAGCTTTCTTTTACTTTGCTTGTCTCTCAAGTTTCTTTTCTGCAAGTTTTTTGAAAGTGTATTGTTCTCTTCCTTGACATAATTTTTAACTCCTAACAATTTAGCTTTTACCCTTACCACTCCTTTGGAACTAACCTCTCAAAAGTCACTGGTATGGAATCCACTGATAACTCCATCTAATAGCCTTTACTCAGCCCCTCATCACTCTTTGCAGCATCTGACAAGGCTGATGACACCATATTTCTGGAAACCAGAAATGTTTCCAGAATCTTTTGTCTGCATGCCCTGTTTCTTTAACTGCAAATTTGAACCTTTCTCTGTGTTTTCTGGCTATAATTTCCCTTGTCCAATATCCCTACTATAAATATTCTCCCAAGAATTTTTCTCCATATATTCTTTACATACTCCTATCTATAGAATTTTCATGGTTTTAAACATTTTTTTTCTGTGTGAATAGCTCTGAAATAAATGAATACTGAATTTGCAGGCCTGTATTTCCTGTTTTGGCTGGACTTATTTATTTAAATTCTACAATTATGTCAAACTCAACAGATCCAGAACAAAATCAATGTTTTTCTCCTTCTCTAAATTGCCTTTCTGTATTTATAAGTTTTATTTGTACTCTGTGCAAGTCTTTTGTACAGCTCTATCCTCAGATTTAGACAGGCCCTGGGTTCCTAAAATGGTAGAGGCTTCTGTCAATGCCCCTTCCTCTCCCCAGTGTCAGATTGTCACCTCCTATAACTGAGTGTAAGACATGGTGGGTAGGAGAGTATACACAGACGGTCCCTGCATGCCTGCACCTTACAGGGGCTTATGCTCAGCTACTCTGCCCTTTTCTTGTGGCAGAAAATTATGTCTCATATAAAGTTTGGAGCTTGGAGGCTTTTTCTTGGTACTATTGATCTATGTTCAAACTTAGGTAGGCCTTTTAGTTCATCTATTTATCTTGCAACTTTGAGTCTCCAATGGGCTCAAAAATTATGATTCTGTAAGCTATTCAATTTGTTCTCATTGTTTAGGTGGAAGCAATGATTCTTGTCCTTTTCTATATCCTAGACAGAAGCTGAATTTCCCTATTGCATCTTATCCTTAACTCTCCCATAGATTTGGTTCTCCTAAGAACAAGAAAACTAAGAATTTGAGTTCAAGTAGTTTATTTGGGAGGTGATCTCAGGATACCCCAGTAAAGGAATAGGAAGAGAGACAGGGAAGAGAACAAAGCCTAGATAGTGTGTTAACAAGCGACTGTGGTACAATCACTCTGGGGACTTCTGGAAGACTATATGGAATCAACCTTGGTGAGGAAACTGGGTATTTATTCGCTAACTCTCATCTGCAATTGATGAGCTGTTCTGCTGTGGGCAGAGCCTACTCCAGATCAAAAAAGGCAAAGAATCACAAGTGCTTGCAGTAGAAAGTTGTTGACATGATCCCAATGTGGGCGGGCATAATAGTGTTAACAATGTCTGTTATAAACTTTCCATTGACATTTATTACTTTTCTTCTCAGATATATGGGTGTACTCAAGCCTGGTGTTATTGAGAAGAGGAATTATGCCTGATTTATCTTTGTATTCTCCCAGCATAGTAACTTGGATAAAATAGTCAGAAGGCAATCAATCAATATTAAATGAGAAAATATAATTTATATAGTACCAATATGAAGAATTCTGGTTAGCTCTTTTTTATTTCCTCTGAAGCCATGTCCTCACCTCAATCCCAGTTACTCAAATAATATAGTTTAATCTTTTAATTGCCAAAAAGATAAAGTCACCAGGCTAGTGGGGATTTTTTTAAATCATGTTGATTTTCCAGCTAACTTAAATGTGGTATAATTTTAAAATATGATTTCCAAATCTAAGCTTTATCTAACAGACATTTTTTCTTTTTTTTTAATTATACTTTAAGTTCTGGGATACGTGTGCAGAATGTGCAGGTTTGTTACATAGGTATACACGTGCTATTGTGGTTTGCTGCACCCATCAACACGTTATCTACATTAGGTATTTCTCGTAATGCTATCCCTCCCCTAGCCCACCGCCCCCAACAGGCCCCAGTGTGTGATGTTCTCCTCCCCATGTCCATGTCTTCTCATTGTTCAGATCCCACTTATGAGTGAGAACATGGGGTGTTTGGTTTTCTGTTCCTGTGTTAGTTTGCTGACAATGGTGGTTTCCAGTTTCATCCATGTCCCTGCAAAGGACATGAACTCATCCTTTTTTAAGGTTGCACAGTATTCCATGGTGTATATGTGCCACATTTTCTTTATCCAGTAAAGCATTGGTGGGCATTTGGGTTGGTTCCAAGTCTTTGCTATTGTGAACTGTGCTGCAGTAAACATACATGTGCCTGTGTCTTTATAGTAGAATGATTTATAATCCTTTGGGTATATACCCAGTAATGGGATTGCTGGGTCAAATGGTATTTCTGGTTCTAGATCCTTGAAGAATCGCCACACTGTCTTCCAGAATGGTTGAACTAATTTATACTTGCACCAACAGTGTAAAAGCTTTCCTATTTCTCCACATCCTCTCCAGCATCTGTTGTTTCCTGACTTTTTAATGATCACCATTCTAACTGGCATGAGCTAGTATCTCATTGTGGTTTTGATTTCTAATGACCAGTGATGATGAGTTTTTTCATATGTTTTTGGGCTGCATAAATGTCTTCTTTTGAGAAATGTCTATTTATATCCTTTGCCCTCTTTTTGATGGGGTTGCTTGTTTTTTTCTTGTGAAGTTGTTTAAGTTCCTTGTAGATTCTGGATATTAGCCCTTTGTCAGATGAGTAGGTTGAGAAAATTTTCTCCCATTTTGTAGGTTGCCTGTTCACTCTGATGGTAGTTTCTTTTGCTGTGCAGAAGCTCTTTAGTTTAATTAGATCCCATTTGTCCATTTTGGCTTTTGTTGCCATTGCTTTTGGTGTTTTAGTCATGAAGTCTTTGCCCATGCCTATGTCCTGAATGGTATTGCCTAGGTTTTCTTCTAGGGTTTTTATGGTTTTAGATCTTACATTTCATTCTTTCATCCATCTTGACTTAATTTTTGTATAAGGTGTAAGGAAGGGGTCCAGCTTCAGTTTTTTGCATATGGCTAGCCAGTTTTCCCAATATCATTTATTGAATAGGGAATCCTTTCCCCATTGCTTATTTTTTCTCAGGTTTGTCAAAGATCAGATGGTTGTAGATGTGTGGCATTATTTCTGAGGCCTCTGTTCTGTTCCATTGGTCTATATAACTGTTTTGGTAGCAGTACCGTGCTGTTTTGGTTACTGTAGTCTTGTAGTATAGTTTGAAGTCAGGTGGTGTGCTGCTTCCAGCTTTGTTCTTCTTTTTGCTTAGGATTGTCTTAGTTATACGAGCTCTTTTTTTGGTTCAGTATAAAATTTAAAGTGGTTTTTTCTAATTCTGTGAAGAAAGTCAATGGTAGCTTGATGGGGATAGCATTGAATCTATAAATTACTTTGTGTAGTATGGCCGTTTTCACGATATTGATTTTTCTTATCCATGAGCATGGAATGTTTTTTCCATTTGTTTGTGTCCTCTCTTATTTCCTTGGGTAGTGGTTTATAGCTCTCCTTGAAGAAGTCCTTCATATCCCTTGTAAGTTGTATTCCTAGGTATTTTATTCTCTTTGTAGCAATTGTGAATGGGAGTTCACTCATGATTTATTTTATGTTACTTGCAGCCAACAATGATACGGCGTCCACCAGCAGTTGTTTGCTACATTTGTGGTCGTGAATATGGAACAAAATCTATTAGCATTCATGAGCCACAATGTCTGAAAAAATGGCATAATGAAAACAACTTGTTGCCTAAAGAGTTAAGGAGACCAGTACCTAAAAAACCAGAAGTCAGGACCATTACTGGTAAGTTCCTAGAAAAAAGATTTGAGTGCATAAGGGGAGACTTTTCTCTCTAAACTAATAAGAGCAGAAGTATTCTTTTTTCACTTGTTCAAACGACCAAAATCAACAACATTTCTTGCCTTGGTTACAGACAAATAAGAAAAACAGTTCTGAAATGCCTGTCCAAAGAATTATCTTCTGATGCTGAGACATAAAGACACTATGTCCTGGCAACACTGTGCATGAGAGGGACCTATGGGAATTTGCTGTATTCTCCAAAAGTTTCTTTCATACATCATCAAACCCTTTGAATGTAAAATAAATAATAAAATACTTAAAAAATAAAAATGAATAAAACTTAAAAAAATATGAAACTTAAAAAAAACCTTTGGGAACATCCAAAGTCATGTTTCCAAATATGAATGTGTCTTGGTGTTCATAGAGCAGGGATACCAAACTCGAATTTTCACCAGGTCCACTAGTCAGGTTATAACATTGAGTAAACTGGTCCATGTGTGCACCAAAGGGGAGGTAAGGACTATGATGCGCTGTGGAGCATCAGCTCGCTCTATAGGAGACAAGCAGCTGCCCAGTTCCAGCTGGCGTTATCATTAAGAAATTTAGTCCAATGTACTCATATCTTTCAATAACACAAAACAAACTAGAAATCTAGACATCTATTTTAAATGTCCAGAATTTTTCACATTTAATCATTTGTAAAGCATGGTGCAAACCAAATGAAACTGAAACTACACTGCCATGTTTCGCCTCATCACAAAGCCTCATGTTTATTCATTTAGGGTATGAGAATAGTTAAGAAAATATTTTTGCCATGCAAGCTCAGACTTGCTTATCATATTTTTACCATTGTCATTTTCTCAGTAGATCCCCTAAACCATCTCACAGGACAATGTTGGTTTTAAGAGGAGTATCTTTCAATTCATCCATTCTCCTATGTAACCGTAGATTTGCAATGCTGAAAAGTACCTTGGGGGTCATTTAATGTCAATTAGTCCAAAGCACTTGTGTCAGAGATGTGACACAAGGAGAGTTTTATAACAACCCACAAAGTAGACCCTAGATTGTATGATAAATTCTAGATCCTGCTAGATCCCAGCTACTCACAGTGCTTGTCAAAAAGAGGACTTTTCATACAGGTGGGAAAACAGCTAAAGATGAAAATGACCAGCTACTGAAATTAGAGCATTTTCCATAAACAGGTTGTTTACCTCATTGAAACTCTCTTTCCAGCATTTCTCATTTGGTGTCAAAATATGTTTCCTTCCCTTCTGATCTTTATCACTTTCTCTGCTTGACCATAACTACCAGCAGGCTAGAAGTAAGAGGAATGATTGGTCTGAAAGCCCTGGTGGTTCACTATTCTGTTACTGCCTACAGATGGAAAAGATGGGTCCTATAACTGCACTTCCCTGCAGTCTTCCTCTCACTTCCATGTTATTTATCTCTGAGGATGCCCTTCCTCTCTAGGTAAAAAGAATTCATATTACCATTTTTATCCCATGAACTCATTGTAGTCACAGGGTTCAAATAACCCCTCTTCCTGATCTGAAGTCAAGGCCCTATGCAAAAACATTTAGAAATGTGGTGAATCACCTTCAAGTGAGAGTCAGTGACTACTCTGGAATTTTTGAGTTCATTTTAAAACTCGCATGAGTAACGAGAAAGTCAGTGTCATTCTTTTCTCATTTTTCAAAGCACTGAAACTACACATTCATATCCCACATAGACAGTGACATTTGCTTTATCCAAAGAAGAAATACTAGATTTTGCTGGGATTTAAATTTCCATGGAGCAAGAAAGTGAGTATTAGGAGCAGACATGTTAAAAAATTTAAGGTTCACTGTGGTTGTGTGAACCATTAGATAGAAATCATATGAGAATTGCCTAAGCTTTAACGAAGTAATCTATGTTGTGCCAAAGATAAAAACTAAGTAATATGTTTTTGAGTGCCTTGTTACATTTTGGGGGCCTATTTTCAGTGGTTCTAAGACATAGTCAATTTAATGTACTGAAATCATTCTATTTTAACTAAGGTTTATTAAAGCTAAATGCCACATTGTTTCTCTAAAATAAAGCCATATGCTTTTTTCTCCCTATGCTCTGCCAATGAAGGTTATACATTTCTCATCTGTCTTTGTTATTTTCTTAAGGACGTATCTTTTTGTCAGATTATTCTGTTTGTATTCTCCACTTTGATTACTTAAAGAATATCTGAGTTTATGACCATGAAGAGATGATAAGTTTTTAGGATATAATTCATCTTAAATTCACTCTCAACTGTCAGTTTTGGCTTCTAAAAACATTCCACTGAAGGATTACAGAAAAGGAAAATACGAATACATGCTCATTCCCCTTTGTAAGCTTATATTTAGAGTCAACTGAAAGAAGGCCAAAAGTTATATTTGCAAAATAATAATGTGTATGCAAAGATGTTAATAATTAGTGAAGAATGCATATCATACCATGTAAAACAATGTCTTTCCCTTTTTAAAATCCAAAGAGTGAAAAGCCTCTGTCTGATTCCCAGCTAATTTTATTCAACACTTGAAAGAGCGAGCAGCCCTTTCTTTTTTGGAGGCAAAAGTAATATGATTTGTTTAAAATACTCAGTCAACAGGTATTTCCTGAAAATATTTTCCATAGAAAGTAGAATATGGTTCTCCCGAATAAAAACTGATCCATTTTACCTTTTTCTTTCCCTTTTGTTTTTGGTATTTTTTTTTCTTTTTTTCTTTTTGCTTTTTTCCTTTAACTTTCCAGCCAAAGGCTTCTATGATCTTGATGCTTTAAATGAAGCTGCTTGGACAAGTGCCCACAGCCAGTTGGTTCCCTGTAATGTTTGTGGGCGTACCTTCCTGCCAGACAGACTGATTGTTCACCAACGATCTTGTAAACCCAAAGCCGCCAAGTAAAGCCCTTTTCTCTCTACTGAAGTGTTACAGAAATTAATCCTTTTGAAAGAGATTGGGATAAAGTGGGAAGGAGAAAAAGGAGCTGACGAGGGGAAACAAGGAAAACTGGAATTGACCAAGGGCTGGTCTAGCCGGGGAGGCCCAGTTCAGCGCTTCGGTGTTGCAAGCATTGCTCACTATTATGCAGTTGGGCAAATGCTCTGGTTTTAACAAGCAGCTGCATGTGCATAGGCATGCTGGGGACCATTTCACACTTTTGTCAGGCAGATTTACAAGCAGGCTGCTTCTCATCAGAGCTGGGATTTTTGTCTAAAAGAAATTTCAGAGCCAATGGTCCCCATTTTTCTTCCATTTTCTTTCCTGAACAAGATTTTGAACTTCACAATTAGGACTCTTATTCAGTGCACAAGGGTTTTGGAGGCAACTTCAGGCAACTCCTTAATCCCAGGAAGAACCTGATTCCTTCCTCTCCCTGAGCTTTCTGAAATAACCTGTCATTCCACATGTCCTTTTATCCAGGGACATTTTTTGAGTTCTTGACTGGGGTGCTTCTTTTCTCTATAAGATTGTTTAACAGCAGAGACATTCAAAACATCGCTGAGAACTCAATGTACTGGAACCATATCTAACTCATTCTCGCTTTCAAATGGCAAGAAATGATACAAGATATTTCAGAGCCACTGCCAGCCTCATGTGTCAGGAGACTGCTGCAATACAATTCATCAAAATAGGTGGAGGCTAACTCCTTCCTTATTTAGGAGAAGTCCAGCATGAATTCTTTATGCCGACATAGGGGTTTATAGGTGTTTTATTGTTGTGGTCTAAATGCCTGCCAGAAAGTTCTGTGCCTCCCCACCCAAGGCTTATGCACAGTAAGTGGGTTGTGAAACTGCTTAGTATTTTAGAGTCCTTGAATGTGTATTCATCGAGGTGGGGCTCTCCTGGGAGGACGCCAGGGTCAGGGAGGGACTCTGCCTAGGAAATTCTGCTCCCCCGGGCTGTGCTGCTTTGCCTGGACTCCCAGCGGTTTTGCTTGAGATCTTTGTTCATTTTATGGCAGAATTCCAGGGCCATTCTGGATCCAGTGGGTTCCTGCAAGCCTCACATTCATGACTTTACACAGCATAGTCAGATCCAAATTACACAGGCAAATTTATTCTACCTAATACTTTGGTCATACTTCTACTTATTACACAGGGTTAAGTTAGGATAATTGTGCAAATATTTCTGTTTTTTCCTGCCTGCTTCAAAGGAAGCAAGAGATGAACATTTTAAAAGTCTTTAGATACCCTCAAATAAAAATCTTGTGAAAAATCATGGCATTTAATGACTCATAGTTGGTGGTTTAGTTGTTTTACCTTATTAACCAAAATGACAAAAACATCAAATAGATGTTGAGTTTACTGTGGGTCAGGCACTGTGCTAAGTGCTTCATATATGTTACATTATATACATCTCATGTCAAGCCTACAGATGGATATCATTATCTTTATTTTACAGACCAGAAAACTGATATTTGGTCTAAATAGTTAACTCAAGGTCACACTGAGCTTGAGTTAAGGAATAGTGAAGGAAGCAAACTCAGGACTGCTGGACTTCCAATCCCACACTCATCCATTGCTATATGTATGCTAGATTTCATCACTAATGTGATTATCCATACTAACACAAATGATCTGACAAATCTGAAACATTTTGTATATTATTTAAGTAACTAAGGCAAATGGGAATCTTGCAGTTTTGCTGCTGGTTTGGGTTTAACTTAGACCGAGGTGAAAACAAGCTTGAAGTGGACAGTGTTAGGTTTTTCAAAAGACACTTCTGCATTTTGCTGATGTTCAGAAATCAAGTAGCAGGGAATATAAAAAATTCTGGCCTCAACTATGAAATGAGTTGCCACTCAGGTCATAATAAGTGACTTTTGAGTATGACAAAATTAAAAATTAAAAACCCAGCATCCTTATGTGTATGAAGCATTAAGTCAGTGAGCTCTTGAAGTGGTTGAAAAGAATGAGTTCTTGTAGAAATCATCGCATCCACAGGGAACTGTGAGCCAGCTTGAGACACATCAAGGTACTGAGTATGGAGATTCCACGATGGCTTCACCTTGGCTGGCCTACAAATGTTCCATGGAATTAAATCTGGAGCAAGCTCAGTTATGATGACATCAACCCAAGAGTTCTGGTCTATTATCAAAGCAAGTCATTGAAGTCTCTCTATTAATGGGAAAGAGCTCACCTTCTCTGCCAATGGCCCTCCCGCAATGAGTTCACATCCGTGCAGCTCTTTGTAACTCTCAAAATAAAATAATTTCTTTAACAATGCTTGGCATCTCCATGAACTATGAATTCAAACCTTGAAATAGTTCCCGTAGATACTGTTTTAGATTATAAAGAGCAGATACTAGATGAAGGTACTTGGAAGTCTACACTAACCCAGGCCATTATTGGTGGGTGTGGGATGTAATGCTCTTACAGGCATCAACAACAATGCAATTTCCTCACCATTCTGTTACTTGGCACTGCACAAAGTTTAACTGAATTCCCCTCTAGTTGAAGTTATAGGAGGAATTCCAGGATCTCTTGATGCTCATTTGCATTCAATTAACGTCAATCTTTTAGGGTCTGTCCTACCAGAAGGGGGCTGAAAAAGGATGTTCTAGTCAGGGGCATGGAGAGGGGAAATCTCTTACTCTTAGCGAGCATATCAGTCTCTCAGATCCATTATGGGGGGTCTTTAGATGGCTTCATTATAGTATTTCCTTTTTTAAAACTTTTATTCTAGGTTCAGGGATACATGTGTAAATTTGTTATATAGGTAAACTGTGTGTCACGGGGGTTTAGTGCACAGATTATTTCATCACCCAGGTAATAAGCATAGTATCTGATAGGTAGTTTTAAAAATCTTCTCCCTCCTGCCTCCTTTCACACTCTTCCCTAAAGTATGTCCTGGTATCTGTTGTTTCCCTTTTCATGTCCATGTGTTTTTGTTGTTTAGCTTCCCCTTAAAAATGAGAACATGTAGTATTTGGTTTTCAGTTCCTTCATTAGTTTACTTAAGATAATGGCATCCAGCTCCATCTACGTTGCTGCAAAAGACATGATCTCATTCTTTTATATGGCTGTGTAGTATTCCATGGTGCATATGTACCACATTTTCTTTATCCATTCTACTGTTGATGGGCATTTATGTTGATTTCAGGTTTTGCTATTATGAATAGTGCTGTAATGAACATACATGTGCATGTGTCTTTATGGTAGAATGATTTATATTCCTTTGGGTATATACCCCATAATGGAATTGCTGGGTAGAATGGAAATTCTGTTTTAAGTTCTTCGAGAAATCACCACACTGCTTTCCACAATGGCTGAACTAGGTGACATTCCCACTAATAGTGTATAAGCATTTCCTTTTCTTGGCAACCTCACCAGCATCTGTTATTTTTTGACTATTTAATAATAGCTATTCTGATTGGTGTGAGATGGTATCTCATTGTGGTTTTGATTTGCGTTTCTCTAATGAGAAGTGACGTTGAGCATTTTTTCATAGGCTTTTTGGTCATATGTATGTCTTCTTTTGAAAAGTATCTGTTCATGTCCTTTGCTAACTTTTTAATGGAGTTGTTTTTTGCTCATAGTTTTGTTTAAGTTCCTTATAGATTCTGGATATTAGACCTTTGTTGGATGCATAGTTTGCAGATATTTTCTCCCATTCTGTAGGTTCTGTTTATTCAGTTAATAGTTTCTTCTGCTGTGCAGAAACTCTTTAGTTTAATCAGGTGCCATTTGTCAATTTTTGTTTTTGCTGTAATTGCTTTTGGCATCTTGTCATGAAGTCTTTACCAGGTCCTATGCCCAGAACGGTATTTCCTAGGTTATCTTTCAGGGTTTTTATAGTTTTATGTTTTACATTTAAGTCTTTAATCCATCTTGAGTTGATTTTTGTATATGATGTAAGGAAGATGTCCAGTTTCAATCTTTTTCATATGGTTAGCCAGTTATCCTAGCACCACTTAATGAATAGGGAATCCTTTCCCCATTGCTTATTTTTGTCGACTTCGTTGAAGATCAGATGGTTGTAAGTGTGGAGCCTTATTTGTCAGCTATCTCTCTGTTTCTTTCATCTATTTGTCTGTTTTAATACCATGCAGTATTGGTTACTGTATCCTTGTATCGTAGTTTGAAGTCAGGTAGCATGATGCCCTCAGCTTTGTTCTTTTTGCTTAAGATTGCCTTGGCTATTTGGACTCTTTTTTGGCTCCATACATCATAGTATTTTCCAACAAACTTTACCTTTTTTTTTTTTTTTAGACAGTTTCACTCTTGTTGCCCAGGCTGGAGTGCAATGCCGCAATCTCGGCTCACTGCAAGCTTCGCCTCCCGGGTTCAAGCGATTCTCCTGCCTTAGCCTCCCAAGTAGCTGAGACTACAGGCATGACCACCACACCCGGCTAATTTTGTATTGTTAGTTGAGATGGGGTTTCACTATGTTGGTCTGGCTGGTCCCAATTCCTGACCTCACATAATCCACCCACCTTGGCCTCCCAAAGTGCTGGGATTACAGGCGTTAACTATGAGCCGCCACTCCTGGCTCTAACAAGTATTTCTAAGTGAGGTCTCAAGGATGGCTCCCTGATGCACTGCTGTAATAGCCTGGGGAACACGAGTCTGAGAATCTTTATGAAAAAAGAAGCTCCTATTGATAATCAGGACCATTTGTAAGCTATATATATATATATATATCAAATAAATATCCAGTCTTCTCCTCTGCAAACCAGGTAACAGCACTTGGTCTTTCTATATTCATTTGCTTCTGGCATGAGTAGCACTTCTTCTTTATACTCCTTACTGAGACCAACTCATATGGCTTAAATCCCATATCATGTCAGGGCGGGAAGTCCTGCCCTTTCCTTCCCCACTCCTGAGAGGTCCTTTCCCTCCTCTGGCAATGGTCCCACTTCCCTTATCATTTATGACTTTCATATTGACTCACTGTCTGGACCACTCAAACTGCTGTGCCTGTTTCTGCCAGCCCTGCCTGCTCTCTGTGAGCACTGTGGCAAGATAAGAAAAACGAAGCTTTTCTGCACTTTGAAGAAATTACGCAAATGAGAACCAGTGAAATTTCCAGTAGAGGCCAAATTGGGTGCTGTGAAGAGAATATACACCAGGAAAAACACTGCTGGGTTATCACAGGATGGTAGACCTTTATGCTTAGTTCTTTTAAAATATTGTTATAAAATAGATACACTCATTGAGAAAAGTATAATGAAGTCTTATGTTCCCTACATCCAGGTAAACTTAGTCGTTGACATCCACTGAGGGTGAATTTGAATGGTTTAAATTCCAACTACTACTATTTTTAATTAAAAGAAAGAGGAAGGTGGCAGGAAGGGGTTGCTGGGATCCCAAGATTCCAGGGTATCTCTGACAATGCCTTTCAGTCCTACTTACAGGAACATGAAATTAAGCCAGCATGGACATAAGCTTAACTGAGTGAGATAAGAAAGTGAAATCTGCCCTAGGCATCATGGAGCTGGGTCCCATTATTGTTGACACTGATCACCCTAGAGGCCAAGGGTTTTCAGATGTCTTTTAGTTAGCTGAGAATGTGTTAGGCAAAATAATGGGCCCCAAAGATGTTGACATCCTAGTCTTTAAAACTTGTGGACACAGGAGCTTAAATGGCAAAAGGAAATTTGCAGATGTGATTAAGGTTATGGACCTTGAGTTGTGGAAACCTTTTTGAGTTCTAAAAAGTAGAAGAAGAAGGCAAAGGGTGGGTGAGAGAGATGGCAGCATAAGAAAGGTTTAATACTCTGTTGCAGGTTCTGAGCTGCAGGGAGCTACGTGCGAAGGGTAAGAGAAGCCCCTCAGAACTAAGGGCCACCCTCAGCTGAAAGCCAGCAAGGAAACAGGAGCCTCAGTTCCACAAGCAGAAGTAGCAAAGTAAATTATTTTAAGAACAGGAATGAGCAAGGAAACAGATGGTCCCTCAGAGCCTCAGAAAGAAACGCAGCCCCGCTACTTTGTTTTGTTTCAGGTGAGCCTAGGATTGAACCCTACAGAACTGTGTGAATATCTGTGTTGTTTAAGCCACTGAGTTTGTAGTAATTTGTTATGGCAACAACAGACAATAAATGCAAGATGCATCTATGTGGCATAAGGTAGGACCAATAAAATCTCCTATTGATCAGAGGCATAGAGCTCTCAAGCCCATAAAAGTTACTGGCTACCTCCACAGCTTGCTTTTTAGCAAGAGAGCAACTAGACAACATTCTGGAGGGGCAGATATCCTTATATAAAAACTGGCTCCAAGATTTGCCACCATTGAATACACAACCATTTTGCAGTGTATATAAATTTTGGTTGCAGATTACTGATGTTATGCTAAGGAAAAATACTGTCTTTAATATTCTTAATCATAAAGCTGATTCTGTCATATGTACATACTTGTTTTTAAAGTAATAATAAATGGACAAATGCAGCTGAATTATTTGATGATTGACTTTTGGCACTAGTAGCCCCATGGCCTTGCCCTGCCCACCTGTCTGTACTAGAAGTCATATTCCTTTCCATGAGCTGCAGAAAGAAGACAATAACTGCATAATCTGGAATGGTAGAGTTATTACAGGAACCTCTAAACAAGGCACTGACTGAAAAAATAATCAAAACATCTGAACTCTGGAAATGCACATATGTTTTGAACAAATTCCAAAATTCTCTTAAGATTTTCACTGGGGCTTTCCTAAGGAGCCATGTACAGATCTAAAAAGTAGCCTGGACCATCAAAATAACTTGCTTGTAGGGTAGAAAAAGGGTGTTCAAAAGCACCTGATTTGAGGACCAGAGTTCATCTATATTATCAAGAAAGAAACCCACCTTCAATGCCTTCATCTCCCTCTTTGAACCTTCTGCATCAATTTCCCCATCAAGGTTTCTTCTGCAGTCTCCATTGCCACCTTCTGCCCACCACTGCGCAGTGGAGTCAAAACAGCTCCACTGTTTCTGTTGGAGCAAAAACTCGAGTGCTCCATGATCCAGATATTCCTTCATCTCCCCTAATATTCCCTTCAACATTTTGCTGCCTGTATCCCTTTCTCAAGTTTTCACTAGGTATTTCATTGCAAAGACATCTGAGAAACTCATTTATCCTAATAGGTTCATGGAAGATCACGGTTGAATGTGCTATCTCTTTCAGGTGATAGTTATTTTAAAAGAAGATTCCTAGAAGTATTACATCTTTATCCAAAGTAATGAAATCCATGTGGTGGAATTTTAGACGGTGGTACTGAAATGGAGGCTGAGAGGGCATGGGGAGTGAGCCTCTCCTTAACCATTAGTGTGCCTTATCCCACCACACAGACCTTTGCTAACTTTCCATCTGAGTAGGGGCTTCTCTGACTATAGGGTATCCATTTATAGCTTGTACTGAGGCAAGCTAGTTGCTGCAATAAATAAGACCAAAAGAGTATAATGGCTTAAATAAAATAGAAAATTATTTCTTGCACTAAAAAGAGCATTGGGCAAGTGAGCAGTTTAGTAAGCTATCCCTTTCTCATAAAATCAGTCAGGGTCCTAGGCTGATGAAGTTTCTATTTTCAACATTCCATATGAGGCACTCAAAAGTTGCCCTGGTTGTGGGGGAGTCGGGGAAGGGGAGGGCTTTCCTTTCAGCCTTGCCAGAAGAAAAGATCAAGGAGTTAGCCATTTGGCAGTTTTGTACAGGCCCAGTCTGGAAGAAATGCTCCTCATATCACTAACATTCCTTGGCTGAATCTCAGCCACATGGTAGTGCCTAAGTGCAAGAAAGGATGAGAACTGTGTTGTTACTGCAGCCGCAGGAAGGAGAGGTGCACACGAATTTGGGGGAATAATTAATGGTGTCTCCAAGCAGCTCAAACATGAATCTATTCCTGGCTTCTTGTTCAGGGACCACTTTCCCTCTAATGGAAAATCAACAATATTTGGGCACAAACCTAGGAGGATAAGGCATTGCTCTTGCCATCAAGGCAGACAAGTTTGGCAAATAAAGGCAAAAAAAGGTGAAACTTTAAAAAATTGTAGCCATTTTCATATATTAGGCATAGGAGCATCACTTCTTTTTTGGAAGAAAGAATCATTTTATTTGTTTGAGGAAACACTTTTAGGGGTGTTTTGTTATGCGAGGTTTATTCTTGGGTTTAGTCTCATAAATGAGAAGTCTCATTGGGGCCAAGATGAGAGGGACAATTTTGCAAAAGAATGTGAATAATGAATGGTTGCCTTTGGAGTGGAAAGAGCTCCAACTCCCGGTAATTATTATGAAGTAAATTAGTTTTTCATCCTCTGGCTGGAATCTGACAGAAAGAAATTGGAGTTTTGGACTCAGCACAAGATCAAGAGGAACGTCCTCCTATATGAGAAGGGACTGAAACCATAGCCATAGCAACAGGTCAGCAATACAGACTGAGATGAGACAGCAGGTGGGACTCTGCATTGGGATAAGACTGGTAGACTTAAGAGCAGTGGTCATTATTACCAAGTTTTAAGTGTTCCTTTTCCGCATTCTAACTCTGAATATTATCTTACGCCCTCAGTACAGTTTTACTATTCACTCTGGCCTATTATTAGCTATGCCCATGAAACGTCATGAAACATGCAAAAAAGCAGTTAGAAGCAACAGATGGCAAGCAACAGCCAAGGTAGGTACATCCTCTACAGAAATCCTCAGAGTCACCTGAGGAGAGGACTGGGATTCCTGACATCATCCAACAAGGGTTTGGATCTTGGTGTTTTTTTTTTTTTCTTGTCTAGCAAAGGTGTATCTGACCATGGAAGGCCAGAGAACATGGATATATGGCTAAATATGTTGAAAAAAAAATACCCCAACACTTTGGGAGGTCAAGGTAGGAGTATCACTTGATCCCAGAAGTTCAAGACCTGTCTGTGCAACAAAGTGAGACCCTGTCTCTACAAAAAATAAAAAAATTAGTTAAGTGTAGTGGTTGCCACTTATTAGGAGGCTGAGGTAGGAGAATCTCTTGAGCCCAGGAGTTTGAGGTTATAGTGATCCATGATCATGCCACTGCACTCCAGCCTGAACAGCTGAGCAAGACCCTGTCTTAAACAAAAAAAATCAATGAACAACACAAGACTTAGTGTAATTGTACCAAATGGTGTTATATGGGCTCTACCTCCTGCAGCCAAAGCAGACGGGAGGACTGAAGTTGTTAGGAAAACCTCACTGCAGAGGGAAGTTGGAGCTGGCCCTGAAAGGATGAGAAGGTAGAGGCAGCAGGGTCACTAGAGGACACCCCAAGGAAAAAACCCATAGAAATTGTGGGATACTCCATGAATTGCAGGTTTTGATCTGTTTTGTTTCCACTCTAATTGGCCTGTTTTTCTTTGTAATTCTCTGGGTTTGTCCACAGGATTTCCTGATAATTTGATAAGGCATGTTATTTTGCCTTAATCTGTTGTATTTTCTAGACCACTATTTCCTAACCAATGTGCCCATTATTGGTGTGCTAACACATTAATCCTTTTGGCTCTCCAGGCTGTCCTCCAGGGCCTGTGGCGTTCACCTCTGGCTCTAAGCAGCCTCATTGGTGAACACTAGCATGTATATTAGCATGTTTTAAATGTACTGTAAAGTGAAACGTGGTGGGACGCTCTGCAGCCTACATGCAGGTAAGTGACATTGACCATGGGGAGGAAAGGTACAGTAGCATTCTAGACTGTATGGGATGTGGAATCCAACTGCATGTGGGATCAACTTTTAAAAAATCCTCAAAATTAATGTTTTACTTTCTCTAGTTAAAGGTATTATTTCTCTTCCTCTCTTTGTTTACTTGCTTCATTTTCTTCTTATATCACCAATGCGGTATTTTCCAGAGAGCTGAAGAACCCAGATGCATAAGGTGACGAAGCAATTCCATATACCTTTTAGCAATGAAGGATAGAAAGAAAACCCATACATAGCTGGGTTATCAGGGGAGGCTCTGGAGGTATCTAAGAGTGGCCATGCTGTGTGTGCCGGTTATCTGGAAGCCCAACCAACAATGGGCAGCAGATCAGAGGAACAGCTGGAGCAGGGATGAAGGGCAGGAACAGGGTCTGTACACAAGGAAAGAGAGGGCTGTCGACAACAAAAGGATCAGAGCAGTTATGGCTTCATTTCTTTCAAGCCCCTAACTTTCCACAGGTACTAAGGCAAGTCAGACAAGTTGTATGCCTTGTCTGTTTTCATTCTGGAGGTCATTGGACAAGATGACCTCTACAGGAATAATGTGGGTGGGCCTAAAGATTAGGAAGTTTATAAATCTACCTTTCCCATTTTTGTTCCCATTTTTTTTTTCTAATTTCATTGTCTCACAATCGCATTGTCTCTATCCCCATTTATTCCATTTCTCTTCTCAGAAGCAGGCTCATTTCATACAACTCTAATAATAAGCACCGTCTAGCCAGAAGAGGGCAGTATTTGGAAGTGTTGAACATAGAAATTCTCATGGTGCAGGCACAGGCATTAACAGGCTGATGGGTTCTCTTTTTTTCATACGGCTGCAGCGAACTGTAAAAGGAGCATGCATTTCTTCTGAAGTCATATCAAATGATTCCTTCATCTCCCCACTCCCAACTTTTTAAAGAAATAATCATAAATATTTAAGATATAAATATCAAGTTGGCTTAATAACAGGTCACATTTTGGCTAGTTTCATGACAAACTTACACAGCATATAGAATGCAAATATCCACATACTGTGAACAGAAAGTATATGGTGTATTCAGGCAAAACAGATACTTTGCTTAAAGTATGACTGCTCCTATTAGGCAGTTGGGAAAGTAGAATTTGCATTCTATCAAGTTTTAAAAAAATTGTGCCAGTTATGACAAGAAAGTGTTAACTGTCTCAATACATATTTACGGAGGTCCTATGAGGTGTCATGTACTAGCTGGACAATGGAGCGATGTGTTGATGACTTCAACAAGGAGAGACAGTGGGTCTAGATGGTGGCATGGGCTTGAAAGAAATGACTTTTGAAGAAAGAAGGAAAAGTTCTGAAAAGGGAAAGGAATGAGGACTAAAGAGGGTACCTACTCCATCCCTGGGTCCTGTGGTGTAGAATATGGGAATCCAACAGTGTCCTCAAAGGACAGCTGAGTTTTAGTTAGATTAAGAAGAATGCTTTCAAACATTTAGAGAAGAAATTGAGGCCATAAGGCAATAAAGAAAGGGGTTGGGAGTAGAGAGCATGGCTGGCTTTCAGAGTGTATAACCTACGTAGTCACACAGAGCCCTGTGCTCAGAAGGGCCCCATGCTGGTTTTAATGTTTTGCTGATACCATCATGAAATTCTTAATTTTTTTTTTATTAGGAGACGTACATTTTTATTTTGCACTAGGCTCTGCAAATTACACGGCTGGAGGTCAGGGAGAAGTTTGGGTAATGTAAGACGAGAGAATTTACAGATCTGTCTATGGATATGAGGCTCCATAATGCTCTGGGAAGCCAGAATTTCTGGTGGCATTTAAATTAAACGGGGATATAATTCCCATTGAGATTAGTACTGGGGGGTCCTTTAGGGAATGCTTGTTCAGTTCTAACTGAAGCTTCTTTCTAGGACAAGATGGAGATGTTGACCGGAGGGATGCTGGGAGGGAGGCAGTGTTCAGAGGGCACTTACTATTCTGTGGGTCAGTAACAGGGAGTCTTAAATGGGAGCATTTGGGGCCTCACTTAGCTTCAGGGGCACTTGGTGCTTAGTCGTTTCCTTTCTAGACTGAAGTGTAAAGTGTGGTGCACGATTAAGGGAGCTTTGGGAGCCTCCAATCTCACTGTAGGTAACCTTGCATCTGGAAGAGAAGTTGTCTTATCAGAAGTCCTAGAGTCAATCACACATTTCAACGTAGTAAAATGTTAGACTTTGGTTTTCTGCTTTCTGATTATGATGTATAGCTTAAAGAGCCTTTTCAAGCCTTCCAAAACTATAGTCTCCTAAGTTTCTTCTAACAATTTTTAGTTTTTATGTTTAGACCTTAACTACCTGACATTTTATTATTATTTTTAGGTGCACATTAGGGATCTAACTTTTTCCCCAGTGAAATTTTCTAGTATAATTTATTAGTTTATCCTATATATAAATAGGTTCATTTGTGGATGTTCCATTCTGTTCTTTTGATCTATTTTCCTAAGTCCGCAACAGTATATCACACTGCTTACATGATTATATCTTTAGAGTACATTTTTATATTGTGTAGAAAAGTCCAGTTTCTTTTTCAAAGATTTTTTCGGGGGGGGGGGTGGTGCTCTTCTTACTCATTTTTTCTTCTAGATGAATTTTAGAGTCAAGCTCATCAAACAACATTGAAAAATTCTGCTAGTATATTGATTTGTATTGAATCAAATTGATATATGCTTTTTAGTAATAATCAGCATCTTTTCGATATGGACTCTTTCTACTCAGGAACACAATATGTAATCTATGTTTTAAATAATAAATCTTCAATCTTGAATTCTGCTGATCCACTCATGCTAATTTGTTTTACCAATAACTCAATCTTTTTGCACATTTTTGTGGGACTCTTGGCATCTCCCTTTTAAAAGTCATGTGTGTTTTTCAGATAACTGTGAGCAACTGTGAATAGAGAAGAAAGAATTTGAGAAGAGTAAAAACTTTTTATCATGAAATTTTCTAAGTGCTAGGGGCTTCTGTTCATTCCTTAAATCTATGCTGTTAAATTGTTTATTCTCTTAAGTGCTCTAGAAAAGATTTGAAACATTTTGCCTTAGACCCTGAAGGTATCCATATCAATATCTTCCGTATAATCAAGTGGTTAAAATATAAAGCCATATAAAATTATATGCCAGGCATGATTGCAAGTCAATATACAATTGGAAAATCACTTCACATAGCTCACTTTTTAAAGGCAACCAAAACCTTCAGCCATACCCAGCTTATAAAATAAGGATATTCAGAAAGAAGAAAATAATTTTTATTCAGCCAGTTTACTTATTCCACTGTTCAAGGCTAATCAAGGCATATGATTAATAATAGTCTCTTCAAATTGCATCCTGAGAAATGTTTTCACTTAAGTTTAATGAAAAACACTTGGAAGCAACTGAGTGCTATGGAGAAGTGGTTAGTTATTATCCTTGCTTATGAATTAGCATAAGTTTAAAGAATAGTTGATGCTGAAAGCTAAAATGTTAATTTCTTTTTCATAAGCATTTTTCCATCCAAACTGAAACGGAAAGATTGACACGTGTCAGAGGGAAGTTAGTCTGCAAAAGAAGCTAGGAGGCCAGAGATTTGAAACCAGAGATGGTAGACTGGATAGGCTGATAAAAACATGGAGCCCAGTAGGTGGCAATAGAGGCTCTTCTCTTCCCTCTTTGTCCAGGCATTTTAAGTCATCTCTCTTCTTAACCCATCATTAAGGCAAACCTAATTTCAATTATCTGTGGTCCCCTTGTTCTCATGGAAATAAGGATGGGAGGATTCAGGGTGGAGTAGGAGGAATGAAAGCTTGTACAGAAAATCTGAGCCCTTGAGAAGGGCTTTGCTTTCCCACATCACTGAAGATGCCTATTTAGAAAGAACACGTATGTTTTAGTAGGCTCTGAACATGCTAATTCTAAGAATCTTTTTTTTTTGGTGGGGAGTGACAATATAATTTTAATCATCAATAGCTTTCAGCTTAGTAGTAAGGCTTTTGGCTGACTTTTGTCCAGCTTATTAGTTCAAAGGGAGCTCACTGAAATCCTTGAACTATTAATGACTGTTATAAAGAATGAAAAATTTAAAATAGCAAGTGTTTTCATGCAGAGCAGGGAGAAAACTGAGATGTTACTCATAAGAAGAATTTCTCTTCTATCAACTTAGGAGAATTTGGAAGAGGAAAACTTCTATCACAGGTTGGATTAGTATTTCCAGATCATACCAACTGAAAGAAGAGATTATTCTATACAATGTTTCTCAAAGATCTGTCCAGAAAGGAGACAGGAACTTCTATTAGGCATTTTATTTTATTTTATTTTTAAGGTATAGTAAATGGAAACAATAGTCTTTAGAGCTTAGAGCTTGAGTTTAAAATTCGACTGCCACAAATTACTACCTGTGGGATCTTGAATAAATGACTTGTCTTTTTTGTACCTCAGTTATTTTTTTTAATCTGTAAAGTGGAATTGATATATTTACCTCATAGTTGTAATAGATGTAAAGCACTTAGTATTGTCATATAAAAATACTTAACAAATATTGGCTATTATGGCACAGACAATTAGTGCTCACTGCTTATTTATTTGTTCTTTTACATTTCCCAGCCTCCCTTAAAGTTAGCTTCAGACCATGTGCCTAATTATAGTCAATGAACTGGAGCAGAGGGATGGAGGCAGGTAAGAGCCAGTGTGCCTTTAAACTCTCTCTTTCCCTGATAAGGAAAACTTGGGGGCCACGTGTTTCAGATGGTATACCTCCAAGGTGGAGAAGAGCCACCCAACCCACACCAGGGCATGATGAGGGTGACAAACATACATTGTGTTTGGTCGCTGAGATTTCAGAGCCAATTTATTGCCATAGCATAGCTTCATTATGTAAGGAAGATGTAACAGTTGACTATTAGAGTTTCTTTATGAATATGGTATTGCTATTTCTAGATAATGACAAATCAAATGTCAAAATAAAATAAGTAGCAGACTGACTTCTAGTTCTTAATAACCTGGTTGTAATCTCCTTTGAGAGTAGAGTCTTCATCTGTCTTATTTACCATTGAAATCTCAGTACCTAGAATACTACTTGGCACAAAGTAAGTGCTTACATATTTTTGTGAAGATACTGCACATTTTAAAGATGCATAGCCCTCTGCCTACATTGTGGAGAACATAAAAGGTTAAAACCATGGTCTTTGCTCGCAAGGAGACTATAAACCGAAATGAAGAAACAAATACACCTGTCTCTTCTCTCGCCCACACCTATCCCCTGGTGCACAAAACAGTGACATTGCTGCTTCAACTAAGAAATTCTATATTTAAATTCTAATGTATGCAACATACTGAAGGCATTCAGATAACAGAGCACTCAGAGGGCTGCAAACCACTGGGACAGGAAGAAGAGATAATATCTCAAGGGTTAGAGAAAGAGACCCAGGTTAGTGGGTTAGATAGAAAGGTTAGTGAAACAGCTGTAGTAAAGAGTCAGGGTTCTGAGTTCTGGATGTAAGACTATAAATGTTAGTGAGATAGGTCAGACTGGAAGAAAAGCATATGTTGGAGAAGAGAAAGAAAAATAAGTGGATAGTGGATATCATAGTATCCACCCTTTGAGACTAAAGTCCTCATTTGCCCAATTGCTGGGACTGGTGACTACTGAAGTCTCTCAGCTGTGACCACTCCAGAAATTGCCCACAGCTGAAGAAAGCCACCTGGGCCAAGGTCTCATCCCCATTTCAGAGACAGCCATATCCAATGACTGATTGATGCTAAGTTGTAAAAGCTGGGCCCTCTTGCTTCAATAGAGGGATCGTTCTGCAAGACCATCCCAGCTTCAGGGCACTCCATGGAATAATCAGAAATTTCTGTTGTGACGGCATCGCAGCCTAACATATCTCTCTACCCAATCTGCTACTGTCACTTCTCCATACCTATGGATTCCCAAAGTAGGCTCAACACTTTCTGCATGCAAATTTCCAGCTCAAAATCTGCTCTGCAACAGATAGTAAGGAAGAGACAAATTAATGGAGGTTCACAAAAGCCAGGAAGATCTTTGACTTGTCGGGGCAAGAATAAAAGAAAGTCATGAATGACTTCTCAAAAGAGAATGAGAGTCTGGGAAGGATTTGGCCTGGTAATGGAATCAAGGCTAGGGAGAGGCAAAGATACTACATTTGGAAAGGCAGATATTGCTCTCAAGAATTCTGCCAGTGCTGCTGTCTATGCAGCACTTCAGTGCAATTACACTGTCTAGACCCCAGAATGTTTGCCTGGAATGTGTCTGCTATTTTGAAGTCCATTTAGGATGGTGAGCTACCAGTCTGATGAATAAAAGAAAGTGAAATTCCTTTTTTGGCTGAAGTTAAAGTAGAATTATTTGACTACAGGTGAGTTCAGGAGTAGCCAGAGTTAAGGGTGATTTCTTGGTTTCTGGAGGAAAATCTCAGCATTTTGTAATCTTTTACAATACAAAATTGGGATTGTGAAGGAATGGGCAACTGAAAGGAAGACTTCATCCTTATTTGAAGAGATAACCACAGCTGCCCCAAACTATAGAAAATATTGGTCAGTGAAAATTGTTGACTGTTGACATGGTAACTTTTCCAGGCAGAACTTACATAACATTTAAGATCTTTTCTCTAGAATAAGAAGAAGACATTTTCTTTCTTCCCAACTTTCTTTTGATTTCTTAACTATTATCTTAAAGATGGTTTTCATGACACTAGAAGTACCAGGATATAATGTCTTACATGCCAGTTACTATTAAGATAATATTCATTTGACAAAAACTACAGGAAAATCTAATAAATATTGTCAATGGAGTCTTAGGAAATGATTGTTTTTGCTGGAGCTGTTCTGGAAGTGTTGATTGAACACTTAAATAAAAACTTTGGAAACAAAGATGACTCTTCCAACGTTTGTATAGTAGTGCCACTAGTTCAAGTGAGCTTGGCATGCTATATTGGTGCTCCCAGACTGACGGAGCAGATGCTGTGAAGTGTAAATGTGAGAATTTGTTCAAAGGAAAGAAAAAAAGGTGGAACATCCTAAGGCAGAATGTGTGCAATGAATGGTTTTGGCACTAATGAACGCAGTATGATTGGAGTGATCTGCATTCTAAGCTCAGTAAAAAAACATTTCTTAAGCCTTTACCCTGTGCCAAACACTGCAAGGGGTGTATTGGCACATTTATTAAGAATTAGAACTGGTAAGGCTTTGTGAATTCAGACATATGAGGAAAAAATGTAAAAGAGAAAAGGGTGAAAATATTAAAATTTGTAATTGAGAAAATTAGGAGAACCAAGTGGCCATTATGAGAAAAGCCTGCTCATTAAAAGTCCTTTGTAACTCTAACTAATTAAGGTGATCCTGTGACTTCTGAGAGCAGAGCTACTTTGTGGCATTATGGAGGGGTTAGAAGAATCTGCTCTAGAGTCAGCCTTCCTGAGTTTACATCCCATATCTATCACTACAACTATGGGACTTTGGCTAGTTTCCTTAATTTCCCCACCTCTTAGTTTCCACATCTGTATAACGAGGTTAATGCATTACCTCATGAGATTGTTACTAGAAATTCATAAAAATAATTCATGCAGACTGCTCCACACAATGCCTGGCACTCTATAAAAGTCCTTGAATATATTTGCATGTGATATATGATGGTGGAAATGGTGCTGGGAGGGATATCACTGGAGAAATGAAAAGGGGCACTTCTTCTTGGGCTGTAATCCTTGCAAAAGCCCTCCTTAAGTTCTCTAGAGGATAAGAATGGAAAAAAACCACCCAGCACAAGCAGACCAAGGAGCAAAGCTGGGATACATTCTCTTTGGAGTCATTCATCTTGCTGCAGACATCCATGCAGACATGCAATTTCTTTTCTCTTAAGTTTATAGCTTATAGAGTGTCTTAGTGTCTGATAGACTACAGGTACCTTCTGGTGAGACTTAAGCAATTTTCTCAATTTTTGCTTAGTAAGAATAATTCACTCTAAATGCCAGATCTACATAGTTTCTAATGGATGGAACAGCTTATAAATCCTCAAGATCTTTTTATTATTCCCTGCAAAACAAACCTTTACACATTACCTGAGTGCCCTGAGGGCCTGTTTTATGGAAAGGGTCCTCACTCTAAACAACAAAAGCAGGTAATGCTTTAAAAAAAATAAAAATAACAAGCATAATTGTCCTGGACAACTAAGGCTCTCTTCTACTCCAAACCTTGAAACTATTGTTCATTTTAGCACAAATGCATTAGCAAGAACAGGAGTAAGCCAGATTCACAGGACTTCTGTGTCAGCACTGCTGGGTCCTTACATGACAGGTGACAAATGGCTTTTCTTTGCTTTCCTTCACCCCTGCAACCCCTGACATATCTGAACTCTTGCTCTTGTGTTTTCTTGGCTTTTGAGGATAACAAAGAAGCTGCATATTAAGCAGAGATTAAGTAGCCTTTGAAAGGGTTATTTTGGCTTTCATAAGCTTCAGATAAGAAGAAATGAAAGAGAAGTGATTTAGCTTGCCCCAAATGATACTATATTCTGACAAGAGAAGGAATAGCATATTTTGGGTCTTTCTCACCCCTGTTTTCTGCATCAATCTTTAACTCCTATCAAATGCAGTAGAACCAGGTGATGGAAGGGGTATTCACCAGCTGCCCTTTCTTTCTTAGCTGGACATCTGGCTTTCTCGCTCTTCGCTCACCTTATTCCACCCTCCTGACTCAGCATGTGTGGGAGCCATGTCGATACTAGAGGATATCTCTGTATGCATCTTTGGTATCAGTTAATTTAATAAAGGCCCTTGGCAGGGAGAACACCTTCCACAGATAGGATGTTGGGGGACAATTCTCCATGTGTCTCACTTGTCTGAACATCTTGCAAAAGATGTACTGATTGTCTTTTTTTCTGGGCTATAGTTTTAAAAATGTTTATATGATGTTTCCCTCTAAAGCAAAGGGCAGGCATGCTTACTGCCATTATAGAAGACTGTTTCCCTGAGCTCGAGATTCCCATCCTGTAATATAACCCACGGTGAGTGCGGGTGTATTATGGCTCTTCTCACATTGACCTGGAGGAAGTGGGGCTCAGGGACCAGCACAGAAATGTTGTTACTGCTGTTGTTATGTGTAATAAACTATTCTTCAACTCTGTGCAGGAGTCTTGTGTCTTCTGCCAGCATTCTGAATGTGTTGGCCACTGCAATGCTATACATGCTCAGCCTGTCCCACAGCTTTCTCAAATTCTCAGAAACTCATTGTATCGTGTGGTATAAAAGCAGCTGCACTCCATCAGCATTCTCCTTGAATCCTTATTTCTGGAACTGTCTTAAAAGTTGTCAAAAAAGCAACCTTCAGACAACTTTCTAAATGTTATCACATCTTCGATCCATAGACTAAGGATTAAGGCCCTATAAATGGCCAGGACCATTTTTGTTTAGCAATAACATAAAAGGTGTCTCTGCTCCCATTGTACAGATTGGCCCAGTCATTCTGACACATTCATTTATTCCAATCAATTTATGCATTAACTTTAAAAATATTTTTCACAGAGGTGAATAAGATAAACATAGCTTTTGTCTTTATGGAACTTATACACTACTAGGGCAGAAAATATTAGAAATAATTACATAAAATTAATAAGTCACAAATACTATGAAGGAAATAAATACTATGAAATATATGAGGCATGATATAAAATTATGTAATGGGGGATTTTTTTATTATCAAATATCAAAAGTAGCGCAAGTTAGCAAACAACACAAAATTTTTGAACAATTGAGAAATTGAGATCCTTCTTTGCTTTTATTCTTTTCTTTTTTTCTTTTTTCTTTTTTTTTTTTTTTTGGCTTGGATCTAGCAGGTAAACAAGAAATAAGAACTAAAATATACGTTCTCCACAATTTTACCCAAATAAAAGAATATTTCCCCTGGGTAAATTGGATTTTTGAAAGGTTTCATGAAGATCTCTAGAAAAAGAAAAAATTGCTAAAGTGACAATCTTTGAAAAGTTTGCTGGCTATTATGTAGGAATTAGAAGCTGAAGGGAATCTGAGAAAAAAAAGAGGCAGGCTTTACTTCTTATAGCAATAAGAAAGACTTAATACCTGGAATAATTTTCTCATTTTTCCAAGCAATGTTTTAGACTGCATTTAGGTGACTACCACCTGCAATGATAAATGCCTAATCTGTTAATTTATAAAATAAGCCAGTTGAAATAAGGAAGGGGGAAAAGCACACATAAAGCAATGGTTAGTTACATTCTAAATAAAACTTTCAACAGGCAACTCTCACTTCATTCAATTCATAGGTTTGATTTGAGCAAAAAAAATTAAAAAACAGGATCAACTGGTGTTCTAGAGCTTTAGTGAATAGTCTGTTTATCATATCTGTCTGTCTCTACCTTTCTCTCCCTGTATGCATGTAAAGTGATTTGTATTTATTGCCTCAGTTTTCTAAATAATTCAAACATGACTGTTTGAGTCACTAAGACTATTTTTAAGTGAGAATGAAGAAAGGATGGGAAAGGAATGGATTCGACGAAAGGATGGTTAAAAAAAAAAGGTATTATTATGTTCATCTAGATTAAAGGAAGCTAATCCAATTGAAATTCTTCTTTTGAGGTGGTGCCAGAAAGGAATTTGTTTTTCTTTGTAGTAATGCTAGGACTTGAAATAACTCACCTAGTAATTAGTTACTTCATGGGAAAGAAAAGTCTCATTTATGTTTGCATTACTAAAAATGAAGGTAAAGAAGCCAAGATGTGGTAGACCAGTTCTCTTCATCTGTCAGCAATGGTAGATGTTTATCTGTTTCCCTCTGAATGCTGCATGTATATCTGGTTGAGGTTGAGGCTTGCTGCCAAGGGATACAGAACTGATCCTTGCAATCCAGCAAACCACATTGCTTTCAGCTATTGCTTCTGGCTTGGTGACCCTTACTACACAGCTCATTTTGGAGAGGGATTGTTCAATATTATTTTCTCTTGTTCCTAAAAGCAAATACATTACAAATTAGTATAAGGTTTCTGATTTTATTTTACAGCATTGTTAGAGAAGTATGTTTTCTCTAAATCTCTAACCATCCTTTCCTTCATCATGTTGACTTTATGAGACTTTCACTCCTGCCGTCAAGGTCAAATAAAAGGTTCAAATGTCTGCAGCCCTTTTCTTTCACTTCTCTATCCTATTAGGGAGAGAACTATGCTAAAGGTATGGATAGGGTAAAAAAGCCATTTTGTATGATAGAAGCAAGACTTTATTGATTATATTACCTACATTTAGAAATATCCACATGGTGTTCAATTTCTTTCTTCACATCCAACACTGGCTGTTTCTGACACTTAGCAATAAAATCCTGGTGTTTCCTGTAGGAGTCTTGGTGATTGCTACTACTTTACCTGAATTACCTCTTATAAAATAATGTAAGCAATTGCCTCATATTATATTAATGAAGGAAGTTCTCCTGCTGAGTCCAAGTCAGTCTCACATTGCCTAAACAGAGAACAATCGTACCATATTTTGATGGTATTCTTAGTCCTGTTTCTACAAAGATGGATCTAAGTGAAACTGCCTTGAGAATTTTGTATAGAGTCAACCATTTCCATTTAATGACAACTGAAACTAAAGCAAAGATATCTTCTATAGAAAGTTATCCTATATATGCAAGAATTTCCATTGGAAATGTGAAGTGTTTTGATCCAATGAGAGGTTATGAAAGAATATCTTTAGATAGGTTTTTCAGTAGGGTAGACTAAGGGCTTTTATTGGTCTGTATGTCACTCCGTGTCTCCTAGGGTCTTAAGTAGAGAGATGTTTACCTCAACCACTGATTTTTGACCAGGCTTCATCAGAGTCAGTTGGGAAATTTTTAAAATAATACAGATTTGAAGACACCAGTCCCAAGGATTCAGGTTCCATCAGCCTGAGACACAACTTTGGAATCAGTGTTGTTAATAAGACTCTCATTTAATTGTAAGATATGCCATGTTTGATAAATAGCTTTCAAATTCTTAAGATACTTTAGTTATTTTTTCCTATATTGATTTTTCATGAAAACATGAAGCAATAAAATATTGACCTCTGATCATGCCCAAGTAAATATCCTAGGGCTTTTTATAATTTTTTTTTTTTTTAAAAAATGTTGTGGTGGCAAAGCACTAGATTGTTAGGGGAGAGCCAGCTCAGGCAAACATGTAATATGTCAAATACGTCTTAGGTACTCTCAGACCCACCCTTTGTCCATAGTTGTCTGGGTGTCTGGACTACTAACGATAGATTATACTGTGAAAATGAATAGTCCCAAAATCTCGATGGCTTAATGCAGCAAAGTTGATTTACTACACATGCTATGATGGACTGTGGCTTTGATCCATAGCATTTTCTCTGAGGCTTAGGCTGCAAGAAGCCTCTGTTTAGAACATTGCTGGTTATTGTGGCAGGAGGCAAAGAAGACATGGTGAAACATGCTTAGGCTCTTGAAGCTTCTGCCTAGAGAAGGTGACAACAGCTGTGCCTGAATTCCATGGGCAGCATGTATACTCCTATCCCAACAGGGAGAGATAGTACATATTTCAGAATGAAAGTGCACCATATAATACATTTTAGAAAATAATAATGCTGAGAGCTCCAAGATGGCCAAATAGGAACAGCTCCAGTCTACAGCTCCCAGCATAAGCGATGCAGAAGACGGATGATTTCTGCATTTCCAACTGAGATTGGAAGACATTAGTGGTTCTCCCAGCACACAGCTTGAGATCTGAGAACGGACAGACTGCCTCCTCAAGTGGGTCCCTGACCCCTGAGTAGCCTAACTGGGAGGCCCCCCCAAGTAGGGGCAGACTGACACCTCACACGGCCAGGTACCCCTCTGAGACAAAACTCCCAGAGGAACGATCAGGCAACAACATTTGCTGTTCACCAATATTCACTGTTCTGCAGCCTCCGCTGCTGATACCCAGGCAAACAAGGTCTTGAGTGGACCTCCGGCAAACTCCAACAGACCTGCAACTGAGGGTCCTGACTGTTAGAAGGAAAACTAACAAACAGAAAGAATAACCACACCAAAACCCCATCTGTACGTCACCATCATCAAAGACCAAAGGTAAATAAAACCACGAAGATGGGGAAAAAACAGAGAAGAAAAACTGAAAATTCTAAAAATCAGAGCGCCTGTCCTCCTCCAAAGGAATGCAGTTCCTCACCAGCAATGGAGCAAAGCTGGACAGAGAATGACTTTGTCGAGTTGAGAGGAGAAGGCTTCAGAAGATCAAACTTCTCCGAGCTAAAGGAGGAAGTTCGAACCCATGGCAAAGAAGTTAAACACGTGGAAAAAAGATTAGATGAATGGCTAACTAGAAAAACCAATGCAGAGATGTCCTTAAAGGACCTGATGGAGCTGAAAACCACGGCACAAGAACTAGGTGATGAATGCACAAGCTTCAGTAGCCGATTGAATCAACTGGAAGAAAGTGTATCAGTGAAGGAAGATCAAATGAATGAAATGAAGCAAGAAGAGAAGTTTAGAGAAAAAAAAGAATAAAAAGAAATGAACAAAGCCTCCAAGAAATATGGGACTATGTGAAAAGACCAAATCTACGTCTGATTGGTGTACCTGAAAGTGACGGGCAGAATGGAACCAAGTTGGAAAACACTCTGCAGGATATTATCCAGGAGAACTTCCCCAATCTAGCAAGGCAGGCCAACATTCACATTCAGGAAATACAGAGAATGACACAAAGATACTCCTCAAGAAGAGTAACTCCAAGACGCATAATAGTCAGATTCACCAAAGTTGAAATGAAGGAAAAAATGTTAAGGGCAGCCAAAGAGAAAGGTCGGGTTACCCACAAAGGGAAGCCCGTCAGACTAACAGCTGATGTCTCAGCAGAAACGCTACAAGCCAGAAGAGAGTGGGGGCCAATATTCAATATTCTTAAAAGAAAAGAATTTTCAACCCAGAATCTCATATCCAGCCAAACTAAGTGTGAAGGAGAAATAAAATCCTTTACGGACAAGCAAATGCAGGGAGATTTTGTCACCACGAGGCCTGTCCTACAAGAGCTCCTGAAGGAAGCACGAAACATGGAAAGGAACAACCGGTACCAGCCACTGCAAAAACACGCCAAATGATAAAGACCATCAAGGCTAGGAAGAAACTGCATCAACTATTGAGCAAAATAACCAGCTAACATCATAATAACAGGATCAAATTCACACATAACAATATTAACCTTAAATGTAAATGGGCTAAATGCACCAATTAAAAGACACAGACTGGCAAATTGGATAAAGAGTCAAGGCTCATCAGCGTGCTGTATTCAGGAAACCCATCTCACATTCAGAGACACACATAGGCTCAAAATAAAGGGATGGAGGAAGATCTGCCGAGCAAATGGAAAACAAAAAAAGGCAGGGGTTGCAATCCTAGTCTCTGATAAAAGAGCCTTTAAACCAACAAAGATCAAATGAGACAAAGAAGGCCATTACATAGTGGTAAAGGGATCAATTCAACAAGAAGAGCTAACTATCCTAAATATACATGCACCCAATACAGGAACACCCAGATTCATAAAGCAAGTCCTTAGAGACCTACAAAGAGACTTAGACTCCCACACGATAATAATGGGAGACTTTAACACCCCACTGTCAACATTAGACAGATCAACGAGACAGAAAGTTAACAAGGATATCCAGGAATTGCACTCAGCTCTGCACCAAGTGGACCTCATAGACATCTACAGAACTCTCCACCCCAAATCAACAGAATATACATTCTTCTCAGCACCCCACCGCACTTATTCCAAAATTGACCACATAGTTGGAAGTAAAGCTCTCCTCAGCAAATGTAAAAGAACAGAAATCATAACAAACAGTCTCTCAGACCACAGTACAATCAAATTAGAACTCAGGATTAAGAAACTCATTCAAAACCATACAAATACATGGAAATTGAACAACCTGCTCCTGAATGACTACTGGGTACATAACGAAATGAAGGCAGAAATAAAGATGTTCTTTGAAACCAATGAGAACAAAGACACAACATACCAGAATCTCTGGGACACATTTAAAGCAGTGTGTAGAGGGAAATTTATAACACTAAATGCCTACCAGAGAAAGCAGGAAAGATCTAAAATTGACACCCTAACATTACAATTAAAAGAACTAGAGAAGCAAGAGCAAACACATTCAAAAGCTAGGAGAAGGCAAGAAATAAGTAAGATCAGAGCAGAACTGAAGGAGATAGAGACACAAAAACCCTTCAAAAAAATCAATGAATCCAGGAGCTGGTTTTTTGAAAGATCAACAAAATTGATAGACCGCTAGCAAGACTAATAAAGAAGAAAAGAGAGAAGAATCAAATAGACGCAATAAAAAATGATAAAGGGGATATCACCACCGATCTCACAGAAATACAAACTGCCATCAGATAATACTATCAATACCTCTATGCAAATAAACTAGAAAATCTACAAGAAATGGATAAATTCCTCGACACATACACTCTCCCAAGACTAAACCAGGAAGAATTTCAATCTCTGAATAGACCAATAACAGGCTCTGAAATTGAGGCAATAATTAATAGCTTACCAACCAAAAAAAGTCCAGGACCAGACGGATTCACAGCTGAATTCTACCAGAGGTACAAGGAGGAGCTGGTACCATTCCTTCTGAAACTATTCCAATCAATAGAAAAAGACGGAATCCTCCCTAACTCATTTTATGAGGCCAGCATCATCCTGATACCAAAGCCTGGCACAGACACAACAAAAAAGAGAATTTTAGACAAATATCCCTGATGAACAGCGATGCAAAAATCCTCAATAAAATACTGGCAAACTGAATCCAGCAACACAACAAAAAGCTTATCCACCATGATCAAGCGGGCTTCATCCCTGGGATGCAAGGCTGGTGCAACATACACAAATCAATAAATGTAATCCAGCATATAAACACAACCAACGACAAAAACCACATGATTATCTCAATAGATGCAGAAAAGGCCTTTGACAAAATTCAACAGCCCTTCATGCTAAAAACTCTCAATAAATTAGGTATTGATGGGAAGTATCTCAAAATAATAAGAACTATTTATGACAGACCCACAGCCAATATCATACTGAATGGGCAAAAACTGGAAGCATTCCCTTTGAAAACTGGCACGGGACAGGGATGCCCTCTCACACCACTCCTATTCAACATAGTGTTGGAAGTTCTGGCCAGGGCAATGAGGCAGGAGAAGGAAATAAAGGGTATTCAATTAAGAAAAGAGGAAGTCAAATTGTCCCTGTTTGCAGATGACATGATTGTATATGTAGAAAACCCCATCGTCTCAGCCCAAAATCTCCTTAAGCTGATAAGCAACTTCAGCAAAGTCTCAGGATACAAAATCAATGTGCAAAAATCACAAGCATTCTTATACACCAATAACAGCAAACAGAGAGCCAAATCATGAGTGAACTCCCATTCACAATTGCTTCAAAGAGAATAAAATACCTAGGAATCCAACTTACAGGGGTTGTGAAGAACCTCTTCAAGGAGAACTACAAACCACTGCTCAATGAAATAAAAGAGGATACAAACAAATGGAAGAACATTCCATGCTCATGGATAGGAAGAATCAATATCATGAAAATGACCATACTGTCCAAGGTAATTTACAGATTCAATGCTATCCCCATCAAGCTACCAATGACTTTCTTCACAGAATTGGAAAAAACTACTTTAAAGTTCATATGGAACCAAAAAAGAGCCCGCATTGCCAAGTCAATCCTAAGCCAAAAGAACAAAGCTGGAGACATCACACTACCTGACTTCAAACTATACTACAAGGCTATAGTAACCAAAACAGCATGGTACTGGTACCAAAACAGAGATATAGATGAATGGAACAGAACAGAGCCCTCAGAAATAATGCCACACATCTACAACTATCTGATCTTTGACAAACCTGACAAAAACAAGAAATGGGGAAAAGATTCCCTGTTTAATAAATGGTGCTGGGAAAACTGGCTAGCCATATGCAGAAATCTGAAACTGGATCCCTTCCTTACACCTTATACAAAAATTAATTCAAGATGGATTAAAGACTTACATGTTAGACCTAAAACCATAAAAACCCTACGAGAAAACCTAGGCAATACCATTCAGGACATAGGCATGTGCAAGGACTTCATGTCTAAAACACCAAAAGCAATGACAACAAAAGCCACAATTGACAAATGGGATCTAATTAAACTAAAGAGCTTCTGCACAGCAAAAGAAACCACCATCACAGTGAACAGGCAACCTACAGAATGGGAGAAAATTTTTGCAGTCTACTCATCTGACAAAGGGCTAATATCCAGAATTTACAAAGAACCCAAACAAGTTTACAAGAAAAAAACCCCATCAACAAGTGGCAAGGGATATGAATGGACACTTCTGAAAAGAAGGCATTTATGCAGCCAAAAGACACATGAAAAAATGCTCATCATCACTGGCCATCAGAGAAATGCAAATCAAAACCACAATGAGATGCCATCTCACACTAGTTAGAATGGCAATCATTAAAAAGTCAGGAAACAACAGGTGCTGGAGAGGATGTGGAGAAATCGGAACACTTTTACACTGTTGGTGGGACTGTAAACTAGTTCAACCATTGTGGAAGTCAGTGTGGCTATTCCTCAGGGATCTAGAACTAGAAATACCATTTGACCCAGCCATCTCATTACTGGGAATATACCCAAATGACTATAAATCATGCTGCTATAAAGACACATGCACACGTATGTTTATTGCGGCACTATTCACAATAGCAAAGACTTGGAACCAACCCAAATGTCCAACAATGATAGACTGGATTAAGAAAATGTGGCACATATACACCATGGAATACTATGCAGCCATAACAAAGGATGAGTTCATGTCCTTTGTAGGGACATGGGTGAAGCTGGAAACCATCATTCTCAGCAAACTATCGCAAGGACAAAAAACCAAACACCGCATGTTCTCACTCATAGGTGGGAATTGAACAATGAGAACACTTGGACATAGGAAGGGGAACATCACCCACTGGGGCCTGTTGTGGGGTGGGGGGAGGGGGGAGGGATAGCATTAGGAGATATAACTAATGTAAATGATGAGTTAATGGGTGCAGTGCACCAACATGGCACATGTATACATATGTAACAAACTTGCATGTTGTGCTCAGGTACCCTAAAACTTAAAATATAATAATAAAAAAAAGAAAATAATAATGCTGTTCTGTTTGTTTGTTTGTTTGTTTGTTTGAAACAGAGTCTCACTCTGTAGCTGAGGCTGGACTGCAGAGGTGCAATCTTGGCTCACTGCAACCTCCACCTCCTGAGCTCAAGCAATTCTCGTGCCTCAGCCTGCTGAGTCACTGGGATTACAGGTGTGCCACCACAAGGTCTGGCTTATTTTTGTATTTTTTGTAGATGCAGGGCTTCTCCATGTTGGGCAGACTGGTTGTGAACTCCTGGCCTCATGTGATCTGGCCACCTCGGCCTCCCAAGGTGTCGGGATTACAGGTGTGAGCCACTGCACCCAGCCTAATAGTGCTGTCCCTAAAGCAACAGAAAACAAGTATTTCTTGAATTCTACCATGTTCCAGACACTGTCTAGATATTGAGAATATAGCAGTAAGTAAAACACAGAAAATCCTAGAACTCTTGGGACTTTCATTGAAGGGATGGAAGGGGGACATAAAAATAAAATTGTTTTGCAGAAAAACAAAATAGGAAAAGGGAATAAGAGTGATGGGATATTGAGGGTTCAATTTAGACAGGGTCATTAGAAAAGTGTCTTGAGAAGAGCTATTTGAGCACTGTATATAAAGAAGAGAATGAAGACTACAAGACCGAGAGGAAAAGACCTTGAGATAAAACAGCCATTGCAAAAATTCTAAGACAGGAACACATGTGTGGCCTGACTTAGGAACTACAAGGCCAGATTGTCTGGAAAAGAGTGAGCCTATGGAAGAAAGAAATACAGTAGAGGAACCAGGAACCTGATCAGATAGAACCCTGAAGGCCATGGTAAAGTCTTTGAATTATTTTGCAATGAGATGGGAAAAAACTGGAGGATTTTCAGCAATGGAGGAACATGATATCTTCATTTTAAGGAATCCTTGTACCTCCCGCTTGAATATAAACTATAAAGAAACAAGAGAGGTAGGCCAGGTGCAGTGACTCATACCTATAATTCCAGCAGTTTGGGAGGCCAAGGCAGCCAGATCGCTTAAGCTCAGAAGTTCAAGCCCAGCCTGGGCAACAAGGCTAAACCCCATCTTTACAAAAATACAAAAATTAACTGGGCACCGTGGCATGTGCCTGTAGTCCCAGCTACTTAGGAGGCTGAGGTGGGTGGATCGCTTGAGCCTGGGAGGCACAGATTGCAGTGAGTGAGCTGAGGTTGCACCACTGCAATCCAGCCTGGGTGACAGAGCAAGACCCTGTCTCAGAAAACAAACAAACAAAAAAAAAATGAGTGGAGGAGGCTGACCTGATCAGCCAGGAGACCATTGCAGGTAGTCAAAGAGAGAAAGGTTGGTGGCTTGGACCAAGTTGATGGTAGTAGAAGTGGCAAGAAGTAGTCATTTTGAAAATATATTGTAGAAATGGAACTGGCTGGATTTCCTGATGGGTTGGATGTAAGTTCTGAAGGAAGAGAAGAGTCAAGGAAAATTTCTAGGATGTTGGCCTGAGCAACTGGGTGAATGGAAGTTCACTTATTGAGCTGAGAACTTGGAAGAGAGCTAGAGGAAGATAAAAAGTTAGTTTTTGAAAAAGTTAGTTTTTGAAAAAATTAAATGTGTGATCCCAGTTATACAATCAAGTTTGGGTATATGAATCTGAAATACAGAGGAGAGTCTGGGGTAAGTTTTAAATTAGGGAGCCAAGATATGGATAAGATCACTTAGGAAATAATTAGAGATAGAAACGAGAAGAGGTCCAGGGTTGAGCCCTGTCATCCTCCAACATTTTGGAGTTTGGGATGGGAGAATATCCTGCAAGGACACTGAGTAGGAGAAGACAGTTGAAATGGTTTGGCTGTGTCCCCACCCATATCTCACCTTGAATTGTAATAATCCCCACAGGTCAAGAGTGAGGCCAAGTGGAGATAATTGAATCATGTTCTCATGGTAGTGAATAAGTCTCACGAGATCTGATGGCTTTATAAATGGGAGTTCTCCTGCACAAGCTTTCTCTTGCCTGCTGCCATGTGAGAAGTGACTTTGCTCCTCCTTGCCTTCCACCATGATTGTGAGACCTCTCCAGCCATGTGGAACTGTGAGTACATTTAACCTCTTTTTCTTTATAAATCGCCCAGTCTCAGGTATGTGTTTATCAGCAGTATGAGAACAGACTAGTACAATAGTATGGTAGGAGAAAACTGTGAGTGTGGTGTTCCAAAATCTTGTGAAGAAAACCTTTTGAGAAGTGCTCATGTATGTCAAATTAGATATTGATGAAAATGAGGACTGGAAATTGACTGCTAATTTCACTATTGTGAAGGTCATTGATCATTTTGGCAAGGAAGGTTTAGGTGAAAGTATAAAGATAAAAAACTTGACTTGAGTGGGAATGGAAACTGAGAATTTGGAGAGCAAACATATACTCTTTAAAAACTATTACTATAAATGGCAACAGATAAGGTTCACTACTCAGTAGTTATCTTTTCAACTGTAATTATACCATTTTATGTACTTGCCAGTAGTAGTCTAAGAGTCTCAGTTGTTCCACATCTCAGTCAACATTTGGTATGGTCAGTTTTAGTTTTAGCCATTCTAGTGAGTACATAGTTGTATCTCATTGTGAGTTTAATTTGCATTTCTCTGATGACCATTGATATTGAGCATCAATTCATGTACTTATTGGCCATTTTTTGTATAGCTTCTTTTGCTAAGTAACTTTTCAAATTGCTCATTTTCTTATTGGGTCTGCAGTCTTTATAACTGAGATGTATGAGTGCTTTCATTATGCTGGATACAAGTTCTTTGTCTGATATATGTTTTGCCAATATTTTCTCATCATCCATGGCTTGCTTACTGTTTTGCTCCTCTCCAGCTTTTCATTCTGAAATTCTTTTTTCACTCTCCACCTTCTGGAAACTCATTTTCCTCCTTCCTCTGGCCAGAAATATGGGATATTTCTTGGCGTTTTACTGCTTCTACTGTAGCAGATGAAGGCCAGAGCCTACCAATAGGGCAGACCCACAACAGGAAAGAGAAAAAAATGAGAACCATCTCTGTCGCTTCTCCAACTTTTGACTCTCTTCCAAATATGGCTACAGGTAGTTGTTATTTTGTATTTTCTACAGAGTTTTTAAAGCTGTAATCAGTGGGAGGGATGGAACATAATGAATTTATGTGCTATGCCAATACCAAAACTCCCAAAAAGTTTTTAATTTTTATATAGAAGAAAACTTTGGTATTTTCACCAGGAAACATTTTGTGTTTTGTTCAATAAGGTCTTTTTCACCACAAGGTAGGAGAAATACACACGCACACACATTTATTTACTATATATAGTCTATTTTGTCTCTTTTGGCACTTTCAAAGTTCTTTGGCTTTGTTTATTTTATCTTGTTTACTTAGTTGTCCAAATACAATTTATTTGTAAAAAATTTTAGTTGTAGTAAAATATGTTTCTTAACCACTTTAAAACGTACAACTTAGTAGTGTCATAGTGTCAAATATTTTCACATTGTTGTGTATCCACTATCCAGAATATTTTCATCTTGTAAAACTGAAACTCTATAACCATTAAACCCCAACTATCCAAATTTCTTTTTTGTTTTTTGTTTTTGTCATGGAGTGACTTTGATTTTTTTTAATAGACGATGAATGGTCCAAGGACCATTTATTGTATAGTACACAACTTTTCCACTCATTTGAAGTGCCACTTTTAACTATAAATCAAATATATATTTATATATATATATATTTAATATTTACACATACATGAATTTGTTTCTGGGTTGCATTTCATTCTATTGATCAATTTGATGTATTGATCAACTTTGTATGTGATTTAATTTCAGTTGTTATCAGCTTAAAATAGTCTGTTATAACTATAAGATATTTTAAATAACTCCAAGGTAATGACAAAACAAAGAATAGAATATACACAACTATGTAACTATAAAAATTAAAAAATTAAATAAAAATATATATAAATAAAAATTACACAAAGGAAAAGAGAAAAATTCAAGGCATTTCTATACAAAAAAAATCAGTAAAACACAAAGGAAGACAACAAGAGATGAAAAGACAGATGAAAGAACAATAAGGCAAACATAAAGTGATTAAAAATAGTTACAGTAAATCCTTCCATATCAATAATTACTTTAAATGCAAATGAAATAAACTCCCCAATCAAAATACATAGAATTGCTGAATGGATTTAAAAAAAAAAAAACAGACACAGCTATATGCTATCTATAAAAAAATCCACTTTAGATTTAAGGACAATATAGGCTGGAAGGAAAGAATGAAAAAAGGTGTTATATGCAAATGGTTGCCAAAAAAGGGTAGAGGTGGCTATATTTAGATTATCCAAAATAGACTTTAAGTAAAAAATTGTCACAAGAGGCAAAGAAAAACATTATATAATGATAAAAGGATCAAACCACCGGGAAGTTATGACCATACATATATATATGCACTTAACGTTAGAGCACCTAAATATATAAAACAGATATTGACAGGTTGAAAAAGAATAAGTAGTAATACAATAATAGTAGGATACCTCAATATACCACTTTCAATAATGGATAGATCATCCAGACAGAAGATCAATAAACAGATAACTTAAACAACACTATAGACCAAATGAACATACCAGATATGTAGAGAACATTCCACCTAACATCACCAGAATACACATTTTCCTCAGTCATACACAGAACTTTATTCAGCCTAGAGCACATGTTAGGTCACAAAACAACTCTTAACAAATTGAATAAGATAAAAATAATACCAAGTATTTTTCTGACTGAAAATAGAAATCAATAGCAGGAAGAAAACCAGGAAGTTCACAAATATGTAGAAATTAAACAATATACTCTTCAACAACCATGGATTCAGAGAAGTAATCAAAAAGAAAATAAATACCTTGAGACAAACAAAAATGAAAACACAACATACTATAATATGAGATGCAGCAAAAGTAATACTATGAGGGAAATTTATTGTGATTAACACCTACATTAAAAATAAGAAATATTGAAAATAAGCAAGCTAACTTTATAAGGAACTAGAAATAAAAGAACAAACTAAGCCTAAAATTAGCAGATGAAAGAAAATAACAAAAATTAGAGCAGAAATAAATGAAATAGAGGAAAAATAGAAAAAAATCAGCAAAACTAAGAGTTGGTTTCTGAAAAGATAAAATAAAATTTGCAAACACTTACCCAAACTAACTGAGGAAAGAGAAGGTTCAAATACATAAAATCAGAAACAAAAGAGGAGACAACACAACTGATGCCACAGAAATAAAAAAAAAATCATAAGTGACTACTATGAACAAATATATCCAACAAACTGGTTAACCTAGAAGAAATGGATTAATTCCTGGAAAGATACAACTTATCAAGACTAATTTATGAAGAAATAGAAAATCTGACCTAAAACCAGTATGAACATACAATTGATAATCAAAAACTTTCTAACAAAGAAAAATCCAGGACTAGATAGATTCACTGGTGAATTCTTCCAAAACATTTAAAGGAGAATTAATGCCAATTCTTCTCAAGTCTTCCAAAAAATAGAAGAGAAGGGAACACTTTCAAGTTCACTTTATGAGGCCAGCATTACCCCGATACCAAAGCCAGACAAAGATACCACAAGAAAAGAAAATTTCAGGCCAATATTCTTGGTAAATATAGAAGCAAACTCCTCAACAAAATACTAGCAAACCTATTCCAACAGTACATTAAAAGGATCACACAACCTGAATAAGTGGGATTTCTCCCTGGGATGCAAAAATGGTTTAACATACAAAAATAAATTAATGTGATACACCACATTAACAAAAAAAGGATTAAAATCACATGATCATCTCAATAGATATAGAAAAAGTGTGTCACAAAATTTAACACTCTTTGATGATAAAAACTGTCAACCAACTTAGAATAGAATGAAAGTAACTCAACAAGACATAGGCCACATAAGACAAGCCCTCAGCTAACATCATATTCAGCAGCAAAAATCTAAAAGCTTTTCCTCTAAGATCAAGAACAAGGCAAGAATGCCCACTCTACCCACTTTTCTTCCATGTAGTGCTAGAAGTTCCAGTCAGAACAATTAGGCAAGAAAAAATAAGAAAAAGACATGCAAATTGCAAATAATGAAGTAAATTTTTCCTGTTTGTAGATGACATAATCTTGTATATAACTGATCCTCAATTAAAAACCTGTTAGAATAAACAAATTCAGCAAAGTTGCAGGATACAAAATCAACATTCAAAAATCAATTGTATTTCTATACACTGACAAACTATCTGAAAAGGACATTAGGAATACAATACCATTTGCAGTAACATCAAAATGAATAAAACACTTAGGAATAAACATAACTAAGAAGGTTAAAGACTTGCATTCTGAAAACTACAAAACATTCATGAAAGAAAGAAGACACAAACAAATGGAAAGACATCCCATATTCATGGGATCTGCTATACTGTATAATTTCACTCACACGAGGTATTTAAAATAGTCAAATTTTTGGAATCAAAGAGTGGAATGGTCATTGCCAGGGGCTCAGTTTGGGGGAGGGAGAAATAAGGAATGACTAATCAGAGGGCATAAAGTTTCACTTAAGCAAGACAAGTTCTAGAGATCTGTTTTGTAACATTCTACCTATTGCCAACAACACTGCATTGTACACTTAAAAATCTGGGAAGGTAGATCTCATCTTGACTGTTCTTACCACAATAAAACAAAATTTGAAAAAGTAAACATTGTATGAAGTAGGAATCCAACTTTTGAAAATGGTTACTCAGTTGTTCTGATACCACTTTTTGCTTAGTCCATCATTTTTTCACTGATTTGAAATGGCTTCTTTTAATATAAACTATATTTATACCCATGCACACATTTCTGGATGCTCTATACTGTTCTATTGACCTACATGTTTATCAATTTTTCAATATTTAGCAGTACTATTTTAAACCCTTTTTGATCATGATATATATTATTTTTTAGTGAAGTTCTCCATTAAAAGTGTTAATATTTTATTTAATGTTTTTGCATCTAGTTTTATAAGAAGACTATTGTGTTCTCTTCTTTTAGTATCCTGGTCTGATTTTGTAGAATCCACTCATAAAATACTCTGCACCTGGCTTTTGACTATATTTTCCATTTTGTCTGTGGTACTGGTTTATTCTGATTTTTAATTTCTTGATGCAAATCTCATTAATGTATACTTTTCTAGGAATGTCAGTTATTCTGGTTTTTAAAATTACTTTGTGTAAAACTATTCTCTTATTTTAAAAGTTCCTGAATTAGTAGTTTGGGTTTTATTATTATTATACTTTTTTTAGTGTTAATCAGATTGCCAAAGGTTTGTTTATTTATTTGGCATTTTCAAAGAGGCAACTGATATGGTTTGGCTCTGTGTTCCCACCCAATTCTCATGTCAAATTGTAATTCCCATTGTTGGGGGAGGGACCTGGTGGGAGGTGACTGGATCATAAAGGTGGATTTCCCCCTTACTGTTCTCATGATAGTGAGTGAGTTCTTAGGAGATCTGGTTGTTTAAAAGTGTGTAGCACTTTCCCCTTTGATCTGTGTCTCCTGATATGCCATGTGAAGATGTGCTTGCTTCCCCTTCACCTTCTGCCATGATTGTAAGTTTCCTAAGGCCTCCCAGCCATGCATCCTGTGCAGCGTGTGGAACTGTGAGTCAATTAAACCTCTTTTCTTCATATATTACCCAGTCTCAGGTAGTTCTTTATAGCAGGGTGAGAATGAACTAATACAGCAACTTTTTACTTTACTTATGTATTCTATCGTGTTCTATTTTCTATTTAATTAGTTTATATTTCTATCCTTTGAATTCTCTCTTACATTCCTTAGGTGTATTTTTTCATTCTTTCATGAGCTTATAACATTTAGTTTATTTAAATTTAATTTCTATTTTACTATACAGTTTTAAACCTAGATTTTTAAAAAATTATTTTCCTGTGTATGTTTTCAAGTTTCCAAGTGAATTGACTATCTCATCTTGGTTTCTCTCTTTTTATCTGTCCTTTAGGAGTTTTAAATTTTATTTTGTTACATTTTGGTTTGAAGATGTGGCATTATACTTTCTGATTTGAGGGATTTATTAAAATTTTATTTTTAGCTGAATACCTGATCTACTTTGAATGAACCTTCTGTGTTTGGAAAAAAATGTTCTTTTCACAAATGCATATTTGTTTGTTTAGATGTATTATTTTTTCCAAATCTTCTATATAATCATACATATTTTTTGTCTATCTGTTGTATATCTGAGAGAGGTTTGTTAAAGTCTCCCAAATTAGAATCCTCTCTTGTTCCTGGACTAGTCCCAGAACAGTCATCCCAAAGTACCTATGTATTGCACTCTCCATGACTTTCCACAACCTCTGGAACCAACTCAGAGATTCAGAGGGAGATAGCTGGGAAGACAATGCCCAAAGGTCCTTAATGCAATGCCTGTTTCATCATCTGTTTGCTTCCCTAGCTAAAGCCAGATCTGTAGTATACTTGGCAAGTCAGACCCTCTCTCTGAAGGTAACTGCATGTAATTAATGAGCAAAGAATTCTTTCTATATATGACATTATTTGTAAGATGCACCTGATGTGATGGAGGAAATTGGAAATTCCCCGGGGAAAGTCTTTGTATACATTCTGAGCACTTATTTACTTCCATAAAACACAGACTTGTAAACTGTTAAATGACCAAACAACTTTGACAATAGTATCTCTCCTTTTCAAAAAAAAGAAAGTTTGACTTGTAAAGAAGTAAAGATGTCATAGATTCAGAGGAAATTTTCCAAAGCAAATTAAAATTAAAGTTTATTATTGTTCATAGAATATTTTTATATACACTAGATAATTTTGTACTAGCAACAATTCTGTGACAGAAGTGAAAAACCATATGACTATCATCACCATTCTGATAGATACCACTGAGTACCCGGAATCAGAAGTGGCTCATTCAAAGTTATACAATTCATACATGATGAAGCCAATATTGGAATACACGTTATGATTGCAAATTTCAAGTTATTTACACTTCCTCATAGCAACCCCTTACAACCTAGAGATGAAATTTCCGTAGGACAATTGTCCTTGGCTTTCGATTCATGTGTATGATGAAGTTATGGAAATGGGAATTTCCTCAAATGTAGCTGTTGCATAAATACTAGTTGATTTAAAATAAATGTGCTAAATCTCTTCTGGTTGCTCCATTCATTCTTTCCTCTATGCTCTGCACACCAAGAGGCTGACTTAAGCACAGGATCATTGGGCTCCCTGGCCTTGGGAGAGTTGGTAGGGTTGGCCAGTGAGGACACTGGTAGGAGACCCAGGGAAAGAGGATAATGAGGTCCAGACATTTGTTTTCCGCATTTCCTCTTTGCTGGTTGCCGTGGGCTGGCCTTGTTCCTTAAATGAGGATCCCAGCTCCTACGAGGAGACCTTTCACCCAGTTCTCTCTTCTTCCCTGTCCCAGTAGCAGTTTCTTCCCCTGAACCCCTTAGGACTAGGGTGGAAGTGGTTACCTACTATTATTTACCTCAAGTACTACACCATCCCTCGTGGTTTCTCTGTGTCCTACCCATATGTTTGTAAATGGTCTCTTTTTTTAAACAACCCTCAAATTATATGCTTTGAATGTGGCAGCTGTTTCTTGCAAGGACCCTGACTGATAAAGGAAACAAGTTACTCTTAAAGTATATGGCTTAAGTGAAAAAAGCTGGGTGAAGGACAAGTTTCCTAGCCAATCCATTCAGTTTTGGAAAGGAGTTGGCTCTTTTAATTTATTCTTCACTGGGGATTACACATTTTTTGGACCAGAATCATAATCAGATCCAAAGATTTCTAATACTTTAGATATTATTAATAAAATTTACCAATAACAGAAAAAAATAAAGAAAAACAACTTTTCAGTTTCCAAAGCAGAAAGAAAACCCCATGCATTGTTCCTAAATCACTCTGTCGCCAGGCAAACTTCATTGCCACCCCATCCTGAGAAATTTTTTAGAACTGTTAGTGTCTCCTGATCTTTATACTTTGAATTAAGACAGGCGCAGGGTACTGCAAAGGCTCACTTCCCAAAATTCTTTGTAAGAAGTGAGACAGACTGATGATCACATGTTAAAGGAGGAATTGAAACAACCCATATCCAGCAGTCTCTGTGCATGCTGGAGACTGTGCGCGCATGAGAGTTCACACTTTATCCTCAGAAATCATTTTGGTGCTTGGGGACTACATGGGAATGGAGACTATTTACTTCTCTTCTGAGCCAGAGCGGGGTGATATGCTGACATGTCTGGTATTTTCTGCCAGTTGGCTACAATTAGGGTGAGTAGGAAAATATACTTCATTCCCATTCTTCTCCCTTATTCCCTTGCCATGGACAATTTTTAATATAATGCCATAAGGGACATTATGATTCAAAAATAAGAAAAAAATTCAGCTACATAATTGCTTAATCAATATGAGATAGGTTTCCACTGTCAAAGTGGAAAGGAGCACCACCTTCTAGTGGATCTGTTTTCCTGTTTGTACAGCAGTTAGACTGACGACATTTATTCCTTTCTTTGCATTTTAATGAGAAGAGGGATTGAAAATTAAAATATAGTGGTTGATGCTGCCTGAAGGTGAAGTGGAACAAAGCAAGAGTGCATCTTTCATTTTAACAATTTTTGCTTTTAAGCAAAGTTTCTTTTTTGTCACTTAAGATAAGGAAATAAAGTGGTCTACTAGAAATTTAAATGTTTAAATTTGTGTTCTTGACCAGTAACTATGGGATGCTAGTTCCTTGGTTGCATTTTTAGCAGTGTAACTGATGTATCTTCAGACAATGAACTTAGGAGTACTGTTACAGCACAAAATAACAAAAAAATTGTGCATCAGTCTTTCTAGGTTTGAAACAATGAAGATAAGAGTATGCGCTTAGAGACTAAAATTATGATTGCCAAAATTAGCATTTATTCTCTAGTTTCTCAAAGTGAGGAGCTATTGTAATATTTTAAATTAAAATTGATACATTAAGAACCATAGGAGACATCAGCAAAATGGCTAACTAGAAGCTCCTAGAACTTTCCTCCCTGCCACACCAAAATGCCTCAAAATAACAATTTACGTTACCACCAATATAACTAAAGGAGAGCACCAGCGAACAGCAAAACAACTGTACAGCAGAAATCTTGTAGAACACAGAAATTCAAGAAGGCCACACAGATAAGAGAAGGAAAGGGCTTGTCTTCACCACCCCATCCCGTAGGCAGGATCAGTTAGGAACCAGGAGGGGCTTCTCCCTGTAGAAAAAAGGTAAGCAAGAGGACGCCAGCAGCACCTATTGCCACTGTGGACAACTGCAGTCTTTGCTACTGGAGACTCCTGCAGCCCTCATAGGCTCTGAGCACTGCTGAGGGAGCTCCCTGCAATCCGTACCCTGAGTTACACTCAGAAAAGGAGCAGATACTGTGCCCTACCCTGCCACCCCACCTCCACATGCCCTGTGCTGCTCTGTAGCATATGGGAACCAAAGCTACCTAGAGTGTCCTGCTGGGGGCGAGTAGCCCTTTGCATTCCTCCATCCCTAAGGTTCAGCCATTACTGCACAACGACTGCCAGTAGCTACCATTCCTTCCCAACTCCCCACTCCCAGCCAAGTTCCTGCTATGCCCTACCTGTGAAGACCAAGCTACTGCAGAGCCGCTCCATTTTCCCCATCCTAGTTGCTGGTGCACCCTCCCCTTCAGGCTGAGCTAAACTGGTGCCCTGGCCGTAGAGAACTAAGGCATCAAACTATTGACACAGTCATGCCCCAGCACTATAACTGAGGCAGTATCCTGGCCCCTAGGTACCTCCAGCACCCCAGAGCAGTTGCCACTCACCCCGTTTTATAGGGGAGGCAGCACACCACCACCTGAAGGAGCTGAGTATCTTGCACACCAGAGAAGCTGTGCCTTCCAGCACCACAACTGACATGGCACCCTACCCCTGGGGATCCAGAAGCTCGACTGATCCCACCCCCTGGAATCCAGAGACTCCACTGAAAATATACTGATACGTAGACTCAATCCACTACCCTGATGTGTTATCGTGCTTTTTGGGGCTGAGCCGTGCCACCTTGCCTTCTAGGCCAAACAGCTACAATGCCCCACTGACTTGGAACTGGACTAGCCCTCACAGTTTGAGCTGCTGAGGCACCCCACCTCTCTGGGATGCAATCATTACAGCACCATTCCTCACCTTCCAGGGCCCAAACCCCGGCAGCATCTTGCCATTCCTGGGACATTGCTGCTGCTTCTGCACCTGGCCTCACAGAGCCTGGGCTACTGCCTTGTTCCGCCATCCCAGGCTTCAGAGTCACCACCACCTGGTACTTCGTGCCCTGGAGCCTGATCTGCTGTTATGCCCTGTTGGCTCCAGGTCCTGAATTGCAGTTGTGCCCTGCTCCCCAGGGCATTCCTTCTTCCCCAGAGCCATATCAGTACTGTGCTCTGCCTATCAGGGTCAGAAGAACCACAGCTGTATCTCAGCCCCTTGAACCAGTGTGCCTCAGAGCAACAGACTCCTAGCATCATTTCAGACAATGATGGTATAAAAATAGAAGTCAATAATAGGAGCAATCTTGAAAATTTACAACTATGTAAAATTAAACAACATGTTCCTGAATAATCAATGGGTCAAAGAAGAAATCAAAAGGGAAATTTAAAAATATATTGAGAGGAATGACAATGGAAGCACAACATACCAAAACTACGTGATGCAGCAAAAGCAGTTCTCAGAGGGAACTTTATAGCAATAAATGCCTACTTAACAAAACAGAAGAAAGATTGCAAATAAATAGTCTAACATTATGCCTCAAGAAACTAGGAAAAGAAGAACAACTAAACTCAAAATTAGTAGAGAGAAGGAAATAAAATTGGAACAGAAATGAATCAAATGAAGAACAGAAAACCACAGAATCAATAAAAGTTGATTTTTGCAAAAAAAACCCCACAAAATTTACAAAACTTTAATTAAAGAAAAAAGAGAAGACACCAACAAGATAAAAATGAAAGTGAAGAAATTACAACAGATACCTCAGAAATAAAAAGGATCATAAGTGACTATTATGAACAACTGAATGCCAAAGCATGCCAACAAAATGGATAACCTAGAGGAAATGAATAAATTCCTAGAAAAATACAGCCTACCAAGATTGAGCCAGGAAGAAATAAAAAGCCCAAACAGAACAATAACAAATATATTGAAGGAGTAACCAAAAACCTTTCAACAAAGAAAATCCCAGGACCAGATGGCTTCACTGAATTCTACCAAACACTCAAAGAATTAATACTAATACTTCAATTCTACCAAAAAATAGAGCTAGAGGGAATACTTCTAAACACATTTTATGAGGTCAGCATCACCTTAACACCTAAATGAGACAAATAAATCTCAAGAAAAGAAGTGACAGTCCAGTTTATCCGAATAACATTGATGCCATAATCCTCAATAAAATAGTAGTAAACCAAATCCAAAAACACATCGGAGAGATTATACATCATGTCCAAATGAGATCTGTCCCTGGCATGCAAGGCTGGCTTGACATATGTAAATCAATCACTGCGATACATCACATTAACAAAATGAAAAATAAAATTGACATTATCATCTCAATTAATGTGGAAAAAGCATTCGACAGAGTCCAACATGTTTTCTCAATAAGAACTCAACAGTTTCAGTATAGAAGGAAAATTTCTCTACAAAATAAAAGGCATTAGCCATTTATGAAAAACCCACAACTAACATTATAATCAATGGAAAAAAAAGAACTGAAAGTTTTTCCACTAAGATTTGGTAGAAGGTATCTTCTAGTAGAGGTATATCTAGAGTGGCATATCACTCTCAACACTTCTTTTCAACATAATACTGGAAGTACTAGCAAGAGCAATCATAATGAAAAAGAAATAAAAGGCACCCAAATCAGAAAGGAAAAAGCAAAATTATCTCTATTTGCAGTTGATATGATCTTATATATTAAAAAACCCAAAGATTCTACAGAAAATTTTTAGAACTAATAAATTCAATAACGTTGCGGGATACAAAATCAACATACAAATATCAATAGCATTTCTATACACAAATAACAACCTAACTCAAGAAATAAAAAAAAAATTCCATTTACAATAGCATCAAAAAATAAAATAAAATACCTAGGAATAAATTTAACCAAAGAAATGAAAGATCTTCATACTGAAAACTACAAAATGTTAATGAAAGAAATTAAAGAAGACACAAATAAATGAAAATATATCCCATGTTCATGGATTAGAAGAATTAACGTTGTTAAAATGCTAATACTTCCCAAAGCAATATCCAGATTCAAAAAAATACCTATCGAAATCCTAATGGCAATCTTCACAGAAATAGAAAAAAACAAGTCTAAAATTTATATAAAACCATGAGACGCTGAATGGCCAAAACAATTTTTGAAAAGAAAAACAAGGTTTCAGGGGTTATGTTTCCTGTTTTAAAATTACATTATAAAGCCATAATAATTAAAACAGTATGATTCTGGCATAAAATCTGACACATAGACCATTGGATCAGACTAGAGAGCCCAGAAATAAATCCAAATGTGTATGGTTAACTAATTTTTTATGAGAACACTAAGATGACACAATGGAAAAATGATAGTCTCTTCATAAATGGTTCTGGGAAAACTAGATTTCCATGCTCAAAAGAGCACCATACAAGAAAGTCAACTCAAAATTGATTTTAAAAAGACCTAAATATAATACCAGAAAACTATAAAAGTTCTAGAAGAGAACATAGGAGGAAATCTCTTGGACTTTGGTCTTGGTAATGATTTTTTGGATACTACACCAAAAGCCCTGACCACAAAAGTAAAAAATAAGTGAATGGAACTGCATCAAACTGCAAGGCTTCTGTATAGCAAAGAAAGTAATCAACAAAATGAAATGGCAGCCTATGGATTGGGAAAAAATATTTGTAAGCCATACATCTGATAATGAATTAATCTCCAAAATTTATAAAGAACACATACAACTCAACAGTGGAAAAAAAAATAACACAATTAGAAAACTGGCAAAACAAAAAAAAGTATAGGCATTTCTCCAAAGAAGACATAAAAATTGCTAACATATATAAGAAAACGTGGTCAACATCACTAATTATCAAATAAATGCAAATCAAAATCACTGTGAGATACCACCTTACACCCATTAGGATGGCTATGGTCAAAAAGTCCAAAGATAAATGTTGGTTAGTGTCTGGAGAAAAGGGAACTCTTATACATTGTTGGTGGAAATATAGATCAGTATAGCCATTATGGAAAACAGTATGGAAGTTTCTAAAGAAATTAAGCATAGAACTACCATATGATCCAGCAATCCCTTTTCTGGGCATATACCAAAAGGAAGTAAAACCATCACCTCATAAAGATATCTGTATTCCCATGTTCATTGCAGCCTTATTTACAGTAGCCAAGATATGGAAATAACCTAAATGTCTGCCCATTAACAAATGGATAAAGCAACTATGTTACATAGATAATGGAATATTAATCAGCCCTAAAAAGAACAAGATCTTGCCATTTGCTACAACATGAATGAGTCTGAGTATGAATGAGTATTCATTCACTATTTGCCACAACATGAACGAGTATTTCACTTTATGCTTAGTGAAATAAGCCAAACACAGAAAGAAAAATACTGCATTATCTCACTCACATGTGAAATCTAGAAATAAATTTTCAAATATGCAGAGACAGGTTACCAAGGGAAGGAGGATGGGAAAAAATGGAGAGATGTAGGTCAGGTGATACAAAGTAACAGATACATAGGATGACCAAGTCTAGAAATCTAATGTACAGCAAGAGGACTATAGGCAATAAAACTGTACTGTCTATAGGACTCATACTAAATGAGTAGATTTTAGCTGCTCTTGCCACAAAAAAAAAGGTGAGATGATGTATATGTTAATTTGTTTCCCTAAAGTAACCTTTAATACTATCTAGATGAGTCCCATAACATCATGATTTATACTTAAAATTTATTTAAAAAACAGTAAGTTTAAATGTATTTTAAACTATAACTGCAATTGCCATTTGAACTTAAAATAGTTATATTTTTTCAAATGTTAGAGAAGATGGCAAAGAAATAGAAAACACAATAAGTTAAAAGTAGAAAAAACAATTGGTATAACAAAAGACCTAAGATGTTGGCTTGATGATAAAAGTAAATGACAAATGACATAATAATCAACTAAGTAAACAAAATGGTGGTAGGAAGCTTTATACTAATATCAAGCAAAGTTGAATGCAAGCTGAAAATCTTAAATCAGTTATTGATGCAAGTTAAAATCTATAAAAAGTTATAATTACTGTAATTTTTCATTAGCAAAAAATACTATGAATAAAACATAAGTAACAGAAGATAAAGAATATATTTACAAGAATACAATTATAGTGAAAAATGACACCTCATTTTCAGTTTTTTGTAGCTCAAAATATAGATTTGAATAGCAATGTTTGTAATAATATTATAATTAATAAATATGCATATGCCAAATATTGAACCCTAGAAACAAAAAATGCATACTTTTAAAGACTCACAGATATTCATAGACATTTATCACATTTTTTGGAACAAAAAAATATTAAGTTCCCAAAAGTACAAATACTGTAGGCAACATTCTCTGACTAAAGCACTTTCAATGCTGGAAACAAATAAAATTAAAAAGAAAAGAAAAACTTATTAAGCAATTCTTAGGTTAAATAAATAATCAAAATCACAATTACAGAATATCTGGAAAAAAACATTTATATTACTAAAAAGGAAAGAACCTAAATAAGTGAGTAAGATGTCACTTGTTAAGAAAAAAAAAATACCAAAATAAACTTTCCTTCTGGAAAAACAGAAGGAAGGAATATTTTAAAATAAGAAGCAAAAATCCAAAAAAAAGGAAAATGATGGAAATTGTAACTGAATTCAAGATCTGGCTCTGTGGGGAAAAAATATCAGACACAATTAAATTAGATACATCACTTACCAATGTTAAATTTAAGAGAAAACAAAAAAAAGAGAAAAAACGCAGATGTATAAAATAAGCAATGTAAAGAGGGAACGAATACAGATGATAAGAAAATTATCATAAAAAGTACTCTCTACAACTTATATTAATAACTTTTAAAACTTGGATTTTTTTTTTTTTCAAGAAGAAATAGACTACAAATTGTAGAAGAAATTGTCAATGTTGTCAAAGTTCTCAAAAGGCTTCAGATCTAAAAGGTGCCTTTGGTAGTTTTTTCCATTCTTCCAAGAAACAGATTACTCCAATACGACTTAAATTTTTTCCAGAGCAACACAAGAGAAAAAATTATCTTAAATTATTTTATGACACTAGCATATGTGTGGTAGCAATATCTAACAGATTCTCTCTTTTTCTTTCTCTCTGTCTCTCTCTCTCCCACTTCTCTCTCTCAAAGATCTAAATGATGTATTAGCAAAGGTAATTTAGCAATGCATTAAAATAATAATATAGCATAACCAAGTAGGTTTAACTCCAAGAATATATCAAATTCAACACTGGGAAATCCATTAGATTCTTACAGTCAGTCAAATTACAGTAGATATAAAAGGTATTTGATTAAATTCAGACATTCCTGACTTAAAAAAATTTTAAACCTAAAGAGCATTAACCAAATATAATTTAATAAATGAAAATATGTCATGTTCTTGATTATAAAATCTCAATATTTTAAGACAATTCATCTATTTATTTTTCTCAAAATAACCTATAATATCTATGCATTTTTATTCAAAAGTGAAGCAAAATATGTTTTAGAAACTTGTAAATTATTCTGAAATTACTTTTTAAACATCAATAAAAAGTCAAAACAATTTGGAAGAATTTTCTATAAAAGGAAATATAAACTTTTAACCTACAATATTGAGTTTGTAAGTACTTCCAAACTTAAAACTTATAAATTGCAATATCTAAAACAGAATTGCCACAGAGGCACAGAAATAGTCTAAATTGAAATTGAATTAAGGAGCCAGAAATAGACTCAAGGATATGTGGTAGTTAAGTATATGATAAAGATGGCATTTCACATTGGTGAGAAGATGAATTGAATTTTTAATAAATAATGCTGGGATTACTGGTCAGATATTTGGGAAAAGAAAGCTGATTCTTTTATGGGAAAATAGCTTCCAGATGGATTAAAGGTTTAAATGTGTAAGAGGGAAAAAGGAAAGGACAAAAAGAATTTATAAAATACTAGGAAAAAATGGGTGAATAATTTTATAATCTTAAAACTGTTACAGGGGGGTCCTTGCTCCCAGAGCGCCCAAGATGGTGGCAGGCCACTTCCAAAGTGGCGGCGAGCCACTTCCAAGATGGTGGCAAGCCTTGTGTTCTCAGACTTGGGGTTCTTGGCCTCACGGATTCCAAGGAAAGGAATCCTGGGCCATGCAGTGAGTGTTATAGCTCTATTAGAAGCCGTGGGTCACAGAAGAGAATTGTGGAACCCAGTGACTGGTGTTCAGCTCAATTAGGATGAACCCAGGCACTTAGCTGTGCAGGAACAATGGCAAGCCTTTAGCCTGATCGGGAGCAGCAATGAGTGCCTCACTGGATAAGGAGCACAGCAGACACCCTGCGGGATCTGAAGGGATAGAAGTCAGCAGCGAGTCTGTGATGGCGGCAAACAGCAGTGGTGGACAGTGACCAAAAGCTCACCTCCAGACGTAGCAAACACGGACCAGAAGAGTGCAGTTGCAAGATTTAATAGAGTGAAATAGAGTGAAAACAGAGCTCCCATACAAAAGGAGGGGACCCAAAGAGGGTAGCTGTTGCAGGCTCGAATGCCTGGGTTTATATCCCAATCATCATCCCAGCCACTTCTTTAATTTCTTTCATTAACGTTTTGTGGGAAGTCATTCCCCACAAACCACAAATTCTCATCAGATGGGTTTTATTTAACCGTATATATTGTGACTTACTTTCCAGCCTGACTCTGGCGTAACATTACAAGACAAAGAGGAAAGTCAAAATACCTTACTCCAAAACATGTTTCTTTGCCGTATCTTGAAATGGCCGTGGAAAGCTGTCCTTTGTGGGGAAAAATTTACATCTGTAAAGAATCTCTATTAACATAGCTAGATGTTTTCTACCAGACCCTACCAATCCTAAAGAGATTAAAAATCTAGCACCTTTTAAAGATCTGAATAGGAAACTTTTGGCATCTATTGTATCTAAGAGCAGCCACTATAAGACAATCATCATCCCTCCCACTGTGCTTGCAGGCGATAGATGATTGGCTATTTCTTTACCTCCTGTTTTTGCCTAATTAGCATTCTAGTGAGTTCTCTGATTGGTCGGGTGTGAAATGATTCAATAAATTATCATCCAAACCATGTATTCAATAAAATAACAATATAGATCTCTTGACATGTATTTGGTTGAGAAAAGCAGATTAAAGAATAGTAGGTACCCCACATAACTATAGTCAATTGATCTTTGACAAAGGAGTAAAGACAATACATTGGAGCAAACATCTTCTTTTTGACTAATGCTACTGGAACAACTTGGATATCCACATGCATTAAAATTAATCTAGACACAGACCTTACAGCTTTCACAAAAATTAACTCAAAATGGATCACAGAACTAAATATAAAATGCAAAACTATAAAACTCCTGGGAGATAAAATAGGTGAAAACTTAGATTACCTTGGATTTCGTGATGACATTTTAGATATGACACCAAAGGCACAATCCATAAAAGAATTGATAAGATGGATTACATTAAATAAAAATTTTCTGCTTTTTGAAAGGCACTGTCAAGAGAATGAAAAGAGAAGCTACAGGTGAGGAGAAAATATTTGCAAGAGCTATGTCTGATAAAGCAGCAGTCCCTAACCATTTTCACGTCAGGGACTGGCTTAGTGAAAGACAAATTTTCCACAGATTGGGGGTAGGGGAGGTGGTATCAGGATGAAACTCTTCCTCATCAGATCATCAGGCATTAGTTAGATTCTCATGAGGAGTTCGCAACCTACATCCCTCATATGCGCAGTTCAAATAGGGTTTGCGCTCCTCTGAGAATCTAATGCCGCTGTTACCTGACAGGGGGTGGAGCTAGGGTGGTAATGCTTGCTCTCCAGCTGCTTACCTCCTGTTGTGCAGCCCAGTTCCTAACAGTCCAGGGACCAGTACTGGTCCACGGCCCGGGGATTGGGGACACCTCTGATAAAGGACTGTTATCTAAAGTATACAAAGAACTCTCAAAACTCAACAATAAGCAAACAGCCTGATTAAAAAAAATGGTTCAGACCTTAACAGATACCTCAAAATATATATATACAAATATCAAGCAAACATATAAAAAGATGCTCCACATCATATGTCATTAGGGAAATGCAAATTAGAATGAGATACCACCACACACCTATTAGAATGCCAAAAATCCAGAACAGACAACAGCAAATGCTAGTGAGGTTGTGGAGCAACAGGAGCTCTTACTTATTACTGTTGGGAATGCAAAGAGGTACAGCCACTTTGGAAGACAGCATGGCAGTTTCTTATAAAACTCTTGACATACAATTTAAAAATTGTGTTTCTTGCTATTTATGCAAACAAATTGAAAACTTAAATGCACACAAAAACCTACACACAGATGTTTAAACAGCTTTATTTTGAGTTATGAAAACAACCCTAAAGCAACCAAGCAACCATCTTGGTTGAAAGTAACCAGCATATCCTTCAGCAGGTGAATAGATGAATAAACTATAACATATCCGACAATATTATTCACTGCTAAAAAGAAATAAGCTATTCAGCTGTGAAAAGAATTAGAGGAACCTTAAATGCACATTATTAAGTAAAAGAAGCCAATCTGAAAAGGCTACATATTCTGTGAGTCCAACTATATGACATTCTGGAAAAAGACAAAATTATACAGACAGTAAAAAGATAAGTGGATGCCACAGGTTAGGGGAGAGAAAAAGGGCAGAGTGCAAGGCTTTTTTTGTTTTTTTAGAGCAACTATTCTGTATTATACTAAAATGGCAGATACATATCATCATACATTTGTCCAGACTCATAGAATATGCAACACCAAGAGTAAACCCTAATGCAAACTATGGACTTTGGGTAATAATGATGTGTCATTGTACGTTCATCAGTTGTAACAACAAATGTATCACTCTGGTGGGATATGTGAACCCAAAATATCTGAGTCAGTTCTCGGTCAATTTAGGAAGTTAATTTTGCCAAGGTTAAGGATGCACCTGTAACACAGCCTCAGGAGGTCCTGACAACATGTGCCCGAGGTGGTCCGGGTACAGCTTGCTTTTATACATTTGAGGGAGACATAATACATCAATCAATACACGCAAAATTTACTTTGGTTCAATCTGGAGGGGCGGGACAACTCAAAGCTGGGGCTTGCAGGTCATAGGTAGATTTAACAATTTTCTGATTGACGATTCATTGAGAGTTATGATCAGTGGAAAGAAATGTCTGGGTTACATAAGGGGTTGTGGAGTCCTAGGTTTTAACATGCAGATGAAACTTCCAAGTAGCCGGCTTCAGAGAGAACAGACTGTAAATGTTTCTTATCAAACTTAAGGTCTGTGTTGATGTTAATCCTGGAGGGGTATAATGAGACATGTCTGACCCCCTCTTCCACCATGGCCTGAACTAGATTTTCAGGTTAACTCCGGAATGCCCTTGGCCAAGAGGAGGGGTCCATTCAAATGGTTGAGGGCCTTCAAATTTTATTTTTGGTTTACAGATACGTTGATGATGAGGGAGCCTATGCTTGTATGGGAACAGGGTGTATAAAGGAAATCTCTGTACTTTCCTCTCAATTTTGCTGTGAACCTAAATCTGCTCTAAAAAATTATCTTTAAAAAAATAGTAAGTAAAGAATAATGATTATGAAATTGTAGATAATAAGATCCATGTATGGATATGTACACATGGAAATATACAAACTTTTATAATCAAAATGAGTTATGTCTCCCTTGCAAGAGACAGAAACTCAATTTAAACTAGTTCAAGCAAAAGAGGACCATTTTGGCTCAGATAGCTGAAAAGTATATTTTCAGGCCCATCTTTTTCAGGGCTTCAAAGAGGTCATCAAGAAGAGCCAGTTTTTTCTTTGTTCCCAACTCTCTGCCCTGTTTTCTCTGTGGGGGCTCTGTTTCCAGAACAGGATATCTGCTCATGGTGACAAGATGGCTGTTACAGTCCTTACCTCTCCTCCTTTCCATGTTAGTACCAGCATGAAAGAGAAAAATATTTTCCTGATTATTCATTTGAAAGCTGTACATTCATTGGTCATTGGCTAGCTTAACCTGGGACATGTGCCTATACTCAAATCAACACTGTGGATGGGCTTAGGCTTTGTGTGCCATGTCACATGCCCTACCCCTATAGCGTGTGGCCTGAGAGTTGGGTGGGTGAGGGGGAGGAAGAGTATTTCTTTTTTTTTTTTTTTTTTATTTTTACCATATGTCTTTAAAACATAATTTTATTTTAAGTTCTGGGATACATGTGCAGAATGTGCAGGTTTATTACATAGGTATACATGTGTCATGGTGGTTTGCTGCACCTATCTACCCATCATCTAGGTTTTAAGCCCCACATGCATTACGTATTTGTCCTAATGCTCTCTGTCCCCTTGCCCCCTACTGCCTGACAGTCCCCGGTGTGTGATGTTCTCCAAGGAGGTGTATTTCTGAAGGAAAATTGGAGAAGAGTAAATATATGCCGGGCCACTAAAAGAACAGAAGACAAATTTCCCTTCACAATGTTGTTTCTCAACATTTTTTTGTATGTATTATTTGAGAATTTACCATTTTTTACATAGTGAAAACTATGAACAACCATTATATGCAACATTTTATATGTAGACAAATCTATTTCCAATATAAATAAAATAAAATATATATTTATTTCTTCATTTCACACTATTTTTATTCTTTTGTGTTTCTGCCTTGTCTTTCACTTACATATTTTTTTCATACAAACCTCTCAGTATCACTTCTTTTTGTTGTCTTTCCATAGCTGTTATTCAGACTTCCAAAGTCACAGGTAAAAGCATATGTGAAGTGAAATTATTTACCCTAGGAAGTATTTCAGAGAAGGAAGTGGAGAAGTAAAGAAATATGCAGTGGCTCCAGAATGTCTGAAGAGAGTTTTAGGGGACTGGTCTTGAGTTATATTTGTATAGCAAACACAATTTTTACTTTGATGCCAAGTTGTTGGAAGGAAGAGCAGCTTTCCAAAGCTTATGAGATGTTGCCTTTGATGAATGGTTTTATTTAGATCGGTGCCCTAGAAAACTTTCATGTGCATATGAGTCACCTAGACACCTGATAAAATGCAGATTCTGACCCACTAGGTTCATGTTGGGACTCAAGGCTTATAATTTCTCACAAGCTCCCAGGTGATATTAATGCTGCAATTCCACAGATCATATGTTGAAATGCAAGTATTTGTATAACAATTTCCTAACAAGTCAAGAATCAAATCAACCATTTTCTGCATATTTTATTAAAACTGGAAATATATTAAAATATTTTCAATTATTCTGGGCTTATTTGTATATGCTACTATTTTTCTATTTAGGGCTAAGTAAAGCAAAATTAACAATAGTTGATTCTGTATTACCTCACCTTAAAAGAAAGAAGATATTCCAACTTTCTTTCCCACCATCTAATAAGTAATGTTAAACATCTTTTTATATTATGTCATAAGAAAGAAAATGCTCTTTTGCTGTCTTAAATGCTATTTTTCTTGTTCTGGAATGAAGATTACTCAATTCAACTTTGAATTACACTGGAATTGTGTCTAACATTTTTTATTGTTTGAGATTTGATAGTGTGCTCTGTCAAGGGCAAACTCGAGAGCCATGAGTTTTTGCTTTATTGCTGCCAACTAGTATAATTTGTAGAGCAAAAGGAGAAAGGCACTAAGAATGTCTCTTGAAGAAAGTGTATTTAAAATTTAGATTCCCACTTGTGCAAAATGGTGGCTGTTCCTCCTAACTGTGGGTCTGTATGACCTTGAGCAGCAGACACAGCCCAGCCCCAGCTTTCAACACCAATAACGCCTGAAGACCCAAGCCATTTCACCTGTCCAAGGCCAATTTTTGTGGCTGGATATGAATTCACTCTGGGTAACAAACATTGCTAATGATTTGTTTGTTTTTAAGCTTCATATGACCTCTCTAACTCCAGGCCCTTTGTCAGTTCCTCTCTGCCCTCTAAGAAGAATGGAATCTGGGAACCAAGGTCAAGAGCAAAAGTCTGCTTTGTTTAAGGGGAGAGAGAGAGAGAAAGAGAGAGAGAGAGAGAGAGAGTGCACACGTACAAGCATAAAATAGAAGCACCTTTCTCTTTGCCGCAGTTGGTTTGGGCACATTCCTTTCAGTTTACCCCAGGAACCAGAATTGCTTTTGGGGACTCTAGCACTAGCAGGTAATTCCAAAGTGGTAGCTCTGCTGTATTAGTCAGGGTTCTCTAGAGGGACAGAACTAATAGAATAGATGTATATATAAAGGGTATTAACTTTATTAATACATTATATATTATATACATCTATATATTAATATATAGATGTATATATTAAGGAGTATTAACTTAAATGATCACAAGGTCCCACAATAGGCTGTCTGCAAGCTGAGGGGCAAAGAAGCTATTCCAAGTCCCAAAGCTGAAGAACTTGGAGTCTGATGTTGGAGGGCAGGAAGCAACCAGCATGGGAGAAAGATATAGGCTGGGAGGCTAAGCCAGTCTAATCTCTCCACATTCTTCTGCCTGCTTTTTATTCTGACTGCACTGGCAGCTGACTAGATGGTGCCCACCCGGATTGAGGGTAGGTCTGCCTCTCACAGTCCACTGACTCAAATGTTAATCTCCTTTGGCAGCACCCTCACAGACACACCCAGGAACAATACTTTGCATCCTTCAATCCAATCAAGTTGACACTCAGTATTAACCATCACACTCTGCTATCATTTTTATTTAACGTAGAAGCATCTCAGTTGTCTTGAGTCGAGTTTCCACCTGTGGTGTTTTTTTGTTTTTGTTTTTGTTCGTTTTTTTATTATTATTATTTTTAGTATTATTATTTGTTTTATATTGACAGTCTCACTCTATTGCCCAGGCTGGAGTGCAGTGGTGCAATCTCAGCTCACTGCAACCTCCTGGGTTCAAGTGATTCTCGTGCCTCAGCCTCCCAAGTACCATGTTGGCCAGGCTGGTGTTGAACTCCTGACCTCATGTAATCCACCTGCCTTGGCCTCCCAAAGTGCTGGGATTACAGGCATGAGCCACCATGCCCAGCCACCACCTATGTTTTTGAATATGATGTGGGGGATACAATGTTATCTTCTTTGGGCCCTTGTTATGATCCCGACTGCATACTCCAGTTCCTTATCTTATAGGAGCTTGCTTAATCGAAATTTCAGACTTTACTTAGCACCCACAACTACCTACCTCTTCTCTGGCTCCTATTGAGATCCACTGGCTAGGCATTGTTTGCATTTCTACTTGTTTGTCTATGCCTCTGTGAAAGTTACTGGCACTTGAGAAGACAGAGTGACATAATAGAGAAATGTATGAGAACAAAAAAGTGTTAATGAAGAAAAGAATCACTACAGCCTACATTTATGTTTGCTAGAGACAGTGCTTTAGTAGCCCAAAATTCTCCTTTTAAACACATTTACAAGGTAAACAAGTCCTTTTTTCTATAAAACAGTGACATTTGTTTGACATTGGACATTGGGTTGACCATTGGTGATGGCAGACAAAATCCTAAAGTATAGGTTTAGACGTTAGCCTTGCTGTGCTGATGACAGAAACAGACTCTTACGATGCCCTCCTGTGGCTTGGAAATTCCCCTATATTCCTTCTCTTTCCCTCAGGCACTTTGATGACACACCAGTTCCTCATCAGCATACTGGGGACCCAGTTGGAGTTGTAGAGTTAATGCCAATAGTGCTGTCTACAGATACAAAAAAAAAGAGCCTTGCATTTATGCATGTGACTATTTTTTAAATATGTAAGAAGAAAACTATGTTTTAATTTGTTGATTTTTTTTGGATACTAAACTTAAGCTATAGAAGAAAAGAAAAATTATTCAAATATGTTTTGAATAATCATTTATTCTAGAGCATCTGACAAACATAAACTTGGAAGTATGGAAGAACCTCCATCTTAACAATGGCCACTTTCCAAAGAACAGTAAGGGACATATATTTAAAAAACAACAAGAAAAAAACATAAACCACAATCATCTGCCACAGAAGTAATGACTGCAGGAATCACAAAAGATGGTGATAATAAGTGGAAGGTTATGCCTTGAAGTCCTGCCAGTGAAATTCAATTTAATTAAATGAGGGTTTAATTATAAAAAACAAAGATGGCATTCACTTCTATTTTAAATTTTGTGCATAAAAAGTAAGCTTCAGAAATATGAAAGAACCAAAGAAAGCCATCAAATAAGAAGAACTTAAACTTATTTTTTTATCCTGGTTGGTGGGAAGCAGGGGAGTAGGAGAGCAGAGGACCATTTGGCAGGCAATAGATAAATATAAGCAAACTACAAGTCCTTGGTTTTGCCTTAAGTGGCAAAATGCATGATGAAGACAAGAGTGAAAGAGTCTGAGTTGATAAACATGAAGACAATTATTGTTCTTATTTATTGGCTTCTAAAGCATATCTTGCTTAATACAAAATACCATGCTGCTGAAAAGCAGAAAGACTATTAAAACTCCAAAATAGAGATGTTCTGAGAGCTGAAGCCATGTACAGAGTATTTTTCAATTACTTCAAAAAAGAAGGTATCATACATAGAGCTATGTGTTTGAAAACATTTAACTAAATAAGGATGATAATTGCAAAATAAATGCTACACCATGGGCCAGGATGGGAATAATATGTTGATCCTGAATAAATAACTTAGGCTAAAGCAGTAAAACAAATTAAGAGAATTAGAATCAAAACTATTATTACTATTATATTATTTTTAAACATTTTTCTGTGTGAGAGATAGTGGGGGTTAAGAGGGGAGGAGGCAGGAAAAGAGTTACAGAAAACGAAGGGCCACTGTGGGTAAGCAAAAAATGGCTAAGTTGATTCACAGCAACTCAGTGGGAGGTCTAGATCATGTTTTTTTACATTTTATAATACATCCAAAACTGTATTTGTCAATTTTTCCTAAATGGCAACTCTACATGCCTATGTTCATTTATACCCAGTCTGAAGTGGGCATAAGCACAAACCAAAAAAGTAAAAAAAAAATTGTCTGTCTCCAGGACATTTTAAAACCAATTTATTTCACTTTACATCATCATTAAGGAAGATTATTTAAACAGAGTCACAGTCTACTTGTTGAATATTCTACCCTGGGACTAAAATTAGCAACTAAACCCTTGAATTTAAACCATTCCAAGTTTTGGATCCAATCATATTAACCTTTCTACCAGCTTTCCTGCTTGGTTTAATCTGATAGCCCCAGGAGATGGATTCTGAGGAGTGCCTGAGCCATTGGGGAAGGAAGTGGTTAAGAAGGAAGAAGCACACTTCTTGGCAGAGTGTCTGAGCATGCAGTCACCTTCCTCAAAGATAATGCCTAAATATCCTGACATCTAAAAGTATAATTCAGAAGTGCCAAAAGATTTATCAGCTCTGAAATACCTGAGAGTCGCACCATAAAATTCACCCAACAAGAATATATTTATTAATTAAACATTTGGGGTGGGGAGCAAGTTTTGTGTTTGGCATTTATGAATGGTTAGAGGGGGGAACATTAAATACTTTAAGGAAAATTTTCTTTCTTTTTTTTTTTACAACTTGTTCATGCTTAACTCTGTCAATATCAGTATCAAATATCATTTTTATTTCGGCATAAGAATAAGTCAGCAATTATAATATCTATATTTCTTTACACATAAGCTATGTTTAGAAAGTCTGCATTGGGTATTTAAGGACTTGTTCAAACTTTAATTACTTCATTTTATCTTTTCATTTATTTTTTAATTTTATTATTATTATACTTTAAGTTTTAGGGTACATGTGCACAACGTGCAGGTTTGTTACATATGCATACATGTGCCATATCGGTGTGCTGCACCCATTAACTCGTCATTTAGCATTAGATATATCTCCTAATCCTATCCCTCCCCGCCTCCCCCCGACACAACAGTCCCCGCTGTGTGATGTTCCCCTTCCTGTGTCCATGTGTTCTCATTGTTCAGTTCCCACCTATGAGTGAGGACATGCGGTGTTTGGTTTTTTGTCTTTGCAATAGTTTGCTGAGAATGATGGTTTCCAGCTTCATCCATGTCCCTACAAAGGACATGAACTCATCATTTTTTATGGCTGCATAGTATCCCATGGTGTATATGTGCCACATTTTCTTAATCCAGTCTATCATTGTTGGACATTTGGCTTAGTTCCAAGTCTTTGCTATTGTGAATAGTGCTGCAATAAACATACATGTGCATATGTCTTTATAGCAGCATGAAGTTTTTAAATGCTGTGAAGGAAAAAAACCAGTGATGGAATAGAGAATAGTTTGGAGGAGGGAGGTCAGGGGAAGTCTTCTTGAGGAGGTGACACATAAGAAAGAGACACACAGCTTGGGAAAAACTTATGCTCTCTGCAAAAGGGAATGTATTACCTTGCTTGCACACTGATGGTGTAGTTTTATAATTAATTCATTGCTGCTCATTATTTACCAAAAACCAAGACTCTCTGACACAAAATAGATGCATTTGGATGGACTGCAGGACTAAGGAATATTCAGAAACATGAGATTCTCTACATCTCCCTATTCCCCACCCCTACCTCCAGCCACCACCATTTTACTCTCTATTTCTATGCACTTGACTTTTTAAAAATTCCATGTATGAGATAATTAAGTATTGATCTTTCTGCATCTGGCTTATTTCACTTAATATAATTTCCTCCAGTTTCACCCATATTGTTATAAATGGCAGGATCTCCTTCTTTTTAAGGTTAAATAATACTCCATTGTATGTGTACTGCAGTTTCTTTATCCATTCGTCTGTTGATGCATTTATTGGCCAACAGACACTTAGGTTGTTTGATTTTCTGGCTATTGTGAATAATGTTGCAATGAACATGGGACTATAGATATCTCTACAAGATGCTGATTTCATTTATTTTGGGTATATACCCATAACAGAGATTTCTAGGTCAAATTGTAGTTCTATTTTTAATTTTTTAACAAATGTTTATATTGTTTTGCATAATGGCTGTACCAATTTACATGAACACCAAGAGTGTACACAAGGGGGTCTCTTTTCTTCACACTCTCACCAACACCTATGTCTTTTCTTTTTGATAATAGCCATTCTAGCAGATATGAGGCGATATCTGATTATGGTTTTAACTTACATTTTCCTGATGATTAGTAATGTTGAGCACCTTTTCAAAGACATTTTGGGCATTTTTATGTCTCTTTTGGAGAAATATCTATTCAGGTCCTTTGTCCTTTTTAAAATTGGGTTATTTGTAAGATCCTTACATATTTTGGAGATTAGACTCTTGTCAGATACATGTTTTACGAATATTTTCTCCCCACTTGTAGTCTTCCTTTACATTTTTGTTGATATATATGTATATTTTCTTGCTGTGCAGAAGCTTTTTAGTTTGATGTTGTCCCATTTGTTTATTTTTGCTTTTGCTGCCTGTGCTTTTATGTCATATCCAAAATATTATTGCTAAGGTAATGCCAAGGAACTTTTCCTCTATGTTTTTTTTCTAGGAGTTTTACAGTTCTGGTCTTATGTTTAGGTCTTTAATCCATTTTGATGAGTTGATGTTTGTGTGTGGCATAAGAGATACAATTTCACTCCAAGACACATAATTGTCAGATTCACCAAAGTTGAAATGAAGGAAAAAATGTTAAGGGCAGCCAGAGAGAAAGGTCGGGTTACCCTCAAAGGAAAGCCCATCAGACTAACAGCGGATCTCTCGGCAGAAAACCTACAAGCCAGAAGAGAGTGGGGGCCAATATTCAACATTCTTAAAGAAAAGAATTTTCAACCCAGAATTTCATATCCAGCCAAACTAAGCTTCATAAGTGAAGGAGAAATAAAATACTTTATAGACAAGCAAATGCTGAGAGATTTTGTCACCACCAGGCCTGCCCTAAAAGAGCTCCTGAAGGAAGCGCTAAACATGGAAAGGAACAACCGGTACCAGCCGCTGCAAAATCATGCCAAAATGTAAAGACCATCGAGACTAGGAAGAAACTGCATCAACTAATGAGCAAAATCACCAGCTAACATCATAATGACAGGATCAAATTCACACATAACAATATTAACTTTAAATATAAATGGACTAAATTCTGCAATTAAAAGACACAGACTGGCAAGTTGGATAAAGAGTCAAGACCCATCAGTGTGCTGTATTCAGGAAACCCATCTCACGTGCAGAGACACACATAGGCTCAAAATAAAAGGATGGAGGAAGATCTACCAAGCCAATGGAAAACAAAAAAAGGCAGGGGTTGCAATCCTAGTCTCTGATAAAACAGACTTTAAACCGACAAAGATCAAAAGAGACAAAGAAGGCCATTACATAATGGTAAAGGGATCAATTCAACAAGAGGAGCTAACTATCCTAAATATTTATGCAACCAATACAGGAGCACCCAGATTCATAAAGCAAGTCCTGAGTGACCTACAAAGAGACTTAGACTCCCACACATTAATAATGGGAGACTTTAACACCCCACTGTCAACATTAGACAGATCAACGAGACAGAAAGTCAACAAGGATACCCAGGAATTGAACTCAGCTCTGCACCAAGCGGACCTAATAGACATCTACAGAACTCTCCACCCCAAATCAACAGAATATACATTTTTTTCAGCACCACGCCACACCTATTCCAAAATTGACCACATACTTGGAAGTAAAGCTCTCCTCAGCAAATGTAAAAGAACAGAAATTATAACAAACTATCTCTCAGACCACAGTGCAATCAAACTAGAACTCAGGATTAAGAATCTCACTCAAAGCTGCTCAACTACATGGAAACTGAACAACCTGCTCCTGAATGACTACTGGCTACATAACGAAATGAAGGCAGAAATAAAGATGTTCTTTGAAACCAACGAGAACAAAGACACCACATACCAGAATCTCTGGGACACATTCAAAGCAGTGTGTAGAGGGAAATTTATAGCACTAAATGCCTACAAGAGAAAGCAGGAAAGATCCAAAATTGACACCCTAACATCACAATTAAAAGAACTAGAAAAGCAAGAGCAAACACATTCAAAAGCTAGCAGAAGGCAAGAAATAACTAAAATCAGAGCAGAACTGAAGGAAATAGAGACACAAAAAACCCTTCAAAAAATCAATGAATCCAGGAGCTGGTTTTTTGAAAGGATCAACAAAATTGATAGACCACTAGCAAGACTAATAAAGAAAAAAAGAGAGAAGAATCAAATAGACACAATAAAAAATGATAAAGGGGATATCACCACCGATCCCACAGAAATACAAACTACCATCAGAGAATACTACAAACACCTCTACGCAAATAAACTAGAAAATCTAGAAGAAATGGATAAATTCCTCGACACATGCACTCTCCCAAGACTAAACCACGAAGAAGTTGAATCTCTGAATAGACCAATAACAGGCTCTGAAATTGTGGCAATAATCAATAATTTACCAACCAAAAAGAGTCCAGGACCAGATGGATTCACAGCCGAATTCTACCAGAGGTACAAGGAGGAACTGGTACCATTCCTTCTGAAACTATTCCAATCAATAGAAAAAGAGGGAATCCTCCCTAACTCATTTTATGAGGCCAGCATCATTCTGATACCAAAGCCGGGCAGAGACACAACAAAAAAAGAGAATTTTAGACCAATATCCTTGATGAACATTGATGCAAAAATCTTCAATAAAATACTGGCAAACCGAATCCAGCAGCACATCAAAAAGCTTATCCACCATGATCAAATGGGCTTCATCCCTGGGATGCAAGGCTGGTTCAATATACGCAAATCAATAAATGTAATCCAGCATATAAACAGAGCCAAAGACAAAAACCACATGATTATCTCAATAGATGCAGAAAAAGCCTTTGACAAAATTCAACAACCCTTCATGCTAAAAACTCTCAATAAATTAGGTATTGATGGGACGTATTTCAAAATAATGAGAGCTATCTATGACAAACCCACAGCCAATATCATACTGAATGGGCAAAAACTGGAAGCATTCCCTTTGAAAACTGGCACAAGACAGGGATGCCCTCTCTCACCACTCCTATTCAACATAGTGTTGGAAGTTCTGGCCAGGGCAATCAGGCAGGAGAAGGAAATAAAGGGTATTCAATTAGGAAAAGAGGAAGTCAAATTGTCCCTGTTTGCAGACGACATGATTCTTTATCTAGAAAACCCCATCATCTCAGCCCAAAATCTCCTTAAGCTGATAAGCAACTTCAGCAAAGTCTCAGGATACAAAATCAATGTACAAAAATCACAAGCATTCTTATACACCAACAACAGACAAACAGAGAGCCAAATCATGAGTGAACTTCCATTCACAATTGCTTCAAAGAGAATAAAATACCTAGGAATCCAACTTACAAGGGATGTGAAGGACCTCTTCAAGGAGAACTACAAACCACTGCTCAAGGAAATAAAAGAGGACACAAACAAATGGAAGAACATTCCATGCTCATGGGTAGGAAGAATCAATATCGTGAAAATGGCCATACTGCCCAAGGTAATTTACAGATTCAATGCCATCCCCATCAAGCTACCAATGACTTTCTTCACAGAATTGGAAAAAACTACTTTAAAGTTCATATGGAACCAAAAAAGAGCCCACATCGCCAAGTCAATCCTAAGCCAAAAGAACAAAGCTGGAGGCATCACACTACCTGACTTCAAACTATACTACAAGGCTACAGTAACCAAAACAGCATGGTACTGGTACCAAAACAGAGATATAGATCAATGGAACAGAACAGAGCCCTCAGAAATAATGCCGCATATCTACAACTATCTGATCTTTAACAAACCTGAGAAAAACAAGCAATGGGGAAAGGATTCCCTATTTAATAAATGGTGCTGGGAAAACTGGCTAGACATATGTAGAAAGCTGAAACTGGATCCCTTCCTTACACCTTATACAAAAATCAATTCAAGATGGATTAAAGATTTAAACGTTAGACCTAAAACCATAAAAACCCTAGAAGAAAACCTAGGCATTACCATTCAGGACATAGGCGTGGGCAAGGACTTCATGTCCAAAACACCAAAAGCAATGGCAACAAAAGCCAAAATTGACAAATGGGATCTAATTAAACTCAAGAGCTTCTGCACAGCAAAAGAAACTACCATCAGAGTGAACAGGCAACCTACAACATGGGAGAAAATTTTCGCAACCTACTCATCTGACAAAGGGCTAATATCCAGAATCTACAATGAACTCAAACAAATTGACAAGAAAAAAACAAACAACCCCATCAAAAAGTGGGCGAAGGACATGAACAGACACTTCTCAAAAGAAGACATTTATGCAGCCAAAAAACACATGAAGAAATGCTCATCATCACTGGCCATCAGAGAAATGCAAATCAAAACCACTATGAGATATCATCTCACACCAGTTAGAATGGCAATCATTCAAAAGTCAGGAAACAACAGGTGCTGGAGAGGATGTGGAGAAATAGGAACACTTTTACACTGTTGGTGGGACTGTAAACTAGTTCAACCATTGTGGAAGTCAGTGTGGCGATTCCTCAGGGATCTAGAACTAGAAATACCATTTGACCCAGCCATCCCATTACTGGGTATATACCCAAATGACTATAAATCATGCTGCTATAAAGACACATGCACATGTATGTTTATTGCGGCACTATTCACAATAGCAAAGACTTGGAACCAACCCAAATGTCCAACAATGATAGACTGGATTAAGAAAATGTGGCACATATACACCATGGAATACTATGCAGCCATAAAAAATGATGAGTTCATGTCCTTTGTAGGGACATGGATGAAATTGGAAACCATCATTCTCAGTAAACTATCGCAAGAACAAAAAACCAAACACCGCATATTCTCACTCATAGGTGGGAATTGAACAATGAGATCACATGGACACAGGAAGGGGAATATCACACTCTGGGGACTGTGGTGGGGTCGGGGGAGGGGGGAGGGATAGCATTGGGAGATATACCTAATGCTAGATGACACGTTAGTGGGTGCAGCGCACCAGCATGGCACATGTATACATATGTAACTAACCTGCACAATGTGCACATGTACCCTAAAACTTAGAGTATAATAAAAAAAAAAAATTAAAAAAAAAAAATTTAAAAAAAAAAAGAAAAAAGAAAAAAAATAAAAAAAATAAAAAAAAAAGAAAAGAAGAGCATTTGTTTGGATATATATGTATTTGAGCATGTCATTTATTTTTAAATTTTTCACAACTTTGTTGGACATCTAGTAATAATTAAATACTTTTTAAATTTAAAAAAAAAAAAAAAAAGAGATACAATTTCATTCTTTTGCATGTGAATATCCAGTCTTCCTGACACCATTTATTGAAGAGACTATCCTTTCCCCATTGTGCCTTCTTAATGTCCTTGTTGAAAATTAATTGTTTGGATTTATTTTGGGGCTCTCTATTCTGTTCCATTGATAACTTTTCTTATTTTCTTATAGAGTTATGAAAGCTCTTGGCTATAAAACAGAATAGCTAAAATTTAAAAATCACTAATAGTAGGATTAATTAGATACTGGCCCTACAGCTAAGAAAACAGTGTGAAAAAATGGCACTAAAGTTTTACAAGTTGTCCAAATGCCAAAGTAAAATTAATTAATGCTAGTCTAATCAGATACCTTTCACATAATGTACTTTTCATATCCAGCCCAAAATTTAAATATAAAAAATATAGCCTCCCAGAACTAATACCAATAATTCAATTATAGTAAAATAATGTATTTTTCTTATTTTCCATTATTTTAGATTCAGGAGGTACATGTGCAGGTTTGTTACATGGATATATTGCATAATGGTGGGGTTTGAACTTCTAGTGAATCTATCACCGAAGAGTAAACATTGTACCAAATAAGCAATTTTTCAATCCTCATCCCTCTCCCAGACTTCCCCCTTCTGGAGTTCCCAGTGTCTATTATTTCTATCTTTATGTCCATGTGTACCCATTGTTTAGATCCCACTTATAAGTGAGAACATGTGGTATTTGATTTCCTGTTTCTGAGTTATTTCACTTAGGATAATGGCCTCCAGCTCCATCCATGTTGCTGCAAAGGACATGATTATATTCTTTTTTTATGGTTGCATAGTATTCTATGGTATATATATTCCAAATGCTCTTTATCCAATCAACCACCAATGGACACTTATGTTGATTCCGTGACTTCACTATTGTGACTAGTACTGAGATAAACATATGAGTGCAGGTGTCTTTTTGAGAAAATAACTTATTTTCCTTTGGGTGGACACCCAGTGGTGAGATTGCTGAGTTGATTGTAGTTGTATTTTTAGTTATTTGAGAAATCTCCATATGGTCTTGCATAGGATTTGAACGAATTTTTATTTCCACCAACAGTGTACAAGCATCCCCCTTTTTCTGCTTCCTCACCAATATCTATTGGGGATTTGTCTTTTTGTTTGTTTGGTTTTTGGTTTTTGGTTTTTTTTTGTTTTTTTTTTTTTTTTACTAATAGGCATTCTGACTAATGTGAGATGGCATCTCATTGCGATTTTCATTTGCATTCTTCTGATGATTAGTGATGTCGAGCATTTTTAATTTTTTTTTTTGGCCACTTGTATGTCTTCTTTCGAGAAGTGTCTGTTTGTGTCTTTTGCCCACTTTTTAAGAGGGTTGTTTTTTTCTTGTTGACTTGAGTTCCTTATAGATTCGAGATATTAGTCCTTTGTCAGATGCATAGTTTGCAAATATTTCCTACATTCTCTAAATTGTCTCTTTACTCTGTTGGTTGCTCTTTTACTGTTCAGAAGCTCTTTAGTTTAATTAAGTTCCATTTGTCAATTTTTGGTTTGTTGCATTTGTTTTTGAGGTCTTAGTCATAAATTCCTTGCCTAGGCCAACGTCCAGAAGAGTTTTTCCTGTTTTCTTCTAAGATTTTGATAGCTTCAGGTCTTACATCTAAGTCTTTAAAATATATATATATATATATATATATATATATATATATATATATACATATATATACACATATATACTTTAAGTTCTGGGTTACGTGTGCAGAACGTGCAGTTTTGTTACATAGGTATACACGTGCCATGGTGGTTTGCTGCACCCATCAACCCATCACCTACATTAGGTATTTTCCCTAATGTTATCTCTCCCCTAGCCCCCAACCGCCAACAGGCCTTCGTGTGCAATATTCCCCTCCCTGTGTCCATGTGTTCTCATTGTTCAACTCCCACTTATGAGTGAGAACATACAGTGTTTGGTTTTCTGATCTTGTGATAGTTTCCTGAGAATGATGATTTCCAGCTTCATCCATGTCCCTGCAAAGGACATGAACTCATCCTTTTTTATGGCTGCATGGTGTTCCATGGTGTATATGTGCCACATTTTCTTAATCCCGTCTATCGTTGATGGACATTTGGGTTGGTTCCAAGTATTTGCTATTGTGAATATTGCTGTAATAAACATACATGTGCATGTGTCTTTATCATAGAATGATTTATAATCCTTTGGGTATATACCCAGTAACAGGATTGCTTGGTCAAATGGCATTTCTGGTTCTAGATCCTTGAGGAATCCCCACACTGTCTTCTATAATGGTTGAACTAATTTACACTCCCACCCACAGTGTAAAAAGTTTCTATTTCTCCACATCCTCTCCAGTATCTGTTGTTTCCTGACTTTTTAATGATCACCATTCTAACTGGTGTGAGATGGTATCTCATTGTGGTTTTGATTTGCATTTATCTAATGACCAGTGATGATGAGCATTTTTTCATATGTCTGTTGGCTGCATAAATGTCTTCTTTGGAGAAGTGTCTGTTTATATCCTTTGCCCATTTTTTGATGGGGTTGTTTTCTCCTTGTAAGTTTGTTTAAGTTCTTTGTAGATTCTGGATATTAGCCCTTCGTCAGGTGGATAGATTGCAAACATTTTCTCCCATTCTGTAGGTTGCCTGTTCACTCTGATGATAGTTTCCTTTGCTGGGCAGAAGCTCTTTAGTTTAATTAGATCTTATTTGTCAATTTTGGCTTTTGGTGCCATTGCTTTTGGTGTTTTAGACATGAAGTCTTTGCCCATGCCTGTGTCCTGAATGGTATTGCCCAGGTTTTCTTCTAGGATTTTTATGGTTCTAGGTCTCACATTTAAGTCTCTGATCTATCTTGAGTTGATTTTTGTAAAAGGTGTAAGGAAGGGGTCCAGTTTCAGTTTTCTGCATATGGCTAGCCAGTTTTCCCATCACCATTTATTAAACAGGGAATCATTTCCACATTGCTTCTGTGTGTCAGGTTTGTCAAAGATCAGATGGTTGTAGCTGTGTGGCATTATTTCTGAGGCCTCTGTTTTGGTACCTGTACCATGATGTTTTGGTTGCAGTAGCCTTGTAGTATACTTGATGTCAGGTAGCATGATGCCTCCAGCTGTGTTCTTCTTGCCCAGGATTGCCTTGGCAACGCAGGCTCTTTTTTAGTTCCATATGAAGTTTAAAGTAGTTTTTTCTAATTCTGTGAAGAAAATCAGTGGTAGCTTGATGGCGATAGCACTGAATTTATAAATTACTTTGGGCAGTAAGGCCATTTTCACAATATTGATTCTTCCTATCTATGAGCATGGAATATTTTTCCATTTGTTTGTGTCCTCTCTTATTTCCTTGAGCAGTGGTTTGTAGTTCTCCTTGAAGAGGTCCTTCATCTCCCTTGTAAGTTGTATTTCTAGGTATTGTATTCTCTTAGTAGCAATTGTGAATGGGAGTTCACTAATGATTTGGCCCTCTGTTTGTCTGTTATTGGTGTATAGGAATGCTTGTGATTTTTGCACATTGATTTTGTATCCTGAGACTTTGCTGAAGTTGCTTATCAGCTTAAGGAGATTTTGGGCTGAAACGATCGGGTTTTCTAAATATACAATCATGTCATCTGCAGAGAAAATTTGCTTCCTGTCTTCCTATTTAAATACTCTTTATTGCTTTCTCTTGCCTGATTGCCCTGGCCAGAACTTCCGATACTATGTTGAATAGGAGTGGTGAGAGAGGGCATCCCTGTCTTGTGCCAGTTTTCAAAGGGAATGCTTCCAGTTTTTGCCCATTCAGTATGATATTGGCTGTGGGTTTGTCATAAATAGCTCTTGTTATTTCGAGACATGTTCCATCGATACCTAGTTTACTGAGAGTTTTTAGCATGAAGGCGTGTTGAATTTTACTGAAGGCCTTTTCTGCATCTATTGAGATAATTGTGTGTTTTTTCTCATTGGTTCTGTTTATGTGATGGATTACATTTATTGATTTGCATATGTTGAACCAGCCTTGCATCCCAGGATAAAGCCAACTTGATCATGTTGGATAAACTTTTTGATGTGCTGCTGGATTCAGTTTGCCAGTATTTTATTGAGGATTTTCACATTGATGTTCGTTAGAGATATTGGCCTGAAATTTTCTTTTTTTGTTGTGTCTCTGCCAGGTTTTGGTATCAGAATGATACTGGCCTCATAAAATGAATTAGGGAGGATTCCCTCTTAGTTTCTATTGTTTGGAATAGTTTCCGAAGGAATGGTACCAGCTCGTCTTTGTACCTCTGGTAGAATTTGGCTGTGAATCAGTCTGGTCCTGGACTTTTTTTGGTTGGTAGGCTATTAATTACTGCCTCAATTTCAGAACTTGTTATTAGTCTGTTCAGGGATTCAACTTCTTCCTGGCTTAGACTTGGGAGGGTGTATGTGTCCAGGAATCTATCCACTTCTTATGGATTTTCTAGCTTATTTGCATAGATATGTTTTTGTATTTTCCGATGGTAGTTTGTATTTCTGTGGGATCAGTGGTGATATCTCCTATATCATTTTTTAATGCGTCTATTTGATTCTTCTCTCTTTTCTACTTTATTAGTCTGGCTAGCAGTCTATTTTGTTTTTTATTTTTGTTTGTTTGTTTTTTCAAAAAACCATTTCCTGGATTCACTGATATTTTGAAGTGCTTTTCGTGTCTCTGTCTCCTTCAGTTCTGCTCTGATCTTAGTTATTTCATGTCTTCTGCAAGCTTTTGAATTTGTTTGCTGTTTCTTTTCTAGTTTTTTTAATTTTGATGTTAGGGTGTCAATTTTAGATCCTTCCTGCTTTCTCCTGTGGGCATTTAGTGCTATAAATTTCCCTCTAAACACTGCTTTAAATGTGTTGCAGAGATTCTGGTACATTGTGTCTTTGTTCTCATTGGTTTCAAAGAACATCTTTATCTCTGCCTTCATTTCGTTACGTACCCAGTACTCATTCAGGAGCAGGTTATTCAGTTTCCACGTATTTGTATGGTTTTGAATGAGTTTCTTAATCCTGAGTTCTAATTTGTTTGTACTGTGGTCTGAGAGACTGTTTGTTATGATTTCGTTTCTTTCGCATTTGTTGAGGAGTGTTTTATTTCCAATTATGTGGTCAATTTTAGAATAAGTGCAATGAGGTGGTGAGAAGAATGTATCTTCTGTTGATTTGGGGTGGAGAGTTCTGTAGAGGTCTATCGGGTCCACTTGCTCCAGAGCTGAGTTCAAGTCCTGAATATCCTTGTTAATTTTCTGTCTTGTTGATCTGTCTAATACTGACAGTGGGGTGTTAAAGTATCCCACTATTATTGTTTGGGAATCTAAGTCTCTTTGTAGGTCTCTAAGAACTTGCTTTATGAATCTGGGTGCTCCTGTATTGGGTGCATATATATTAGGATAGTAGCTCTTCTTGCTGCATTGTTCCCTTTACCATTATGTAATGCCCTTCTTTGTCTCTTTTGATCTTTGTTGGTTTAAAGTCTATTTCAGAGATTAGGATTGCAACTCCTGCTTTTTTTATGCTTTCCATTTGCTTGGTAAATATTCCTCCCTCCCTTTATTTTGAGCCTATGTGTGTCATTGCACTGCACACGAGATGAGTCTCCTGAATACAGCACACTGATGGGTCTTGACTCTTTATCCAATTTGCCAGTCTCTGTCTTTTAATTGGGGCATTTAGTCAGCTTACATTTAAGGTTAATATTGTTATGTGTGATTTTGATCCTGTCATTATGATGCTAGCTGGTTGTTTTGCCCATTAGTTAATGCAATTTCTTCATAGTGTCAATGTTTTTTACAATTTGGTATGTTTTGGCAGTGTCTGGTACCAGTTGTTCCATTCCATGTTTGGTGCTTCCTTTAGGAGTTCTTGTAAGGGAGGTCTGGTGGTGACAAAATCCCTCAGCATTTGCTTGTCTGTAAAGGATTTTATTTCTCCTTCACTTCTGAAGCTTAGTTTGGCTGGATATGAAATTCTGGGTTGAAAATTCTTTTCTTTAAGAATGTTGAATATTGGCCCCCACTCTCTTCTGGCTTGTAGGGTTTCTGCAGAGAGATCTGCTGTTAGTCTGATGGGTTTCCCTTTGTAGGTAAACTGACCTTTCTCCCTAGCTGCCCTTAACATTTTTTCCTTCATTTCAACCTTGGTGAATCTGACAATTATGTGTCTTGGGGTTGCTCTTCTCGAGGATTATCTTTGTGGTTTTCTCTGTATTTCCTGAATTTGAATGTTGGCCTTTCTTGCTAGGTTGGGGAAGTTCTCCTGGATAATATCCTGAAGAGTGTTTTCCAACTTGGTTCCTTTCCCACCGTCACTTTCAGGTACACCAATCAAATGTAGATTTTGTCTTTTCACATAATCCTATATTTCTTGGAGGCTTTGTTCATTCCTTTTTATTCTTTTTTCTCTAATCTTGTCTTTCTTTATTTCATTAACTTGATCTTCAATCACTGATATCCTTTCTTCCACTTGATCGAATCGGCTAATGATACTTGTATATTCTTCACAAACTTCTCGTGCTGTGTTTTTCAGCTCCATCAGGTCATTTATGTTCTTCTCTACATTGGTTATTCTAGTTAGCAATTTGACTAACCTTTTTTCAAGGTTCTTAGCTTCCTTGCATTGGGTTAGAACATGCTCCTTAGCTCAGAGTTGTTAGTTATTACCCACCTTCTGAAGCCTACTTCTGTCAGTTTGTCAAACTTATTCTCCATCCAGTTTTGTTCCCTTGCTGGCAAGGAGTTGTGATCCTTTGGAAGAGGAGAGATGTTCAAGTTTTTGGAATTTTCAGCCTTTTTGCACTGGTTTTTCCCCATCTTTGTGGATTTATCTACTTTTGGTCTTTGATGTTGGTGACCTTTGGATGGGGTCTTTGAGTGGATGTGCTAATCCTTTCTGTTTGTTTTTTTCCTTCTAATAGTCAGGCATCTCTGCTGCCAGTCTGCTGGAGTTTGCTGGAGGTCCACTCCCGATCCTGTTTGCCTGAGTATCACCAGTGGAGGCTGCAGAGCAGCAAAGATTGCTGCCTGTTCTTTCCTCTGGAAGCTTTGGCCCAGCATTGCACCTGCCAGATGCCAGCCAGAGCTCTCCTGTATGAGATGTCTGTTGGCCCCAAATGGGTGGTATCTCTCAGTCAGTATACACGGGGGTCATTGACCCACTAGAGGAGGCAGACTGACCCTTAGCAGAGCTCATACGCTGTGCTAGGATGTTTGCTGCTCTCTTCAGAGCCATCAGGCAAGGACGTTTAAGTCTGCTATAAGCCCCTGACTGGGGCTGCTGCCTTTTTTACAGAGATGCCCTGCCCAGAGACAAACAATCTGGCAGTCTGGCCACAGCAGCCTTGTTGAGCTGCAGTGAGCTCCACCCAGTTTGAACTTCCCAGTGGCTTTGTTTACACTGTGGCTGTAAAACCACCTACTCAAGCCTCAGAAATGGCGGATGCCCCTCCCCCCACCAAGCTCCACAATCCCGGGTGGATCTCAGGTTGCTGCTGTGCTGGTAGTGAGAATTTCAAGCCAGTGGATCTTAGTTTCCTGTGCTTCGTGGGGGTGGGACCTGCCAAGCCAGATCACTTGGCTCCCTGGCTTCATCCCCCCTTTCCAGGGGAGTGAACAGTTATGTCTTGCTGGTATTACAGGCACCACTGGGGTATGGCAAACAAACAAACAAAAAACAACAACAACAACAACAACAACAAAACTCCTGCAGCTAGTTCGGTGTCTGCCCACTTGGTCGCCCAGTTTTGTGCTTGAAACCCAGGGCCCTAGTGGGGTAGTCCCTGGAGAGAATCTCCTGGTTTGTGGGTTGTGAAGACTATGGGACAAGTGCAGTACCTGTGCCAGAGTTCCTCAGGCTCAGACCCTCATGGCTTTCCTTAGGTAGGAGGGAAAATTCCCTGACTCCCTCCACTTCTCAGATGAGGTGATGCCCCACCCTGCTTTGGCTCACACTTTGTGTGCTGCACCCACTGTCCAGCCAGTCCCAGTGAGATGAACTGTGTACCTCAGTTGGAAATTCAGAAATCACCCGCCTTCTGCATTGATCTTGCTGGGAGCTGCAGACCAGTGCTGTTCCTATTCGGCCATCTTGAATCTCCTCCCACATCTAAGTCTTTAATCCATCTTTAGTTAATTTTTCTATATGGTGATAAGTAGGGGGCCAGTTTCATGCTTCTGCATATAGCTAGCCAGTTTTCCCGGAACCATTCTTTGAATAAGGTTGTCATTTCCCCATTGCTTATTTACATCAACTTTGTCAAAGATCAGTTGGTTGTAGGCATGTGAGTTTATTTCTGGATTCTCCATTCTGTTCCACTCATGTCTGTGTCTATTTTTGTACCAGTACCAAGCCGTTTTGGTTACTATTGACTTGTGTAGTTTGAAGTCAAGTAATGTGATGCTTCTGGCTTTTTTCCTTTTACTTAGGGTTACTTTGGCTATTTGGACTGTTTTTGTGTTTCCATCTGAATTTTAGAATAGCGTTTTTCTAGTTATGTAAAAAATGACTTTGGTAACTTGATAGGAATGGTGTTGAATCTGTGGATTTCTTTAGGCAATATGGGCATTTTAACAATATTTATTCTTTCGCTCCATTAACATGGAATGTTTTTTGTCATTTGTGATTTTTCATCAGTGTTTTGTTCTCCTTATAGAGGTATTTCACCTGCTTGGTTAAATGTATTCCTAGGTATTTTAATTTTTTATGGCTATTGCAAATGGAATTGAGTTCTTGATTTTGTTCACAGACTGAGTATTGTTGGTACATAGAAGTGCAAATGATTTTTGTACACTAATTTTGAAGCCTGAAACTTCACTGAAGTCATTCATCAAATCTAGGGGTTTTATGGAGGAATTTTTAGGGTCTTCTAGATAGAAGATTGCATCATCAGGAAACAGAGATAATTTGACTTCATCTTTTCCAATTTGGATGCTTTTATTTCTTTCTCTTGCCTGATTGCTCTGGCTAGAACTTCTGGTTGAATAGGAGTAGTGAGAGTAGACATCCTTGTCTCTTCCAGTTCTTAGAGGAATTGCTTTCAACATTATCACATTCAGTTTGATGTTGGCTGTGAGTTTGTCATATATGGCTTTTATTATTTTGAGATATATTCCTTCAGTGCCTAGGTTGTTGAGGGTTTTCATCATGAAGGAATGTTGAATTTTATCAAATGCCTTTTCTGCATTGATTGAGATGCAGATGATCATATGGTTTTTGTTTTTAATTCTGTTTATGTGATGAAACACATTTATTTATTTGCATATTTTGAACCATCCTTGCATCCCTGAATAAAGCCCACTTGATTGTGATGGAGTGTCTTTTTGATGTGTTGTTGGATTTGGCTTGCTAGTATTTCAGTGAGGATTTTTGTTGCATCTATGTCCTGCAGGGATATTGGCCTGTCCCTCCTCCTTGGTTTCATGGAACTGTTTCAGTAATATTTTTGTCAGGTCTTCTTTGCATGTATAGTGAAATTTGACTGTTAATCTGTCCAGTCCAGGCCTTTTTCTTGTTGGTAGGTTTTTTTTAGTACTGATTCAATTTCATTACTCATTATTGGTCTGTTCAGAATTTCTATTTCTCTGTAGTTTAATCATGGGAGGTGTTATGTTTCCAGGAATGAATCTATCTCTTCTAGGTTTTCTAGTTTGTGTACATAGAGATGTTCATAATAGTGTCTGATGATCTTTTGTATTTCTGTGGTGTCAGTTGTAACATCTGTCACCTTCACCATTTCCAATCATGCTTAATTGAATCTTCTCTCATTTTTTTCTTGATTAATCTAGTTAGTATTCTATTTTGTTTATTCTTTCAATGAACCAGCTTTTCATTTTGTTGAGTGTTTGTATTTTTTCTGGGGTGGGGGGTCTCAATTTTATTTAGTTCTGCTCAGATCTTTGTTATTCCTTTTCTTCCGCTAGCTTTGAGTTTGGCTTGCTCTTGTTTTTCCTAGTTCTTTGAGTTGTGAAATTAAGTCGTTAATTTGAGATCGTTCTGTCTTTTTGATGTAGACATTTAATGCTGTAAACCTTTCTCTTAACATTGCTTTTGCTCTATTCCAGAGGTTTTAGTATGTGGTATTTCTATTTTCATTTGTTTAAAAAAAGTTTGATTTCTGACAATTGTATTATTTACTCAAAAGTTTTTCAGGAGCAAGTTGATTGGTTTCTATGTACTCATGTGGTTTTGTGAGTTCCTTTTTGTTATTAAATTCTAATTTTATTTCATTGTGACCAAGAAGATACTTCATATGATTTTGATTTTTTTTGCAGTTATTGAGAGTTGCTTAATGGCCAGGCATATAAATAATTTTAGAGAATGTTTTATGTGCAGATGAGAAAAATGTGTTCTGCTGTTGTTGAGTGGAATGTTCTGTAGATGTCTATTAGGTCCATTTGGTCAAAAGTCCAGTTTAAGTCCAGAGTTTCTTTGTTAATTTTCTGCCTTGATTGTCTGTCTAATGTAGTCAGAAGGGTTAAAGTCTTCCACTGTTATTGTATTGCTGTAGTATTGGTTCATTCTCACACTGCTATATTGAACTACCTGAGACTGGGTGATTTATGAAGAAAAGAGGTTTAATTGACTCACAGTTCTGCAGGCTTAACCAAAAGCATGGCTAGGAGGCCTCAGGAAATTTACAATCATAGCAGAAGGCAAAGGGGAAGCCCACATATCCTACTACAGTGACGAAAGAGAGAGAAAGGGAGGGCACTACATTTTTAAACTGCCAGATCGCCTGAGAACTCTATGATGAGACAGCACTAGGGGAATGGTGCTAAACTATTAGAAATTGCTCCCATGATCTAATCACCCCCCACCAGATTTCTCCCCCAACACATGGGGGTTATAATTTGACATGAAATTTGGTTAAGAACACAAAGCCAAACCATTTCAGCTGTCTAGCTATTTTCTTAGATCTAGTAGTACTTGTTTTATAAGTCTGGGTGCTCTGGTGTTGGGTACATATATATTTAGGCTAAAGTTCCTTGTGGAATTGAATGTTTTATCATAATATAATGCTCTTCTTGTTGTACTGTCTTTGGGTTAAAGTCTATTTTATCTGATATAAGAATAGCAAACCCTGCTATTTTTTGTTTTCCATTTGCATGATATAAATTTTTTCTATCCTTTAATTTGAGCCTGTGAGTGTCTTTACACATTAGGTGGGTCTTTTATAGGCAGCAGATGGTTGGATCTTTTCTTGTATCCAATTTCCCAAACTTCATCTTTTAAGTGGAGAATCTAGGCCATTTATGTTCAAGGTTAATAAAGCTATGTGAGGTGATTTGTTGTTGTTGTTGTTTGTTTGTTTGCCACAGTGTTAGCTAGTAACTTTGTAGTCTCAATTTTGTAATTGCTTTATAGAACCAATGAACATTGTATTTACATGTGCTTTTATGATACTAAGTATTCTTTCATTTCCATGTTTACAATTCTTTTGAGCATTTCTTGTACGACTGGTCTAGTAGTGATGAATTCCTTTACTGTTTGCCTGTCTGGCAAATACTTTATTTCTCCTACATTTATGAAGCTTGGTTTGTCAGGATATAAAATTCTTGGCTGAAATTTTTTTTCTTGGAAGCTGAAAATAGTTCCCAACCTCTTTAGACTATTGTTTCTGTTAAGAATTCAGCTGTTAGTCTGATGAGATTTCCTTTGTAGTGATCTGACCCTTCTCTCTATCTGCTTTTAAGATTTTTTCTCTTTTTATGTTGGCCTTGGATAGTCATATGATTATATGCCTTGGTAACGTTTGCTTCGTGTAGTATCTCACAGATATTCTCTGAATTTCTTATATGTGGATGTCTACCTCTCTAGCAAGATCAGAGAAATTTTCCTGAATTATTCTTTCAAATATGGTTTCCAAGTTGCTTACTTTTTCTTCTTCTTTCTCAGGGATGGCTACTAGTCAAAGGTCACTTTACATAATCCCATATTTCTCAAAGGCTTTGTCCCTTTTTAAAAATTATTTTTTCTTTATTTTTGTCTGACTGAGTTAGTTCAAAAGACTTGTCTTCAAGCTCTTAAATTCTTTCTTCTGCTTGGTCTATTGTTAAAGCTTTCATGTGTGTTTTAAAGTTACTTTAGTGAATTTTTCATTTCCAGATGTTCTGTTTGTTTTCGTTTGTTTTTTTGATGGAATCTCGCTCTGTCACCAGGCCGGAGTGCAGTGGCGTGACCTCGGCTCACTACAACCTCGGACTCCCGGGTTCAATTGATTCTCCTGCCTCAGCTTCCTGAGTTGCTGCGACTAGAGACTACATGTGTGCATCACCATGCCCAGCTAATTTTTGTATTTTTAGTAGATACAGGGTTTCACCATGTTGGCCAGGATGGTCTTCATCTCTTGACCTCCTGATCTGTCTGCCTCGACCTCCCAAAGTGTTGGGATTAGAGGCGTGAGCCACCACACCCAGCCTGTTTGGGTTTTTTTTTTTTAAATAGCTGTATCATTTTTCATATTCTGAATTATTTTATCTGATTTATTTGTGTTGATTTTCAACTTTCTACTGGATCTTATTGAGCTTTCTTAAAAATCTATATTTTGAATTCTTTATCATTTTAGAATTTTCTTTTTTGTTAGGATCCATTGCTAGAAAGCTGATGCAATCCTTTGGAAGTGTCAAAATACTGTTTTTTTTGTACTACCAGAGTTTTTGTGCTGATTTCTTCTCATCTAAAGGGGCTATTGCTTCTTATTTTTGTACATGCTATTGTTTAAATGGAAGTTTTTAACTTTTAATTTTTTTCCCTTGAGAGTATGCTCATGGTATAAATTGTGTATGATTACTTGGCTTAGTTTCTGGGTACTTTCAGTGGTTCCTTGGTTATGGAGAGCTTTTGCGGGATGGCATTTTCAAATGCTGCTTGTGGTAGCAATGTACTGGATGTATGAGCCAACACACTACCTTCTGCAGGGCTGAGCTGTAGAGGACTCAGGAAGGTTATCTCACCCACTAGCACTATGCCCTTCTGACAGCAGGTTTTTTATTTGATGCAGCAGTTTTTTTATTTGATGATGCAGTTCAGTCTTTATTCCAGGAGGTGATGATTAAGAGTAAGATCTGGTTCTCTTTTGGGCAGTTTGATGATGAGTGGAGGCTCCTGTCCTGATGGGGGATGGCAGGAAGAGATCATGATGGGGTGCACTGAGGTCTTGAGGGAAGGGGTGAAGGGTACAGTAGCTCCTTGTTTTGAGTAGACAGGAATGTGATCTGCTCCCTTATCATGACCCTGTCACAGGGTTCATGAACTTCAGCTCATACATTTTCCTTTGGCTCCCAGCCACAGTATGACTGAGGTCTGTGGAAATGCCCCTCTGGTGGCAACCACCAAAATGTCCTCAGGGCAGAGTCTCTTCCCTCAGTCTAGAACAGACAGTTCTGCAGCTTGTATGCCCTCTATTGCTGGAATGCTGCTTCTCTGCGTAGGGAGGGAGAGTGGGGCCCTGCCCTTCATGCAAGCCCAGGCAGGGTGGGATGTTTCAACAGGGGGTGTAGCCACCATGAAAATCACTGGAAAGTTCATATCCAAGTGCACTTAAGCCGGCCCTGAGAGGGGAAAGCCTCTATGTATCTGCAACAGTAGATGGAAAAGCAGGAGGTGACCCCTATTCCATATTTATTCCCAACCACCTTCAGCAATCAGCATCACACCTGAATTTCCTTTGTCCCAAGGGGAGACTTTGGTGGACTGCACTACCCTCTCTTCTAGGGGTAGCCAGTACTGTGGACTAGATGTTTGGGAATCCTGTAGCTCCCCAGGGAGCAACTGGTCCCCTGCAGTGGCTAATGTCAGAGCAGGTTGTGGGATATATTTGCAGGGCATTTGGTAATGTGGCAACACAAGGGCTAAGATTCCCCTAGCAGAGGAGTGGCCCACAGAGGTGCACAACCAGTATGGCACCTGCTGTCTCTCTTCCAGCCTGAGCAGTATGTGAGTGCACCAGCATTAGCTGGCCACATGGTGCTCTGCCCCTGAGAAGTTCCCAAATTGCCACCAACAGCTTGCCTGGAGTTGCAAGCGCAGAGGGACTCCCTGAAAACTTAGCAATCAGCAGTGTGTCCCAAGAGTGAGGGGGGCAGAGAGGCACCTTCACCTAAAATTTCTGCAAGATTCTGAGTTCCTCAAGGGTTAATCTCTGCCAACTCTTGCTGCTTTACTTTTCTGCATCCCAGCTTCTTCCCATAGGCTCTCAAATAGGTCCTGGCTGCCTTGCCTCAACTTTCCATTCAGATTAGTTATCATTCACCTGCAACTTTGATCTTCTTTCTAAGGACTGCTGCCATGTGACATCCCTAGTCAACAATGTTAAGCAAAATAATATATTAATCTGAAATATATTATAACTACATTGACATTATTTGAAACATTAAGCTCTCATTGTAAAGACATAAAATTTTTTCTCAAAGTGATATATTCTATATTCCATAAAAATAATTTATAAAAGAAAAAAGAAATAAGAGGTGCTTCCCAGAGTGTGTGCATGTGTAGGGAGACATAGCTAGGAAGAGAGAGCCCTAAGGTACAGCTTAAGAGTGCTAAGTGAGAGAAGGGAAAGATGGGATAAATGACAAAGAGAGGGGAATATTCCATTCAATCTTGGGCTCCTTCATCACATCACCTAGCTTTATCCCAGCCATTAGGTGGTAGGATCTGGACAAAAAATATCAGGAAAAAAAATGACCAAAAGAGAAGAAAGGATATGAACCTGTGTCATGCCAAGCCTCAGGTTTCAGTCCATGTTGAAGTTTAAAGGGAGTGGGTTCAGGTGGCAGATAGCTGACATAACACTTGGGGGGCCATAGACAGGTGAAAGATGGTTTTATTCAGCAGCTCTCTTACACTGTCTGCCTTTGTCTCAGCTGCCTGTTCTGGCTCTGCAGCTCCTGCTGCTTCCACTCCTGCAACTACATTCCCTGACCTGCAAGGCTGGCTTTCCCTTACAGGGTCTGCAGCTTCACATTCTCTCTCTCAGCACAAGCCAAGCCATGCCATATGTACAGCATCAGCAAGGCAGTTATACCTTTTACAAGCAATAGTGGCTCAGAGTTGGGTGACGAGCCTTCCCATGTTATGGCTACATAGCAGTGATTACATAACAAGTGGAGTTATGTGTCTGCACTCCGAACTGGCTGAGTCACACTGGCCCTGATGTCTGCCTCGGCCTATTCTTGGCCACAGCACATCCATGTACTTTACACTCTACCCCCTAGGCCATAGGTCTTGGATACACAGGTTATACATACAAGCTTTGGGTACATAGGCTCAATATACACACACAGGCTTTATACATAAGTTTTGGGCACATAGGTTTGATATAAAGGTTCGGCACACAGACCTTACAAGCTTGTTGTGAAATATCTAGTTATGTGTGTGTGTAGACATTACATATTTGTAGACCTGTTTATGAGTTCACATGAGCAAACAAACACACATGTGGGAATTGAGTGGATGGGACAAACATAAACAAGGGATTCTGAAGGGAGAGACAGAGAGAAGATCCATCAATAAATATAATGTGAAAATTATATATTCAAGTTTGTGTGACATCATCTGAAAAATATTAGCTGTTATTTAGAAAATTCTCAGTTTTCAAAAAAAGACTATATTCACAAAACTTAAGAATTGATAGTTTGAAAGAAAAAATAAAGACTCCTGAATGCCTTCCTGTATACCTTAATTGATGTTATGAAAGAATGAGTTAGAATCGTATTCAGGAACCATGCCAGTACAAAAAAGAAAAAGAATAAAAAGCCATGCTATACTGAGCTTCAGTAATATTTTGGCATTATTTAGAAAGTACCTCATATGTTACTCCTCTGAAAAAGTAGGCTTTACATACAAATCTTGAGTGTAGGTGTGTTCACACTTTTAGGCTAAAGACTTTATAGGCTAAAGAGGGTGAAGATTATAAACTTTTGAGCATCATAGTACTACAAATAAATACTTGCACACTCATACACACTAACTCTGGCTACAGGGTAATTTAAATGCCACAGGGTAATTTAATTCATTATTCTTTGCTACTTTTACTTCAGGTGTTCAGTTGTGGACAAAAAGGCTCAGAACAGTCAAACTAGTTCTGTACATGGAAATAGTCTGAAACAAGAAAATAAAAAACCCAAGGACAGTTCACGTTAGATTTCTAAAATCATCACAGTGCTAAACTATAAAATTTACTTTTCCAGGTGTAAAGCAGATGCTACAAGATTATTTTAAAGTATTTTCTTTTCTTCAAGGACTTTTCTTTCAATATATTCTCAAGATGACATACCAATCATTCACACTTGTGTTGAATACATTCCAAATATCCTAAGTGGGAGTACATACCTTCTAACAAAAATCAAACAAAGGCTTTTGAGGGTTTATGTAACTGGTGTTTTATTGAGAGACATTGCTTTTCTAGCATTTCAGGAGAATTCCCGGAAAACAAGTTAAAATATACTAGGAATATTATTATTAAGAAGTAATCAGTGATATTAACTTAAAGAAAATTTAATAAGATCTATTTTTATTTACAGAATACTTAATCCTCATTAGATGAGACAATAGTCAGCTCATTGCAATAAAAGACTTTCTGTTGGACAAAACAGGTATGAAATAGTTGGGGAAAGAAATTTGATAATATCATAAAATACGTGAATGACAAACCCCATTTTTTAGTAAACTTACATGTAACCCAAATGTAACAGACATTAATATATACAGGACGTAAACTTTATAGTCAGGTTGAACAGAAGTAAATTCAATTTTATTGCACCATAGGTAAACCTAAGAAAATATTTGGACTTCTTTCCCAAAATATGTCACTCGTTCTGTGTCCTAAAAACAAATAACAGAAAAATACAGTTTACATATATATGTAGCAAACACAAAGCTGATTGATCATCATTATACAATGTACATGTATTTAAATCATTATGTTGTGTCATTCAAATATTTTAAACTTAAAAAAATTTAATTAAAAAAATTTAAATTAGAATCCATAAAGCTGTGAGTAAGGCTTTGATAGATGTCTTTGTGTTCCATCACAGGCAATCCTGTAAACCCTAAATGAGGGGAAAGCTTGACATGCACATCCAACAGTGACCAAAAATCCATTATGGAAAAACAGTTATACAGTGGCTGAGGCATTTTTCTAGGTTAATTGGGATGTGGCAATATAGCAGAATCCTCCCTCTGACTATACTCACTAGTTTCCAATGACTACAGCAAAAAAAATTTCACCTTGTGACCTAGGAAAACAGTATATCTCAGGAGAATAACCCTGGCTGTCTGCTAATTTCATCCATACCAGTGAGGCATTTGCTGATAAATGCCGGGGAAAAGCTTCTGTAGGCTGTCTAATGTGCAATTATCATAACCTCATTTGGAAAAATCTCCAGAACCACACCCATGGGGACCCTCCCAAGATAAAAACACCCCCACCTCAGCCCTCTCTCCTTTACTATTTCCCCTTCTCTGCCTCCTCTTCATCTGGGGCTCTTCCTCAGACCTCTGTTTCCTTCCTCTCACTTCTTTTTAGTTTTTTTCTATCTCTTGTTCTCCTCCCCATGTTTTCTTCCTCTTTTTCTCTATTTCTTCCTCCACCTTCTCCATTTCCTCATCCCCTGACACTTCTTTTGTCATAGCTTCCTTTCTCTCTATTCCTCTTGTTCCTCTCATCTGCTTGAAGTAGTCTTTTGGGATTCTTTGGGATGGAGACTTTGGGGATGGATGTGTCTCCAAGCATATTCTTTGCAGAGCCTATTTCAGCAGCTCTTCACAGGGGTCCCATCCTTTGCCCCACCACAGGCTTCATCTTTGGTTCATGCTGACCCTTTGTAGCCCAAACACATCATTCCCTTTGAGGAGGTAGAGTGGTTAGAGAGATAAACATGTTATTAGAAATCAAAATCCTATTTATTTATTGCCATCAGCAATACATTTAGGCCAGATTTTCAAAAGCCCTCCCTTTTCAGAGCCTACCATTTTTAAGGTTCCTGCTTAATTTATGCTTAAAGCCAATTAATTGTTTCCTGAAAAAAGGTAAAAAGCCAATCTGCTCTCATAAAATTGAATGCTGTTTCTTTGAAAATTTTCCCAGAAATGTTGGTGGAATTGTTCTATTCATCAAGACTCAAAAGATCAAGAGAATGAAAATATTTAGGAGAAAACAACAACAACTTCAAAAATGCCAATGCTGTGTCTACTGTCTCTAATGGTTTAGATAGAAGATGTTAGAGCCAGCAACTGATAGCATTGATGAATTATGAGGGCTTATATATCAGAAATGAAATGGTTAAAGTAAATTATGCTTAAGGCATGCAAATGCATCATCCCCCACTACTGTTTAATTATATTAGTAAATAGTCCACAGTCAGACTCCAAGAGAAAAAGCCCTTTGGAGCTGTGTTGGTGGGTGCTTTGTTCATGAAGTAAATGCAAACATGGCCCTATGAATTCACAACCTTGGAATGCAAATGTTTTCCCCCATAGTAACATTAACAACTGTCTGATAAAGAAAACTGAGTTGCTGGATTATATACCCACAGTTCCCCTCTTTAAAAATTCTGTTTGTTTCTTACACTGTGAATTGTTTTATGATAAAAGTAGGGGTTAAAAACAGTGCTTGTCTGTGTTGTTCTTGACAGAATTTCAAATGCAACCAAATTCTCTCATCCTACTTAAACCAGACAAAAAATTATTGCTTTCATGTGCTCTTACTGAATCCTATCAGCTGTTTCCTGATTCACAATTTAGTATGTGATCATGACATTCTTATCTGTGAGTAACCCAAATTAAAGTTTACCTTGGCCTCTTTTTTAGATTTTCTTATTGGATGAAAGAGACATCCTTAGCATTCAGTGGCAACTATGTTAATGAAAATGACCCTAGCCAGCCATCCTGGCACTAAATATGTGTGGTTTGCTAATTACAAAAGGAAAAAAAAACCCTCTATTATGTCAGATTAAAATCTTTATCCCTTAATGAGCAGCAAGCTCAGAGTTTCTTTGTCTGAATGGTGTCTTCAAATCAATTGTTCTGTATCAGAGTCCAGGAAATCTGATTTTGTAGCTGAAAAATTCAACATAAACTTATATATTTGTATATAAATAGAAATTTATATTTTGAAAAATATAAGAAATATTTTAAATAGGTAAAAGCATGATCTGAGAATGAAAACAATGCCAGTTCATTGTTTAAAATGTGTTATTCAGTTTCAAGTAAAAAAATACATATATATACATGATCTTGAGACATTTACATTTGTCCAAATGATCATAAAAGGTTTACATTGGAAAGAACTTTAGAGGCCATCCAATGGTTCTCAAATTCAGTTTGCCTCAGAAGCACCTGAAGGGCTTGTTAAATAACAGATCATGGGCTCACCCATATCGTTTCTGAGTCCATAGAAACTTTGCATTTCCAATATGTCCCAGGTGATGCTAATGTTGCTATTCTACAGGCCACACTGTGAAGACCTTTGACCTAGTTCAACCCTCTTGTTTTACAGACTAGAAACCTACAGTTTCAATACATTGTCCAATGCTAAACAACTTTTGAGTTGGTGAGGTAAGAAAAGAACCTGGTTCTTCTTGTACTCAGCTTAATTGTAGGTTTTCCACACCAGTGCTTCTCAAACTCTGATGTGCATACAAATAACCTGGGGAACCTTTCAAAACACAGCCTGTGATTCAGTAGGTCAGGGAGGGGAAACTGGGCTTCTACATTCACAACAGGCTCTGTCCCAGGTGCTGTCCTAACAGCTGGTCCACAGACACATTTCAAGTAGCAAGGTCCTGCAATGTGGTATGCAATAGTGTTGTCCTTTTTATTTTAATTATTTACACTAAAAATGTAGGACAGATGTTCTTTTTTTAATAGACCATTTTAAAGAGCAGTTTTAGGTTCACAGCAAAATTGAGCAGAAGGCACAGAGATTTTCCATACACCTTCTCCTCCCCCACCCACATTTCCACAGCCTCTCCCACTATCAACATCCAGAATCATGGTGGTACATTTGCTACAATAGATGAACCAACATTGACATATGATTATCATCCAAAGTCCATAGTTTACTTTAGGGTTCATTCTTGGTGTTGTATCTTCTGAGTTTTGACAAATGTGTAATGACATGTATCCACCATTATAGTATAATGCAGAATAGTTTCACTGTTTTAGAAATTCTCCGTGCTCTGCCTCTTTATCATTTCTTCACACCTAACCTGGAAACCACTTATCTTTTTACTATCTCTACAGTTTTGCCTTTTCCAGAATGCATATAGTTGGAACCAGAGTATGTAGCCTTTTCAGATTCACTTCTTTCACTTAATAATATGCATTTAATATCCTCCATGTGTTTTCATGGCTTGATAGCTTACTTTGTTTTAGTGCTAAATAATATTTTGTTGTTTGTATATACCACAGTTTATCCATTCACCTAACTGAAAATATTTTGGTTGTTTCCAATTTTGAACAATTATGAATAAAGCTGCTATAAACATCTGTGAATGGGTTTTTCATCAACATAAATTTTTAATTCACTTGAGTAAATACCAAGGACCATGATTGTATGGTAAGAATATGTCTCTTTAAAAAAAAAAAAAAAACTACCAAACTGCCTTACAAAATGGCCATACTATTTTGCACTATCAAACTGCTTTACAAAATGGCTGTACTATTTTGCATTCCTACAAGCAATTAATGAGAGTACCTGTTGCTCTACATAATCACAGCATTTAGTGTTGTCAGTGGTGTTCTGGATTTTGGCAATTCTTGTAGATGTAAGTGGTATCTCATTGCTGCTTTAATTTGCAATTCCCTAATGACATATGATGTGAAGTATCTTTTCATATCCTCATTTGGCATCTGTATATCATCTTTGTGAGGTGCCTCTTCAGGTCTTTTGCCCATTTTAAAATCAGGTTATTCTTTTTGTCATTGTTGAGTTTTAAGAGTTCTTCGTGTGTTTTAGATAACAGTCCTTTCAGACATGTATTTTGCATATCTGTGTCTTTGCAGGCTATGACAAATCTTCTCATTTCCTTTATAGTAATTTTTAAGGCAAGAGACATCATTTCTTAACTAGAATTAATTCTTTCATAAAGTTTAGCTTTATTGATTAGCACTAAATATATGTCATATAAGTACATGAAGTGTTAAAAATGTCTTTTAAACTATCTTTTTATTACTTAAGAAAAAGAAGCATACTCTGAATATGCTAGGTATTTTTGTATATGTATTACATAGCCATTGCTTGCTTATATATAAAAGTATTCATTCATTCAACAGCATTTATTACCAAGCAATTTCCCTGTGCTAAGGACTTGGAATACTAGAGTCATAAGACCCAATCTCTGTCATCAAGTCTACTTAGGAAGGTAACTGTAAAATAAAATACAGTGTAATACAGTAGATGTTAGCACAAGCAGTATATACAAGAATAAAAAGACTTCTAGAAAGAAGTATTTATGGATGACTTTCCAGACAAGGTGACTTCTGAGCTGGATTTGAAAGTACATATGGGAGTTTCACAGATTTGGAGTGGGGAGCAATTGGAGAAAGACAGACATTTCAGAATGAGATGTAGTAGAATTTAAGATATTATGATTAGGATCATGGCGGGCAGTAGTCTGGGCTAGATTGCAGCTCTGGACAGAGCAGCCAGTGGCTCATATTGTGAATTTTAGCTTCAGATCAACTGCAAGAAAAAACCAGCAATCCCGAGAGGACCCACAGACCCTCTGAAGGAAGCAGACTGCTCCTGCAGGACCTAGGAGACCCCCCAAAACTGTGAGTGCCCCAACTGCGGAAGTGGGAAAGGGAGAGCCTTCACTCCCAGACACACACCCCCACTGGAGAAGCTGAAGGTCTGTTTGCAGGAGAAGTTTTCGTCTTTACCTGTAGTGGAGTCAATTTGGAGAGCTGAGTGAAATACAGGGGTAGAGGAAGCAGCAGAAAGGCCCTGGGAGCTTGCTGGGTCCCCTAGCAGGCCACTCCTGCCTGGCACCACAGGGATCCAACACGAGAGGAACAGGGGGTAAAACTCCACAGCGAGAAGGAAATCTTTAGCTGAAATTTGCAACAATTTGAATGGGGTGAGAAACCTACTGGCCAGAACTCAGGGGAGTGTGCAAATCCAGTGTGCAGACTCCACAAGCTGGGGAAGAACCAAGCCCTTTCCTTTCACAGTTGGAAGGCAGATAGCCTGGGGCAGGTTTTCAAGCCTGTATTGCTCTCTGCTTGGAAACTGTCTGGGTGCTGTAGCAGGGAGAGAACGGTGGGAGTGAGACCAGCCCTTCAGTTTGCGTGGGAGCTGGGCGAGGCCTGTGACTGGTGGCTTTCTCTCACTTCCCTGACAACCTGCGTGACTCAGCAGAGGCAGCCATAATCCTCCTAGATACAAAACTCCCGTGACCTGGGAATCTTATCCCCATACCCCACAGCAATCACAGCAAGATCCGCCCAAGGAGAGTCTGAGCTCAGATGGTCCTTCCCTACCCACCTTGGTAGCAGAAAAACCAGAGCATATAATCGTGGGAGTTCTAGGGCCCCATCCATTGCCAGTTCCTTCCCATAATACCACAGCTGATGCTTTCTGGAAATCAGCACCTCCTAGGAGGAGATTATCCAGCATAAAAATAGAACATTAAACCACCAAAGCTAAGAACCCTCATGGAGTCCACCGCACCCCCCTCTGCCAGAACAGGCACTGGTGTCCACAGCTGAGAGACCCTTTCACATCACAGGATGCTTTGCAGACAACCCCCAGTACCAGCCCAGAGCTGGGTAGGCTTGCTGGGTGACTAGACCCAGAAGATAGACAACAATCACTACAGTTTGGCTCACAGAAAGCCACATCCATAGGAAGAGGGTGAGAGTACTACATCAAGGGAACACCCCATGGGACAAAAGAATCTGAACAACAGCCTTCAGCCCTAAACCTTCCCTCTGACAGAGCCTACCCAAATGAGAAGGAACTAGAAAACCAACCCTGGTAATATGACAAAACAAGGCTCTTCAACAATCCCAAAAAATCACACTAGTTCACCAGCAATGGATCCAAATCAAGAAGAAACCCCTGATTTACCTGAAAAAGAATTCAGGAGGTTAGTTATTAAGCTAATCAGGGAGGGACCAGAAAAAGGCAAAGCCCAATGCAAGGAAATTTAAAATATGATACAAGAAGTGAAAGGAGAAATATTCAAGGAAATAGATAGCTTAAAGAAAAAAACAATAAAAAATTCAGGAAACTTGGGACACACTTTTAGAAATGTGAAATTCTCTGGAAAGTCAGCAATAGAATTGAACAAGCAGAAGAAAGAAATTCAGAGCTTGAAGACAAGGTCTTCAAATTAACCCAATCCAAAAAAGATAAAGAAAAAAGAATAAGAAAATATGAACAAAGCCTCCAAGAAGTCTGAGATTATGTTAAACAATTAAACCTAAATCAGTGTTCCTGAGGAAGAAGAGAATTCTAAAAGCTTGGAAAACATATTTGGGGGAATAATCGAGGAAACCTTCCGCAGCCTTTCTAGAGACCTAGACATCCAAATACAAGAAGCACAAAGAACACCCAGGAAATTCATCACAAAAAGATCTTTGCTTAGAACATTGTCATCAGGTTATCCAAAGTTAAGACGAAGGAAAGAATCTTAAGAGCTGTGAGACAGAAGCACCAGGTGACCTATAAAGGAAAACCTATCAGATTAATAGCAGATTTCTCAGCAGAAACCCTACAAGCTAGAAGGGACTGGGGTCCTATCTTCAGCCTCCTCAAACAAAACAATTATCAGCCAGGAATTTTGTATGCAGTGAAAATAAGCATCATACATGAAGGAAAGATCTAGTCTTTTTCAGACAAACAAATGCTAAGAGAATTCGCCATTACCAAGCCACCACTGCAAGAACTGCTAAAAGGAGCTCTAAATCTTGAAACAAATCCTGGAAACACATCAAAAGAGAACCTCTTTAAAGCACAGATCACACAGGACCTATAAAACAAAAATACAAGTTAAAAAGCAAAAACAAAAAACCAAAGTTCACAGGCAACAAAGACACGATGAACGCAACAGTACCTCACATTTTAATATGAACATTGAATGTAAATGTCCTAAATATTCCACTTAAATACAGAACTGCAGAATGGATACAGAACTGCAGAATGGATAAGAACACACCAACCATCTGCTGCCTTCAGGAGACTCACCTAGCACACAAGGATTCACATAAACTTAAAGTAAAGGGGTAGAAAAAGGCATTTCATGCCAATGGACACCAAAAGCAAGCAGGGTCAGCTATTCTTATACCAGACAAAATAAACTTTAAAGCAACAGCAGTTAGAAGAGACAAAGAGGGACATTATATAATGGTAAAAGGTGTAAAAGGCCTTGTCCAACAGGAAAATGTCACAATTCTAAACATATATGTCCCTAACACTGGAGCTCCCAAATTTATAAAACAATTACTAATAAACCTAAGAAATGAGATAGACAACAGCACAATAATAGAGGAGGACTTCAATACTCCACTGACAGCATAGACAGGTCATCAAGACAGAAAGCCAGCAAAGAAACAAATGGATTTAAACTATACCCTGGAACAAATGGACTTAAGGGATATACACAGAACATTTCATCCAACAACTGCAGAATACACATTCTATTCGACAGCACGTGGAACTTTATCCAAGATCAACAATATGGTAGGTCATAAAACAAGTCTAAATAAATTTAAGGAAATAGAAATTATATCAAACACTCTCTCAGACCACAGTGGAATAAAACTGGAAGTCAGCTCCAAAAGGAACGTTCAAAACCATGCAAATACATGGAAACTAAATAACCTGCTCCTGAATGAGAACTGGGTCAAAAAAATGTAATCAAGATGGAAATTTAAAAATTCTTTGAACTAAATGACAATAATGGCAAAACCTATCAAAACATCTGGGATACAGCAAAGGCAGTGCTAAGAGGAAAGTTCATGGCCCTAAACACCTACATCAAAAAGAATGAAAGAACACAAACTGACACTCTAAGGTCACACCTCAAGGAACTAGAGAAACAAGAACAAACCAAATCCAAACCCAGAAGAAGAAAGGAAATAACCAAGATCAGAGCAGAACTAAATGAAATTGAAACAAACAACAACAACAACAAAATACAAAAGATAAGAGAAACAAAAAGTTCATTGAAAAGATAAATAAAATTGATAGATCATTGGCGAGATTAACCAAGAAAAGACAGAAAGTCCAAATAACCTCACTAAGAAACAAAACAGGAGATATAACTAACACCACTGAAATACAAAAGATCATTTAATGATACTATGAACACCTTTACGGACATAAACTAGAAGATTAGCAGAGACGGACAAAGTCCTGGAAAAATACAACCCTCCTAGCTTAAATTAGGAAGAGTTAAATACCCTGAACAGACCAATAACAAACAGCAAGATTGAAATGGTAATTTAAAAATTACCAACAAAAAAAGTCCAGGACCAGATGGATTCACAGTAGAATTCTACCGGATATTCAAAGAAGAATTGGTGCCAATCCTTTTGACACTATTCCCCAAGATAGAGAAAGAAGGAACCATCCCTAATTCATTCTATGAAGCCAGGATCACCCTAACACCAAAACCAGGGAAGGACATAGCCAAAAAAGAAAACTGAAGACTGATATCCTTGATGAACATAGATGCTAAAATCCTTAACAAAATACTTGCCAGCTGAATCCAACAACACATCAAAAAGATAATCCACCATGATCAAGTGTGTTTCATACCAGGGATGCAGGCATGGTTTAACATACTCAAGTCAATAAATGTGATACCCCACATAAACAGAATTAAAAACAAAAACCACATGATCATTTCAGTAAATGCAGAAAAAGCATTAGACAAAATCCAGCATTGATTTATGATTAAAACTCTCAGCAAAATCAGCATACAAGGGACATACATTAGTGTAATAAAAGCCATCTATGACAAACCCACAGCCAACACAATACTGAATAGGGAAAAGTTTAAAGCATCCCCTCTGATAACTGGAACAAGACAAGGATGCCCACTCTTACCACTCCTCTTCAACATAGTACTGGAAGTCCTAGCCAGAGCAATCAGACAAGAGAAATAAATAAAGGGCATCCAAATCAGTAAAGAGGAAGTCAAACTGTCGCTGTTTGCTGGCGATATGATTGTTTACCTTGAAAACCCTAAGGACTATTCCAGAAAGCTCTTAGAAATCATAAAATAGTTCAGCAAAGTTTCTGGGTACAAGATTAATGTACACAAATCAGTAGCTTTTCTATACGCCAACAGCAATGAAGCAAGTTCAAATTGTTTCAGTTCCAATCAAGAACTCAACCCCTTTTACAACAGATGCAAAAAAATAAAAGACTTAGGAATATACCTAACCAACGAGTTGAAAGACCTCTACAAGGAAAACTGCAAAACACTGCTGAAAGAAATCATAGACTACACGAACAAATGGAAACACATCCCATGCTCATAGATGGGTGGAATCAATATTGTGAAAATGACCATACTGCCAAAAGCAATCTACAAGTTCAATGCAATCTCCATCAAAATACCATCATTCTTCACAGAATTAGAAAAAAACAATTCTAAAATTCATATGGAACCAAAAAAGAGCCCACATAGCCAAAGCAAGACTAAGCAAAAAGAACAAATCTGTAGGCCTCACATTACCTGATTTCAAACTACACTATAAGGCCATAGTCACCAAATCAGTGTAGTAGTGGTACAAAAATAGGCACATAGACCAAAAGAACAGAATAGAGAACCCAGAAATAAACCCAAATACTGAGAGCCGACTGATCTTCGACAAAGCGAACAAAAACATAAAGTGGAGAAAGGACATCTTTTTCAACAAATGGTGCAGGGATAATTGGCTAGCCACATGTAGGAGAATGAAACTGATTCCTCAACTCTCACCTTATACAAAAATCAACTCAAGATGGATTAAGGACTTAAACATAAGACCTGAAACTATAAATATTCTAGAAGACAACATTGGAAAACCCCTTCTAGATATTGGCTTAGGCAAGGATTTCATGACCAATAACCCAAAAGCAAATGCAATAAAAACAAAGATCAATAGCTGTGACCTAATTAAACTAAAGAGATTTTTCACTGCAAAAGGAGCAGTCAGAGTAAACAGACAACCCACAGAGTGGGAGAAAATCTTCACAATCCATATGTCTGACAAAGGACTAATATCCAGAATCTATAACGAACTCAAACAAATCGGTAAGAAAAAAAAAAAAACAATCCCATGAAAAAGTGGGCTAAGGACATGAATAGACAATTCTCAAAAGAAAATATACAAATGGCCAACAAACATATGAAAAAATGCTCAACATCACTTATGATCAGGGAAATGCAAATCAAAACTGCAATGTGATACCACCTCACTCCTGCAAGAATGGCCATAATCAAAAAATCAAAAAACAGTAGATGCTGGTGTGGATGCAATGAATGGGGAACACTTATACACTGCTGGTGGGAATGTAAGCTAGTACAGCCACTGTGGAAAACAGTGTGGAGCTTCCTTAAAGAACTAAAAATAGAACTACCATTTGATCCAGCAATTCCACTACTGGGTATCTACCCAGAGGAAAAGAAGTCATTATTCGAAAAAGATGCTTGCACACACATGTTTACAGCAGCACAATTCACAATCGCAAAATCATGGAACCAACCCAAATGCCCATCAATCAATGAGTGGATAAAGAAATTGTGGTATATATATATACAATGGAATACTGCTCAGTCATAAAAAGGAATAAATTAACAGCATTTGCAGTGACCTGGCTGAGAATGGAGACTATTATTCTAAGTGAAGTAACTCAGGAATGGAAAATCAAATATCATGTGTTCTCACTGATATGTGGAAGCTAAGCTGTGAGGATACAAAGGCATAAGAATAATGCAATGAACTCTGGGGACTTGGAGGGAAGAGTGGGACGGGGGTGAGGGATAGAAGACCACAAATATGGTGCAGTGTACACTGCTAGGGTGATGGGTGCACCAAAATCTCACAAATCACTGCTAAAGAACTTACTCATGTTACCAAGTGCCACTTGTACTCCAATAACTTATGGGAAAAAAGTAAATAAAAAATTTTTAAAAAGAATTTAAGACTAGAAGAGGAATGACCTGAAGATGAAACATTGAGATAGGTTTATATTTAGGGAGCTAAAGAAAAAAGAGAAGTAAAATAGAAACACAGCCTCTTCAGAGACTGGAGAGAAACTAATATTCGAAGCTAACTTTTAAAAACAGAATAGAATTACCTATCGGTTGCACTTATACTCCAGCAGACATAAACAATGAGCATCTAACTTCTCATCAGTTTTTAGTCTATAGAAAATTCAGTTCACTGTAGCTCAATGAGACTCATTGTTAAAGCAGACACACTGGCTAAACTTCAGGGATTCATATAAGTTTAAAAGTTATAATTTTAAAAACATCATCTCTTATTAGCTATTAAAGTATAAACTAATATATAAACTTCTATTTTAAGTGTAATGTGCTTTAAAACAATTTAATGAAACAGAATCAACTGACTAAATTGTAAGCTTCAAGAGGGCAGGGACTGTAAGTTGAATTAATAAATTTCTAAAGATTAATTAACTAGAATTTTTACTTCTGATCTTGATCTTTACTTCCTTAAAAACATATATGTGTTTTTTAAAGAAAGGTCTTCTTTTCTCTACATTTTTTCACAATGCAGCTCAGTTGCAAGCCCCTGCTCTTTTTGGCAGCCTCCTTCTCTTTAGGGAGCTATCTTTCTCTGACTCAGACATTTCTGCCTTTCTTTCTCTCTCGTGTAAGACCTCTACCTAAATTTTCCAGCTATATTTCAGCTAAAAGATCCCCTCTTTCCTGTGTGGGTAATTCAGTTTATTTTCTACTCTGCAGTTTCCCTGTCTCTCCTTGGAAGAAAGAACCCTTATAGAAATTTCTTAGGTCTCAACATATCTGAGCACAGTGATTTAGAGGTGTGTTGAAATTTTTTTCTCAGATATGACTTTTTAGATTCAGAATGAATTCTTGTAAATTCCCAGAATCACTTCAAATGGAAACTTAAATACATTAACTTATTATGTGCCAATTAGCTGATTTTTGTTTTCTATCTAAACTTTTTGTCACCTTTAAACATTAAATATAGAACATTGTTATCAATTTAAGGATTATTCAGTATTTAACACAATTGAAATCATATTTATGAACCATCATGTCAATTCAGAAATCATCAGCTTTTAAAATGAAAAATATAAATATAGAAAATAAACTTTTAAGATCATTGAGCAGATGGAAAGAAATAATAAAAACTAAGAGCATTTATTAGCAGAATTGTAAACAGGAAAACCATAGAGAAAATTCAATGGAAAAAAAGCTGGTTCTATGAAAAAATCAAATTGATAAATCTCTAGTAAGACTGATGAGAAAGAAAGATGGAGGAGGCACAAATCAACAACATCAGAAATAAATCAGGGCCTATCAATACAGATCCTATAGATGTCAAAAGGAGAATAAAGGAATACCACAAATGACTTCGTGCTCGTAAATTTGATAACTGAGAAGAAATGAACTTGAAAATCCACAAGCTACCAAATTCAACCAAGATGAAATAAGCAAACTAAATAGTCCTACAAACACCAAACTGAATTAGGAATTTCAAAGCTCCTGAGAAAAAAATCACTGGGCACATATGGTTTCACTGAAGAATTCTACCAAACATTTGCATAACTAAACCCAATTTTATACAACCCCTTCCAGAAAATAGAAGAGGAAAGATTTCTCATCTCGCTTTATGAAGATAATACTACCCTAATACTGAAATCAGACAAAGACAAAACAGAAAAAGAAAACTATAGGTCAATATCTCTCATGAACTTAGATACAAAATTCCTCAACAAAACATTAGCAAATGGAATCCAGCAGTGTATAAAAATTATTATAAACATGTCCAAGTGGCATTTATTCTAGGTTCGTAAGTCTGCTTCAACATTTGAAAATCAACATAATCTACCATATGACCAGGCTAAAGAAGAAAACTCATATGAGCATATCAATTAATGCAGAAAAAACATTTCACAAAATCAACATACAATCATAAGAAAAACCCTCAGCAGGAGAAATGTCTTCAACTTGATAAAAACACATCTACAAAACACCTACAGTTAATATACTTAATGGTGAAAGACTCAGGCAAGGATGTTCGTTCTTACCACTCTTTTTTTTTCTTATTATACTGTAAGTTTTAGGGTACATGTACACAACATGCAGGTTTGTTACATATGTATACATGTGCCATGTTGGTGTACTTCACCCATTAACTCGTCATTTAGCATTAGGTATATCTCCTAATGCTATCCCTCCCCCCTCCCCCCACCCCACAACAGGCCCCGGTGTGTGATGTTCCCCTTCCTGTGTCCATGTGTTCTCGTTGTTCAATTCCCACCTATGAGTGAGAACATGTGGTGTTTGGTTTTCTGTCCTTGCGATAGTTTGCTGAGAATGATGGTTTCCAGCTTCATCCACGTCCCTACAAAGGACATGAACTCATCATTTTTTATGGCTGCATGGTATTCCATGGTGTGTATGTGCCACATTTTCTTAATCCAGTCTATCATTGTTGGACATTTGGGTTGGTTCCAAGTCTTTGCTATTGTGAATAGTGCCACAATAAACATACTTGTGCATGTGTCTTTATAGCAGCATGATTTATAATCCTTTGGGTATATACCCAGTAATGGGATGGCTGGATCAAATGGTATTTCTAGTTCTGAATCCCTGAGGAATTGCCACACCGACTTCTACAGTGGTTGAACTAGTTTACAGTCCCACCAACAGTGTAAAAGTGTTCCTATTTCTCCACATCCTCTCCAGCACCTGTTGTTTCCTGACTTTTTAATGATCGCCATTCTAACTGGTGTGAGATGGTATCTTATTGTGGTTTTGATTTGCATTTCTCTGATGGCCAGTGTTGATGAGCATTTTTTCATGTGTTTTTTGGCTGCATAAATGTCTTCTTTTGAGAAGTGTCTGTTCATATCCTTCTCCCACTTTTTGATGGGGTTGTTTGTTTTTTTCTTGTAAATTTGTTTGAGTTCATTGTAGATGCTGGATATTAGCCCTTTGTCAGATGAGTAGGTTGCAAAAAGTTTCTCCCATTCTGCAGGTTGCCTGTTCACTCTGATGGTGGTTTCTTTTGCTGTGCAGAGCTCTTTGGTTTAGTTAGATCCCATTTGTCAATTTTGACTTTTGTTGCCATTGCTTTTGGTGTTTTAGACATGAAGTCCTTGCCCATGCCTATGTCCTGAATGGTATTGCCTAGGTTTTCTTCTAGGGTTTTTATGGTTTTAGGTCTAACATGTAAGTCTTTAATCCATCTTGAACTAATTTTTGTATAAGGTATAAGGAAGGGATCCAGTTTCAGCTTTCTACATATGGCTAGCCAGTTTTCCCAGCACCATTTATTAAACAGGGAATCTTTTCCCCATTTCTTGTTTTTGTCAGGTTTGTCATAGATCAGATAGTTGTAGATGTGTGGCATTATTTCTGAGGGCTCTGTTCTGTTCCATTGATCTATATCTCTGTTTTGGTACCAGTACCATCCTGTTTTGGTTACTGTAGCCTTGTAGTATAGATTGAAGTCAGGTAGCATGATGCCTCCAGCTTTGTTCTTTTGGCTTAGGACTGACTTGGCAATGCGGTCTCTTTTTTGGCTCCATATCTCAAACATAGTACTCAAAGTTCTAGCCATTTCAGTAAGACAAAAAAAAAAAAAAGAAAGAAAGAAACTCACACATATTAGAATGGAATAAATAAAACTGTCCCTTTTTGCAGGTGACAAACTGTGTAGAAAATCCTAAGGGATCCACACACACACACAAAACTACTCCTAAAACTAAGAAGCTCAGCAAGGTTGTAGGACACAAAATTAACAGAGAAAAATTCATCACATTTCTATACACAAAGAAAGAACATGTGGAAACAAAAATTAATATCACAATACCATTAGGATCTTTCAGAAGAAAAAAAGGAATACTTAAGTATAAACTTAACAAAACACATACAGCATCTGTATGCTGAAAGTTATAAATGCTGATTAAAAAAAAGTCAAAGACCTAAATAAATGAAAAGGCATGCTGCATTTGTGGACTGGAAATTTCAACATAGTAAAGATGTTAATTCCCTCCAAATTAATCTATAGGTTTACAATTCCTATAAAAATTCCACTAAGGGTTTTTTGTAGGCATACACAGGACAAGCTTATTCTGATATTTACATGGAAAGGCATAGATCCTAGAATAGCTGAAACCATCTCGAGGAAGGAATAAGGTAGAAGGAATCACTCTACCCAATATTCAGGCCTACTATATAGATAGAGTGTAATCAAGACAGTCTGATATTGGTGGATAGATAAATATAAGGATCGATGGAAGTGTATAAAGAGCCCACACAAATAGACCCACACAAAATATGCTCAACTGATATTTGACAAAGATGCAAAAGTAATTCAATGGAGGATAGGTAGATTTTTAATTTGAGATAATTGGAGGTTCACAAACAGTTTTAAGGCATAATACAGAGAGATTCTATGTACCTTCTACCCAGCTTCCATCAATGATAGCAGCTTCAAAACTATAGTACATTTTTCAACATATGGTACTGGAACACAATAGGAAAAAATGAATCCAACCTAAATCTTATACCTTATACAAAAGTTAACTCATAGTGGGTCACAGACTTAAATGTAAAACATACAACTCTGAAATTTTTAGGAAAAAGTATAGGAGAAAATCTTGGAGATGTAGGGTCAGGCAAGAATTCTAAGACTTGACACCAAAATCACAATCCATATGAGATAAAATTAATAACTTAGACTTCATCAAAGTTTTTAAAATTTTCAGCTGGGCACGGTGGCTCACGCCTGTAATCCTACCACTTTGGGAGGCCAAGGCAGGTGGATCACCTGAGGTGAGGAGTTCGAGACCAGCCTGGCCAACATGGCGAAACCCTGTCTCTACTAAAAGTACAAAACAATTAGGTGGGCATGGTGATGTGTGCCTTAATCCCAGCTACTCAAGAGGCTGAGGAAGGAGAATTGGTTGAACCCAGGAAGTGGAGGTTGCAGTGCACCGAGATCACACCACTGCACTCCAGCCTAAGCGACAGACCGGGATTCCGTCTTAAAAAAAAAAAAAAAGGTTTTAAATTTTTCTCAGTGAAAAATCCTTTTAAGAAGATGAAAAATCAAGCTACCAACTAGGAGAAAATATTTTCAAACCATCCACCTAACAAATGTCTAGCATCTAGAATATTTTAAGAACACTCAAAACTCAACAGTAAACAAATAATCCAAATACAAAAAGACATGGAGCTAGATGTGGTGATATGGACCTGTTATCCCAGCTACTCATGAGGCTGAGGTGGGAGCACCTCTTGAGCCTGGGAGTTCAAGACCAGCCTGGGCAATGTAGGGAAACCCTGTCTCAATAAAAATAAAGATAAAAAAAGAAATGAACAAGTATTTAACCAAAGGGGATATATACTTGACAGATAAGCACCTGAAAATTTATCAGTCATTAGAGAAATGTATTATAATCACAATAAGAAATCACTGTATACCTATCAGAATGACTAATATAAAACATATCAACAACACTAAATGCTGACAGAGATTCAGAGAAACTGAATCACTCATACATTGCTGTTGGGAATGAAAAATGGTGCCACCACTATGTTATACAATTTGACATTTTCTTATGAAACTAAACATGCAACTCACATATGACGCAGAAACTGTATCCTTGGGCAATCCCAGAGAAGTGAAATTTCATGTTCACACAAACACTTGTCATGGATGTTTTATTTATGGTAATCAAAAACTGCAAACAACCCACATGACCTTCAACAGGTGTATAGCGAAAAAAACTGGTACATCCATATATCATAGAGTATTACTCCTCAATAAAAGAATACTTATGACAAAGTGGATGAATCCCTGAGGAATTATACTGAGTGGAGAAAGCCAATGCTAATAGGTTAAATACTGTATAACTTGATTTATAGGACATTCTTTAAATGACAAAATTATGGAAATGGAGAACAGCTGACTGGTCACCACTGCAAGGATGGCTATAAAGGAGCAGTGGAAGGAATCCTTGTGATGATGGAGTTGTTCTGTATCTTGCTGATAGCATGTCAACATCCTGGTTGTGATATTGTACTATGGTTTTGAAGAGGCTATCACTGAGGGAAGCTGGATAGAAGGTACATAGGATCTCTCTGTATTATTCCTTAAAGCTGTTTGTGAACCTCCAATTATATCAAATTAAAAGTGTAACTAAAAATCATCAGTTCTAATCTTTTCCTATTTTCTAATTTTTTGAAAATGTGTACTGATATCAAAAGAAGAAAAGGAAGTCAAATTACATAAAATACTATGGAGAGGAAATAAGAACTTATTATTTTACAGAATACTAATAATAATACTAACAACCCATATTATAAACATGAAGCATCATATGGGATATTGCAAGACTACAGAATATGGCATTGCTTCATCTTATATGGAGCAAGGTGGTGTGTGAGGAACCAAAATGAATTGGGGAGAATACAACCTCAGTTTCTCCATATAGAATGTTAATAAAATGGCATTTCTTTCTCAATCTCATTCAAATTATGGCTTTAAGCAGTGCTTCTTCTGTCATCACTGGTCAGTCTTATTAATGAGTTTTATCCGCTGATGATAGTATACCTATTAACATTAAGATAATTTATGTAGGATATTAGTTAATCAGATTAATTCTATAACGAAAAGTGAAAATTTCCTCATTTCTTTTATTTACTTATTTATTAAAAATAATTTCAACTTTTATTTTAGATCTGGGGCTACATATTCAGGTTTGTTACATGGGAATATTGTGCGATGCTGAGGTTTGGCGTGTGAATGATTCTGTCACCCAGATTTTAAGCATAGTACCCAATAGCTAGTTTTTCAACCCTTGACCCCCTCCCTCCCTCTCCTCTCTAGTAGTCTCGTCTATTGTTGCCATCTTATGTCTATGAGTACCCAATGTTTAGCTTCCACTTATAAGTGAAAACATACAGTATTTGGTTTTCTGTTCCTGTATTACTTTGCTTAGGATCATGGCCTCCAACTGCATCCGTGTTGTTGCAGAGAACACGATTTTGTTCTTTTTTAAGGCTGCATAGTATTCCATGATGTATATATACCCTATTTTCTTTATTTTTTATTTTTATTTCAATAGTTTTGGGGGACCAGGTGGTGTTTGGTTACATGGATAAGTGCTTTAGTGGTGACTTTTGAGATTTTGGTGCACCCATCACCTGAGCAGTCAGTGTACACTATACCCAATGTGTAGTCTTTTATCCCTTCCCTCCCCGACCCTTCCCTGCAAGTCCCCAAAGTCCATTGTATCATTCTTATGCATTTGTGTCCTCATAGGTTAGCTGCCACTTATGAGTGAGAACATACCACCTTTGATTTTCCATTCCTGAATTACTTCACTTAGGATAATGGTGTCCAACTTCATCCAGGTTGCTGTAAATGCCATTATTTCATTCCTTTTTATGGCTGAGTAGTATTCCATGGTATATATATGTATATCACATTTTTCTTTATCCACTTGTTAATTGATGGGCATTTGAACTAGTTTCATGTTTCTGCAATTGCGAATTGTGCTCCTATGAACATGCATGTGCAACTGTCTTTTTCATATAGTGACTTCTTTTCCTCTGGATAGATACCCAGTAGTGGGATTGCTGGATCAAATCATAGATCTACTTTTAGTTCTTTAAGGAATCTCCATACTGTTGTCCATAGTGGTTGATATGGTTTGGCTCTGTGTCTCCACCCAAATCTCATCTCAAATTGTAATCCCCATGTGTCAAGGAAGAGACTTGATGGGAGGTGATTGGATCATGGGGGCAGTTTCTCCCATGCTGTTCTCATGCTAGTGAGTGATTCTTATGAGATCTGATGGTTTAAAAGTGTTTGGCAGTTCCCCCTTCGCTTTCTCTCTCTCCTGCCACCCTGTGAAGAAGGTACCTGCTTCCCCTTTGTCTTCTGCCATGATCGTAGGTTTCCTGAGGTTTCCCCAGCCATGGGGAATTATGAGTCAATTAAACTTCTTCTCTTTATAAATTACCTGGTCTTAGGTAGTTCTTTACAGCAGTGTAAACATGAACTAATACAGTGATTATACTAGTTTTCATTCCCACTAGCAGTTTAAAGTGTTCCCTTTTCACCACATCCATGCCAACATCTATTACTTTTTTTTTATTTTTTAATTATGGCCATTCTTGTAGGAGTAAGGTGCCTGTCACATTGCGGTTTTGATTTGCATTTCCTTGACAATTACCGATGTTCAGCATTTTTTCATGTTTTTTGGCCACTGTGTATCTTCTTTTGAGAATTGTCTATCCATATCCTTAGCCCACTTTTTGGTGGGATTATTTCATTTATTTTCTTGCTGATTTATTTGAGTTCCTCATAGATTCTGGATATTAGTCCCTTGTCGAATGCATACTTTGCAAAAATGTTCTCTCACTCTGTGGGTTGTCTCTTTACTTTGCTGATTATTTATTTTGCTGTGCAGAAGCTTTTTAATTTAATTTAGTCCCATCTATTTATCTTTGTTTTTGTTGCATTTGCTTGTGGGTTCTTGACTATAAACTCTTTGCCTAGGCCAATGTCTAGAAGAGTTTTTCTCATGTTATCTTCTAGAATTTTTATGGTTTCAGGTCTTAGATTTAAGTCTTTGATTCATCTTGAGTTGTTTTTTGTATAAGGTGAGAGACGAGGGTCCACTTTTATTCTTTTACATGTGGATTGCCAATGATCGCAGTTCCATTTGTTAAGTAGGGTGTCCTTTCCCCACTTTATGTTTTTGTTTGTTTTGTTGAAGATCAGTGGCTGTAAGTATTTGACTTTATTTATCGGTTCTCTATTCTGTTCTATTGGTCTATGTGCCTATTTTTATACCAGTACCATGCTGTTTGGGTGACTACGGCCTTATAGCATATTATTAAGTTGGGTAATGTGATGCCTCCAGATTTGTTCTTTTTGCTTAGTCTTGCTTTGGCTATGTGGGCTCTTTTTTGATTCCATATGAATTTTAGGATTGTTTTTCCTAGTTCCGTGAAGAATAATGATGGTATTTTGATAGGAATTGCACTGAATTTGTAGATTGCTTTTGGTAGTATGCTCATTTTCACAATATTTATTCTACTCATCCATGAGCATAGGATGTGCTTCAATTTGTTCGTGTTGTCTATGATTTCTTTCAGCAGTGTTTTGTTATATTCCTGTAGAGGTCTTATACCTCCTTGGTCAGGTATATTTCCAAGTTTTTGTTGTTGTTGTCATTGTTGTTTTCCAGGTATTATAAAAGGGGTTGAGTTCTTGACTTGATTCTCAGCTTGGTTGCTGTTGGTGTATGGCAGTGCTATTGACTTGTGTACATTGATTTTTGTATTCTGAAACTTTACAGAATCCATTTATCAGATCTAGGAGCTTTTAGGATGAGTCTTTAGGATTTTCTGGGTATATGATCATATCATCAGCAAACAGTGGCATTTCAACTCCCTCTTTACTGACCTGGATGCCCGTTATGTCTTTCTCTCATCTGGATTGTTCTGGCTAGGATTTCCAGTACTATGTTGAATAGAAGTGGTACAAGTGAGCATTCTTGTCTTGTTCTGGTTCTCAGGGGGAATGCTTTCAACTTTCCTCCATTCGGTTTACTGTTGGCTGTGGGTTTGTCATAGATGGCTTTTATTACCTTAAGGTATGTCCATTCTATGCCAATTTTGCTGAGAGTTCTAATAATAAAGGGATGCTGGACTTTGTCAAATGCTTTCTTTGCGCATCTGTTGAGATGATCGTATCATTTTGGTTTTTAATTCTGTTTATGTGATGTATCACATTTACTGACATGCATATGTTAAACCAACCCTGGATCTCTAGTATGAAACACACTTGACCATAGGGTATTATCTTTCCGATATGCTGTTGGATTTGGTTAGCTAGTATTTTGTTGAGGATTTTTGCATCTGTATTTATCAGGGATATTGGTCTGTAGTTTTCTTTTTGGTTGTTGTTATATCCTTTCCTGGTTTGTGTATTAGGGTTATACTGGCTTCATAGAATACATTAGGAAGGGTTCCCTCTTTCTCTATATTTTATAATAGTGTCATTAGGACTGGCACCAATTCTTCTTTAAATGTCTGATATAATTCAGCTGTGAATCCATCTGGTCCTGGGCTTTTTTTTCTTGGCAGTTTTTTTTATTACCATTTTGATCTCACTGCTTGGTATTGGTCTCTTCAGAGTTTGTATTTCTCCCTGGTTTAATCAAGGAGGGTTGTATATTTCAGAAAAGTATCCATATCCTCTAGGTTTTCTAGTTTGTGCACGTAAAGGTGTTCATCGTAGCCTTGAATGATCTTTTGTATTTCTGTGGTATGTTTGTAATATTTCCCATTTCACTTCTAATTGAGCTTATTTGGATTTTCTCTCCTCTTTGTTAATCTCGCTAACGGTCTATCAATTTTAATTGTCTTTTCAAAGAACCAGCTTTTTGTTTCATTTATCTTTTGTATTTTTTGTTGTTGCTGTTTCAATTTCATTAGTTTTGTGCTGATCATGCTTATTTCTTTTCTTCTGCTTTGTTTGGGTTCAGTTTGTTCTTGTTTCTCTAGCTCCTTGAAGTGTGACCTTAGATTGTCTATTTGTGTTCTTTCAGACTTTTTGATATAGGCATTTAATGATACGAACTTTCCTCTAAGGACTGCCTTTGCTGCATCCCAGAGGTTTTTATAGGTTGTGTCACTATTATCGTTCAGTTCAAAGAATTTTTTAATTTCCATCTTGATTTCATTTTTGGCTCAATGATCATTCAGGAGCAAGCTATTTAATTTCTATGTATTTGTATGGTTTTCAGGGTTTCTTTTGGAGTTGATTTCCAATTTTATTCCACTGTGATCTGAGAGAGTACTTGATATAATTTCAATTTTCTTAAATTTATTGAGACTTGTTTTGTGGCCTATCATATGGTCTATCTTGGAGGAAGTTCCATGTGCTGATAAATAGAAAGTATATTCTGCAGTTGTTGGGTAAAATGTTCTGTAAATATCTGTTAAGCCCATTTGTTCTAGATTATAGTTTAAGTTCATTGTTTCTTTGATGACTTTCTGTCTTGATAACCTGCCTAGTGCTGTCAGTGGAGTATTGATGTGCCCCACTATTATTTTGTTGCTGTCTATCTCACTTCTTAGGCCTAGTAGTAATTGTTTTATAAATTTGGGAGCTCCAGTTTTAGGAGCTTATATCTTTAGGATTGTGATATTTTCCTGTTGGACTAGTCCTTTTATCATCATATAATGTCCCTCTTTGTCTTTTTTAACTGTTGTTGCTTTAAGTTCTGTTTTGTGTGATATAAGAATAGCTATTTCTGCTTGCTTTTTGTGTCCATTTACATGGAATCTCTTTCTACCCTTTTACCTTAAGTTTATGTGAGTTCTTATGTGTTCATTGAGTCTTTTTAAGACAGTAGATATTTGGTTGGTGAATTCTTATCCATTCTGCTATTCTGTACCTTGTGAGATTTATCCTTAAAGGAGGATCTATTTTGGTGTATTTCAATTTTGTTTAAAGATTTAGAGCTCTTTTTAGCTTTTTTTTTCTTCTTTTTTTTTTTTTTTTTGGAGTGTTGGCTTTGTAGTAGTGACATCTCTCAGCATTTGTTTGTCTGAAAAAGACTTTATCTTTCCTTCATTTCTGAAGCTTGGTTTTGCTTGATACAAAATTCTTGGCTGATAATTGTTTTGCTTAAGAAGGCTAAAGATAGGACCTCAATCCCCTCTAGCTTGTAGGGATTTTGCTGAGAAATCTGCTGTTAATTCTATTGGTTTTCCTTTATAGGTTACCTGATGCTTTTGCCTCATAGATCTTAATATTCTTTTCTTCATCTTGACTTTAGATAACCTGATGGTTGTGTGCCTAGGCAATTATCTTTTTTCAATAAATTTTCTGGGGAAGTTTTCCTCGATTAATCCCTCAAATAAGTTTCCCAGACTTTTAGATTTCTCTTCTTCCTCAGGAACACCAGTTACTCTTAGTTTTGGTTGTTTAACATAATCCCAAACTTCTTGAAGGCTTTGTTCATTTTTATTTTTAATTCTTTTTTCTTTGTCTTATTGGATTGGGTTAATTTGAAAGCCTTGTGTTCAAGCTCTGAAGTTCTTTCTTCTACTTGTTTGACTCCTCTGTTGAAACTTTCCAGTGTAATTTGCATTTCTCTTAGTGCATCTTTCATTTCCAGAAATTGTGATTATTTTTTCTTTATGATATGTATTTCTCTGGAGAGTTTTTCATCCATAGCCTGTATTATCTTTAAAATTTCTTTAAGCTAGTTTTCACCTTTCTCTGGTGCTTCCTTGAGTAGCCTAACAGTCAACCTTTTGAATTCTTTTTCTGGCAATTCAGAAATTTCTTCTTGGTTAGGATTTACTGCTGGTGAGCTAGTATAATTTTGGGGGGTATTACAGAACTGTGTTTTGTCATATTACTAGAACTGTTTTTCTAGTTCCTTCTCATTTGGGTAGACTATGTCAGAGGAAAGATCCAGGACCCAAGGGTGGCTGTCAGATTCTTTTGTCCCACAGGGCCATCCCTTGATGTGGTGCTCTCCATCTTCCCCTAATGATGGGGCTTCCTGAGTGATTGTTATTACTCTTCTGTGTCTGGCCACCCAGTGGAGCTACCGGGCTCTGGGCTAGTACTGGGGAGTGTCTACAAAGAGTCCTGTGATGTGATCCATCTTCAGGTCTCTCAGCTGTGGATACAAGCACCTGCTCCAGTGGAGATAACAGGGGAGTGAAGTGGACTCTGCAAGAGTTTTCAGTTGTAGTTCTGTTTAGTGAACTGGTTTTCTTGAATGCTGTTTATGCTAGCAGTGAAGTTGTCACATGGACAGACTCAGGACCTCTGGTTAGCCAGGATGTTACAGGTGGTGGAATTAGCTGTTGTTTTCTCCTTCCTTGGAGCGGGATTGTTCTGTTACGAATTGCTGTAATGGTTTGAGTTGGTTGGCCTCCAGCCAAGTGGTAGCACCCGCAAGAAAGCATCAGCTGCAGTAGTATGGGGGCATATGAGCTTGCCCTAAGGTTGCTGGATAAGTATTAAGGTTTCTCCGGTGATGGATGGGGCCACCGAGCCCCCACAGTTTATGCCTTTTGTCTTTGGCTACCAGGGTAGGTAGGGAAAGACCATCGGTGGGGGCAAGGAAATGAGTGTCTTAGCTCAGACTCTCCTTGGGTGGAGCTTGCTGCAGTCACTGTGGAGGATGGGGGTTTGTTCTCAGGCAAATGGAGTTATGTTGCAAGGGGGAATATGTTATGTTCCATGGGGGAATATTGCTGCTTTTGCTGTTTCGTACAGTTTGCCAGGGAAGTGGGGTAAAGTCAGCAGTGACAGACCTCACCCAACTCCCATGCAGCCAGCAAGGCCAATCTCACTCCCACTGTGTTCCTCAACAGCCAACAGAGCTGAATTTACATCCAGGCCTCCAGTGCACAGGGCTGACATCCTGCCCCAGGCTACAAGCCTCCCTGCTAAGAAAGCAAGCCGGGCTTTCAGGCTTGCTTTCTCACTCCCTGCCTGCCTGCCACAGCTTCTGTGCTCCATGTCTGCAATTCCCATCCCACCCGACCCCAGATTCTGCCCAGGAAAGTTCGTGCTCAGTTGAAATTATTCCAAAGTTCAGCTGGAAGTCTCCTTTTCCCATGGCCCTTCCCCAATTCCACTGGCTGCCCTTTCCAGGGACCTCTGTGAGACAAAGTCAGAAATGGCTTCCCTGGCTACTGGGAGTGCCTACAGGGCTCTTCCTGCTGCTTCTTCTACTTTTATATTTCCGTTGGCCCTCTAAATTTGTTTCAGCTCTAGGTAAGGTTAAATCCTTCTCCTATGATCTGGATTTTCAAGTTCCCCAGTGGGGATGTGTGTTTGGAGGTGGACTTTCCCCCTGACACTTTGGGCACTCACAGGTTTTCAGCTGTCTCACGGAGTTAGAAGCAGGAAGCCACTTCTTTCAAAAGGTCTGTGAATTCTTTCGGGTTTCCTGGTATGTTCCTATGGTAGTTCATGGAGTAAAAGTTCATGACGTGAGTTTCCACATTCTGTTCAGTCTGTTTGAGTGGGAGCTGCAAGTTAGCCCTGCCTCTTATCTGCCTTTTTTTAATGAAAAATCTCATCATTTCTGTGCAGAAAAAACAATTATAAAAGTACAGTCTAGAAGTTGAAGCCTAGAATTGGAGGTTGATGTTATAGAACCTTTATTTTTTTCATCATTTTATATGAACCTTGATACCATAACATGCCATGACATGCCATTTGTATATTCTGATATCTGTTAATTCATTTATTTTTATATTCATTTGTTCAGCTAACATTTATTAAGGATATAATATGTGCATAAAATTATGCTTGGCATGAAGGTAGAGCAGAATGGCATATAAAGCTCCACCTCAAGTAGACTTGAGGGTAGCACATATCCAGAAACATCAGTAATATAAAAGGAAAAGTCTTAAATGCCCTAAGATGCAGTTCATATAAGCAAAGGGCACTCAGTATTCAGAAGAAATGAGTCTTTCCCACCCAGACAAAGTAGGGAAGACTTTGTAAAGAGAATAGTGTCTGGTTTGATTTTTAAGAAGGCTGGATTTAAACAGGCTGAGACAATAAAGGATTACGACAGAATGTGGCAGAGACCCTCTAGAATTGCAAGGGAAGTCTGAGCCACTTTGTGGCTGACAAAAAGAAGTGTTTTGTTTGTTTGTTTTTTTGTTTGTTTGTTTACCTCTGACATTGGTCAGTCAAGCTTCGTTTGATTCCCAGTGATAAATCAGGGACTACTTTGCAAATAATTTTTTTCAACCATTCTGTAAATTTCTTATATGTATCCATTTGCTTTTTCAATAAAATGAACTTTTCAGAAATTAAAGAACCACAAATACCTAAAATACCTAAATAAATATATATTTTTGCTACTTTTATTGACAATGCAGATAGAATGAGAGAAAGTTGACAAAACAAGGTGGCAAACAGGAAATTATTAACAAGGATGAATTCAGTGGGCTTAGGGTTTAAGGATAGTAGCACTGAAGTATGACTGGTTCTCAAATAATGTCATTTTGCTATATCATTAATGAGAAAAAAAATTGATTCCCAGCTAGAGCCGCTGTCTGTGTGGAGTTTGCATGCTCTCCTCATGTCTGTGTAGGTTTCTGCAGATACTTTGATTTCCTTCACATCCCAAAGATGTTCTCATCAGGTTAACTGACATGTGTAAACAGTCCCAGTGTTAGTGAGTATGGGTGTGTGAGTGGTCCTGTGATGGGATGGTGTTCTGTCTAGGGTGGGTTCCCACCTTTCCCCCTGTGCTGCCAGCATAGGCTCCAGCCACCCATGACCCTGAACTGGAATAAGCAGGTTGGAAAATGAATGAATGAATGAATACAAATTATTGAAAGTTAAAAAAATGTTAAAGTCTACGATAATCACACAAATGCACAACAATAAACAATTCAGTACAAAAGTGCTTAGTGAGCACATGATATTTGTGTTAGTTTTTGAACTGCATGGTGGTAGGAGGTGCTCCTTACAATGTTCATTTTGCAAATATTTATTTCTTAATTTAACCCACTGCTACTACAACTGTCATCATTCACCAAATCATCAAAAATTAGGTAAATAGTTATCTTACTTGTTTTCATTTATCTTTCTTAAATGTATGTATAGCTCATGTTTATTTCAATGTTTAATATTAGAAATATTTTGGGTCTTTATTTAGAAATTTAATGATGTTTTTGTAACCAAAAAGATGCCATAAGAACTTAACTCTTGTTTATATCAATTAGTGTATAGTAAATTGGTTTAGTTATATTTTAATTATATCACTTAAAATGACAGTTTCCAAGAATCCATCAGTGAGGTTGAGTGAAGACTTATGTACTAAGGAAGTCTGGGATTTACAGGTAGAGTATTTTTAAAAAAGCGAAATTAATACTTATTATCATGAGGCAGTGTTATAAAGGGACAATCATTTCCAAAGTCAGTGTGAGGATTTGCCCGATGTGAACTTCTTTCAATTTGTGGCTGTTTGTACCTGGTGAAGCTCAGGCTGATAAATTACTTGAATGCATATGTTTATCTATTGTTAATCCTCTGAAGAGCTTAAGAAAGTTGCTGGGATTTTTCCACCTGCATATTAGTTAATTTGGGACATCGTTTTTGATGTCCATCCAAACGCTTTCATCTTAGACACTGAGTAAAATCTAATGCCAGGCAAAATGTCTGCTCATGAATTTGAATTCTCTCTTTCCCTGTTCTCCCAGAATCTGGACACTCTTTTGTGTGTGTGTGTGTGTGTGCATGTGATATGATGTGTGTGTGTGTGTGTGTGTGCGTGCATGCAAGTGGATGTGAGTGTTGAGAAGGGGAGGGCAAAAGGAGTAGTTAAGGAAGGTGATCCTACCACATATTAACTATTGGTAAACTGATCTTCAATTTCCTTGAAACTCTAAGAACCACTTTCATTAACTAGAAAGTGATATTCATCTTAGTAAAAAGTAGTTATATCAAATTTAGTAAGTTCTACAGTTGTAAAGCAATGTTTGGTCTGTCTGTGAATATTGATAAATTCTCAAACATAATAGAGTTATCAGTTTTTTCAGATAACTTTTGAAACTTCAGGCTTCGATCTTGAAAATTTTTTAAACATTAAGATAGCTGGCCTTGATCATACCCCACCTCCAAGTTGACCAATGAGTGGCATAAGAAACATTTTTGTAAGGTCTTGAAATGTGAACACAAAAAACCTTCATATATCCATTCCTGCTCCTCCTGCTCTCTAATTCCATAGAGGTACCATGAATGTATATAACAGACCTGTTTCCCTCAGCACATTTCAAAAGAGAAAACATATTCAGATCAACAAAGAGTGTTTTTAATTTACCCTGATGAGCTGTATTTCAAATCGCCATGCAGATAGGAGACTTGAGTCATTTGCTTACACACACACACATCCCTACTCATATGTTGATCACAAAGCAAACTCCTCTAATCACAAGATTGCAGGACTGAACTTCTTGGGAGACATACCAACCAAGAACCCACAACTTCACAGGGAAGTTTAATTACTACATTGCCCCACGGAGCTTACCCTCAACTCTGACAAGCAGATTTCACATTAACATGATACACAAAATGTCTAAACTCATTCTGTTCAGAATTTTTTAAAAATGGCTGTACGTTGTCTTAAGTACTCAGCCCCAAGATGAAGAATCCTCAAAGAAAACAATAGTACATAAGCTGATGTGGTAATGTCAAATACCAGATACCATGCAGAAAATCCAGTGTGAGTTTTCTCCTTCATGTAAAGGTCTGGTTCACTCACCTGAATAAACTGGCCTCTGATATGCATTACACCATGAGTATGAGATCAGAATTTTCTTCCTTGACTAATGTCTAATGTAGAAACACGTAAAGCCTATGTTTCTTTAAATAACTATGGTTATAATTATTTTAAACCATTATCAAGTGCAAAGTATTTGAGTATTATCAAGTGCAAAATTTTAAAGCATTGGTTCCAAATTATGAATCGCTCACGTTGGACAAATCACTTTACACCCAGATGCCTGACAGTTGCTCTCAAAGACCAGACTGGAAACTCTTTATCCTAACACTTAGGTTTTCTCCTAAACTCTGCAATTGCCTTGATGTCCAAATAGGAATCCAAAGGTAGTTAAAAACAATAGTAAAGGTAACATAAGAGACTAAAGAATCCAAAGAAACTGAATGTTCTGGGAGTTTCTTTATCTTTTACAAGCGTTAACAGATTGCAATTGTGAGTTTATATTTTTTGGCAAGCATGTTTATTTTGTACTGATGAAAATATTTGGCTTTGCAAAATGTGTTTTGGTCAGGTAGACTCATGACCCAGGCCATTCATCACTGGCGTAATGTCAGGACTAGGACTGTTTGGCTCATCTAGGAGAACATGAACTCCCAGCATATGCAGCAAAGAGCAGTCCCTAAAAGAGCAGGTATCTGAGGGGGGTACCACATGGCCCAAGTGTCAATAGCAGCTGCAGATCCTTGTCTCCTTCCCCACTCCACCCTGTATAGACCTGCAAATTGCAGTATGACTCAGACCTTCCCTACTGCTAGGAGAAGAATACACGGGACCACAATCATTTTGAAAAGTGGGAGGGAGTCTGTTGCGGGTCTGGGCTGACTGTCCTCACCCCCGGCTAGAGTGATCTCTCAGTGGACATTCTTTGCTGTTTTATAGGACATTGCAATGCAATAGATCTGGTTACGTGGCAGTTGTGAGCTGGTAGGGGGTGGGGTGGGGGGAGGAGGATAGATGATGATACATTCCTACTCTTGTCATAAATGAGCACAAATTTCTTCCATGGGTCATAGTCAGTATAAATGGCAAAGTCCCCAAGTTGTTCTTTGAGTAAGTCTGCCTACCATAACTCATATAGATTAAGAGTGTTTACATACATACACAAAAAATTCTGTTGCTGGGGGGTAGCTAAGCCAGATGGAACATTTTAGAAAACCCAAACACAATTTGCTGTCACATGATGCTACAACGTTGCTACTGCTGCACAACCAGTAGGGGATAAAAATGTACTCCTTGTTTGAACTTTATCTTAGCACCTAACCTCAAGTCCTCTGTCCCTTCACTGATGGCTATTTAAACCTTGTACAGCATGTACAGAAGGTTGACCACCAGTTGATACATCTGTGCTGTAGCAAACAATATTAACAGTTAGGATCAAATGCAATAATACCTAAAACATCTTCCCATTTTCTCTGACCTTCAAGCTTTCCTTATGCTTAAAACATGTTTGGCCTTTCCTTTATATCCTGGTGCTATTGGAGACAAGCTCCTGATGGAATTTTCCATATCTTTTGGCTTGTGGAAAAATCCCTTCACCAGGTGCATTGCCTGTTTCAATGGCATTTGTTTTTGAACTGCCTACTTTTTTTTTAAATCCAGTATTATGGCAGATTTGTATTTTCACAGTTTATACATCTATACTTCTTCATGGTGATTTAGGCATGTCCTGGCACTTAGTCATTAAAACACAAGAGAATAAGGATTCTTCACGATTTCTCTCATTATTGAGCCTCAGGCCCCTTTGTGTGTTTAGGGGTTGAAAGTCGGAGGGAGTGATGTTCCTATTAATAGATGAAAGATGAATTTAAGAGAAAGGCTATATAAAGATAAGCTCTTGCAACATACACATAAAGCTGGTGCTTCACTTCCCAGTTTTGGAGTGTCTGGGATGAGCAGGAATGCTGGAGACCCAGCTGCTGCTTCTGTGCTTCACCATGAAAAACTTCCCCTCTGAAGTGCTTGCTTTTTTAGATGTCACATGATTCTTGCAGCTGAAGCAATCCTTCTCTAACTTGGCTCTTTTACATGCAAAACATTTTAAATCATGTTCACATTAGCTTAGTGTACCTTAATTCCAATCTTTTAAGTTAAAATAAGAAAGAACTTGTTTTCTTTTATTGAAACAGGGAGGGGTTCCCTGTAGGGCAAAAGGGGTCAAAATATTTAATCTCCGTTTGATACCAAGTTCATCACCTTTATTGTTCAGTGAGTTTTCTTTCTGATTATCTTATGTTTTTAGAGTCTAAGTAGTTTTATATGCAAGAAACAAAGGACTAAAGTGTTTTTGAAAAATTATGCCAGAAAGAAAAAACAATTGCCTATATAAAGCTGAAACCCAAATATCTTAAACTGATTTTCCACTTAATTCCTCAATCCTTTTCTAAGAGTGTAAGTATTTAGCTAATATTCATTACATACATATTTGAATTAACTCTGTACTGTGTTTAATTCTCAAACTCTTGATCTTGGATAGCAGGACCAAATCTCTAGCTTTTTGTGCTAAAATTAATGAAAGGGAGGAAGAACCTAAGGACAATAGATGAGCCACTACCCTTGGACTACCTCTGGATTTCCCCTTCTGAGCTCAGATAGGCCAGGACCTCTGCATTCTGGATGGGCTTTTCTAGGAGCAGACTTTCTGAGATTCACAGATCTGTGACCCATTTTGACAGGACGTGTATGTAAGAAGGCATATTTAAAATGTCTGCCCTGAAGTTACCCTAACTTGCCAGTCTTCTGGAACTGCCTTTTCTTTACTATCTAAATAAACTGGATCAATACTCCAGTCTTACTACCCTTCCCTATATTTTTACAGATTTCCCAGAGGGATTTGTTTACCAGCATAACTTTTTAAAAATTTTTCATTTTTATTTTAGATTCAGGTGGTACATGTACAGGTGTGTGACAAGGGTATATTGCATGATGCTGAAGTTTGGGCATCTGTTTATCCTGTCACCCAGGTAGTAAAGGTAATACTTAAGAAGAAATTTTTCAACCTTTCCCCCTCACTCTTTCTGCCTTCTTGGATTCCCCAGTGCCTATTATTCGTGTCTTTATGTTCATGTGTACCAAAGATTTAGCTCCCAGATATAAATGAAAATGTGATATTTTCACTGCCTACTTTTCTGTTTTTGTGATTTTCTGTTTTTGTGTTAATTCACTTGGGATAATCCATGTTGCTGCAGAGACCATGATTTCATTCTTTTTATGACTGTATAGCACTCCATGGTGTATATATACCACATTTTCTTTATCCAATCCACCATTGAGGGGCACATGGGTTGATTCCATGTCTTTGCTATTGTGAATAGTGATGCAATAAACATGTAAGTGCATGTGTCTTTTTGGTAGAACAATTTATTTTCCTTTGGGTATATACCCAGTAATAAGATGGCTGGCCTGAATGGTAGTTCTATTTTTAATTCTTTAAGAAATCTCCAAACTGCTTTCCACAGTGGCTGAACTAATTTACATCCCCACCAACAGTGTGTAAATATTCCTCTTCTCTGTAACCTCGCCAACATCTGTTATTTTTTACTTTTAATAATAGCCATATCTGGCTGGTGTAAGACAGTATCTCATCGTGGTTTTGATTTGCATTTCTTTGATGATTAGTGATGTTGAGGATTTTTTCATGTTTATTGGCCACTTCTATGTTTTCTTTTGAGAAGTGTTTGTTCATATCTTTTGCCCACTTTTTAATGGGGTTTTTTTTTCTTATTGAATTGTTTAACTTCCTCATAGATTCTGGATATTAGTCCTTTGTCAGATGCATAGTTTGCTAATATTTTCTTACCTTCTTTAGGTTGTCTGTTTACTCTGTTGATAGTATCTTTTGCTGGGCAGAAGCTTTTTAGTTTAATGGGATCTCACTTGTCAATTTTTGTTTTTGTTACAATTGCTTTTAAGGACTAGGTCATAAATTCTTTTCAAGGCCAAAGTCCAGAAGGGTATTTCCTAGATTTTCTTCTAGGACGCTTATACTTTGAGGTCTTACATTCAAGTCTTTAATCCACCTTGAGTTGATTTTTTTGTATGGTGATAAGTAGGGGTCCAGTTTTATTTTTCTACATATAGTTAGGCAATTTTCCCAGAACCATTTATTGAAAAGTCCTTTTCCCGTAGCTTATTTTTATCAACTTTGTCAAAGATGAGTTGGTTATAGGAATATAGGTTTATTTCTGTATCCTCTCTTCTGTTCCATTGGTCTATGTGTCTATTTTTGTACCAGTACCATGCTGTTTTGGTTACTGTAGCCTTGTAGTATAGTTTGAAGTCAGGTAATGTGATGCTTTTGGCTTTGTTCTTTTTGTTTAGGATTGCTTTGGCTATTTGGGATCATTTTGGTTTCATATGAATTTTAGCAGAGTTTTTTTTCTAATTCTATGAAGAATGACATTGGTAATTTAATAGGAATAGTAATTATTGGTAAATTAACAGGAATCTGTAGATTGCTTTGGGCAGTATGGTCATTTTATTGATGTTGATTCTTCCTATCCATGAGCATGGAATGTTTCTTCATGTGTTTATATTGTCTCTGATTTCTTTCAGCAGTGTTTGTAGTTCTCCTTGTAAAGATCTTTCACCTCCTTGACCAGCATGTCTCTTTCTCTGAATTCCTCTGCCTAATTGGGCTACCTGCTTCCCCACCTCCATGTCCTGCTGGGCAGTACTGAGGGTTATGTCATTGTTATGTCATTGAACAGCTCTAGGGGGCACCACTAACTTTGTAGTTTATGTGAATGACATCTTCTGAAGCACATATACGGGTATACGGGTGAATGATGTCCCTGGAACTGAGCAACACTGTGGCTGCCAAAAATTTTTTTAAAAATAAAATAAATAAAAATAAAATAAAAATTATTTTTTTTATTCCCTAAAGTACTATAACTCAAAACTCATATGTATGATAGAAGTCTACAGAAGGTAATATAGCTAATAGGGAGTTAATTGCATTACAGAGTGGGAAATGCTTTTAGGCCAAGTAGGGGGAGGGGAGGGGTTCAATTTTCATAACCAAACAGTCCCAGATCATTGGGGTATTTTACTTAAAAAGAAAAAACTCCCAAAAGGAATTCCACCTTATTCCTAAACCTTTGCCCTTTTGTCTCAAAATGCCAAGATGACAGATATTTTTATTGCCTTTACAGATGGTTTAAGGAAAAAGGAGGGAAGGATGTGATGAAATCACATGGATGATTTAGAACTATGGCAAAGCCCCAAGCTGAAAACCTAAAATCTCTGGATTCATTTCTGTTTGCCACTTCACATTATATATTTAGCCTTTCCCAAATTGAGACCAAGAGGAAAACAGCTTTCAGAAACAAGTTTCTCTTATCTAGCCAATGTCAACCAATTGTTTACACTATTGATTTGAAAATTTGCCTCCTACTCTAGGTCTTTCTTACATTGCCAATTAGCTGGTTCCTAATATCCTGTCACCAAGATTAAGATTCTCTGATTAAGGATTTATAACTGGTATCTCATTTTTATTATATTTCTAGAGAAGTGAAGTCTCCCCTTACTGTGTAATTCCTCTCTCCTGACCATGATTGGTAAATACATATTTAATTGAGTAAAATGTAAATAAATTTTCTTTTTAAAACTGATTTATGAGAGTTTAATGCTATCCAAATCAAAGTCTTTAATTATTTTTTAATCCTTCAGATAGCCACTTCATTGAATACAAAATTAATTGATGTTATGAAATTTTCTTGATGTTGTACTAAAGCTAAGTAAATTGAATGAACATCATCACTTATAGAAAAATTAGAAAGCACTGTATTTAAATAGAATGATGTCCAAAATAGCTCAGTAGCCAGGCAAATATATTCTTGGTAATAGGATAGTTGGCTAGTCCAGGCTATCTCATAAAAGGACACAGATGAAACTAGAGAGACTGGCTAGAGAACTAATTATCAATTGAATATAGAGCTATATTTAAAGGATTTTATTTATTGCAGTCTGTGAAATGAATTTTTACATATATTTAAGAATTACAGAGAAATAGACAATCTTCTTCATTAGAACCTTAACTTCTCTTCCCTATTATTGTAATCAAAAATTATATCACATACTGCAATTTCAGTAGCTGCTTAGAATATATGGTTGGCTATATAGAATCTACATGGTTTAAAGAAAAAACAATCATGATATGAAATAGGGAATTCAAAGTATCAGAAAAGATGGGACTGAGTTGAAAAGACAAGAGACAAAGGTAATAGTTGAATCAGTTGGAACAATGCTGTCTTCTTTATCCCAACCTGACCCAATGTGTGTCTCTTTTGAGCTCTCTAGTTGAACAACATGTGATGGGCATTTAAATGAGGTTCTATAGAAGCAGTTAGCATACCGTGTGTCCTATAACAAATAAGGGCAGGTTAGCCATGAAGGAAATGAGATATAAGCATGAGAAAAGTAATCACTGAAGTTCACACATTTCAAACAAGACCTTTTACTACTTCTTTTGTGGAGCATGAAGAGGCTGCCTCATATTCGAGAATGTTCTCTGGCAGAGCTCCTTTCCCCTGCTGTGAAGAGGAGGGCTAAGGACTGCTGAGCTACAGTTGCAGCTCTGTTAGGATATTCCATGAAATTTCCTATCAAATAGCAGAAGGCCAGGCCTAAGTTAGTGTGGTAGGGAGTTGCCTCCAATGTGCTTTGAGGAGTTTCTAAAAGCATTTCTGTCACCAAATGCCTCCCATAAGAAAGTGCTTGGAAGTCCCATCATAATATTCATTCCTCTTACATAAAGGAGATCTTAACCAGACTCAGGAAGTCCTTCTTAGCAACACATAGTTTACCCAAGAGGTGTACCCATGAGTGACCTGAACTGTATAGATTTCTCAGCTTGGTTCCACATCCTATTAAGGATCCAGAGGGAGTGGATCCCAAGACAAGTATATTTGGGTGGCAAGTGTAGGGTGAAGACAGAAAAGTCCGAGATGTAGTAAACATTCCAGATTTAAAATAAAAACAATAAAATGTGGACATATGCACACCATCCCAGGGCAAGAATAGTGGGTTTCTAGAGGCAATGAAACTAAGGGCCTATTTGAGAAGTAGAAGGCCATTGAAAAGCAAAGTGAGATGGTTAGTACCCAACATAAGCTTTGCCTACCCCGCAATTTTGCAGTCAAGTCCTGACTTTCAGTAAGGAGGGGAATGGCTTTGGTGGTAGCCATTTATGACTCATGTATGATTGTCAAATGAAGTAAAGTAGGAGAAGTCACAGAACTCTAGCTGACTTGGGCTTCTGACTCTCTTCTGAATGTCAGTGTTGAACAGGGATCTGCCATCAGGAATTTATCTTCCTTGTTAACAAAGAGGGAGGGCTTGTGGTTTTAACTGGCCACTGATTTTTGAGCTAATAATCTGCCACCTTTGGAGATTCCATTACAGAGTTCTCATGTTATTTTCTTACTTTCAGTAGAACTGAAGAAAACAATAAACGAGAAATGAAAGTGTGCTCTGCTGTCTCTCTGGGGTCACAGGCCAGTCACCTGCGCATCCTGTACCAGTCAGGTTATCTGGCCAAACAAGGAGAGGGAGCCGTGCTACACATCAGTCAGCACATTTTATCTCACTGCTTTCCGCCATAAAAATGCCAGCGTAAAGAAAATTAAGCCAGGTGACAAACCACAACAAGAAAAGATTGTTTTCCCAAATTTTCTTGCCTGAAGAAGGTAAAGGAAAATATTAAAGGTAATTGGGTCAGGCTTCAGTAACTTAAGTGTCATATACCACCCACTATGCAACCCGCCAAATAGCCTGCAGGGTTAATAATGATACAAAAGCAAAAAAGGAAAAACTGAACTGTTTGAAAACTCACGAAATTTCCTCGGGAAGGAATTCAAAGAAGGTGAAATAAATGAATCCTGTCCACTAGGCTGATTAAAGAGCAGCAATTGTATTGTCAGTCCTGCCAGGACTCAAATGCCCCCTCAGAATTCAGAATTAGAGGTACTTGTAACCCTCTTGATTTAGACAAATGGACAATAGACATCTGCCTGAAGGTGAAGAACAGTTTTACTAACTGTCTTGTGTGGTAATTGACAGCAGCTGACAATGAAAACTGCGGAGAGGTAGGTTAAGAGGTCAGTTATCTGCCAAGACCTGTAAGCCTGGAGCATGATTTGAATGTTATACATGAGCACCAGGAAAGGCTGTGCATGTGTGACTGTGGGTATAGAACTCACCCATCCTGTGTCAGATAATTTATGTTGATGTTTCTTCTCATGTCACATGTCAAATCATGCCTCACTGGCTGCTGCCAATTTCATCAGACCCAGTGTACACAAGGATCTGTGCAGGGTGAAGGTTTTCATTGGCCCTTGTCCTTAGATCATTAGTTCGTAGCTTGCAATTAGAGAACTGCTGCAACAATAATTCAAGTAATCATAACTTTTAAAAAGAAAAGAGTTTAAGAATATATTCATAGTTGTGTATTATTATTATTATTAATATATCATTGGGACTAACAGGAAAAAAAAAAAAACCCTCAAAAACTAGAGACAAACTAAATGGCCATCAATACACTGAAATATTAATCAGCCATTAAGCAAAATGAGGTGGATTTATAAATTTTTGCATGAAAAGATGTCCATAAAATGCCTTAAGTTATTAAAAATAAAAAGAATTTGGCCAGGTGCAGTGGCTCACGCCTATAATCCCACCACTTTGGGAGGCCAAGGCGGGCAAATGGCTTGAGTTCCGGAGTTCGAAACCAGCCTGGACAACATGGTGAAACCCTATCTCTACAAAAAATACAAAAAAGTTAGCTGGCCATAGTGGCACACACCAGTAAACCCAGCCACCTGGGAGGCTGAGGAGGTGGGAGAATCAGCTGAGCCCAGGAAGGTTGAGGCTGGAATGAGCCATGAGCACACTGCTATACTCCAGTCTGGGCAACAGAGTGAGACTCTGTCTCAAACTTATTTTTTTTAATTTTTAAAAAAGAATTAAATTGAGAACAAAATATATTTTTTGATTCCATTTTTTGTTAAAAAATAATTTTTTTGATATATGAGAGGAAAAGAATCTGAAAGAGTACGCTTGAGGAATAGGTTTGAAAAGAGTAAGATTTGGATTTTATTTCTTACTGAATACACTCTTTGCTACTTACATGTTTTGAAATGAGCATAAATTCATTTATTAATTTTTTAAAATAGCCAATTTCTTATTTAAAAAGGGGAAATGGTAAAATAGAAAAAAACAATATGGGAAGAGCTGAGAAGTATGGTTCAAAACTGTATTTTTGTGGGCAGATCACTTGAATTGCCAGGGGTAGTTAATTTTATTGTACTTGCTTAGTTTATGTTCAATTCTATTGGATAACTTAAGATCTATATTTTCTCTTTAGAATGCCAATGTGTGTGTCTGGCATGTGTGTGGTTTCTGATAGCACACTGAGAGAAAAAAAGAGAAAATGTTGAATTATTTCTACTTTTCTTATTTTTGTTCTCCATTTGGGGAGGTCCTTTTTATTCTTTTTTTTCTTCCCTCATTTCTTTCTCTTTTATTACCTAATTTTTATTTGTGCTAAAACTGTGTATTATTCATGAATCTTTTGCTTACAAGAGACAGAAACCCAGCTCAAAAAAGCTTATGCCATAAAAGAGAAATTGCGTTAAATTTTTTCATGAAGATTTTCTTTTCTTTCTTTCTTTCTTGCTTTCTTTCTTTCTTTCTTTCTTTCTTTCTTTCTTTCTTTCTTTCTTTCTTTCTTTTTTTCTACCTCTTATTGCTGCTTTTTTCTATGTTGCTTTCATTCTCAACCAGGGTGTTCCTTCAGGGTAGCAAAGATGGCAACTGTGGCTGCCCTAGGCTTACATCACCCTCTGAGCTAACAAAAGTAAGAGAACAAGAAAGACTACCTCTTTTTAAATAGGTCTAACCAATCATCTGTCCCTGTGCAATCTTTATGGCCAAGAGGATGTGAAACCCTGATTGGCTAGTCGTGGTCATGTGCCCATCCCTATACTGAGGGAGGCAAGTGTTCAACCAATCTATCAATGGGGGGAAAGAAGAGTTCTCAGAAGAAAAAGGTAACAGCTCTTACAAGAAAAAAGAAGGTCTGCTAAAAGGCAAAAACAACATGGAACATTAAGTGTCATACTTCATATAAAGAAGTAACAGAGCCACCTTCCTAAATGTTTTGAGAGTTTCCCTGCCCAAGGTTTCTATAATTTCTTCTAAATATTTCTCACTGGATTAGAAGACATGGTTGCTTTTTGTTTTCTTACCTGTGTATCCTGTTATGAGCAAAAAGTTTGCTCTGTTTCTCTGGTTTGCCCAACTGGCCTGTCATTTGCCTTTTGGTGATTTATCTTAAAAGGAAATTCTGGTAAAATGAAAACTTTTGATTTTTAAAACACCTTATTTGATTATGAGGGAAAAAAAATACAGTGTTTCAGATACAGTTTTTGAAAGTCTTGAGCTGGTGAGTTATTGCATAAAAATAACTTATGTTCTTCTTCCTGAGCCAGCAGTCCTTTAAAAAGCAGGTGTTCCGGATACTGGAGATGACAAACAGCTTTATAACTAATGTGAGGAAGAGCAGAGGACAGTAGACTCCTCTGCCAAGTGTTAAAGCCAAAGGGAAATATTCCAAAATGGACTTTTCTGTAACTATCTCAAAACAAGGGAAGCCAGAGGATTAGTAAAACAGTAAGTGTACAGTCTAGTCACTTTGAAGCCTGACATATTAGCTAGTTTGCTAAGGGCATACGTTTATGTAGATCTTTTAAAGGGAAAAGATTTTTCTTTCAGCCAAGAATAAAGATGCAATAGTTTTTCTCTGTCTTCAGCTCATTTTAAGTATTATCAACATCTGTTGCATAGTCTACTTGGAGTGGGACTATTTTTATGCAGTTTGCAGAATGCACACTGGATTCTTAACACACTGACTGTAAAGGCTTATTTCCTGATTATTAAGTTGTTTTAGAGAGAGAAAGAAAAAGAGATGTTAGGTATAGGATTAGAGAATCATGCAGGCTCTCTTTCTGTTTGAAGAAGCACAACAGACCGGAACTGCAATATATTTTGCAGCCCCTCAGCTACTGAGCACAAGGATAAAATAGTATTTTGTTTTGTTTTTTAATATTCCCAGTTTCCTTCTTTTGGAACATCTACAGAGCACATCAGTAATTTCCTTCTAGCATTTATTGATGAGTTTTCTACCAAACATCAATTTTTCCCATACTGTGTAACTGTCACGTTCATCTGTTACCATTCACGTAAACCTGTAGCTAGTTAGCCACCTGTTTTCCCCCTTTTGACAACACTGCCATCTGTTTTGATGGAATGGTTTGGGATGGAAGTTTAGGGAGCAGGTATGATGGGGATGATTTTTCACATTCCCAAGAACAGAACTGTCCAGTAGAAATACTACATAACTGAAATATGTGATTTTAAAGTTTCTAGTAGCTGAATTTTTTAAAATTAAAAATTACTGGCGAATTTTTACTTTGGAATATTTTATTTCAACGTAAGACTTTGAAATCCAGTGTATCTATTACCTTCACAACACATCTTAATTCGGACTAGCTATATTCCAAATGTTCTATGACTACATGTGGCTACTGTATTAAACAGTGCCATAGAAGGACTAGAAGGACTCTGTAGGCCATACTTAAATTATCCATTGTGGACGTATGATCATTTTATATAACACTACATAGTTCTGAGTAGTTTAGGATACTATGAACATAAAATTGTTTTTTTCAAAAATCCTTGTTTCCTCAAATCTGTACCAAGATTCCAAGCTCTTTTCCCCTAGTCAATCTATCTACTAAAAGCCATTTCCAAAGTCAGGACAGATTTTAGAAAACGTGGAAAGCTAGAGGTGAGGAGAAGTGCTCAAAATTTACAGCTCATAATTCTTAAGTTAAATTCTATATTAGATAATGACATTTTTAAAAAAGTATCCACCTGGTTATTTATGATTCTCATAGACTTTTCATCACTTTCATGATTTCTGCTACCCCTGACTTGCTCTTACATTTATTTTATGTTCTAGTCTCAATTCTCCAAGGTTTTGGAACGATTAATCTCCTTTTTACCTTGGCTACACATTTCTAATAGCAGTGATTGATCCTCATGCCAGAGGATGCCCTAGGAGTTTCTACTTTCTCTTTAGAACTGCTTTCTAGGGATGAGTAGTACGTGGTGACATTGATCACACCAAGGCTTTGCAAGCACTTTAATATGTCAACATTTCCACTTGTGTTTTCTGCATCTATGGTTAATGGAGGTGGTGGTGACGATTGTTTTTGTTTTTGTATGCATGTGTGCCAGTCCATGGGGTACATTGCACATGAGCCTCATTAAAGCTTCCTTAATCACTAACTTAATTTGGGAAACACTCTGCACACCTTTTTGGCTTCTGGGTGGTTGTTGGATGGACACTCAGCAGTACAATCTGCCTCCCCTACCTGGAACATTCCTCTATTCACTATTCACATCATTAACTTCTTCTGGTTCTTCAAAACTCAGAATTCTTCCCTAACTGCCCAAGGCTGTATTAGATCCTCTCTTTATTTTCTGCCACAGCTATCTGGGTTTTGTCTTCATAGCACTTAGCAACAAGGAAATACACATGTTTATTGACTGTCCATAAGAGCAGTCTGTTGTGCCTGTTCTGTTCACCTCAACAGAGCCTAAACAATTATCACAGTGCCCAGTACATAGCAGGTGCCCAAGAATATTTGCTGAATAAATGCATGGAAAAGTACTTTGTATTTTTTCAAGAACTGTATTTTTCCACTGATAACAAATTAATGACAAACATATCAAAATCATATTAAAATCAGTACAGAGTTTAAAATGCTGATGATACTCCTCTCATTACAGATGTTTCATTTTTGAAAATTCTTCTATGTCTGTTCTTGAGTTATGAGTCAAATCATCTTTGGAGGTCTGGGTAGAATGTTAATGCTGTTTACAAATCAAAGTTTAGTATCAAATGAGAAGATCTAAATATTAAGTGCCTTAAATTGCCAGAGAACCAATGGCAATACTTAAACATGAACTAAAAGGTTTTTCAAATAACATTTCACATACTGTGACTATAATAAAAGTCGGGTTGTGGAAAGCTATACACTTACCACATAAGAATATAAGATATACTATTATTGTGGCTTAAGGAGCAAATAATTCAAGTTATGTTTAATGCCGTGATACAAGTGGAGAAATAAGGATATTTATAGCCAGCTAGCCAGCACTCAGCTTCAGGGTCCATATTTCAAATGGATTCACCCATACTCCATAAGCATTATAGAGTTTACTTACTTAACAAACAGTAATTCTCTTAGTATGTTTAATTGTAATTTTTTTTTAATATTAGCTTATTTAAGTCTCATAGTCTTTTGAAGTAGAGACTATTAGCATCCCATTTTGTAGCTGAGGGAACTGAGGCCTGGTCATATTAAATAATGTTGAAGATAAAATAAGGCCAAGTGTGGTGTTCATATCTGTAATCCCAGAACTTTGGGAAGCGGAGGCGGGTGGATCACTTGAGGCCAGGAGTTTGAGACCAGTCTGGCCAACATAGTGAAACCCTGTCTCTACCAAAAATATAAAAATTAGCTGGGCATGGTGGCACATGCCTGTAATCCCAGCTACTTAAGAGGCTGAGGCATGAGAATCACTTGAACCCAGGGGGCAGAGGTTGCAGTAAGCCAAGATCATGCCACTGTACTCCAGCCGGGACAACAGAGTAAGACTCTGTCTTAATAAATAAATAACTTTAAAGATAAAATAAGTAAAGCTGGGGTTTGAACCCATGGAGTCTGACCCTTGGATTAATATCCTTAAGTCCTCTATACTATAGGGTTACATTGGACTTTGAATTTAAAACCATTTATTCCATCAATAATTACTTTCTTTTCTATTCCTACAAATCACCTTTAAAAAATTCCCCATGATTTACAAGGAACTTTTTTTTTAAATCAGCCATCAGCTTTTTTTTTTTTTTCATCTAGTTCAATATGTAGTCAGCATTTTTCTCCTTGTTTTTTTCTAAAGACGACCATATGTCCCCAGTCCAGGGAATTTGGCACTAGAAGCTACAAATTTGGGGAAGAAAGTAAAATTCACAAGATAGTCATATTTAACAGGACTGAAAACCTTACTTCATTTTCAGAACTAGTCTTTCTTCCCAAAAGTTGTTTGGAATTAGGATTTATTCTGGTTTGGAACAGTGGTGATTATAATTACTTAAGCATTCCATGCACTGACAGCTTTCTGCTGCTACTTAGATGTAACAATTCTAAAGTATTTGTGAAGCTTATCCAAGGGGAACAAGTTTCTGTCCTATTAATTCACTAAAAGCTGCTTAAAGATAAAGCCAGAGACTAAAGTCAGTTATAGCTTTAATCCCCATTGGATCTAAATCCCCTTTTTCCATTTCATAGCCATGTGCATCATCCATAAACCAATCTAATTATTTCCAAATGCATGTCCTTGCTCTCAAGTTAGAATAGATGAGTAAAAAGATAAATTACTTGTATCATAAAGACAACAGAAACTCCGAATACAACTATATCAGTGGATTTATATTATAGTAATATCAAAGCACAGATTATATGCTATAGTACAATTATTATCAAAATGAAGAAAGGAGACTTAATAGTTACCTCTAGGACCAGAAGCAATTAAAAATATAATGCTGTTACAATTGATAAGTAATCAATGGAATGTGTTTTCATTGGTTTCATAGTCTGCAGCCATGTCAGATCCACATGCATGTGGCATGGTGTTCGGAAGTTGACCTGCATTTCTCTTCAAATCATTTAACCACACTCAGCTGACCTGCATTCCTTTTTAAACAACCTAATCAAATTTATTTCAAATACCAAAACCTTCAGTTAGAGATTTAATCTGTGTTTATGCACACGTGTGAAATCTCTAGTGTCTAAACGTGCCCTTGCCTAAGAGTACTCCATGTTTACAGAATATAAATTTCATAAGATTTCCCAATTTTTTCAGTCTTAAGTGAACTTTTTCATTTCTTTTTTTTCTTGAAAATGGAAATCCCCAGTCAAGGTCAGACTGCCCCAGATGATGTTTGGTTTTATGCATGTTGGCCTATAATCAGGGAGTCATTCTGGGAGGGAAAGTATAGGTGCCCCTCCCTACGGATCTCTCTCATTCCCTTCTCCCCCTCGCCTTACATAGTCTTTAATCTGTGAGATATACCAGTTGTTGAAAGCACCCATTCTAGGCCTGCATCTTAGAAAATATTTCTCTTTCCTATTGCCCAAGTTGGAAAGTAGTATAACCTAGCAGGCAAATTACTAATTTGGAAGCATTTGTATATTAATTCTATGATGTAGCGTCCACTAGAGGACTTGCCTGCATATTTAATAACTAAGATATTGCTATACACATATGTCATGGTATGAAAATAAATGTGGTGCCCATTCAGCAAGGGTATGGCATATTCATTTATCCCCAAGATCAATACTCTGATGAAGGAGGGCTATTTATTTCAGCAATAGAGAAAACAAACCTAAGAAAAAATTGAATAAGTCTGTACAATTTGTAGGGTTTTAAACACTCTTCCTTATTAAAATACCCACTTTTTGGTTAAATAACAGATCCATGATATCAGTTTACATTAGTGACTAAAGTAGTTACTAATGAAGATGAAAAAAAACAGTAGAATACAAAGGGGGAAAGGATGGTGTCAAAGAAGAGAACCAGAGAACATTGATTTTATTCATGCCCTTGTAATAGAAGAACACCCTACATCTGAATATCAGAATGTTTCTGTAGGTTGATTTTCCCTTAGATTTTATAGGGAAGAATAGACAAGTTACAGGTGGGATGATTTATTGTTTGGGTCGTTTTGCAGTCAGGGGAAGTCTAGGTCAGTTAGCTGAAGAGGAAATGTTTATCTCTGTTTCTAGCAAGTTTCAGAGGGACAAACAGTTTTAATCTCAGCTAATCATTCATAAGATAGAGAATGGGAAGTTGAAGGGTCTGTGTCTGGTCTTATCAGCAGATCCAGGCAAAAAGGGGAAAGTCTGTGTTTGGTCTTGTCCTAGGTAAACAAAGGAGTCATCTGTGAATCTTATGGGGGTCGTGAGAAAGAGTGGGCTGAGAGTTTTATTTAAGTCACATGGGCAAGGGTGGCTCTTTGTGGTGAGCCATTTCCTGGAACACTAAAAAGCTGAGGGATTTCTCAATCATCACTGTTTTCTGGAAGCACCAGGCTCAGGTAGATTTCACCATTGTCGCTGGAAACCTGATTCAGACCAGGGGCAACAGTGGACAGATAGGGAGATGTGATGTGACCCAAGGGGAGTCATTCAAATACACCTGAAAACTATAGGCCACCTTGGGAGGGTAAAGGCTTTCCAGTAAAAGTATCCAGGAAAAAGCAACTTGCTGAAGACAATGTGGATAGAATCCCTGAGAAAAGCAACCAGTCCAATGAGGCTCAGGTAGCTGTAGAAATACCACTTTTAAATCAAAATTGAAGGTTTACAGATGAAGCTGAGTGAGGAGAGGCAAAGAGTCTCTCAAGGCCTAGGTGGAGAGTGAGCCCAAGTCAGCCTCAGTGCTAACCTGCCAAATCCTAGCTGTTGGGTTAAAGTAAGAGTAGATAAATCCAGTCATGAAGCTTATACATTGCCTGCCTGAATGGAGTTTGAAATTCATAGTTTCTGTCTATATTCTAGCTGCTACCCAGATTGACTATGCTCTCTGATGGTAACTCATTATGGAAGATAAGCACAGGGGAAAGATCATAGCCCCCAAATCACATGATTTCTAGAAAACGCATTAGTCCCTTGTGGATAGTCTCTATTTTTGCCCCAAAATGAGTGTCATAACACATGGCAAGACACTCATTTATCTGATTGTGTTTTTGCACATGTCTAACAGTTTCCATTTAAAATACCAGCAACAAAGCTGCCGATGAATGATACGTAGGAATAGGTAAAACAGAGTAATAGAATTAATTGGAATCCCAGGATAATCTCAAGGAATCAGATTAACAATCCATAAGATTTCTTCTACACTAAATCTTTTATTAAAGCTGCTATATTATAAGCAGTTAAGCTTCTGGATTTGGATTTCATCTCCCTCCCCATTATAACTATCAGAGGTGCTAAGAAGATGCAAAATACTAACACTTGGCACAAGAAAAGAGAAAAAAAGAAATACTGAAGGAAAAAAATAACTTTTTAAAAGTGAAAAGCAATCATGAAGAACAGATCAGGTGAGGAATGTCAAATTGTTAGTCACATCCAGCTCGAGCACACAGGGACACACATGGCAAGAAAGATGTGCCCTGGCCTAAAGAAAAAGATAAGGGAGGTACGTTCAGGGAAAAGGAGGTGGGGAGAATATGTGAGCGTGACCTAAAACCTGCTAGAAAACTAGGTAACTCCATGTTTTTCTATAATGATTTCTTTCCTTGTAAAACTCAAAAATGTTCAAAAACTGGGTTCCTAATCATTCTTCATCAAAGTCCACAGTTCTTTACTCTTTTTTTTTCTGCAGTTATTTACGAAATTAAAACTGCTATAGAATTTATACTTCTCTTCAGCATCCATTTTTATACTTAAGCTCTCTGGCTTTTATGTAAAATACCCAGAGAATTTTCTCATGTTTTATAATATCTACAGTGAAGTGTAATATGTTCATATTTCCTCATATTATTATTTACCAAATATTCTAAGGATTATTTACCAAATATTCTAATTATTACCAAATATTCCAGGATTATTCTAATATTGTAAGAATTGCACTTCTTTGTCCTCTTGTGATTTGGTAGAGCCACACAATTAGTTCGGGCCAATGAGCTGTGAGCAGAAGTGATTTGTGTAACTTCTGAGCCGAAGCATTTAATTCCTAGCATAAACTACTGGAGGGATGTATTTCTCTATCTAGAATTACCAGCAATATTGTTGTTAGTGGCTCCTCCATTGGGCTGCCATCTTTTTTTTTTTTTTTTTTTGGCGGGGGGTGGATGAGGTCTCACCCTGTCTCATAAGCTGGAGTACAGTAGAGGAATCATAGCTCACTGTAACCTCAAACTCCTGGCTTTAAGGTATCCTTCTGCCTTGGCCTCTCAAAGTGCTGAGACTGCAGGCATGGGCCACTATACCTAGCTTGGGCTGGAGTCTTAAAGTGAGAAAGACATGAAGCAAAGATGCAGCCCATGTGCAACTGTTGTACAGTGGGAGCAAAGAATATATTTTTATTAATCTATGGAAGTTTGGGGTTGTTGTTATGGGATTGTTTGTTACTGTAGCACAGTCTAACCTATCCTGACTGATATAATCAAATTTGCAAAAATATTTAGTCTGATTTTTGATATAAATAACTTATAATTACATATATACAGTGGGAGCCAAGCAAATAAAACTCAGCTCCAGAATAAAAGAGCAGCCTGGCCTGACCAATTATAGCTCCCAACCAGAATCAGAATGACGCAGACTCATTAATAAGAATAAAAAATCTGAGCTTTTACCACAGATTTGGATGGTTAAGTCAAATCTACACTTTAAAAATAGAAAAAATAAGGAACATTTTTTTCTATTTGATCATCAATAGTGTTATGGTAGTTTTATCCAATTTTTGTAGCACAATAAAGATATATTTATAGAAATTGGGTAAAAGGATAGAGAAGACAGATGTTTAATTGTAATAATTAAATGAACAAATTACTGGCAGCTCTTTGGCAGATGATATACAGAGTGAAATGCATTTTTGTACTAATTATTTTCAGTAGCTAACTCTTGAGTATAAAAATGTGTTCAGTGTTGAGGATCCCAATATGAGTAATATGTACGCCCTGTCATCATGATGGGAACTGACAATTGAATAGAAGAGGATAAGAAACAGACAAGAAACAGAAGTATGCTAAGTGCTTTAAGAGGAGTACACCCTGTGCTGTGGCAGGCATGGGTGGGGCATCCTAAAAAATGGTAAATGAGCCAGTGGCTGGGCTGCTAAGCCACGTCTTGGGAATAACTAGCCCATAGAGGCAGCTGCTTGATTAGAAAACTGAATGCCAGAAACTGGTTGTCAGTAAGAAGCAACATAAGGACTACTTCCACACTTTGGTATATCAATTTGTAGTTTGAATTTGGCAAGGGTATGCACAGGAGAAGCAAACCAATAAACAGTCCAAAGGAAGGCAAACACACAGCCTATGTGGGAAAGTGTATATAAGCCTAGATTTAAATCACACTGTAAAAACAATCACATGGAAACAATGCTAAATATGTAATCAAAAACATGTTAGAAACCGAAAAAACATAACAAAAGAACCATAAAAAATAGAGGAAAATATCTGAAAAAACAACTCAAAAGATTGCTCTTTTACACTGTAGCATGCTATTCCCTTGGCTATGCAAAAATGGGAAACTTTATTTCCCAGGACAACCCACTTTCTGTACATACAGCACTATCAGACCCCTTCTTGTTGAATCATTTATACTGAATTAACACCTGGCTCGACCAGAGCTAATGAATATTTAGGACAGTTGGAAGGAGATGACCATTTACAATTCTTCAATAAATGATTCCTTCAATAAATTAAAATCTGATTTTCAGAAAACAGAGTGTCAAAATATTTAAGAGAATAGAAATGAAGTATGTTCTCTGTAGATCATGTCAAGGGTGACACCAATCCCATCCATATCTACTGGATGAAAGCAAGATGTGCTTTTCTCGAAGTTTACACTAGGCAAAAAAAAAAGGCAGTTTTATTTTAACCAGATGTGAACAAATTAAACCCAATATTTTCAAGTATTTTTAGTGCCACATGATGTCATCCAATTTTATATTTTCTACTGGGGGATAATGTGTATTTTTAAAATTGTGAAGCCACTTTCCATGTATGTACTTAAGACTTACACACGATAAATTACAATAAACAAATTACAACACCGCCGGACATGCTCTTGGCTGTTTATGTCAAAAGCCGAGAAAGAAATTTAGGTTTTCAGTAGGACATGGAATTAGACGCATGTGAAATGTCTTCTGCTGGCATTCAAGTTAGTCCTCATTTCAATGACGATGGTCCTGGTCCGAACAGGTCCAGGGCAAGCATTACTCCGGCTATGCCCTCCTAGTACACTGTGGACTCCACAAAGACTGCAGGCAGTCTTAGGCTAGTTACCCAGGAAACCCCAGCTTTAAACAACCAGAGCCTTCCTTTTTTTGTTGTAACAAGATCACACATCCCCATTGCCACTACTCAGATAGTGCCGGGTGTCCTAGGATCTTGGCGTCGCTCTTGTCCTCTGGAACAGGCATGGGAATGAGGATGCCTCTAAACTGACCAAGACTTACTTCCTCATGCTTTTCTCTGGGGCAGCATCAGGCAAGCAGCCATACCCTGGAACAAGAGTGTGGTCCTCAATGGCTTTGCTGAGTGAACTTCTCCAAGTCATCTCGCCTGGGAAAGAGATTTCTCAAAGACCATTTAAAGCTTTCCAGAGGGCAACAGCGAGACAGTCGCGAGCCAAGGTTACCATAAATGCTTCCACAACCCCTGATTTCATTTCGGAAATAAGGAAAGAAGTAGTCACCACTGCAGGCGTTGCTTACGCCTCATCCAGCAGCCTCCCACCCCCAATCCCTCAACAATTAAGAGACAATAAAAGTAAAGATAATATTACTGTAGGGCCATTGGTACACTGAAACGTCGTTGAATTAAAAAGTCTTTATTTCAGCCTAACATCTTCTCCATCCACCCACACTTGAGCACAGAACATTCCAGGCAGGCAAAGCCACCCTTGCCCTCCTCTCCTTGGCCACGTCCTCAGGGGTGGGCGAGCTTCGGGGGGAGGGGTGGGGGTGAAGACTCCGTGCCAACGCAAAATACTCTGCCAAAAGGCTTCTCAGACATGAGTTTCCCAGGGCAATGCCCACCTTCCGTTCCCCGCCTTCCCGAGTCTCTTCTCCCAGTTTATGCTGGAACCCTGGAATGGTCTGGGGACCAATGAGATGGCAGCGGTTAACGCTTGGATCACGGTGAGGGGGCGATTTCCAGGGGGAGAGGCCAAGAAGCAAGGAAGGGGGTGGGGGGCAGGAGGAGAAAAGTGGGAAGCGCGGACAAAAAGTAGGCGGGGAGGAGAGGAGAGCCCCAGCTGGGGAAAAGCAACGGCAGTCGAGGTAAAAAGAGCGAAAGGTAAAGAAAGAGCAGGTTCGTGGACAGGAGCCGGCGGGCAGGCCGGGGGATCCCTGGTGAGGAAGCGGCGAGGGAGGGGCGTGGGCCGAGCCGGGGGCGCCGCGGGGAGGGTCGCTGTCAGTCAGGCCGAGCGGGGCTCGCTGGCCTGGGGGCGGCCGCAGGGGCGCAGCGCAGCCTGAGGGCGCGGCGGCCCCGGCAGCCTCCGCAGTGGCAGTGGTGGCCGCGCCCCCGTCCCCGGCCGGGCGCCCGCGCTGCGTTCCTTGTCCCCCAGCGCCGGCTTCGGGCCGCGGCCGCCCAGGCTGCCCCCGCCCGCGCGCGCCCGTTGGGGGGCCCGGGGAGCGGCGCCCGCGGCCGGGCCGCATTGTGACGTAGCGGGGCCGCGGCAGCGCCTCCACCGCCCGCCTACTTCGGCTGAGGCTGTTCTGCTCCTGCCGCTGCGGTCCGTCGGTCGGTCAGTCAGTCCCTTCGCGCTCCTGAGCCGCCGGCGCGCCGGGCGCCCCGGGTGAGTCCAGGTCCCAAGCGGACGCCGCGGGGAGGCGGGAGGCGGGCAGCCAGCGGCTCAGCCTTTCCAAGTTTGCACCAGGCGACCCCGGCGGGTGTCGCCCCGTGCTCCCCAAGCCCCGGGACCCCTTTGTGCCGCGAGTCTCGGCTGCTCCGGGCAGCAGAGGCGCCTCTGCAGAAAGGGTTTGAGGGGGAGGTCTCTATAGTAACAGTAACAGTGGTGGCGGCAGCGGCTGCTTTACTGGGGAAAGGGGGAAACAACCCCCGCCTCGGTTTCCAAAGGATTGTTCTTTTCATTTGCCCGCCTCATGTGGTTCTTATTCTTGCTGTCACCCGGGATCTTATCGCAGGCAGGGATGGGCAGTTCCGCGGCTCGGAAAAGCTGAGATAAGGAGGGGCGAAGTAATAGTAATAGCGACAGTACTAACAACGGTAATAATAGCTGTAGAAAAGGGACGTCTGGTGTTGCTGCCGCCCCTCGCTCATCAGCACCAGCTCCCCGACTGCCCTGTCCAGCCCGGGCTCCGCCAGCCTCCCTCTAGTGCTGTTCTGCGTCCCAGGCTGGTCCGCGTGGATTTCAGAGGGGAATGTTTCTCTCTTGGCCTTGTCTCTTGGCGATGACTTTCATCTGCAGGTGGTAAGTGGGGTGAACCCAATTTTAGCTAATTGTCAAAGGCCACATTTTGTTTATTTCATTTTTACGAAGAGAAAAGAGGGAAAATTATGAGCCATTACTGGCAGCCATACAGTTTCCACAGGAAATACTAGCATTCTTTGAGGAACACGCTACTGCTTGCAGCGAAGAAAGTCTTAGGAAACAAAAAGGCAACAGCATTGTTGCTCATTTTCAATGGACGGCTAGGAGGGGGGAAACGTGTTGTTTTTTCCTGTGGGAACGTTGCTTTCCTTGGGAAAGTTAATTAAGGAAGCATTACTGTCGGTGCCCCTTTTCACTTGCTGGAGGCAGGATCGGATTCCTCTTGGCTGTTACTGACAAGTGCCCATCAAAGAGCCCGGAGGACGGGAGAACTGCTGCAGGACAGTCTCGCCACACACCACGTGCCGTGGAGCCTGGCCAGGGTGCAGTTTGCAAAATGAAATAAGGGCTGTCTGGGGAAGTTTATGAGGATTACATGTGTGCACAGTATGTCAGTTCTCCAAGGTGTCACTCTAAACACGTAATTTTCAAGCACTACTTTCGTTGCTGAATCTGTAGGAAGGGAAAAACCTATTTTTCTTTTATGGAGCAGACATCCCAATTGGGAATGGGTTGAAATCTGTATTTCATTTGTACATATTGAAAATTTAAAAGGCAAAGAACAAGGTGTAGGAAAGCAGTATGCTAATGTGTACACATCTGGGAGAGAAAGTCTATTGACTGTTTCTGATGCATCTCAATGTTAAATTACATTCAGCATGGTTAGAGTACAAGGAGACACCTTTAAGCAGTCCTCAAGACTTTTTGGAAGGTGCAATATTTCGGTACTGATCGCGGAAGTCTCTCTGGAAAGGGAGTATTAACTGAGGATTACCCATAACTAAATATGTATGCATTAACAGGTCTGGAATCAGAAAGTAAAAGATAGTGCTTCTCTTAAGGATCTTTTGGACACCTCAGTTAGAAATAAAATATAGCATGGGATTTTGAAAAGAAGGGGTATAATTTTGAATGTAAATTTCATTTTCTCCGTAGCAAGCATTTCATGAAGAAAAGTTACAGATAGTAGATTTGAAATGATGCTGCATTCATGAATTTGACGGTTACCATTTGTTGATATCCAAAAGGAAGTGACTAAAGCAAATGCATTTCTCTGTCTACTCTGTCACAACTTTCCTAATTCCAGACAGTTGTTCTGGTGCAGGTGTACAGTGGAAATGCAAGCCAAGAAACTTTGTGCGTGCTATTGTTTTGGAAGAAATTGTAGCAGTACTTTACTGCTCTTAAGGGAAACCCACACAAACATCTAATACAAACAAATGATCTTTGATATTAGCAGAAAAAGCCTGGAGCTGTTTTTCTTGCCAGATTTAAGGCATTTCTTGTCAAAAGAGGAAATCTCCCAAGGAGCAGGTGCATCATTATAGGAAACACAAGGGAATTTCTCTTTTAAATGCAAAATCTAATTGAATAGCAACAAGAGAATCAGTAACACTCTTAGAATAGAAGCTTTGTTTTTGGCAGTTTGTCAGGTTACAGTTGCAAACCACATAGGAGAAATATGTGTCTTGGGAGAAAAATGATATCCTGGTGAAAATCAAATAGTTGCTTCTGTGAAACTTTTACCCTTATATACTTATTTTCTTGTGCCCATTTGATTTATATGCAGATTCACTTGCAGGAAGTTATTTATGGAAAATGAATCAAAAACTTGTTTGCTAGTATCATATGTACTATGCATGATTTTTCACTTTATAGATTAGGTAACTAGATTTATATTTTATGGTTTGCATCTTAGCGGTTTTTTACGTTTTTGAAATTAATGATCAAAATATGTGTTAAAATAATTTTTAATTGATAAGACTGATAGCTAGGCCCTGGGAAAGTACTAATTGATTCCTAAATAGTTATCGTGCATTTACTTTGTGCTTATTTGTAATACAGCAATTTAAAATCCATAGTCTTTTCGTAAGGAACATTTTCATAGGAAATAGGACCCATGGAAAATTAAATGATACTAAACATCGAAGAACACATTTCATAATTGAGTGCCTAAGATGCTAAATAGTAATTGAAAAGGAATTCTGAGGAGAGAGTGATCAAGGTAGCTTAAATGTTATATCAGTTATTCATTGCTGGATAACAAATCCCCACAAAATGCATTTACTTAAAATTGCCACTATAGCTTATGATTCTGGTGGTCAGCAATTTGAGCTGGGCTCAGTGAGATGGTTCTTCTGCTATTCTTAGTTAGGTTCCCTCAGACGTTTTCAGTCTGCTGGTGGTATAATTGTGAATGGCTTTACTTATATGTCTGGCAGTTATCAGACTGTTGGCCAGGGTAACATAACGAGTGGCTGGGATGTACCTCCCATTCTCCAGCACACTCCCCTTGGCTTCTTTACATGGCAAATCAAATAGTGTTGTAAGAGCAGTAAAAGAACAACCTGCAATGCAAAAGCAACTTTAAAACCTCACCTTGAATCACATTAGCTACTCTCCCATTAGCCATGTCAAGTCAGAAGGTTACCCCAGATTCAAGGGGTATAGAAAGAGTCCACTTATGATGAGAAGGAGCTGCAAAAAATTAGAGCCAGTTTTTGTGATCTACTACATTTTTGAGGATACTTGTGTCTAGCAGATGTTTTCTGCTGAAAATAATATGTTAGGAGAGCATATTGGAGCCTGCTTAGCAATAGCCCAGGATTTAGGTTAAGTAATTGTCCAGTAAATCATTGTCCTGCAATTTTTTTTCTATAAACCCCAGGTAGAGGAAGTATGACACAATGATAATAAAATTTTAGTCATATCCTTCTGACAGTGGTGTTGGGATGGTTTGGAGACAGGAGGCTGGTGGCAGGGTGAGCTGAGCATTGTTGAAAGTTGATGTTTTTGAGAAAAATGGAGGCAGGAAAATTGGAAAGGGGTCGATCTGGGAGATCCCATATTTAGGATGAGGTGACTGATTATAGGGGGTTAGTAAAAGTAAAAAGTCGAAAGCATTCTGAGATTTAAAAATACTTAAGTGACTAAAAGAATGATTGTGCTTTTGTAAGAAATAGAAAAATCAATAAGGGATTTATTTGGGGGAGGAGAAAAATTCAGTTCCAGAAATGTTGATTAAAAGAGATAAATTGAATGTCAAAGTACTTTATAAGCTGCAGAGTAGGCTATGAATGTTAGCTATTGTTTAGTGTTTAAATCACAGTGCACTATTGTATATAGTTAAGTTTCTTTATGTGTATATCAACAGAAAACAAAATACAACCTCAGGGATTCCCTAAGATGTCAAAGGGAAGTCAGAACCACTACTCTCAGGATGGAAGGTCTACTCTTAGAATGCTCTTCCCTTAAACTAAGCATACCAGGCAAGAGAACACCTTTGACTTAATTTGAGTGGCATCCACACTCCTGAGCCAGTAGCACTGACTGACAGCCACACCAGGTCAGCACACAATGCAAAGTGGGTGGGTTCACCCTTAAAGGACACTGGAGCACTGCTGTCAGAAGTGGAGATGGAAATAGGGTGACAAGACCAACAAATGCTCACCACAGATGAACACTTGAAGATTTATTTCGGCCTAGACGTGGGGAAGCAAGAGGTAAGAAGGCAGGAGGTGACAACTTAGGCATATGTCCATAGAGTGTAGATGCATGAATAATAGTTGAACCCATGCTTGTGGTGGAGTTTTCTCGTGGAAAATAAAGAAAAGACGGTCTGGCACAATGCCTCATCCAGACTCCTTCATTAACGTTAATGGATGTTTAATAGAAGGGAGAAGAATTCTAAACATGTTCTGTTCTGCCTTTCACCTAAAAGCTCATGCAAGGTGCTGTTTCTTCAGCCTCATTTTATGGCCAGACTGAAATTCAGGTGGTGCCCTTACCGCAAAGTGCAGCTGCTGGGCCAGACAGAAACACCTGGCCTCTCCAGCTTCACACAATTAGTCTGAACAGCATACACAGCTGCTCTTTATGGAACGACCTTGGATGGACCAGCTCAAACCAAAGAATACGTTTTTATCATTTTTATTGCACAAGTCTAAAACCCCTGAAGACACTCAATAAATGTTAATTGAACGAGTGGATGTGCCATTATCTCGTGCAGTAACGTTTTTTTAAAATGATCTGGTCTGGCTTTTCATTATAAGTGTAGAGTTTGCTATAAAGTCCCTAAGTGCCTTTTGTAGACTTAAATGTTTTAAGGTACTCTTGTCACAGTAATGTAGGTTTTTTAAATCCACCACTCATAAAAATAAACTATTTTTCCTTTATTGAGACACAGTTGTCTTTCATCCTTGTGTTTGTCAGGACACTTGGTTGCAAATCACAGAAACCCAGTTTATACTTGCTCAAGTAGGAAAGGGCATATACTGGCTACTGTAAAGGAAAAGTTCAGAAAGAATCCAATTCTGATTTCTTCTTTTCTTCATGGTGGCAAAATTTTCATCTGCAGCTTTAGGCTTAACTCCTGAGAAAAAGAGAATTCAGGATTAACTTTAATTAGACCACTTTGATCACATGCATATGCTTGAACCAGACCCTATGGCCGGAGATTTGGACCATGCCACTTGACTCAGCTTTGATTATGAGCCCAGTCCTGGAGGCTTTTGGAAGGGGAGAGTGGTATGTGTGACGGCAGGTGGGAAGGAGTGTATGGGAGTGAAGGAAGTACATGGGAGACTAGTCAGCAAAACTCTTCTAAACCATATAACCTGAGAGCAGGGAAGGGGTAGTTTTTAAAAGGAAATATTGAAAAGAAGAGATAGGAGATGCTGTGCGTGCAGAAACAGCAGATATCTATTAAATACTATAACACCTGTTTTCCCTGACAGGCATATCATCCTCTCACTACACCTCCAAGCCAGAGACCTGGGAATGATCTCGATCTGACCTTCTCCCTTTCTTCCTCCACCTAATCAGTCACCAAGACCTCCTGCTCCACTTCCTTTCATGTTTCACTCTTCCCAAGTCACCTCTACAAATGCTGCCTTCAGTCTCTCAGCTTTCAATCCATCCTCCTCACCGCTGCCTGCTTGCTCTTTCTAAAGAATAGATAAAATTGAATTATATAACTCCCTGCTAAGAACCATTCCAAACCTTGTCATAGTCCTGGAGAAAAGTACAGGCTCCTACCATGAATTCCAAGATTCTCTCTGAGGTGAGTCCTGCCTCCTCCTGTGGGTGCAGGGGATGGGTAGGTGCTGGTATGTTCAGCAACGCCTTCTTCTAGCTGCCCATATTATCCCCATGCTTAAATGCTTCATTGCATGTGCTTTTACATGGGCTGTTGTCTCTGTGGAATATTGTTTCTTCTTTCTCAAACTATGAACTATTAAACATTTACTTATCCTTCCAAACTCATCTCAAGTGTTGCTTTTTCAAGAAGCCCCTGCTGAACATCCCCTCCCAGCCTCTCCCCACATCACACTTTATCCTGTGGTACGTATGGCGTTGGATATACATGTGTGTCTCCCTCTGTAGACTAAATGTCTTGAGAGCTGGACTTACTTCCTTATCTTTGCACATCCTGTGCTCAGTACAGTGCCTTGCCCACCATGTATCTCAAAAATTTTTAAATAAATGAGAGAAAAATGTGTGTTGAATCATTCATCTTTCATTTTTTCAGGTGACTTTCTTTAGGTATATTCTATTTCCTTTAAATTGATTTTCACATTTGCCTCTTAGGATACTGGGACATGAAGACAGATTCTCTTTGAAGCTGCTGCTCAGACACTTTTTCAACAGTTTTCTCAATGGTTTATATACTTACTTATTACTTGGTCACTAATAACAACCTTAAGGAGGAGGCTGGAAAATATCAGTGACCCAGAGTAAATCTCCAGGCTAAAATCTATGGGTCAGAGACCAGATAAGGAATCCTTTTCCCCCTATCATCAGAGAGGATATTTAATAATTAATATTTATGAGGCACTCTGTTTTGAGTACTTAAAAGATGCCTTACAATTACTTTCTTATTTAGTTCTCACAGCAGCCCTAGGTAGGAGGCGTCACTGTTATCATCTTTTTTTTTTTTTTTTTTTTTTAACAGATGAGGAAACAAAGATTTAGAGATTTGAAGCAGTTTGTCTGCCACTAAGCTCCTTCCTCCTGGCGACTGCCAAGTGGCCAGACACTCACCTGAGTTGTTGAGGAGTAGAATAAAGCTTTGATTGGGCTCTTCCCATTCATCTGTTATTTTTTGTTGTTGTTGTTTTTATTCTAAGATGAGTAACCATCATCTTGAGAATAAAACATTATAGCTGCCTTCTTTGGTCATCAATCCTATAAAAAAAAAAACTATGGAAAAAGGTGTATTTAAAGAGGTAAGGGCTCCAGTACTATTGTTGAAATTAAGATCAGTTTCTTACTTATAAATTCCAGTCATCTTCCTGTGATACTGCTGCTGCCAGAAAATAAAAGCGTCTTATGGAAGGAAGTTGTACTGCTGCATATAAAATGCAGGCCTCTTGAGGAGGCACAGAAAAGCTTGGTTTTGAGAGTCATTCACAGAGCTATTCCATAGATAAATAGAAGGAGCTAAACACTTTGGAAGCCACAGAAACTCAATAGTTCTTAAACTGTTTTCAGTCTGAGAGTCTTAAGAGCATCATATGAAAGCTATGGATTCTTTCCTTGAAGAGAAAAGATGTCCACACATACCCCGCTTTGTATTTAATTTTAGGGATTTCAAGGATCCATTGAATCTCGTCTGTGGATTTCCTGGGACTCCTTGGACTCCAGGTTAAAAAATCTGTTTTAAAAGCTGATGCAGAAGGAAGATATTAGCCATTGTTGAATGTTTACTGTGTTTGACATGTAACCATTTATTCAGTGTTTACCGGATGCCAGCCCTTTTTGAAAGGTACATTATAGCTAAGCCATGCATTATGAGTCCAGTTTTAAGCCATGGAGGAGAACGAGGTTCAGAGAGGGAACTCACAGTCTCCCACTGGGAAAGTACTGAGAATAGAATTAAACACAGAACCCAGGTTTGTATCACCACTACTTCATGCTGCTTCCGCACTCATTCATGCAACCAAATGAAGCTTAAGACTTGTGCCACTGAAATTTGGATCCTCTGTTGGTCCTGACTTCCCTCAGCCTTCAGCTTCTCTTGTTAAAAGTAAGTTAAGTGGCTGCTTCTGCCACAAGAGCTTCCTGGAATGTGTCCAGTGCAAGAGCAGTCAAGGGCTGGGAAGGTCTCACCTCACTCTCCTCCTTCACCTGTGACAATGTTTTCACAGTGGGACAGATAACATCATTAGAGTGACAGCACTACTGGTTTGATCATCTCTAGGTAAGTTTCTACTTCTTACTCATTTCCGAGTACAGTTTGCACACTTGGAAACTTTAACTTAACAGATGCTCAACAGCAAAAATGACTGCAAATTCTCCATGTGACCCCTCTTCCACAGTATTTATTGAGGCCTGTATTCTGGGCTCTGTCCTCTAAGTTGCGGTCACAGCAGTGAGCAGACAGATGTGGGTCCTGAGCTCATGGTATTTATAGCTAGCTTATATCTAGCTAGGAAGGGGGCTAATAAATAATCGAAATAAAGCGTGGTAAGTGTTATGAAAAAGGAAGTATCAAGAATTTATTCTATTCAAGTTTCTTCATTCTTTTCAGCTTAAAAACTCTGATCACAAAACATTGTATGTTTCTCCAGCCCTTTCTTCCCCCAGGATGTTTAGAGTGCTTCAGGTTTCCGAAAACTTAGTTGACAGAGTCAGGGGGATATGCAGGCCAAGCAGTTAATCTCAGTCCCCGCTTTGCAGATGAGAAGGCAACAGTGACCAAATGACTTAACCACAGATGGAGTGAAGACAGGGGTAACTGCTTGGTCTGGTCCCCAGTAGAGCATTGCTCACTATAAACCACAAGCTGCTTCTAATTTATTTGAGATGTTATTATCGTGGCCTTTATATTCTGGTCTCTCTTGCTGCAAATGAGTCCGGCAGGCAAGCACAACTCAGAAAGCAAATTCACCTTCTTTGTAGCCCTTGATGGGTCGGTCCCCCTGTTGTCTCTTTCTCATTCCATAGGCATTTCCCCCACTCACCCTCTTGCCCTGAGACCGCCTCCCCAGATTTTCTCCTGAAGCATTGTCTTGTGACTGCACCAACCTACACTGGCAGATAGAAATGTAATAGGATCCATGAATGGGAGCCATGCAGGCAATTTCATATTTTATAGCAGGCGCGCTTAAAAAAGTAAAAGGGAACAGGTGACATCAATTTTAATAATATATCTTACCCAATATAGCCAAAATGGTAGCATTTCCATATGTAATCCATATAAAAAATCATTAACCAAGTACCTTACATTCTTTTTTTCCCATATTACATCTTTGAAATTTGGTGTATGTTTTTTACTTACCTCAATTCAGAATGGCCACATTCCAATGTGGCCACAGGTGGCTGGTGACCCCTGCAGTGGACTTCAGGCTTGGACTCTGAGGAGACCCTGGGATGCCTAAGACAGACTTAGTGACCACCTCCTCAGCCTCCCTCGACACTTAGCTCAGATCTTTATTGCTGCTCCAATAGAAGGTTCACAAGGTTGTTTTCTCAAACCTGGGTTCTTGAGGGAAGGGAATATGTCTTTGTCATCTTTCTATCTCTCATGTAGAGTGCAGTGTTTAGAAAGCCCACCATTGGCAGTGGGTACATGGTGAATCATTAATGAACAAAGGAGGGATAACTGTAACTCCAGGAGTTGAAGGGCTTGGTATATGGAGGCTTACCTGTCCAACCCCTGCTCCCTGGCTCTGTTCCCCCATCGCAGGGGCTCCTGTTTCAATCTCCCATCTTTGTCCAGTGCTGCAGAACCACATTGGAGTCAGATTGAATGGACAGGAGGCATCTCCAGTCACACATCTAGGCTTCTAACCTAGAATTGTATTGAGACTGTATACACCTTGTTTAGTTTTTGTTTCACCTCTTTTAATACCAAATACTAGAAGAACTTATAAGCAGTCTAGTATGTGAAATCATAAGTCTTATTCAACAACATGGAAAAAAAAAACAAAAAAACAGGACAGACCAAACACAAAAACAAAAACTCGTCCAGTGAACAAGCCTCCTGTTGAGATTGCAAACAAGGCCAACTGACATATATAGAACATTAAATATACAAGAGAAGAGTAGCCTGCATCAGGGAGCTGTTAGAGTCATCACGATGAACTTTCTGTTTCCAGTGGTTTTAGAGTCATCACTACTCCCTCTGAGAGAACTGGAGATTTATATCCTATGTCAATTTGCCTTTGCACATGCAGTATTTAAATTTTGCAAGTGCTTCTAACCAACTAATGTGCATGTTAGCTTATCTACTTTACCCCCAAAGATAAGTGTCACTTCAAATAATTCATATAACCCAACCTAAAAGATTGGTACTTCCATAAAACCATACTAACCACATATTCAAATAAATTCAAAGTTTGAAAATGGAGGGAAATATGTTTGATCTGTTAAGTCATATAAACATTTTTAAAAGGGATTTTTATCTCAGAAAACAGCACGGTTACCTCAGGCCCACTTAAAGAGTACATTGGACTGGAAAGTTGAATAAGGTCTAACCTCAGTTTTACCATTGATTACCAGTTTCAACCTGGAGAGCTCATTGACCTGCTTTGAGTTTTTGTTTCTGAGTGCATACAGGAAAAATAAATCCTGCTGTCACACACTATGTTTTAGGAGGATGAATGAAGTCTAGAAAATGTTTTAAACAATTCCTCAAAAAAGATATTTGGAACAGTTTGAGGGTGAGGTAGCTTGCCAATAATTCCACAAAGTAAAATCTTAAAAATAATAGCATACATTCTATAGCAGATAACTAAACATTAGCCATGTTTAAGTAATTTGATGATCTTGTCTTTACTAAGACAAGGACACTTCAAAATAGAATTTTGCATCTGTTGGCTACAGTTTTGGGAATGCTGCTTTCATTTGGGATTCTTAAAAAAGAATTCGTGCCTCTTTGCAACTAAAATATATTTCTTCAAAGATGACAGCTCTGGTGTTCTGTGTTGGTGTAATTGAAAACCTATAAAAAGGCTGAGAGCTACTTTTGAATTGGCTCAGTGAACTTGGACTGGATTTGTCGAAGTGGTGAAAGGTTTAAAAGAATTTTCATAAATGAGGTCTCCAAGCTGTGTTTTAACCATAGAATTCCAATGAACTCCAAGGCCCATGAACTCGGGCAACAGCGCCTCAGAGAAGAGCAGTCATATCAAGATGAAAATAAGTGATTCATTTTCATTCCCCACGTTCTGCAGACATAAGCACACTTAGCCACTGATAATCATAATTTAGCAGTACTGTTGTGCACTAAAAATACAATTTAAAAGTCTAATCTTTAATTAAGTTGAGTACTCACAGATTAACGTGGTTACAAATCTTGGGCACTGGATGTAGTACAGTGTTTACTCCTGTTGCTAGGAAATACAGCAGAGCTATTTGAAAGTTACAGATTGATTTGGTGAGAAGGATGTGAGCCTCTCCCAGCAACAGACTTGCTCATTGCTTCTCTCTTATGTAATGTATGTAAATGCATTTCATGCCGTGGAAGTCCTGTGCATTCAAAGCTTTTGTTGCCAATGGAAGCACAGGTGTGTGCACCTAAGTCAACGTTCAGAGGATATTTGAAAAAGTGGTCTTACCTAGAACTCCTGGATAAAATAAGCATCACGATGTGTGAGTATTTGAGTTTTCAGTGAAATGAAGTTTTCTATTTGTTAGAGTTACCACGAAAATAGAGTGTTCTTTAAAATCTAATTATCGTGAGGCTAATTGATGGCTTTGCATTCCTGCCATTAGTGGGAAGCTGTCAAATTAGTACAGAAATTCGATCCAGGTTGATGGTTTTCCAAAATTATTAAAATGTGCATGTAGGAAACCAACTCTGCTTTACTTTTCTTTCTCCTCCCCCCTCCAATCCCCTCCCTGCTTTGGCAAACCTTGTTGCGTGACACATCGTACAACCGTTTTTAAAAATGCAAAGATGATTCTTACACAGCATGAAAGGGAGTAGCTACATGTCAGTTCACTTGCCTTGTCCCTGAATAAGATGAAAGATTGCTATGTGCTATTTTAGTCAGGACCAGGTGTGAAAGAGTGGCCTCCCCAAGCTCAAAAACAGGACTAAGAAAAAACCCACAGGGAAAAATTTCTATTTGATCTATTTGAGGCAGGCCCTTCCACAAAGGGACTGGTATTTCAAAGCAGGGTCCTTCCTAAGAGATGAAAAAAATAGCAGAATACTTAATTGTCTCAAGGAACAAAATCAGGAGTAGGATGACTTGTGCTGATTGTGAAATTATATCCTACATCCAAGCTTAGAACAACCTGGATAGAATTAGGGAAGGGTCCTGCTGGGGACCAGGATCACCACTCTACTCCAGCATGCGTGCTCATGACCTCTCAGTAATTAACACACTTTTACTTGCCCTGTGGATAATTATTGACTAATTCCTATAGAAAGCCAGTTGTTGATTTTGGTATGAATTGTTTTCTCAATGTATACGAGTATCTTTCACAGTGTCTGGTATGTATTGTATGATCAGTATATGTCTGTGGAATAAATGAATCCTTCAACATGTCTAACAAGTAAATGTGTTCCTAATATAAGTTTTAAGGCTTATTCCATTGCAGCTAATAGAGGTTAGGGGCTTGTTTCACAAAAGATATCTTGTTACCTGTTATTTACACTCAGAACATCCATCTGAGGCAAGGTGCTGTCAAACAAGTAGGCAAAATGCCATGTGATGGAAGGTTTCACTGCTCAGCCACTAGTAGTAATTGGTGATGGAATTATAAGATGTTTAAGACCCACCATTACAGAACATTTGATTCTAGAAGGGAATTTGGAGCTTTGACAATAATGAGATGGAAAAGTAAGATAAAACTGGCACATGGATTACAAGTTTCTTAAGGGTATTCTAGTCATTCCCCCTATCTCCCAAAACACCTGACAGCATAGAAATAACATGGGATCGAGGTGGTGGAAAGGAGGCAGAATAACATAATAACTGATTATGAGCATGGGCTTGAACCTCAGAACAAGGCCTGGCTCAGCGGCTTACTGTGTGTGATTTGGAACAGCGTATTGAACCCCTCAGTATTTTGATATGGTTTCTTCCCTTTTTTTTATCAACAAATATCTATTGATTATCTCATTTCTTCAAGGCAAGTTTGGGACACTTGGGATAAAATAAGACTAGTGGATTATCAGATCCATTCTCCCTTTCTCCACCTGCTCTGTGTGATAAGATGGCTGGCCAGCCTTATGGAATCCAATCAGCAGGCTCCCTTGTTCTCTGGCTTCCGGTTGGGTTTGGCCAATGGGGTGGATCAGCAAAAGATTAACAAACAGGTAGGGAGGGAGAGGTTTGGGTATTTTATTCCCTGGGCTCCCATCTTACCAGATCACCTCTCCCTACTACAAGGCACATGTGCTTACAGGCAGCTGTCTCCCTATGGCTGTTCTCTGGGTCCTAGTAACTGTGCCCTCCCCAAGCAACTTTAAGCTGATAACTGCTCCCTTTTAGTCTTACTAGCTCAGAGTACTACATCATTGCTTGCAGTTTCTCTAAACCTTGGCCACAGCTTTGCAAATGCCCTTTTTACTAAACAACTCTCAAATTGCATTTGAGTATGCCATCTATTTTCTTTGGGGAACCTGACTGACACAGTGATTACCTGTCTCAGAGGACACTGTAAGAATGGCAGGATTTATCAGGAATTTAGTATAACTATTAGCTCTTACTATGCATTCAACAAAGGATTATTGTCATCATTAGCTTTTTTATTTTTTTACAAAGTATTCGCAATATTTTTGCATTCTTCAATTTTTTTTGAGTGAGAAGAAATCTATTACCTTGCAAGTGTTAAAGATGGGGAAAAATGAAACAGAGGTCAAGGGCTAAGGTCACACAGTGCTTCAGTGGCAGAACTAAAAAGTGAAGTGAGGGTTTCCTATCTTGTTTCTGTGCACGTCGTACACAGTTACAATATGTCTGGAAGAGAAAGTTGCAGCTTCAAAGTTAAGTAAATTAAAACATAACCTAATTGGGATAATTGGGTATGCTTAAACTAATAAACTCTATTTGTGACCACTGAATAATAATTGGGGTGAAATATTGACAGCTCAGCATCTTCAACTTAATTACTGTAAGGGCTGAGGCTAAGCATTTTCACATTTATATCCTCCTGGTAGTTTCAAGACAGATGATCCTTAGGAATGAATTTCTTGTAGGCTCTTGAGGGTAGATCTGTTTATAAGCAACACTGAATAGGAGACCAGCATTCTAATGCTTGTGTAGTAGGTTTTTCTACTCATACACATTTGTCTGACTTCTCTCTTAGAGCTCTCATTCATAAGCCACATAAAGTAGGTCACTCTGTGATATTTAGAGTCATCTCATCTGTAACTTATAGTACACTCATTAACCTGTTTTTCAAGAATGAAAACTAACAAATTCCCTAAAGAAGTAGTGGTCATCTTGAAAAACAAAACATACTACTACAACTTCTTTCCATTTGATAATAAATTTGTCATAGTTATTGAAATTTCAAACCTCATGAGTGTATCTTTCACTGCCTTGGAAAAATTGTCCAAGTATTCTCTTATAGAATAGAGAGAAAGGGAACTTCAGAAATGTCTCCTTTTTTTTTTTTTTTTTTTTTTTTTTTTTTTTTACAATTAAGTAGAGTCAAGGGAGGAATAGCAATTTGCAAGGTCTTTTGATGTCAGCCCAAATAAGGATTTATAGATTGTCCCTTCTGTGTAAGGAGCTGAGTAGACAAAAACAAATATCTTGTTGCCAGAAGAGCTCATGCTTCTAGAAGGAATTATTTTCATTTAAACATTTGGGTCTCCCTCTCACTTTTATAAACATCTTATTTAAGGCCAGCTCCAGGTGGAAGTCCTGCCTTCTGTCTTTATAAAGAAAATGCTTTCATAGAGTGGACACTTAACATATATAAACTTTCTCAACTATGTATGTATGTATGTATGTATGTATGTATGTATTGCCTTTGAATTATCCTTTCTGGAGGAGATACTAGATCAAAGTACCGTAATGATCTCCCAGTTGATCCAAGTGAAATCTCCTTTTGTTTGTTCCAGACCTCTACTTCTGTTTAGATTTCATTTCTTTTTATTTTTTGCCTCAAGTGAAATAAAGTCCAATTTTTATTGAGAGGAACTAGTGTATTCCTAGTCATTACTATTCTAAATGATTTCACTGTTTTCACCACATCAGTTGTGTTGACATGAGTACCAGTAATGTGGTAATAAAGTTCCTAATGGATCATACTGGAAATATCACGTTATACCCAAGAACCTTCCTTGGCTGCTTGCCAAACAGAAGTAGGCATAGGTTCTTTAGAGTAATTGATGATGTTTGCAGATGGAGGACACATTATTTCGGGCAGTCATTCTATAAATATGCTCTGGTACTGTATGGTTTGGCTCTGTGTCCCCTCCCAAATCTCATCTTGAATTATAATCCCTACATGTCAATGGAGGGACCTGGTAGGAGGTGACTGGATCACAGGGGCAGTATCCCCCATGTTGTTCTCATAATAGTGAGGGAGTCCACACGAAATCTGGTGGTTTAAAAGTGGCAGTTGCCCCTGAGCTCTTTCTCTCTCCTGTCACCTTGTGAAGAAGGTACTTGCTTCCCCTTTGCCTTCCACCATGATTATAAGTTTCCTGAGGCCTTCCCAGTCATGTGGAACTGTGAGTCAATTAAACCTCTTCCCTTTATAAAGTACCCAGTCTCAGATAGTTCTTACAGCAGTGTGAAAACGGACTTATATAGGTACATTTCTTTGTGTGTATGCAGTCTTTTTCTTCTAGCTAATTTCTGTCTGGTGGAGAAGAAACATTTGTATGTCAGTAGTGGAGTCATGTGCCAAGTGCTATAGTCAGAAGGAGAGAGGGAACTATGATCTCCATGTGAAATGGGGAGGAAGATGGTTAGATTTTCAAAGGCATCACAGGAAAAGTCTCATGTGATTTAGGGTTAAAGGCCAAGTGGGTATTCACTAGGCAGAAAATTTAGGGGACAGTGTTGGGATTAGACAGAACTTGGGAAACTAGATATAAGTATTTTGATGTGACTTCACAGTAAAATGTATAGTACAGAGTATCAGAAGATAATGTTAAAAGGATAGTTTGAGCCAAGTCTTGATCTGTTTCCCATTGCAGTAAGAGAAAGCTTATATATCTTTTTCAATGAATGTGATTAATAAATAATCCTACATAGATTATGTCACTCATTCTCAAGGTTTATACTATCACCTGTGTTGGTGACTTCCAAATTTGTATTTCTAGTCCTGGGCTAGAGATCCTCTTTGTCTTCTGGCCATCAGCATTTTGATGTTTATCAGCTCTTGCAAAGTCTGCACCCGCAAAGTAAACTCATTACCTTCCCTTCAAAATCTTGGCTCTGTCCAAATTTCCTAGTTTGGTGAATAGCCCCAGCTTTCAAAAAATTATCCATAAATACTCCCTTCTCTTGAACCCTCTCAATATTTTCCAATATCTAAACACTCAACAATTCTTGGCTTACTTATTTGTTAAATTGTTCTGAATATTATTGTCTCCTTTCCATCCCCATTTCTTGTAGTATCTTTTTTTTGGATTGTCATTATTTTCTCTTTCAATTACTGCAGCAACATCTTAACTGAATTCTACACCTTTCTGATCAGTTCTTGCTCCGTTAACACATTGATCTTTCTCAAATTGATCACATCAGTGATTTTGCTAGTAAATTTTTCGTAAGTCCTTGCTTGCTTTAGTATAAAATCCTAAAACACTTAGCATGACATTTAAGCCCTTATGATTTGAGCCTTGCCCACTTGTCCAGCTTCATGGGACCCATGGCCAGTCCCTTACCCTTTTCTAGCCTTATTGAATAACTTGAAGATTCCTAAAATTTCCAAAGTTTGTTAGTCTTCTGGGTATTTTCCTGTTCCTGTTCCTGTTTCCATGCTTCTTACCCTGTCAACTCATTTCTCTTAACCTCTGCCGTTACTCAAGTTGGGGTAAAGTGTTTCCACAATTGTATGGTGATAAATTATTTACTCTTCTCTGTCTCAACTAGACTGCAGGCTCCTCAATGCCAGGCACCATGTTTCATTCATGTCTGCCACATTTTCAATGCTTAGCTTCATGTCTGGCACAGAATTATAGCAAAAATAATAGTGTTTACTGAGCACTTATTGTATACCAGACAAGGTGCTAATTTGTTTACATACATTATTTCCTTTAAAGGAGAAGAAATCAATCTATGCTTTGGAAAGGTAATGTGGCAAAAAAAAAAAAAAAAAGATTTGAGTACAAGATTTATTACAGGGAGTTCAATCAGGATTATTTCAGGAAAACAAATGAGAATTAAAAAGAGGTTAATTATTCATAATACTCCCTCTCTTGAACCTCCCGGTGTCTCCCAATATCGAAACACTCAAAAAGCCTTGCCTTATTTAGTTGTTAAATTGTTCTCAATTTATGGTCTCCTTTCTATCCCCATTTCCAGTAGGGTAGGGGAAATAGAAATCAAGTGAAGAAAATTTATGATAGTAATTCATAAAGGTATTGAATGGACAGATAGATAAATGAAAAGACAGCCCAGCATATGTTTGTTAGAACTCACTGAGGAGCTTACTTTAACTTACAAATCTGAATAACTTTGGTGCAAAAAGCTTATTAAGATTAGAGGAGCAGAAACAGCTTATGTGTCCAAAAGCAGATATATCATGAGAGAGTAAAATAACATGGCTTTTAAAAATAGATATTTAAAATTATAAAGGTACATACAAATTATTAAGTTAGATTCAAAAGCAGTTTTCAAGTAAATATGGAAATATGTATCTTAGAATTACTCTCATCAAAATGGAACTTCAAGTGGAGCCATCATAAGCTTAGGAGTTGTCAATGGAGACTAACGGTTAAAAGTGTGGACCCTGGGATTAGAGCACCTGATTTGAAGTCTAGCTCACTCATTTGCTAGCTATAAGATGGGGGCAAATTGCTTGACCTCCAAAATGGAAATGCCTTCTTTGTTTTAAGGATTAAATGAAAAAACAGAAGCATGTGCCACTATAACAGTGTGGGATATAGCAAGCACTTGATGAAGTATGGGCTTACCTCCGTGTACAACTTCATTTCTTTTTTTTTTTTTTTTTTTTTTGAGACGGAGTCTCACTCTGTCGCCCAGGCTGGAGTGCAGTGGCGGGATCTCGGCTCACTGCAAGCTCCGCCTCCCGGGTTCACGCCATTGTCCTGCCTCAGCCTCCCAAGTAGCTGGGACTACAGGCGCCCGCCACTACGCCCGGCTAATTTTTTGTATTTTTAGTAGAGACGGGGTTTCACCGTTTTAGCCGGGATGGTCTCGAGCTCCTGACCTCGTGATCCGCCTGCCTCGGCCTCCCAAAGTGCTGGGATTACAGGCGTGAGCCACCGCGCCCGGCCTCATTTCTTAACAATAGTGAGAAAGTGAGCAGTTACAGCATTTGTATTTCAACTTATATTTTCACCTGGCTTTCATATCTTGTAGATGTGTTATAACAGAAAATTTGCCTAGTTTTATATGAAAAATACAATTTGCATACTAAAATTTACTTAAAGGAACTTTGCATTGTGAGGGTACAGTCTAAGTGCCTTTGGTTTTCCCATATGATTCATGAAAAAATTTACTGAGATGAACAAATGTTAGTAGTAAGCCATCATTTAATTCAGCAGTCCCTAACCTTTTTGGCACCAGGGACTGGTCTCATGGAAGACAATTTTTCCATAGTTGGGGGAGGGGATAGTTTCAGGATGATTCAAGCGCATTACGTTTATTGTACACTTTATTTCTATTATTATTACATTGTAATATATGATGAAATAATTGTACAACTCATCATAATGTAGAGTCAGTGGAAGCCCTGAGATTGTTTTCCTGCAACTAGATGGTCCCATTGGTGATGGTTGTGGAGGGGTTGATGGGAGACAGTGAGAGATCATCAGACATTAGATTCTCACAAGGAGCGCACAACCTAGATCCCTCACATGTGCAGTTCGCAATAGGATTCATGCTCCTATGAGAATCTAATGCCACTGCTGATCTGACGGGAGGTGGCGCTTGGGAAGTAATGCCAGCAGTGGGGAACAGGTGTAAACACAGAGGAAGCTTTGCTTGCTCACTGCTGTTCACCTTCTCCTGTGTAGCCTGGTTCCTAACAGGACTCGAACTGATATCAGTCCATGGCCCAGGGATTGGGGACCCCTGATTTAATGCACACAATTTATTAAAAATATGGTCCCTAGTTAATTCCTGTGTGACGTGAAATCTCAAGTTCATTGGGTTTTAAATGTTCATTAAGCAGTCCCTTTTACTATTCACTATTTTAGCTACTTAGTCAAACACCTTAACAGAAAGGCTCCTTAAAAATACACTGTTTCCCAGAAGTTCAGAAGATATAATTAGTCTCTACATATTTTCAATGTACAAATATTGTGTCCTTATGGAGAATTACTTAAGAAATAAAAAAATACATATTCACTGATTTAATGACCTTCCTAGTTTTTTCAGGCCACTGTGACAAAATACCATAATCTGGGTAGCTTGTAAATAACAGAAAATTATTTCTCACATTTGTTAGAGGCTGGGAAGTCCAAGATCAAGGCACCAGCAGATCTCATGTCAGGTGAGGGCCCACTTTCTAGTTCGTAGCTGCTGCCTTCTTCTGTGTCCTCACATGGTGGAAGGGGCAAGCCAGACTCAGCACATTTAATGTCTCCACTTAATCCCGTATCGTTCTCTGTAACTTCACTTTGCATTATTTTTTCATCATAGCACTTACCCTAACTTAACATGTCATGTTTATTTGTTTGCCTGTTGTCTATCTCCCCCACCAAAATATTAGACGATACATGAAAGACTTTCTTTTTGCTTACTGATATATTCATCAAACCTAGCACAGTGCCTGGCCCATAGCAGAAATTCAGTAAATATTTGTTGAATGAGTAAGTGTACAGATACAAGCCTGCACTTAATAAACAATCCTAAATAGGGAGTGCTGCCACGTGAATGTGTTTTTTTGTAAACAGTGTTGGCTGATTAGAATGTGATACTTGTTGACTGAAAACACATAAAAAACTTGCAAGATGCAAAGATGCATCAATAGGAAAATTTTAAATCATTCTCCAACTCCAGACAATGATTTAACATGTTGATGTGTTTTCTTTCTTTATGTATTTGATATCATAATGATGTGTCATCCTGGATATATTATTTTGTATCTTGCGTTTTCCCACTTAACAGTCGACCATCAGCATCTTTTTATATTTTTACAAAAATTTTTATAAAGACTTCTATTTACACATGGTGGAGTAAAGGTACATTTCTCCTTATCTCACTAAATAACAGAAATGAGGGGGAAAGAGGAGAAAATCCATGTGTAATGAAACAAGTCACTGGCAACAGCCCCAGAGCATATACCTTGAAGCATACCTGCCAAATCTGTAATGTTTGGATACAGGTGAAGGCGGGCATAAGATTATACTTATTTCCATGGACTTAGAGCAAAATATAATTTCCCTTGAATTAAGAGTACTGCCATGAAAGACATCTCCAGTGTTCCCTGAATTATATGACAAGACCTAGAGCTGTAGCTAAGCTGCGGGAGAAGTTGAGAGTGACTCTGCAAACATCCAAGTATCACCACTGAAAGGCAGACAGTGGCACTGGAAGGAAAACCATTCTGATGCCATTTTAATTTTCCTTTCCCTAGCCTGCTGGCTGAGGGATCTTGGTAAAAGTGAAGTGGGGAATGGAGGGAGAGCAGGCAGCAGTTGTGCTTAAGGGCTTTGCTGTGAGGCCCATTAGAACAAGCAATGGGAGAAGCAGGGGGCAGAAAAGAAAGGCTTTCTGAAAGAGCTGGCCAGGCTTTTAGGAAAATGCATTACTTATTTCAGACTCTGAGAACACACTAAGATGCTAAATAGTATTTGGTGAACTGAAAGGGTAAATACTTTCTTCCAAAGCTATTTGGTTGAGAGACATGGCCACTATGGAGAAAATAAGCCATTAAAATCAGAAATAAGAATGAAATAGCTGAGCTTGTACAAACTTTGTGTAGTTTACAGAAAGAGGTTAGCACAAAGATAGAAGCCATAAATCAAAGATTAAGCAATGTGGCACAAAAGGGCATGTGTTTCTGTAATTGTAAAATGAGCTTCCCAGCAAAAGGTGAAGCTGAGCTTTTCAAATTGCTGGAATGTCACTGCTTATTTATGAGCAAAGATAAAACTCATTTTTAGATAAATGACTAAATTGAAATACCATAATGCGTACCATTCAAGTGCTGTTATGGTTAAAAAATGTGACTATAAAAATGTCACATTATTACGGAACCTATTTGTTGGTTAGGTATTTTCCAAGTCCTGTCTCAGTTTATTGACTTCCGCTAGGTTTTACTACCGCCTGCCTTGCATAGCCAATGCACAGTAGCTATTGCAAAAGCAAGATCTAGTCCTTTGTACCTCACACAGCTCTGAAGAATCTCAGGAATTCTTTAAACCAGAGCTGATATTGTTGCTAATGCCATTAGATGAAATAAGAATGAAGGCACTTTGTTGGCGGAGACCGTATCTCATTTACAGAAAAGCAGTGGTCTCTTTCAAATTCAAGTTCATATCTAATTTGAAACTACATCTTATATTCTGATTGTTCTACCATTTCCCTTGAGTGCTTAAGCAATCATGGTATCTCTCTGCCAAATTAAGTCAAGACAGAGCTTACTATATGACTTATTAAAGAATCAGCACCAGGCTGTGAACAGCAGTAGTCCTGAGCAGGGGGTGGTTGTGTGCCTTAAAGATTATTAATTGCAATAGACTACCCATGCTAGTAAATTACCTTTTACGTGTTAACATGGTAAGGCCACAGTGGGCTGAATTGTTTGCAGATAGACGACAATAAGAAGCCAGAAATTGTGGGGAAATGGAATGTATACTGTGGTAAAGATGGGGGAGATGGAGGCTACAAGAAAGAAGAGATCAGCATAGAAGACTGAGTTTTGTGAAGAAGAGAGAGGTGAATCAAATCATGAGTCAAACAACAACATGAGAGGATGGTATGGCAGGCTTCAGTTCTCCAAAGAGGTTATAAGAAGAGGAACTCAAAGAAATGAAAATGGAATGGCAAACTAATAAAAACTAGCACTTACGTAGCATATACCAGGTGCGGGCACTGTTCTAAATGCTTTATTTATGTTAATTAATGTAAACAATGACCCTGTGAGGTCAGAATGATTTCACATCTCTACCATACAGATAAAGAAAAAAAAAAAAATGAAGCAAGTTTTCAAATGACTTGCCCAAGTCACACAGCCAGCAAGAGGCCTGGCTGAGATCTGAACCCTGGGAACCTCAGATTCAAGTTCGTACTTGGAGGCTTATACCATATTGCCTCTCTCAGATGTGAGTGACAATAAAATAGATGTTTTTTCAGAGTTTAACTTTTCATTATATGAAAAAATAAGCTGGAAGTCCAGCTGACCTATGTTTAAGGTCAACTGTTGACTAATTCATACTCAAGAGAGTTACAGCAGAGAGGTGACATGCCGTGCGACTAGCACAGGTTCTTGTCAGTGGACGTCAGGTGGTAACGTTGAGGGAAGGAAAACAGGGTGGATTAGAGAAAGCATTTTAACAGCAAAGCCTAGACTGGGAACTGTGGATTTATATTAGGAGAAATTTTTTTTTAAAGACCATTCTACAATTGAAAAATATCTTATTAGAAAATGTGCTAATTTTTTGCAACTTTGCAGTAGACCTAAGCTAAATAGAATGTAAATATTTCATTGTCACCATTATACATATAAATAAACCACTGATTTTGGATAAGTGTCCAGTAATTTGTGTATTATTCCTTCAATCTAGGCCTCTTGGGCAAAAGTTATATTGACCCTATAGGTGTGGATTTGGGGACTACAGGTTTCAGGAAATGTTACTGCATTGCCAGAGATATTACTAAATCTGTAGATTTAGCCGGGAGATATTCTAAAATGCAAGTGACAAATCACCTTTACTTTCAATAACTAACATAGTTGAAAGGGTGGGAGGAAGGCTTATAGGCAACTTAAATACACATTTTTAAGGATTTTTTTCCTCTTTCTTTTGATGACTAAAATATCTTATTTTAAAGAAAAATAAAATCTGACATTTTAGCGTTTATCTTTGGTGGAAATTGTTGTTAGGAGGAAAAACAGTTTTATAGAGAAGTTTGAGATGAACAATTGCCAAGGACTCGAAAGATAGGCTTTTTGTGTGTGTGACATATCTAAGGATTTGTCTTGACAGTGTCAAAATAACAGTTCAATTCTGTTAACCACTTGATTCACAAATAAGTCAAAACAATCATTGGGCTAAATTAAACTGCTTTTATTTTTTCTCAACTTTCTTAATCAAAAGTATATATTTGTAGTTGTACAGCAAGCAGATACACCAGCTCTTTTGAAAAGTGAAAGGTGTTCCAGTTATGACAGTAAAGGGAGCCTGACTGCCATAACTTTTAAAGCACACCAAAGTTTGGCAGAGGGTTTCTCTGCACTTTAACTGTTGTACATCAGGTTCTCCAGGAAACAGAATCTGTGCAGGAAGCTTAGTAGGGACTGCTGTTGGATTCAACACCTGTGGAAGGAAGGGAAGGAGTCAGAGCAGGCAAAAGGAGAAGTTGAGCTCTGACATAGTCTCACTTAAAGCCTCAGCCAACCCATGGAGAGCTCTGAAGCTAGGAGGGCTCTTCGGCATTGTACTGAGTTGGAGCAAGGGCACCTGGCCTGTATAACTCCATGCCATCCAGTTATTGAATGAATACAGGCTGCCCCAGGAAGGTGGCTCTTTCTAGCCCAGGGCAATTCGTATAGAAAGCTGAAAGCCAAGGGCCATCAGGCAACATCTTTCCCAGGAGCTGGGCGAATATGTCCTTAAGTCCTGTAAAAGAACCTGGCGATTCATGACAATGCCCTTTCTAGTAGCTGACTGAAATATTTTGAAATTTTAAGACAGAAAAGGAAATAATCAAGAATAATATCTGCATTTTATTATTAAGACTTAACTTATATAGTGTTATTACAGAGGGAGGCCTTCTTCTACAGACAAAATAAGACCAAAAGAAATTATTTAAATAAGCCTATTTTGCATAGAAGTAATATATTTAGCCAATACTGGTTATCAAGAGAGAGAGAGAGAGAAAGAGAGAGAGAGTGTGTAACAGATACACAGAATGAGACACTTTCAGTCTTATGTACTGTATTACGACCATAAAATATTTCTGTCATTTAATGTTTGTGGCTCTCTTGTATGGAAGGTACTATTGTCCAATTCTGCTAATAAATAGAATCAGAGGGGCTAGGGGACTTGTCCAAGATCATACAGCTGGTTACTGGTGTAGTCATGACTCTAACCTACATCTGCCCATATTAAAGCTCTTCTTCTTGTTCCTGTCCTTCATTGTTCTAGTCCCTGGACCATAGAGGTTTTCTATTTCAGTAGATAACTTTTTGTCCTCCCAGACCTCAGAAATTTGTCCTTTAAGCTAAGTGTTTATCTCCTTTGGCCCTTGTCACAGCCTTGGCTGGTAAAAAGGCAAGGTGTTTTCTTTTCATTGTTGTTGTTTCTGAGACAGGGTCTTGCTCTGTCACCCAGACTGGAGTGCAATGGTGCAATTATGGCTCTCTACAGCCTCAAACTTCTAGACTTCAGTGATCCTTCCACCTCAGCCTCCCAAGCAACTAGGACCCCAGGTGCATGCCACAACACCCAGATGATTTTTTTGTATTTTTTGCAGAGACAGGGTTTCACCATGTTGCCCAGGCTGGTCTCGAACTCCTGGACTCAAGCAGTCTGTCCATCTCAGCCTCCCAAAGTGCTGGGATTACAGGTGTGAGCCACCACACTGGCCAAGGCAAGTATTTTTATCTGCACTTTAGCGGGAATGTAGTGCTGATGACAGTGGCCTAGCATCTTATGAAAACAGGACTATTCCAGGATGGTTTCTGCCCTGTACTTCTGCCTCCATTTAGTCGATGAATTAACAGGTAAAAGAAATGATGCAAAATGTGGCAGGAGTCAGAGGTGAACTTGGGTCTACTGATTCCTAATCCCATGCTTGATTCCCCCTCCAATGGGATTAACATGGGAAAAGGGAAAATATGGATATATTGTAGGTATACTGCACATATATTGTGGGTGCAGAACAATGTCAACCTTTCAATGATCCTACGTAATAATCATTTTATTTATGATGAGGAGATTGTGGAACCAGTAGAAAGAAATGATTTGAGTGGCCATTAGGAAAAATGTAAGCATATACACTTCTAAGAATGTGACTTAAACAAATTTTGAAATGATTTTAAACTTCCTTTAAATGAGAATAACTTCCAAGGCCTTCTTGATTAGAATGCCTGAATGATGTGTCTCTTTTACCGAGAGAAATAGTTACCTGATTCCCCACAGTTGAATCACATGACAAGTGATGCAACTTCATTGCTCTGAGACAATCTGTTTCCTCTGTTTTTTAGGATTTTGTTTGTTTGTTTGTTTGTTTGTTTGTTTTTGAGGTGGAGTCTCGCCCTGTCACCCAGGCTGGAGTGCAGTGGTGCAATCTCAGCTCACTGCAACCTCTGCCTCCTGGGTTCAAGTGATTTTCCTGCCTCAGCCTCCCAAGAAGCTGGGACTGCAGGCATGCCGCCACCATGCCCTGCTAATTTTTGCATTTTTAGTAGAGGCAGGGCTTCGCCATGTTGGCCAGGCTGGTCTCAAACTCCTGACCTCAGGTGATGCGCCCACCTCGGCCTTCCAAAGTGCTAAGATTACCAGCATGAGCCCCTGCGCCCTGCCTCCTCTGGTTTATTTTTGACAGCACAACTGAAATAGAAAAGGTTCTCTTGTTACCTGGTTTATTTTAATAGGGTACTGCTTGTGTCAGAAAATTCGAGAGGACTTTAAGACATTTATCAGATATTTATATAATATTTCATCTTCCATAATATAAAAAGGAATAAGGAGAGTCATTGTAATATTTTGAGTCACATATATTCTTTGATACATTGAAGTAAATGACAATCTCAACCGGAAGTATTTTAAGTCTTTTCTCAAGCAACTATTACTTTATTCATGTCTTCAGTTTCAGCTCAAATCTTAATTTAATGGAAGATTTCACCAACGGTTAAATAGAACGGATACTTCTGCATGATTAATGCAGTGTCCCCTATATATTGTATTACTCTGAATTATAAATTATTTAGCATTTTAGTACTAAAAACAGATGATATGTTTGCCTTTTGAAATGCAGATAGAGGGATGTAGATATATGTAGATAAAGGATTTTAATCCATCATGAACACTTTACACTTGCATGTGTGTTCATTAACAACCACAAGTCAGTCAGCTTAAAAATTCATGCTCACAATTTGTCAGTATTAATCTAAAGGTCCCTAAATTGGATTATCACTGTTAGTGCTACAGTAAAAACCAACTAATAATTTAATAATTTATTACTTTTTTATTGTCCTGGGTATTAAAATGGTCACAGAACTACAGTTATACCATTTCGTATGCACACATATATAAAGTTATGCTGATATTGACAATTTATAAAGGTTGTGAATGAAATCCAAATTAAGGATGCCTTTAAGTTCTCTTTTATTGACTATATGAAATCAAAACTTAAATATGATTATAATATCTAGAGAATTCACATATAATGTACAGTGATTATTAAACTTTCAAGTTTCATTGTTTTGGAAGAAGTTTTGTGTCATTCATGTCTGTTTGCCCAAATCTTTAAAAGAATGCTCATTTCCTAAAATTCTTTGTGATCTAAACATGAGAGTTGAGTATGTAGAGGGAGTATAGGGCTGTAATTAATATATTAAGTCCTCTAAATAGAATGGTGACATTTGACCAAGAGAATGAGGCTATTAGTACAAGGAGCTCTCCTAGTAGATTAATAATGGGGGGTAGGGCAAGATTCACATGCACCTCTGCTTCTAGGCCAGGGATTCCAAAGTTACGTGTACAAAGGCAGGAAGGAGGGGCACTTGAGTATTATACAGTGAGGAGTAGTGGATACTGACAAATTGAATGGTGTAGGTCTGGAGAAAGTTGAGTTTGTGATCATTTGGGAATGCAATGCCAGTTTCTCCACAGCTTCTGACTTTCAAGATAAGATAAAAATATGGATGTTTTGGTGAAATTTTCTGATTTTTAGGACACTGAGTGGGCCATATCAATCCCTTATGTGGGCTGCATGTAGCCTGTAAACCTCCGGTGTTCACATTCCCATCTAAGTCAAAGAGAGACCGAAGTCTTGGGTTGTCTTCCATTTTACACACATGGAATGCCAATCAATTTTGAGTAGGCAACTAATTATCTTAACAGAATCTTCAAAATAGAATCAAAACCATCTTTAGATACATTTAAGTTTTCTTCTACAAGTGTCAAAAATATAGTAACCCTCCAGTTTTTTGGTTTAAGCCATGGGTGTGTACTTTTTAGCCAAAGGGGGAGAGGCAGTTGGAATTCTGTTTCATTTGGCATATTGTCTTTTATTATTGATTGGTCCAAAATTGGACACCACCTTCCTTATTCACACTTACCTATCTCAGTAGGAGATTTCCGGTCTTGATTCAAATCTTTGTGGTCAGTTTTTATCTGATCATTTGTCTGTCTGATATTCTTGATATGCTTTTATAACATTTTTAACAGAAAATGTAAATGCTATTTATGGAACGCAAGCTGCTCGGCTATGAAGGGTCTCTTGTGATTTCTCAAGTTGTTTTCATGTTTGGCTAATACTGTCTGCTAGAACAGAAGTCTGGGAACTAACGTGGAATATTAAACGACTGAATACAAGTTTCCTTCCCTTCCAAGTCTGTCTTCAGGGGCATAGAGAAAAGATGAATGAGAATGGAAAATAGAGGAGTGTCACTGAGCAGGGGGTTAATTATATTAATTTCAGGCTCAACTCAGCTTGAAAACAATATAATCTATAAAAAAATGGAATTTCAACAAGAAGCCAATCTCCTATTACCTTTTTCTTTTTAAGACCACAATATGTTATAGTCATCAGGCACTCATAAATTGCCGTTACAAGCTGTTTAGAATAAGACATTATACAAAACCGACTTAGAATTGGAAACTCTAGGGAGATTTTTTTTTCCCTGTTGCACCTGAAGTATTTTTTCCATGTGTTGAGTTTCCTTTTGTTTGTTCACTGGAGAACATGGGAATTCTGCTGTGCTTCTTTTACATGTGATGGATGAGGAGGGTCAAGATGCAATTGAATTATTTTAAATACTGAGGAGCCAAATGTAAATAGTACTATGTAGTACTGTCCCCTCATTGTATATGTGAACACAGAGAGCCATCATGTTTTCCCCTTCATTTATGCTAAGTTGCCTGGCAAGAATTATTAAGTGGTAGTTGGGAATGGGAATAAGTAGAAGAGAGTGAAAAAATAGTCCAATTTCTTCCAATACAAACTTCTCTGTTCCTCCACCAGGAAAGCTTCAGTACCTGTTTCATTAACAATAGTAAGAATCTCTAGGTAAAAAACCATTGAGTAGTGTCAATACCTTGAAGCAAACGAATATTTTTCAAAATATTTACAGCAGCCATGAAAATAACTTAGAACATTGAACTGAAGTAATCAGCATTGACATTGCATACTATCCTATTTCTCATTACTTTGTCCTATGTGCATAAGTAATCATTTCAATGATGCTTTTGTTAAAATATGTGAACATTTATACTCAATTATTCAAAAGCACATAATCATATGTCAATTCCTTGGAAATTTTAGAGTAAATTTTACTACTTCATCACCTGTATCTAGATAAATTTATTAGGCACTTGCCGATGGTCAGTAATACCTGTTTATTAAGTTGATTTTCAGGCTACTTTCATGAGAGATTTCATAAATTAGCATTAGTACCTTAACATTTAAGCTTAAACAGGGGTTAGGCATTCATAAATTGAATCAAGTGATCATGGACTAAGAGGGAAGGAAAATGTTTTTTAATGCATTTCTGGCCCACCACCCTTCCCCTTCTATTCAACCCCAAGAGCCTACTTTGCCGTGAGGAAGGACATATTTAAAGTTAGAATCTCTAGTGCCAGAAATTTCTACTTTATGTCTTGGCTAACCAGCGAGGATAATCAGCACCTTGTCTTTCTTAAAATTGACAGGGCACGTTTTTAAAGTGTTGAAAGAGAAGTATACAGAGCTTACAGGTTGAACAGTCTCAATTCCCTGGCTTCAGCAAAGATTTTGAAACTTAAGTTGTTTTCAGATGTCAGGGTAAAGCCCTGTGGTCAGTTAAATGAATCAGCTACTTTAGTCATTGGTATTTTCTAACAAATACATAAAAATCGGAAGTGCACACTCTGAAATATAAAAATCAACATTATTCATGTCAATATTCATTTTCTATAGTTTTGTGTTACATTCACCAAAGGGAACAATATATTTCCCAGTTTGGTAAGCCTTTCATCTGTTTTAGCGTATTAAAAAGGCAAACCCGCTTAAAGATTCAGGTTTAATCCTTCGAAAATTAACCCAATCCCAGGCTTTAAATGAACTTTGCCTAAATTCAGACAAGTACAGAGAACCTCCAGTTTATTTTGCCCTTTTATTTGGAAAACAGTATGATTTTCCATGCCGCCCTTCACTGGCCCCTTCAGTGCCTCCTCAAAAGAGCAGTAGAGCCTTCATCTCTTGGGGATCTGTAGGAAACGCCGTTGTTTTGAGCAGGCTCCAACCATGTAAAATCCACCCCTAGTACCCTGCAAATGTTGGATAGGAGGAGATTCTTGGGATGTGGTGGGAGCAGCTAGTACTTAAAAAACAATACTCCATCCCGAATTTAGATGCTTCCAAAATCCTTTGTCTCTCACAAATCCACTTCTTGATTATGTCATGGAATCTGAATGAAGTTAAAGGAATATAAAATAAAGGCAGTTTCTGCAGCAAATTTATATAAAATATGCTTGCTTCCTTCAAGCCACATCCCCCTCTAAGAGGGTGGAACTAACACTTCTGTGAATGATGACACACAAGGATTTTTTCGATTTTAGCTGTTTGCCCATCAGCTGCCCATTCTCTCACTGGTCAGACTATTGGTTGCTAAGCATCAGCATTATTACACCCAAAATTGCAATTTTTTGGTTTCTCCCTTCTTCCTCTTCTACTCTTCTCCTCAATGGCCTATTCACTGTTGTCTTGTCACCCGAGTACTTAGGTCAAAGCATAGAAACTGGAGGACTGAGCTGAGCAGTTTGGGGAATGGAAGAGTGGAACCAGCAACTCCGTTTATCCCATGGAGTCACTGCTCCCAGGGCACGGGTCCTCAGGGAATGTCCACAGGAATTACCACTGCAGGCTTCCTGGGGCCTCCTGCAAGCAGAGATCTGGCGTCTCCACCATGATTCACATCACTGGATGTGGATTTGTAAACTAAAGAAAACACAGACCATTTCCATCCACATGCCACTTAATAGCTGTCAGCCATGGTTGACTCCTATGATGAAGTGAGGGTGTTTTCAGACGTTGTGTCATTTAGCCCTCAAGGAAGTTCTAGGCAACTTTTAATGACCATTATCCCCAATTTACAGATGAAGAAACAGGCTTATAGGGAGGGTAAGGAACTTGCCTATGTTATTCTTCAGGTAACTGGTGGTTAAAGGCCCGAGTCTGGCTCCAAAGCCCATGTCCTAAACACAGCCCTGTGTCCCCTGCACCAGCTATCTGCCTCACTCACCAGTATGTATGATGCATTCCATAACCTTAACCTTAGCTTCCTTTTTTGTCACTCGTTTTCATGGTGACAGTGGGATAAGAAGGCATTGCTATTTTTCCAGTGGCAGAATGTTTAGGATATGTTATTCTTATCTTATGCATGGTTTGTAAAAGATATCTGCAATTGATATATGAAATGCTATCTTCATATTTGCCTTACATAAGAAACAAAATAGAATGTCTTTTTCTTCCTTTCCTCTTAAATAAGTGATTACACTTGTTTTGGAAGAAATGCCAGGGTAGATGGCACCTTAAAATAGTTTTGGCAAATATGTTCATGAGTTAAAGTCATAGAAGTCCTCATACCAACCAGATTTTCCAATGGCACAAGTACAAACTGAACATCTGAATGCTGAAACCAACTTAGGAATTTAGTTCTCAAGCTAAATCAACTACCTCTTTTCTGCTTACTTCTTAGTTGTGGATAGCTAAATATTTGCTCGTGGAGCTGAACTGTTGCCCATTAAGTCGTTTTCTCATGTTTCCCCCTCACCTCCCATCTTTCCTAATAGTCGTTACTGCCTGAAATCTTTTATTCAAGTAACAACACATCATTTGAGTTGGATCTCATTTTGAAAATTTTAATAATTAGAACTGGAGATTGTTCAGATTAGCTCTTATTTTAACTATAGGATATTTGAAACAACATCAGTATGCCTTTTATATGTAAGCAGTTTTTCTTAAAACTGAAATAATGAAATATAATAATTATATCTTGCTTTCATGGATCACTGAGAATGTTTTGTAAATGAATCATCACTGCTATGCATAGATGCTCAAACGATGAGACTCTGTCATATATGTTTTCTCTGAGGGTTTTAGAAAAGCCGGTTATATACCTCAATCGCTATGGCAGGGTTTCTTGACCTCGGTCCTACTGACCCTTTGGATCGGGTTGTTTGTTGATCTCTGTGCACTGTAGAATACTTTTCAGTATCTCTGGCTTCTACACATTAGATGTGAGTAGCAACTTCTTACTCAGTTGTCATTGCCAAAAATGTCTTCAGACAGTGCCCAGTGTCCCTTAGGGGCATAGTCACCTCTGGCTGAGAACCAGTTCTTGTCTTAACAAGATGAGAAACCAGTTAGACATCAAAACATTAGCTCTGTTGATGGTCAAGTTGAAGTGGAGAATGTGGCTGAGGTCTAAGGCCAAGTTGAATTTATTTTTTCTTTTTCTTTTTTTCAGATACTTCTGCCCAAGGGTACCATGCCTTCCACGGCTACTGTATTCAAAAATATTACAACCCTGTGACTGTCTCTCTCACTTACTTTACTCAATTTGTCCTCCTAGCCCCCATCTCCACCTGAAATTCATATTGAATTGTTTATTGTTCTCCTCCTCCGCTAAAATGTAAGCTTCATGAAAGCGGGACATTTTTTCTTTAGTGCTATTACCCCAGAACACAGATCAATGCCTGCCACATAATTTGAATCCATGAGTAATTGTTGACTAAATGAGTCAATTATTTAGAGACACTTGCTGTAAAAAGATAGATTGAGGATATTAAAGATCACAAACATAGCTGAAAATAAATAGTTGAAATAATTTTTATTGAAGAAGGATGGCTTAAAGTATAATCATTCTACTTAATGGTTTTATAATTAATTAATCAATCCATAATTGAGATTTAGGCTTTTCCCTCATTTTATATAATTAGTTTTGCTGGTCTATTTTTCATGTCAAGCAAACAATGCCTTCAGAGAGGAGAGGGCTTTGAGCTACAAGGAAATGAGGAGAGAAAGCTCAGATGATGCATGAAGTGAGAAAACAGTAGGAAATACCAACATTTCTTATGCAGTCAGTCACTCAAAATACATCAATAAGCAAAAGTCTACATTGGGTAGTTTCACTGGAAGGTAAGGAGGGTTAAGCACAATATTCCTTTGAATGCTGTTTTGAGTTTCAGAGCTAACAATTGAGAGTTTTGAATTTCAAGTAAGTAACAATTTATCCATTCAGAGTTTAAAATTTGTATTATATATTTTCAAATCTTTCTTGATTTATACTTATTTTTTCAGCTCCCCAAATTTAACCAGTTACATGTATTTAAGTGCCATTATCCTCAATAATTTGAACTGAAGTAGTTGCCTTTAATAGGAAATATGAATTTCATCATGAAAATAGAACACAAAATTCTTAGCTTAGTTATAAAGTCCAGAAATATTTGGGCTGAAATGCTGTAAGCTGAGCAAATAATAAAGATACACATTCTACCAAATGTGTTCTGGTCTTGAAAAATTAAGAACATGTGTCCCAACAAGGTAGAGAATGCAGCCTCTTCAGGCCGTGTACTGACCACCACTGAAATTTTATATGACAAGAATCACATCCTGGTCATGGGCAGATGCCAGAATTCACTAGTATTGTCAACAAAAGGGCTATGACAACTTATCTTTTAAAAAATGTTGTATCAAATTTTTTGTTATTGGTTTATTGGAATGCCCTCATGTGTTTCTTAATTATAATGCCTATTTAGCTCTTTCAAAGAACCTATTTCTTACTTTTAAACATACAGTCAAAATAGTTAGTAAAAATAATGGATTTGTTTTTGTTTTTCCTTTCCCCATACCTACTTCCTGGGATATATAAAAAGTCCTAAAGAGGCTAGAGCAATCCTAGGGCTATGGATTGGGCACCTGTTTATTACAGATTACTTAAAGAAATGGAAGAACTAAAGTGAATATTCTATCCCAGTTCTTTGTTGGCTGTGGCTTGGAGAGGAGTTGCCTCCCCCAGTCTCACAGTGCATCAGCGATGGATCCTGCCTGAAACCCCAACTCCCATGATCTCTGTACAGCATTATTCCCATCCTCCGTTTATGGTATAATATGGCCATATTTTATCCCTCCTGGACTCCAACATTGCTCAACACCCGGAGTCAGGGGATTTGTTGTTGTTGTTGTTGTTTTAGAGACAACACAGTCATGGTTCACTGCAACCTTTAACTCATGGGCTCAAGTGATCCTCCTGCCTTAGCCTCCCAAGTGCCTAGGACTACAGATGTGTGCCACCGTGCCTGACATTTTTTTTTAAGAGATAGGGTCTCGCTTTGTTTCCCAGGCTGGTCTTGAACACCTGACTTCGAGCAACCCTCCTAACTTAACCTCCCAAAGTGTTGGGATTACAGTTGTGAGCCACTGTGCCCAGCCTTCAGGATTTTTTGGTATAGTTTTATAATGATGATGGGATGAGTGAAGGTGACAGGGAACAAAGAAAGAGGGAAAAGAGGAGAGGGCTGCCAATTATGGAAATTCTATCTGGTAGAACATTTTGTTCAATTAATAGACATATTAACTTTCCAGTAAGTGCAAAACATATAATAGGTGATATGGAGGGATACAAAGATAAATATGACCTGGCCCTGCATTCCAGGAAAGCATGCCCTCTAATGATTTTCTTACTTGAAAAGGTCCAGTGCAGCCAGGCCGTAGCCACAGATCTTCCTGGAAGTGTTAGCAATTGAAATAAATTATGCTCATGGAGACCCAAAAGAATGGCTTACCTTACATGGTTCAGCTAATAGTATTTTTATTATTCCTTAGAATTCCTTCTCTTGGGGACTTTTTTAAAAAACTCAAAAATGTATTTGCTTTATCCTGTGATTTGCTCTGTGTGGCTCTATATTTTCTAAGTATATTAACATCACTAAATGAGGTTAAAAGTAGGATTCCAATGTTAGCAGTGAGGGAGTAGAGCTTGTCTCAAATAGCTGATGCTTTTTGCAAAAGCGAAATAAAACTTCCTCTTTTCTCTTTATTCAAGGAGAAGACAGTTTTACCAATAAATCCAGTTAGATCCTGTCTATTGCAAAGAATAGATTTGTAGACTAATAGAATTTTAGAGCTGTAAAATTAGGGATAAGCTAGACAGCTAAATCGGTAGACACTTAGTATATATCTTCCTTCTAGTCATTGAATAATAGGACTCTTGAATTCATTTCTGATGATTTATTGGAATTTGGGTAAATGAAAGTAGGGTTGAAATGATCTAGTTGCAAGTCTTTTGACATTTTGGATCCATAGTAGTATTAAGCCAAAAAGTCTGTTTTCAGACCTTTTGGTAGCCACATAAAAGTAATAATTTTGACTACTGACATATTTAAACTGTGACGTTCTAAGAGAGATTAATGATATGGATACAATTATAGATATAATGAAAGCAATTGTCAATGGATTGTGTAGGGATTTTTCCAATCACATTAATTATATTACCAAATAATTAAAACATCGTTGAGGCAAGCTTTCTAGGAGTGATTTCCAGATGTGAGTGAGCTAATCTTTATCATTAGATTAAAGATAATTCAATGTTTTAATGTAACTGGAACAAAAAACATGTGCTTCAGTAGAACCTTCAAGAATCCAGTGTTATTTGCCTGACTTTATTTTACCCACAAATTGTTTGAAAGGATAGACTGTGAATTCTTTATCATCTATAATATATTACAGCTTTCTGGAAGGTCTATGTGAGAAACACTTTTTAAAGCTTGCTAGGATAAAGTGATGGTCATAACATCTTTACCACAAAGAACATCTGTTTACCAGCTCTTCTTTTTTTGACCGGTTGTAGGAGTGCTTTAGGGAGTGATTTCTTTCCTTTTTTTTTTTTTTTTCTTCTCTTGACAGGCCTCTGTGCTTGAGGCCAGACTGCAAAGATAACAATAGTGTGTGAGTGTTTTTCTATGTGTATTCATGTGGGCACATGTGTACAGCATGCTAAAATCATAAGCATAGCCATGTAACAATGGTTCTGTTTCATGATTTGAAAGTCATTGACACTTCCACCTATGAGTAGATACCCTCAATTGGAAAAAATATATATCCATATTGATCTTACTTTGTCTCCGTTCTAATTAAGTTTTCAATTTCTAGAAATTCTTTTCATTTTCAACTAAAATAATGCATGTGACATGACACCTTGGTATAATGGACACCTTATTCAAACAGTTCTGTTTGTATCTTATTTTTAGAAATTATAAAAAGAAGTATATTGTTTTTTCACCTAACATAGGACCATGAAGTTCTGCAAAAGAAGGCAAAGTTGAATTTGGGAAACATTCATTCTGATTTTTCCCCTGATAACGATTTTCTTTTTAAAAAAAATAAGCTAAAAGTGTTTCCCTTTTTATTTCCCATTTTTTTGTTGGCCTTTGAATATCCAACAGTACCAAGCATGTTATGAGCAAGCCAACGTATAGATAGTTTGTTGTTACATCTTAAGTCAGTAATGGTTTTTCTTAAAAATGATAGAAATGTTGACAAATACTGAATATATTTCAATTTTCCTCAAAGCATTGGGATTCCCCCATCCATTATTACAGATTTCAAAGGACATATGCCTTTCATTCCAATTTTCGTAACAATTGGGATACAACTTGAAAATGTTCAGTTCCCAAGTATTTTTTATATATTAGTTAAAGGAATGGGAAACCTAGAAATAAAGTTTATTCTTTTTTATTAAGATATCTTAACTCATTAAAGGAAAAAAGACATATAAAATAGCTTTCACTGTGTGGAATTATGGTATAGGCAATTTATATTGCTTATTACCTTCATGTTCTTGAATAGTGGGATGGTAAAAGGTCCCTGCCCTCATCGTCTGAGTCCCCACAGATCAGTTACAATGGAGTTGTCAGAAGAGGAACATATTCACTGATGAAATGACTAGTTATAAAAGTAGTCTTCTAAAACCCTATCAAGTTAATGTTTCTGTTCATCAGTTTGGGGCTGATTATAAGATGCTTATAACAATTTAATGCAGTAAAAATGCTATGCATAGTGTACATACAACCCATATAACAAAGGAAATTGATTATAAGTATTCTTTAATGCCAAGAAATTGATGTTGAAAAATTGCCTGAGTCACATATAAACCCATTGACAAATGAGAAGCCAGCAGAATTGGACCAATGAACAATTGAAAATTAGAGAACAAAAATGGATGAGGACATAAGATGTTTCACATAAGAACTATGTCAGAATCAAAAGATGAGAAAATATCTGGAAAATTGATGACGTTTTTGAGTATTTCTGCCATAACAGGTCTAGTTTAAGCTGCACTGTTGTAAAGTTTTGTACAAAAAAAATACGTCCTGAAAAATCAACAATTGATTTGGTCTTTAATCTAGTTCATAGCTTAAATTATAGTTTAAACTTTGTTCCTTGTGATATAATTTTTAATGAAAGTCATTTAAGATAATATTCCAATGTGATCTTTGTCACTATTTCTGTGAAAAAGTAGATTGACCCTTTTCTGTTACCAATTATTCTCTGATAATGAAAGCCTCTGGAATAAAGCCACCACTCTGAATTTTCTATCACAATTAATTAGGAATAGAATATGCCTCAGTTGATTCCTTCGTTTAAACCACAAATTATTTATTTGCGTCTTTTCAGAATATTTTTGGAACGCGATGATCCTCAACTCTGGTTACACATTAAAATTGCCTGAGGAGTGTTTTTAAATACAGATGCCCAGTTCCCACCCCAGAAAAATTAAATCAAAATCCCAGGGCTGTAGAGAGGTAGGAGGTAGAGCTTGATATGAACTGTTGTTTAAAGCTTCCCAGGAGATTCTAATGACTACCACTGATAATACCTCTAAAGGGTATTACAACTTCCAGCAAGCTTTCCAACTAACGAAATGAATATAGATATGATTTGCTTCCTACCCACACTGTTTTAATACATAGAAACTTTCAAGGATTTCCCTTATATAAATCAACTTTTAAAATGACAGAAAATTAGATTTTTATTAAGAAGAAAGAGAAAATTCTTAAGATAACTAATTTCTATACTCCACACTAGGTATTTCTTCCATTTGCTTTTTCTGCTATTTCCTGTCTTTGGAGTAATTATCATAGTGTTTGTGTTTCTGAGAGGTTGAAGATCTGGCAGGCAGAACCTCAGCAAAGTCAAAAGACCTCATGCTTTCTGATCCCTCTGCTGTTTCATCCCATTGTGCATCCTACTCTAGCCACACAAATATAGTCTTTATTTCCTATGCTGTGGTGCTTCATCGGGCCATGATGTTTTGATGGGGCTCTTCTCTGCCTGTGGCAGAGACTACTTATCTCTATCACAGTCTCTCCTGGCAAGTCTGAAGACCACCTCTGGACTTCCACAGCCCTTTGCTCCCCCATCAGCCAAATATCCTTTGTAAAGAGCAGCTGTGTTGTATTCTTCCCTATTATGATTTGTTCATATTAGATAGACACCCAGCAAGTTCTTATGAAGTTAGGGAATAATGGAAAAGGACATAATGGTGGGAAGAATCTCAAAGTTTCATTTAACTGTAATAAAAGTTTATACAAATTTATTTCAAGAATTGCATTTTCTTGGTCTTGTCCCATTTCTACATTTGGAATACGTTAAGCATGGTAATCGCTGAATTCGAGGGTCCATCCCAGCTAAAAAGATTTGTAAATACATAAATACGTTGCTGATCTTTATATTCAGAGGAAAGAAGCATCAGAGGTGATTAAGTACCATCCAAATATAAGAAGATAATTTATTCTATCTTAATTCAGTTTCCCAGAATTTGATTCCAGTAATGGACTATTTTAAGATGACATAATTTTTTAGTATTATTATTTTATTTCAGTATACAATAGTATATTTTAGTGTATACTAAATAGATATTATAGTTCAGATTTGTGCATTCTTTTTGTACACAAAACCCTTACAAAGGGTTTACAAGGAGTAAGGATTTTTTGTTTGTTTTTTTTTTTTAATCAATGTTGATTACTGGGGAAGTCTTATAAATTGTTTTCCTGTTTTTTAGCTCAGACTCTGACTCACAACTCATTACTGACCAACCTTACTTCCAAGCGTTTTGATGCAACAATCATCTTATTTTTCTTTTTTGTGCTTATATGGGCATGAAGCCTGGAGGTCACAGAACGTGTGTGGTAGGATCATGAGACAGGTCTCAAAACTGCCTGCAGGCTGCTTTGCAGCAAGCCTGACCAAAAGTTGGGCCTCAAATGGGAAGATGGAATGAAAGAAAGGTACAGAGAGATCAGAGTGTTCATGATGAAGTGAGAATAGACAGGAGTGATACTACGAGATTTCTTTGGAAGGAGGCTTAGCAGAAGCCGGAACACCAAAGACCATATAAGGGCTAAGACATTCAGTGCATTCTTGCTGATAGTGTTGAGTGCTCTTGACTTTCCTTAATCCTAAAGATCATTGTTAGAAATATTAAATATGTGTCTAGCACATCAATTACTATGACCCAGATCTCATATTACTCTGCTATGCCTCCAACATTTTTCTATTGATTCAGCATATTTAGTTTATGTTCTCTCAAATATAAAAGTGTTACCCTTTTTCATGCTTTTTCTACCTTGTCTAAATTCTGCTTTGTGATATCTTCTCGTTTTATTTTACATCTTCTTTCCCTCATTAATAGATGTGCTTATTTGATTGCAGAAGAAAATTTAAAATGTGAACTGGCCAGGCGCGGTCGCTCACATCTGTAATTCTAGCATTTTGGGAGGCCAAGGCAGGCAGATCACTTGAGGTCAGGGGTTTGAGACCAGCCTGGCCAACATGGCGAAACACCATCTCTACTAAAAATACAAAAATTAGTCAGGCATGGTGGCATGCACCTGTAATCCCAGCTACTTGCGAAGCTGAGGCAAAGGAATTGCTTGAACCCAGGAGGCAGAGGTTGCGGTGAGCCGAGATCATGCCATTGCACTCCAGCCTGGGCAACAGAGTGAGACTCTGTATCAAAAAAAAAAAAAAAAAAAAAAAAAAAAAAGAACTAATTAAAGACATGTTATTCTTTCTGTAGTGGTTGTGTACATAGCATAGTCACTGAGCAGCTTTTTTTGTTTTGCATTTAATGTCATTAGGACCCAGACAAGCCTGAACAAAGACAGTGGTCAGCAGCATGCAACATCTTCTGTCTGTGTTTGGACCCAGCTGTAACTTGGATGTTTGTGCTGACCTCATCGGGGAAGGCTGGCTGCTTAGCAAATTTAGCCAACTCTAACCCAAACCAAATGAGTTTGTATACAGTATTTCAGCTGTATGTCAGGAGACCAGATGATGGCTTTGCTTAGGAGGAGGGGTTTGTCAGTGATGATGACCTCTTGTTTTCCAAAAAAGCAGGATGATCTGATCTCACCCACTGATACCCTCTAGGAGGCAGGCCACATCTGGTTCATCTAATTACTCTGTTTAAAGCAACAAGGCTTATGAATGATCAGCAAAGAGCAATTTTCAAAATCTTGGATGCTCAGTGTTTGTTAATTATGTTATCACAAATGTATTAAATTGGTAAATCAGGTATTTTTAGTGAAAGTTACTTATCTTTTTGTTTCTGCTCCCCTTATCAGATGTCACCCAGACACTCCCGGAAAAACGAGTTCTTGTGTTATCAGTTCTACATTGTCATCAAAAAAGATGACACCACTGCTTGCCTAAAAGTCTCAAAGGTCATTTGTTACAAAGTTTCCCGTGATTTTTAAAAGAATATGTTTTTATTAAGCCTTCTTTTTAGAAATGTCCATAGGTTTGACAGCTTTTCTTATATTATTAGAGTTTCTATTGGGCTCTCATTAATAGGGTTAAAATTCACTCCTTTGGCTAAGTTATCTTCTCTGATTTACTGAGTTTTCTACTTCTTTTACTGAAGTACAAATGTGCTTAGTATGAACCTTTTGAAAAGAATCAGCCTCCTTAATCCTCTGTTACAAGCCAAGAAAAAGACTCATCAATTGTGGGCAAATGATGCAATATCAGAAGACAACTTTATGTTCCTTGTCTTAGTCCATTCATTCAACAAATGTCTATTTTTTGTTATCTCCATGCAAATGAGTTACAGGCTACTTGAAATCATCTTGTTTTACAGTAAATTTTTGGTTGTCCATAGTCAATATGACATGGCTCTAACCAAACAATTCATTTCAACCATGGATGGCCAGGTGGGGTGGCTCACACCTGTGATCCAGCAATTTAGGAAGCTGAGGCAGGAGGATTGCTTGAGGGCGGGAATTCAAGACCAGCCTAGGCAGCACAGTGAGACCCTCATCTCTACAAGAAACTTGAATAAAAAAGAGAAGAAGCGAGAAGCATGGACTCTGGTGAACTTTACCTAGAACAGTCCTGGAATCATCACCAGCTTTCAGTTATTCATTGCCAGTGGATACAGAACCCTTCTACCTGGGAAATCCTTTGATACACGTACATACAAAGATGACATTGCGTAGGCTCTACCTGCTTGTGGTTCTGCCTAGTACCTGACCAATTACATTGTCTTGGGTACTTTCAAAAGTACTTTTTCTTATTGGTTGAGTTAGTACTTGGCATCAGCAGAATTTTAGAGCCAGAAGGAATTAAAAATTACAACAGTGTGGATAAGTCTTCCAAATATTATGTTGAGCAAAAAAAGGAGGTGGGCAGCACAAGTGTACATACCATGTGATTCCATTTCTATAAAACCCACAAGGCAAACCAATCTATTGTGTTGGGATTCAGCATAGTGATTACCTACATTGGGTAGGAGGACAGTGACTGAAATGGGGCAGAAGGGAGATGGCTTTAATTTGTGAAAAATTCATCGTTATATAATTATGATTTATATATTTTTCAGAAAAAGCTTCATAATAAAAGTTATGACATAATTAAGCAAAAAAAAAAAAAAAAGACAACTGCTGTAGTTAAAGCAGGTGATATGGTTTGGCTGTGCCCCCACCCAAATCTCATCTTGAATTGGAGCTCCCACAATTCCCACATGTCATGGGAGGGACCCAGTGGGAGGTAATTGAATCATGGGGGCGGGTCTTTCTTGTGCTATTCTCATGATAGTGAATAAGTCTCACAAGATCTGATGATTTTAAAAAGAGGATTTCCCCTGCACAAGCTCTCTCTCTTTGCTTCCCGCCATCCATGAAAGACATGACTTGCTCCTCCTTGCCTTCTGCCATAATTGTGAGGCCTCCCTAGCCAAGTGGAACTGTAAGTCCATTAAACCTCTTTTTCTTCCCAGTCTCGGGTATGTCTTTATCAGCAGCGTGAAAATGGACTAATACGGCAGGGATTGCAGAAAGGGCCCAAGATGAGAATGGGGTAGGGGTGAGCCAGTATGAAAACCACAGGTTTAACCAAATCACCACGTTAGGGCTGAAGAAAGGCGAGCTCCTCCAGAGACGATGAATTGCCCCAAATTATACAGCTACTTGTTGATAACATTTATTAACTTACTTAATACATGTATATTGAGCATGTGCCACATCTCAGACATGGAGCAGATGCCAGAATATAGTTGGAAACCAGACTGACCCAGCCAGACTCTAACCTCACAGTTTAGAATTCAAGTCTTCCAGCTGACACATTTACGTGACCTGTCTGGACTCAGTAGACATTTGAGTTTACACTTCCTTGATTCACATTAATCTTCCTATTTCAGAATACCAGATACTTCATTTTGTTAAGGCACAGACTGGACTTGCCTTCCTACTTCTACTTGTTGCATGTTTCATTGTATTCAAGGAAAAATATTTTGAGAATTGAGTGTAGACTAATATTCTTTATGAGAGACTGGTCTTCCAGAGAGGCTGTGATGAAAGCAGAGAGATTTCTTGCGAGTGCTCCTCTGGGCTTGCAGGCTAGAGTGCCCAATATTTCTGTGCGGGTAGACTCATTCACATCACTGGGCTCCCAGGCTTGTCATTTGATCAGGCTCTCATCTGCATGTCAATGAGGCTTAGAGCCCATGGAAAGAATTAACTGGCCTGGGATGTTTATGCAACTTTTCAGCAAAGGCAATTTAAAGGAAAGTTGCCCTGACTGAAATGATTGTCTTGGAGCAGATATATAGTGAAGTAATCATGTTAATATTATGTGACTCGGGTTATATGATATTTTCAATGATCAGCCTAGTAGGAGTTTAAACATGAGCAAAAACACAAACTAATCAAAAGCAGTAAATGAAACATCCCTTTTAAAGTAGATCAACTGGACTTTTATTCATTTTTATACTTTTTATTCATATTAAAGCATAGTACAAATTCAGATTTCCTTTGGAGTATATGAGCCATATTTTGTATTGCATTTCAAAACCAACAATATTAATTTCCAGTTGTATTTCTTTTCCTTTAGGACTAATTAAAGAAAATATGTTTGTTTTTCTAGGCATCACTCCCAAATCTGCAAGTGCCAGGATATAAAGTCTGGTTTTATGTTCCAAAAGAATGTTTAGGTTTTGAGATCATATAATCTTTAGTATAAAAAACTTTGTGTGTGAGAGGGTGCATGTGTTCTTTGTTCAAGAGTTTAGCCTCCTACTGTAAACATTTCTAGAGAGGTAAGCAAATTTCATGCAAAGACTTTCCTATTGCATGTCCACAGGTCATATAAACAAACACATAACAAATTCAACTTAGGTATAAAACAATGTTTCAGAGGATATAAATTAATGGTTAAGATCTCTTGAAGTTTGCATATTCTCTTTTGTTTGTTTTAATGTCCTTCATATATAGGATGACTTCCCCAAAATATCTCATGAGAGTTTTTTTCAAGTTCTTTCAAACTAAAATATGGTAATATAAGATCATGATTTCCCTTCTCAGTAAAGCTGAAGCAATCCTATGCCAATGTTGGTACATAATGAACCCCCATCTTATAAGGTAATTAGGTGATAAACCCCGGGTGTGAGGCAAAAATTGTGTCTAGTCAGAAGGACCTTAGAAACCTATAAAATTGCCCATAAAATCCACCTTCCCATAAACTCAACATGCCAGTGTTTCCTCTCGTTGTCTTTGAACATCAGATGAGGTAAGGCCATATTGTAGGAAAAAGTATGTTTCTTTAACACCAGAAAAGTACCTCACATGGTAAGATCCTGATACCATGGAATCTCCCCTCGCATGTTCATTGTCAGGCCTAGACTCACAGAGGGGAATGGAGTAGAATTTCCCACACTATGCCAGTTGTTTTCCTTTTTTCCTCCTTATCTCGTTACAGTTGAATTTAAGTTAAATGTGTACATGCAGTGACAACACTGTATCTGTGAAGCCCCTGTTGGGCTTTTCTGCACATAACACACCAACAGACATGTCAAGAAATACGTTGTCAACTCCGAGGTTAAACACTTCAAAACAGCACTTATAGTGAGGGAATTGGGTGGTCTATACCCCAACTCTCCTGTTAGATACCATTTGATTATGGTTCAGAATAACTTTTTCTGAAGGTATCATTTATGCATGTTTAAATATATGTAGATTTATTTAATAACTGACTGAGGTGAGGTTGACAATAATATAATGTTGCAAGAGTTAGCCTTTCTTTTTTTTTTTTTTTTTTTTTTGAGACAGGGTCTCACTCTGTCACCCAGGCTGGAGTACAGTGGCATGAATGATCACAGCTCAGTGGCATGAATGATCACAGCTCATTGCAGCCTCAACCTCCTGGGCTCAAGCAGTCCTCCCACCTCAGCCTTCCAAGTAGCTGGGACCACAAGTGCCTGCCACCATACCTGGATAATTTTTGTAGTGACAAGGCCTCCCTACATTGCTCAGGCTGGTCTTGAACTCACAGGCTCAAGCAGTCCTTCTGCCCTGGCCTCCCAAAGTGTTGGGATGTAGGCATGAGCCCCATACCTGGTCATTAGCTTCCTTTTTAAAGGATCATTACTCAGTTTATATAAATTAAAATTTTTTTTGATGAGACTGAACTAATTGGTCACATTTTACTTAAAATTTTATTTATATACATTCACACATATACACACATGTACCTCCATGCTTCCTAACATATTTATAAGAGCTTTCCTGGTTTGACTGCCTCTGGGAATTTGAGCACCTTCTTTCTCTTGGTTCCAGGGTCAGTCCCTCCCCAGTGCCTGCTGGCATTGTTGTTGTAATAAGCTCTACAACTAACCTTGGGCTTGTCCTCAATGCCTCCCTTTCCTTCCTCACATACACATATGTGCTTACCACATGTCATCTGTCACCAAAGCCTGTTGGCTCTACCCTCATCCTGAGTCTGCCCGCTAGTATTACTCTAAACAAGCCACTGAAGTACCAGGCCTGGACCGATGCACCACCCTCCTAACTGGCTGCTGTTTCTGCTCTTCTAGTTTGATCTCTACCTAGCTCCTGTCTGACCTTATTAAATCGAAGTTAGCTCAATACTCTTCTACTTGAAACCATTCACTGGCTTCCCTGTGCATCACAGTAAATTCCAAACTCCTTTCCATGGGCCATAAAGCCCTGCATATTTGTATCTCTGACTGCCTCCTGATACTCTCGCAGTCTCCTGTCTGCTGGCCTTCCTGTCTTGTTTCTCTGCTAAGGTCACTCCCACCTTAATGCTTTTGCCCTTGCAGCATCCTCTACCTGTCATCTTCTTCCCCTACATTTTTGCATGACTTGCTTTCTTTTGTCAATTGTATGTCTGCCCTAATGTTACCTCTTTATTTTTATTTATTTATTTATTTATTTCAAGACAGAGTCTTGCTCTGTTTCCCAGGCTGGAGTGCAGTGGCGTGATCTCGGCTCACTACAACCTCCACCTCCTGGGTTCAAGCGATTCTCCTGCCTCAGCCTCCCGAGTAGCTAGGACTACAGGCACACACCACCATGCCCAGCTAATTTTTGTATTTTTAGTAGAGACAGGGTTTCACCATGTTGGCCAGGATGGTCTTGATATCTTGACCTCGTGATCGGCCCGCCTCAGACTCCCAAAGTGCTGAGATCACAGGCATGAGCCACCGTGCTCAGCCAATGTTACCTTTTTAAAAAAGCCTTTCCTGACCCACCGTATTTAAAAGGACCCACCCTTCTCCCATTCCTCCTGACAAGCCTTCTTTTTTTTTTTTTTTCTTTATTGTACCTTTCTCGTCCTGAAAGGATTTTTTGTACTTATTTACTTGTTCATGGTCTGATTAATCCAATGGAACTGTGCTGTTCTGTAGAATAGCCACTAGCCACATGTGGCTAATTAAATTAAAATGATGAAATAAAGACTAAAATTCAGTCCCTCGATTGTAGTAGCCACATTTCAAATGCTCAGTAGCCACATGTGGCTACTTGCTACCACATTGGACAGCACAGATACAGAACATTTCCATAAGCCAGAAAGTTCTGCTGGACAATGCTGTATTAAAATATGAGTTCCCTGAGGGCAGACAGCCTGTTTGGTTCATTCACTGCTGAATGTCCAGAAGCTATGTCTGATCTGTGGTGCTCAGTAAATAAGAGTGGAATGAATGAATGAGTGAATGAATGAACAAGAGCCTTATATTTTTCAGGAAGAATTGCCCTCATCACTTTAATATTCATCTTTAAACCTTCCATACCCCTAAACAGAGTTAATTTTCAGGATCAAAGAAAGAAAAATTTGTTTCTTTGTGTGTGTGTGTGTGTGTGTGTGTGTGTGTGTGTGTGTGTGTGTATATATATATATATAAAATACTTTAAGTTCTAGGGTACATGTGCACAACGTGCAGGTTTGTTACATATGTATACATGTGCCATGTTGGTGTGCTGCACCCATTAACTCGTCATTTATATTAGGTGTATCTCCTAATGCTATCCCTCCCCCCTCCCCCCACCCCACAATAGGCCCTGTAAGGGGACACTTGGAATATTTAATCATTGTAATGGGATGCCTTCTAATGCCCTTGAGTTTGCCATTGTTCACCTTGTGTCCTTAGAGCCTCACTCTGGGGACTCCATCATTCAAATAAAATTCTTATCTGACTTCCGGGAGAAAGGCACATTTTTCCTGGTCTCCTTTTAGCATGATAAGCCCTTTTCCTTCCTCTGTATCCACTGTGTATGCACAAGATTTTTGCTAACACTCACTAAAGCTTACAGTTACCAAAGTTAGAAACATGGCATGCTTATGACTGTGGGTTGTTATTGGCGCTATTTTCCTGAGTTTACCTTGTGAAAAACCACAGTTTTTAAAAGTGTCTTGACAGTGTCTGAACTTGCAGCACCCTATATCATACCGGATTGGCAAGGTCTGCTGCTGTGTAAGGATTGTAGCTGAGTGTTGATTAAAAGCAGCACCCTCTCGCTTGCTTCAGAGCTAATACCCTTATAAATTGTTGCTATGAACTTTTGAACTCAGAGAAACTTCTGAATATATGTAATAAGAAGTAAAGTAATCCAGGGCTGAGAATTTGTGTCTTCCCTGAAACAAATCACATAGATTAAAAAATAAGTTTGATTCTTAGCTTTTTAATGGTTTCTTAAATCTAATGTTTTAAATTATAATCTGGAGCCTTTATACTTTATATAAGGTTTTCAAAGAACAATTCTTCATATACAATTGTTTACATAAGAAATTTCATAAAGTAGATTTGAAAATCACCTTCAAATAAGAATTCTGTCAGAAATAATATGTCATTTTTATTTTAAGACAGATAAATCACTTAAGCCCAGAATAATATACTAAATCATGTTCTGAAGTGTAGATTCTAGAAATGTATTAGATTAAAACAATGAAAATAATGTCATAGTATTTACATTTTTGAGTAAGTTTTATATCTGATGTCTTATTTTCCTGAGTAAAAACATGAGATTTTTATTTTTATTTATTTATTTATTTATTTATTTATTTTGAGACAGAGTCTTGCTCTGTCGCTCAGGCTGGAGTTCAGTGGTGCGATACCAGCTCACTGGAACCTCTGCCTCCTGGGTTCAAATGATTCTTGTGCCTCAGCCTTCTGAGTAGCTGGGACTACGGGCACGTGCCACCACGCCTGGCAAATTTTTTGTATTTTTAGTAGAGACAGCATTTCACCATGTTGCCCAGGCTGGTCTCGAACTCCTGAGCTCACACAATCTGCCCACCTCGGACTCCCAAAGTGCTAGGATTACAGGTGTGAGCCACCACACCTGGCCACAACATGAAATTTTGAATAAAGCAAATATAATTTTCAGATTCACTATGCCTCACTCCAGAAAGCGTATGAATTAGTGAACAGTTTTATTTAATAATACATTATGAGAGAAATATAATAGCTATTAATGGAAAGTTGTATTAATTTTATTTTTATTGGAAAAGGTAAAGCATAATATGTCTTCAAAAGCCGAATGATAGACAGCTAATGAATCTAGGCTTAAAGATAAAAATCTTGTTCTTTAACATGTATTGCTAGCCACAAATAATAATGCCTTCAGCTCCTCCAGAGAGAATCTCATGCTGCAAGGATTCCTGTATATGAAACATGCAATACCAAAGAACCTGCTTAAGAACCTCTTTATGCAGTCACAGTTGATTATCAGCACTTGTGGTAGGGCTCTTTCATGCAGAAAAACCTTGTTCCAGGGAGCACCTGAAACCACTTTTCCAGCATTCTTTTTTGGATTTTGTTAACATTTTGATGTCAGAATTGCTTTTGGCTCATTGTCTCTAAGTATTCCTAAACGTTTCGGAACATGGCCAGCCTTTTTGCTCTAAAGATTATCCCACAACAAGCAAATATGTAAGAATGTTTGCAAGTGCTTCAGATGTCTATAGTGGCACCAATGGAATAGAATGCCTGATGTCATGTTGGAGCTGGGGATCTTCTGTCTTCCTGACTGGCTCCTCAGCCTGCCCCAGAAACTACATTTCAGTTTCTTTCTTGTGGACGCTGGTGATGAATAGGGTTGTATTAGCAACTGAACTGAAAACCAATGGTTCTGACCAACTCCAACATCCAGCCCCACATAACCTCATCAGCTTAAGATGGAATGATTTTAGGCTTAGAGTTCAATGTGAATCATAATCTTTTCTTCACCAGTTCTTGCTCTTTAATTAATGAATGTTACTTAACCTATGTCTCCATTTTTCTGTCTCTAAAATGGGTGCAGTTGTACCAACTGTGCAGAATTGTAAGGTTTAAATGTTAGGCATGTGAAAACCACCTGGCACAGGGTAGTTGCTCAAAAAGTAGTACTGTCTGTTTAGCATCATGAAATTCAGTAGCTGGAAATCTACTTGTAGAAGAGGAGAACTCTGGGTTTTTTGGATCATATTCACTTAGCACCTAAATTTTATTTTGTAATTTCTCCATGAAATGTCTCTAGGTATACTCCATAAGAAAAAGTATAATTATATATACCAGAGGTCCTCATTATCTGAATAATCAGGAGATGAGGGGAAAAACACACTAAAAAGTTAAGCCACAAAAAACTAGAACCATGTTTCATGGTAAATAGTGAAAAAAAAATCACCTAATTGAAACTTGTCTTGAAAAACTAAATGAATTATGAAAATAAGGCTATTAATACCTATATTCTATAAAATTTGTTAGTTTTTAAAAATGAATTGGCAATCAGTTCTTTCAGCAAAATTTTACATTCATATTACATTACATCCTTTATTTTGTGTTTGAATTTACAGTACATAATCAAAGATAGTCATTTTTGAAAAAAAAAAAAAAAAAGTCTTTGGGCTTTATCAGCTTACCCAAAGACCTGTCTTTATCATTTGATAGTCAGATCATACTCTTATGAAGTATCTGTCACACCTCCATCTTTGCTGATATCTTTCTGAAGTTATTTACTGCTCCAAATTTTCTAGTGGCCTGGTGTGTGTTTCACTTACTCAGCATCACTTTCTCTGACCTCGTGAATCCTGCATCTCTCACAAGCTTTGCAATTTCACTTCTAACCTTACTTGCATTGTGTTTGTGTTGCATCAAAGGAAGGTTTAAAACCTTCCACAACCAGCAAGGTTCCAAACATGTTGATTTAATGAATACAAAGAGATGATACTTGTAAGCAGGGATGTTTGAAGGAGCTGTTTTTTTAAAAAACAGCCAATTCATGAATATTTTCATGTCATGATGATTTTACATCCCTATGTAACCTTGAAACTGTGGGAGGCTGGAGAATCAGGCCTTGCTGTGTGGAGTTACTGTCATCCTCTGATGAAGAGCTCCATCGATGCCTTAAAGGTCCCAGCATGATCATTTCTAGCATGTTTGCTCACGCCATCCCCCAGATTTTCCAGAACAGCCTTTCCACCCACATTTTTTGATCCTCTGCTGTCACATCATCAGTTCCTAATGACAAACTAGACATAGAAAAAAGCAGGAAAATCTTTCATACCATTTATCAGTACAATCAGCTTTTAGCTATCTGTAAAATTGGCCAGTAATGATTATGAAAGAATGATCCATTTTCTACTCCTAGGGGATAGATTCAGTTTGGGGACAAGAAAACAGAAAGAAATATATGTGAGTGTTTTAAATTCCAGCTGTGGAATCCTAATTTCCTAATCATCACTGATTTGCCTGCATCAAATAATTTTGCTTATCTAATTAACTGAAATAGTGGAGTCCTTCTGTAATGAGAATAGTAATTAAAACAATAACAACTAACCCTCTGTTGAGCACTTACTTTGTTCCAGTCACTATTCTAAGGATTTTGCTTGTATTATCTTATTTAACCTTCACAATGCCCTCAGATAAAAGTGTGCCTATTTTATAGACAAGGACAGTGAGTCCCCACCTCTTAAAATCCTATGAGCAATAGGTGATGGAGTAGAAATTTCATAAGACTGTGAGATGAATATGGATACTGTTGCCTTTGAGGTACAAAGAAATAGAAAGATTATCAGTATGGCTCACCATAGAGGAAACATTGGAGATTGAGGAATCTGAGTGTTTTCTGACCCCAGGAATGGAGCAAATTGAAAGAATAACAGTGGAGAACCACATTTTTCCTCTGTTAAACCAGAGCTATCTAGAGGAACTCTGCAGTATTGACGTGAAGAGAATTGTAGTGGATAAGAACAAGGAAAATTCAAGGCTTATCAGTAGAAATGGAATGTTTGAAGTCGGAGAACTCATAGGAATGCTAGTACCAAGTACAGAATCAGATTAGCTGGAGGAGGGAGCTGGAGAATGTCTACACTTCACTAGATAATGAGAGTGGAGTGAGCCAAGAACTCAGTTGGAGTTTGACGGAATGAAGCAGAGGGTCCAACTGAGGCTGAACTGAGCGTGAACTACATTCAGCGGCCTAGGCAGTGCCCTCCTTGATAAGATAATGATAACAAACATATGCAAATGAATTAAACAGTACAGCAACATGTGGTCCAGCTAGCCTCACCTTGGACTCTGAAAAGTTCCATAGGGGCTTAAGTCCCAGACAAACAATATAGCCAAGAGGGAAAGAACCTAAAGAACCTATGCTTAAAACATTAGATTGAGTTTCCAGGTCAGGTATCATAAATTCTATTTTTTTTTTTTTTTTTTTTGAGATGGAGTTTCGCTGTTGGTGCCCAGGCTGGAGTGCAATGGTACAATCTCAACTCACTGCAACTTCCACCTCCCAGGATCAAGCGATTCTCTTGCCTCAGTCTCCCAAGTAGCTGTTTTTACAGGCATGCGCCACCATGCCTGGCTAATGTCGTATTTTTGGTAGAGATGGGATTTCTCCATGTTGGTCAGGCTGGTCTCCAACTCCCAACCTCAGGTGATCTGCCTGCCTCGGTCTCCCAAAGTGCTGAGATTACAGGCATGAGCCACTGCACTGGGCCTGCTTCTATTTTTCTCACTGACTTGGTTGCATTCAGTGCCAGTAATTCCAGTGGTCACATATCCATGTTGTCTTTCTTGCCTGTTCTACCAGTTGGCATTGCTCCCTGGAAGGGACTTGGTCTACAACTGGCAGAACTCCTTCTCCTAAGGCCTTGTGTAAGGTCACTGGGATAGACCATGGCCCTGATGGTTGATATTGCCTCCCCTTGCCATACCTTACCTGGGAAAGTGAGGCCCAGGAGAAGGGAAAATGGGTGTAGAACAGATGTAAACACAAGTGTGTTTAATTTGAGGATCCAACATGATTTAAGAATTGAGGATAAAGTAGGAAAACTAAGTATCCATTTTCCACAGCACCTAGAACAGTGCTAGACACTGGTAAGGAGTTAAAAAAAAAAACCCCCTCTTGGTTGGTTTAATAGTTTGGAAATGGGAAATTTTTTAAACACACTACATTTAATGCATCTGAAAAAATAAGCATTTATTGTCAACTATTTATTTATTTATTTATTTATTTATTTATTTATTTATTTATTTATTTTTAGAGACAGGGTCTTGCTTTGTCACCCAGGCTGGAGTGCAGTTATGCAATCGTAGTTCACTGCAGTCTCAAACTCCTGGGTTCAAGCAATCCTCCTGCCTCAGCCTCCTAAGTAGCTGAGACTGCAGGTGCCCTCCACCACACCAGGCTAATTAAAAAAAGAATATTATGTGTGTGAAGATGAGGTCTTCCTATGTTTCCCAGACTGTCCATGAACTCCTGGCCTCAAGTGATCCTCACCTCAGCTTCCCAAAGTGCTAGGATTGTCAGAGGCGTTTGAACCAGAGCAACTCCATCTTGAATAGGGGCTGAGTTAAATGAGGCTGAGACCTGCTGGGCTTAGGAAGTTACCCTATATAGTCTGAAAAGGGGATGCATGAATAATTCACCCTTTGTTTAGCATATAATCAAGAAATAACCATAAAAATGGGCAACCAGCAGCCCTTAGGGCTGCGCTGTCTGTGGAGTAGCCATTCTTTTTATTCCTTTACTTTCTTAATAAACGTGCTTTCACTTTATGGACTCACCCTGAATTCTTTCTTTTGCAAGATGCAAGAACCCTCTCTTGGGGTCTGGATCAGGACTCCTTTCCCATTAACAGGATTGCAGGTGTGAGCCACTGTGCCCAGCCAATTTTCAACATTTTATTGTTCAGCTATTTGACATAGATGGAAGACTTTAACTGGATATTCGAAAATTATATTCAAGACATATGTGTTATTTGTACCACCACATCCTTTGCCTGCTTATAATGAAAATAAAACAATGTTTATGAATGTCATGCTAATGAAGTCATTTGCACTACGTGCTTTGATACAAAGGTGCAGTCAACAGCCAATTTGAGGCCAAGTTGCTTTCATGTAAAAATTTTTTTTTCATTAATTTCATTTTCTTTATTTCTTTTTTTTATATTTCAATAAATTTTAAAAATGTAGACAGAACAATGCAGGAGACCTGTCTTCTCCCCACCTATGCCATTAGAAAACTGTGTGACCATAGGCAAGTCACTGGGCCCTTCTAGATCTCTTTTTTCCACATTTGTAGACCTATACAATTGTGAGAGATAATCCTAAATTTTTAAAATATACTGCTCAGTGCCTTTTTCCAGTGAAAGAAAACATAGAAAAGAATAACTGTTAAAAAGAGACATATACAAAACATTTGGGTAAGACTAGAGTTTGAACATAAAATGAATCTCAAAAGAATCTGCCATCTGTATTGGTGATCTCTCTTCCCCTTGGCTTCCTGTCTACTTTGTTGCCCCCATGCCCCGACCCCTATTTAATCCCATTTAGCTTATTTACTCCTGTGAAATGTCCATCTTCTTTTTGCTTTCCCTAATTCCCTGTCTGGACTCTTTGGAACCATGAACCTTATTAATCGTGACCAATTTTATGATATATGCTTTTCCCCAAAATGCCGTATGTCTTATGTTTATTTTTAAATAATTAGGCCATGATTTGTTTGGGGATAAGACTTTTTCTATAGTACCAGTGCAAAAAATGTGGGATACCGTCTACGGCTAAGCCAAACTTGGCTTCTTATAGAAAGATCCCTCTGGCCAGGCGTGGTGGCTCACACCTGTAATCCCACCACTGTGGGAGGCCGAGGCAGGTGGATCATTTGAGGTCAGGAGTTTGAGACTAACCTGGCCAACATGGTGAAACCCCATCTGTGCTAAAATTACAAAAATTAGCTGGGCGTGGTGACGCATGCCTGTAATCCCAGCTACTTGGGAGGCTGAGGCAGGAGAATCGCTTGAGCCTGTGAGGCGGAGATTGCAGTGAGCCAAGATTGCGCCACTGCACTCTAGTCTGGGCGGCAGAGTAAGACCCTGTCTCCATAAAAAAAAAGAAAAAGAAAGATCCCTGTTTGGTCTCATGGTTTTATTCATTAATACTTTTCCATTCATTCAAAATATTCTTGTGTGTCTATGCCAAACTCTGTGCTGAGCACTGTGGGTTATGGTGAACAAGCCAAAGGATCTCATCAGGCGGGATGCAGATGCATGGACAGATAATAATAGGAAGTCATGGTAAGTATGTCGAGCGTCATTTGCTGGGGAATTTTTCACGGAGGAAGAGGCAGGTAGACAACCTAGACTTGAAGTCAGGTGTAAACTTAAAAGCTTCCTTAGGAGTTACTTCCTAAGTAACCCCTAAGCTGAGTTTTTGAAAAATAAGTTTAAAGGGCAAGCAAGTGAATTAGTCAGGGTCAAGTCAACATAAACAGAAACCATTCTAAATATTTTATACAGAGGAAAATTATAATAGAGAATTCGTTACTCCAATGCTGAAAGAGCTGAGCCACCAAACTAAGCAAGATAAGGCAATCTTGATACTAGCAAAAGCAGGGAAGCCACCAGCTCCCCTAGGGCTTAAAGGACAAAGGGAAAAGGTCTATTACCACCCACAAGTTAGGGCCACTAGCAAAGCTGGAATGATGTTCAGCTGCTGAACAGTTACAGGAGCTGATGACATAGAAGACACTGCCTGTGGCAGGGTGAGTATGTATGTGTATGTGAGAAAGAGAGACAGAGAAAGACTAAGTCCCTTCTCCAAGCCCTCCAGTCTTCTGATTGAGTCTGCCATTGGCCAGATTTACCTGGAAGCCAGTCAGTTGGCAAAGGAGCCTAGGAAATATCATTTCCTGAGAGAATATATCTGAGAGTAAATAGGCAAATGTTCACACCATTCATTGGCAAGTGAAAAGCCAAAGGTTGGGTGTTGGATGGCTTGGTGTGGTCATAAGAGAAGGAGGACATATACAGAGGTATCAGCATAAGCCAAAGCACCAGGACAAGAAACAGCATGAGATATGCACAGAATCTCAGTCTGTGTCATAAAGTTTCCAGTATGAGTCAGAGATTGATAGGAGCTGAATGTAGGCAGGCACCCAACATGAGAGGCTTCGTGTGACTTAACGGAGTTGCGGCCATCTTCCCTGTAGGCAGTGGGAAAATTCTGAAAGGTTTTCAACAGGGAAGTGGCAAGCCCATATTTGTATTTTAGGTCACTTTGACAGTTGTGTAGACTCCTAGAATTATTTTTTAGAAGCAAAAATCTAATTTATTTGCCTTCGTCTTGTCCTTCTCAAATTCATTCAAGCAAAAAACAATGAGAAACAGCAGTAAGAAAATGGTAGGAAGGATGGAAAACATAAAAATTTAATTGACAGGATGATTGGATGTACAGGTGAGGGAGAGGGAGGATCCAGGGATGGTACCCAAGTCTGTCACCTCAGCTGAGGTTGATGGTATTGTCAAGTAAGGTTAAGTTTGAGTTGGGAGCCTAAGGGACATCAAGCAGAGATATCCAGGAGCAGATGGAATCTGTACACATAGGTATTAGTGGGTGAGTAAGAAGAGAAGTGGACCAAGACTTGACCATAGGGAGCAACAAATGTAAAGCCTTAAAAGAAAAAGAGAGTATCAGACAGGTCCAGGTGTGATTGGATTTAGTAATAGAAGATAATCTTATTCTAGATCATTTTCAGAGGAAAAAGTAGTAGAAACTAAATTGTGCTGGGTTAGGAACTAAAAGGAAGACAAGAAAGTAGCAATGGTAAATGTAGATGTGTCTTTTGAGAGTTTGGATAAGACGAGAGAAAAGACGGGATGAAATCCAAAGTTGGGATGGGTTTCATTTGCAGGGTTGGTGAGACTTGAGGATGTATGTGGTCAGGTTCCAAAAACCAGAGATGAGTTTCTTTAGAGGATAGAGTAGAGATAGAGACTAAGAGGCTCAGGGCTGGAGTCAGGCCTGGAGACACTTGGGGGAATTTCCCACAACTGTTTGCCAAGGAACTGCACTTATGCTGCAAAGACAGTGCATTCAGAATTCCAGTCTTGGCAAAGAACCCAGGTAGCACTTTCCCGTTTCAAGCAGAAAGCGCCTGTATTACTGTGTGTGTGATTTTAGGAGATAAATAGTAACAAAAACTAGCAGTTGTATAGCACTCTGCATCCTTCAAACTGGGCTCAGAGTTTCATTTGAATCCCATGATTGTCTCGTACCTGTGTGTGCATAAATTATATATATATATACATACAAACACACATATATAAATATAAGTGTATACATACACACATAGGTCTATATATATTTTATGGTCTCTGAGAAACTCATTAGGAGCCTGAGACACACAGCAAATAGGACTTGCCAAACCTTTCATAATTCATACATGATTTAACCCAAGTCTTCTGACTTTGGAGTCGTAGGGCCATCTCTAACAGACTTTGCCATTGCAATTAACAGACTTTGTCATTCTGATAGATTGGCCTAGAGAGTGGCAAGTATATAGGCACTGTCCCCTTCACTTTACTTCCTGGTTCCCTAGGACTTTCAGCCTCAGATAGTCTGGGGGCTCCTCCTTTGGATACCCTAGTGTTCCAGGTAGTAAATGGTTTCGCTGAGTACCATAGAGTCAGTTTTCCTATGATGGCAGCTCCTCCCCTCCCAGCCTCCTATATTCTGGGGCTCTTCCTTTCCACACACAAGAAAAGGTGCCTCCCAAGCCCTTGTACTTGCAGAACTTTTCGTCATGGCCTCATTTTCAAATTCTGTCATCCTTCTCTGCTACCAGATTTCCAGTTTTTGAACCTCGTATATACAGAAATCACACATTTCTCCCCATTTCTACTCAAGCCCATGCCACACAAACCTGGTGGGACTCCTGACTCTGTCATGTACCAGCTGGAACTAACTGAGCAAGCGACTCAGCCTTAGTGAACCTAATGATACCTTGCAGAGTTATTATAAGGATTTCAGGAGATAACTTATTTGAAGGATCCAGCTTAGCACCAGGCTTAATAAATCTTAGCTCCTTTCTCCCATCAGAGTGGCCTGGAGCTCTTATCCACATTTCTCAGCAGTTAGCACAGTAATATAATTAGCAACATTAGTATATCTAAAAGGCAATTACCATTTAATTGCTCTGGCCCCAGCCAGCCTGAAGTTTCTCTCCATTCACTTTTAATTTGGGGTTAGGGGTTTTTAGTCCTACCCTGGCTGGTCACAAAATCACTGCCTCAGAGAGAATTGAAAATAGCTGTAGGCAGCCATTGATTACACAGTAAGAGATTTGGTAATTCCTTCCATTTTGTCCTATATAAAAATGCACATATCAGTTTGCTCCCGGCCAGCGAACTAATCAGTTCCAAGCGGCATTTTTCTGAGTCAGTGAAGGATCGTCTTTGGTCAGACCAGCTCTGATCTCAAGAAGGCAAGCACTCCCACAGATGCTCCACACTGATCTTCATTAAAATAAATTAGTGCCCTTGTATAGGTTCAGACTCAGAATCAAGTTTCAGCCATCCTTTCTTAGAAGACATTTATTTACATTACATACTCAATTTAAAGGAGCAAATGCCCTTCTCTCAGCCTGTGAAGTTTGTTTATGTTAGAGCTACTGTGAGAATATAATGCCCAAATGAAGGCAGTATGTTTTATTTCTCCTCCTCTGACCCAATGTCGCATAAAGTAACAGCAGTCTCTAATCAAGAGGAACCCAATGTACTTTGAGATTTCCAATCAAAATCTTTAATATTCGAATGGCACATGTGCATTTGAGGAAACCTAGATTGCCTCAGGCCACACGGAAAGCATTTACATCTGAACCACTTTACATAGGATTGCAAGTTAAAGCAAATTCTAAATAACTTTTAGCAGTCTGAGATTTGGAAAACAGCCTGGCCCATATAAATTCTCCCTTAATTCTTTTTCTGTTAAATCTTATGCCAAAGTAAATGGAAGCTGTAGAGAACCTTTGAACTCAGTTCTCAAAGGACCTCGGTGAAATTGAATTGGCAGAGCCAATGTTAGGTTTTCAAAGGAAGATTTTTTTTTGTTCCCCCTTGAAGTGTCCACATCACAATCACCTTCCTTGGTGAAGGATGCAGTCTTGCTTTCTGGACCTTCTTGGCTCTGGACCATGTATGTGCCTCTGAGAAATGGGCTTTCTGCTGTAAGGAGCTCCTCAATGGGACTCTTCAGGACCCTTGGGGTTGGCATCCAGGCTTCTTAGCTCCTTTGCTTCACAGTTCAGTCAGCTGCACTTTTCCTTTTCTCTTTCCAAAAGAGCTTTTGAATGCAAGAGCCCTGGGGTTCAACGCCACCTCTTCCTGCCACTTAGAGCAAGTGGTTTCACTTTTCCAAGCTTCACTTTCCTTTTCTGTGAACTGGAGATTAAAAATAGAATGGTATATTTCAAAATAGCTAGAAGAGAAAAATTGTAATGTTCCCAACACTAAGAAAAATTAAATGTTTGAGTTGATGGATATCCCAGTTACTCCAATTTGATCATTACACATTGTACACAGGTATCAAAATATTACGTTTCCAAAATATATACATCTATTATATATCAACAAAAAAATCTGTATGCTCAAAAAAAATAGTATGGCCCACATGGATCCCACACATCTCTGAACATTTTGCTCTTGTACTCAATAGCCATGCAGTTTATTACATTGGATTATTCTTTTTATTGATATTTATTGATATTAATTAATTATTAAAATATAAATATATTTTATATTTCTTATACATGTATGTATGTAATACAATGTAACATATATGACATGTATTGTACTTTAGTGTGTTCTTACTGACAAATCATATGCCTCTGGAAGGATGGGACAATTGCACCCTGTGTACCATCCTTAGAATCCAGGCCATGCTGAGCACACAACTGCTTCTTAATAAACAGCTAATTAAGTGCAGTCTTATGAAGGCACCTCTTTATCCTTCTGTTTCATAGTTATCAACAGAAAGTATTATTCATCAGTCAAGCAAATATTCACAAAAATTAACTTTGTTCCCCTCATATTTTAATGTGTGCTGTTTCTCTAGTCTAGATATAACCCTGAAGGAAAAAATGGCACATATTTTTTGTCCTTTTTATCCTAATGTAAAGGAACATATGACATGTTTGCTAATTGTTTGCAAAGTTTCATGTAAGCTTTTTTTGGTTTTGCAAAATATGTTTTTCTAATTATTCTTCCTATCATGCATGTAGAAAGTCAGTATTATTTGCTATAAATTGTTACTATTTGTGGAAATTTGAGAAATAGCATCACTTAGACAATTTCTCAATTTATCATGCCAAAACTGAATCTCAAACTCAAGTGGGCTATATGCTGCCTGCTGTTTAGAGTTTTTCTTAAACTGCTCTACAGAGTTACTTCAGGCTTGGGGCTGGGCCTGGTGGCTCATGCCTATAATCTTTGTGCCTTGGGAGGCTGAGGCAGGAGGATCACTTGAGACCAGGAGTTTGAGACCAGCCGGGGCAACATAGTGAGACACTGTCTCTACAAAAAAAATTAAAAATTGGCTGAACATGCTCCTGTAGTCCCAGTGACTTGGGAGGCTGAAGTGGGAGGATCACTTGAGCCCAGGAATTCAAGGTTGCAGTCAACTCTGATCAGATTTCTGTTATCCAACCTAGGTAACAGAGCAAGACCTTATCTCAGAAAAAAAAAAAAAAAATTACTTCAGGTGGTCATTGTGCCTTTACTTACACACTGCCAGTATAGGGGCTAACTACTGCTGAAAACAGCCTTTTTCCATTTCAAGCAAGTCATCTTGAGCTGGTGTACAGAATGCTTGGAGGTCTTTATGAGGTACAGAGGTGTAAACAACCATATTTATTACTGTCTCTGAAAGAGAAGGGAGAAGACAAATTGCCATTCAAAAACCTGCATGATTTGTATATTATAAACTCAAAGAAACTCTTCTCAGTGTGTTATATGTTGGGTGTACCAATTATAAATCATCAGAGGGAGACTGAGAAAAGTCAACAGAAATCTGCAATCTGACGTGTGTGGAAAGGCAGTGACTGAGAACTGGTGGTTTTGGAATCAGTCCTACCTGGCTTTGATTCCTGTCATCATTATTAGCTTTGAGCAATCTGCTTTACTCTCTGGACTTCTATTTCCTCATCTGTGAAGTGAGAGTGATATTAAAGATTAAATCAGATTAAAATTGTAAAGAATAACACCAACACAGTGGCTGGCTCAAGTTGGTGTTAAATAAATAATACGCAGCATTATTATTAGGTTATTTTATTATTAGAACCACAGGGGTTTCTATTTGACTGATAATGGATGTTTCTTAAAGAAGAAAAATGTGTGAGGACTCTGAGTTGACTATCTTAGTAGCCAATTAGGGGAAAGGGGGTTAATAGAAACTGTCAGCCCCCAGTTGCCACCTCCCCACAGTAGGGTTGTGTGGCCCAGCTTTCCCATCTGCTTCCACAGCCATAAACCTCTTATCTAACATGCAGCACTAGGAGTTTTTCATACCCTTCCTGAAAGGGCTGATCAATACCAAATACTGATCATACCTTTATGTAAATAAAACATCAGCTAATTTCTTATTCTAATCTGTATTTTTTTGGTCAGGCCAATGTTGTGTTTCTAAAAGAGCTCTCCTCCGAAAAAGCTATGATTTGCAACATTTGCCAGTTTCCATGGTGTAAATACTCCCAGCATGGCCAATTGTAAGCTCTTAACACAAAGTCACTGAACACAGAGTTTGGAAGAGATGTGCACAGCTGTTCAAGTTGTTGCCACTCCATTACACCACTGGGCCAGGCTAAAGCTTATGCTTTGATAGTATAGGACAGGATGATTGACAACAGCAAAACCTACAAGCAAATGCAGTAGAGGGAAAATAGTTTGTCGTAGAGTGGATCACTATAATATACTTGGATTCATCCAGAAAGTGAGTTCATGCCAGATTACTCGAGCAATGTATCTCAATGCCATCTTTCTCTTCTTGTTCTGTACTCTCCAGTCATACTTAGAAGAGAAATATTTCCCTAGCCTCTTGTGCTGTAGGAAGGAAAGTCTCCCTAATCACTTCTCAATTGTTTGAATGTTTCCTTCACCAATAGTTTAGATATTTGCTCGTGGACATAATCCCCATGTTTATAAAGATGTCTTCTTTTTCTCCCTCCTCTTTCCCTTCCCCCTCTCCCTCCCTTCTTCCTTCCTTCTTTATAACCATCCTTACTTCCTTCAGAAGTATTTTCCACCATCTTTTGTATTTCTAACATCCCTACAAGATCATCAGAACAGGCAATAGTACTTCTGCTTTGCAAAATTGTAGAGAAACTAGAAAACCATTCTACTTGTATAAATCTCTGTCATGTTATTGCTCTCATTTTTAATTTGTCATTTTGTTATTTTGAAATCTTCATTGTTATTGAGACATCCCGTACTTTAACTTTCTTCCATGAGTGGAGTGGTGTACTTTCAACCTCTGGCTTTTCTTTTGTGTCATAAATTTAATTTTATTCTCTCCATCACAGTTTTTGAAAACTGTATTATACTGTATATAGGAAATTGTATTACAGTACTGTAAATACATTTCTGAGAACTTTTAATTAAGTGATGATACCTAGGACTTTCTCATCATAATCAAGTCCCTGGAGATGACAAAATAGAATCCTTTTGGGAAGCAGTTCTGTTTTCAGCATCTCATCACTGGAGCAAGCAGAATTCTGTTACAGACTTTGAACTGTTAGGGTGATATCAGTTGATGATTTTATCAACATAGTGGATTTATTTAAAAATCCAGGTTGTCTCACTAAAGACCTCTTAAAAGTATTCCAAAAGCCTAGTGACAAACAGAAGAGAAAAAGACATTTGAGATAACAATTCGGCATTTACCATGAAGCCCTCTGCAGACGTGCTTGAGATCATCACTTGTACCATCCTAATCTTCATGAGCATCGTGGGAAACACGTTTGTTTTATTCTACAAGAAGATGTATCACTGGGCATTTACAGACATCCTTTCTTCTAATTTTCAATCTTATTTTTGTCCACCTTATTAAAAACTTGGTGGTGAATGTTATGAAAATTGTTTACTCTTCTGGTATCATATTGGATTCAGCTGGCTGCAAAGTTCTGTGCTTTACATCAGCCCTGACAACTTCACTGGCCATCTGCTTCATGTTACACTTTGCATTGCTTTACCACTGGAAGCTTTACCAAATTGCCCACCCCTTGGGTGTAAATCCAAGCCTGGACCAACAGAAGCATTCCTTGAAGGTGGTTTCTGTACTTTGGGTGGCTGGTGTGGTGGTATATATCCCAGTTTAAATTCGTACCAGAAAACCAGAATTCTCGAATGCAGGAAATGATACAGATCCCTTGTCTACTAACAGGATGTACATGGATTGCCCAGTTGTCTTTGGAAACAAGCAGGTAGAGTTTTTCTATGGGAAAATTTTTTTCGTTCTGATTGATATTCTTTCTTTAGCTATTTTAGTCTTTGTCTGTTTCTGGATGTCTTTCCTCCTTTCAGAGAGAAAGAAGATGACATATGGTGACATCTGGATTGGAGATGATGATTCAGAAATTGAAATCCTTAGAGGGGCCAAGTTCAGTATTTTATTAATGTTGCTGATCACTCCACTTTGGATTTCTCACTTTATCTTAGTCTGTTTCTTGAAAGACTTGGCAGCATGCAGCTTTATTCCAGCTGTTCTTACAGCCATCTCTTCAAGCTTCTCTGCTCTCAGTCCTTTCTTGCTTATGTTGGTTAATTACAAAATGAAGTTGGTGACCTTCTGTGGTGCCAAAGAGGAAAAACCCACACCACAGCCTACAAATGTTATTCTTTCTCCATATGCTTAATGGCAAAGAATTCAAGTTTAATTATTGGAAAACAGACCCTGTCATTGGAGAGTATAGCTAGAGTTTTCATAGCGCTCATCAACAGTTTCCAAAAGGGTCTCTAGAAAACTGACTCCTCTTCAAAAATAGACTTCAGAGGAAACTGTGCGAGAAACTATATGAACATTAAGCTATTATATGTTAAAAAATTGTCATCACAACATTTGTTATTTAAGACAATACTGAGAGTTCTAATGTAAAAATTATAAAGCAACTCAACAGTTTTCAGTCTGGAAATGAACTCAAATAATATATTATTTACTCGTGCAAGATATTGTGTTTAAAAAACAACATATTGATGAAACTGAAGATAATACTTCCTAGCTGAATTTTAAAGGTACACATAAATAATCTTATGTTGTTTTTGAAATGCTTCCCCACATATTAGAAGTATATTAGGTAGGTGTGCAGTGTTCAGTTTTTGCACTTTTAATAATAGTACCTCATCTATGGTGGAAGCAGATTTTGTTCATCATCTCTACCCTAAGTGTCTTTAGTAAATTAGGGCCAAATGAAAGCATTGGATTAAAGAATTAGTACTTGCTAAGTCATACTCTGTGTATGTACAGATGTGCAAATATTTGGTTGTTCAGACATTTAACTCACTATCCTTGCTTAATCATCTAAATATATATTAAACTATACTCTTTTCTTCAGAAAAAAGGATATTATTTTATAGGGAATTTATCTCCTTTCAGTTATCAAATTGGTACATTTACAAATTGGAAGAATTTATAAAACCTTCATAATAATTTGATCTCTGGATTTGGATTCAATAAAAATAAGCACATTATAATTCTAATTAAAAATATATGGCTGGGTTTTTCTTTTTCTCAGTTAGCTGGGTTAGCTCTTTGGACTGCTTCCGATACAGTGAGAAATTGTTTTCAGTGTCTTCACATACATTTATGTAAGCATTGATTTTTAAGCAAATTCTTAGTAGATTTTTGCTTTTTTTTTTTTTTTCATTTTTCTTCTGTGTTAATAGACCTGGGATTTATTATACTGTCATTCTAGTGAATAGATATCCCCAAACTGAGACCTGGTTCTAAAAAGGCTGCATTGAAAATTATAAAACTGGACCTCATTAACAGAAGACACTAAGAACATCTTTGTAGCCATGAAGTGCTATAGAGAAAGGAAATTTTAAAGTAGCCAAGGCCCAAATTGTGTAAAGTTGTGTGTGCCAATGTCTATCTCTTGTATAGCACAACAAATTGAAAAAAAATAATAAAAATAAAAAGACCTAAGACCCTCTGAGATTGCTGGGTGGTCTTCATGGGAAATGCTTAGTTGAGTCCACTGAGGCAGCTTAATCAAAAGGGCACTAGGCATGAATCCTGTATAATGAAGTTAACATCTGGATAGATGTGGCATGTGGGGAAGAGGTCACCATCTTTTAATTAAGTGCAGATGTAGCCAAAGCTGAGGATAGCCATTAGCTTAGCTTAGGTAGTGGTTCTAAAATGTGATTCTGAGACCAGCAGCATCAGCATCACGTGGGAACTTATGACAAATGCAAATTATTGGGCACCACCTTGACCTATTGAATCAGCAAGTCTGGGATTTGGACCCAGCAGTCTGTTTTAATAAGCCATCTGAGTGACTCTCGTGCACTCTAAAGTTTGAGAATAACTCATCTAGGATTGCTCCAAAGTTTAATCCTCATAAACAATCAGAATGAAGCCAAGATAACTGACTGAAGATGTAGTCTTCAGTGATCCCATGCATGCTGCTGTTGTGTCTGCTTCTCTCTAAAATGGCAATCAGGGTTGTGATGTGTTCCAAACACATCCACTGTAGAAATTGAGTAATTTTTGCAAAATCAAAATAAAGCATAACCATTTCAGGTGTGCCAAAATTTGGAAGTTAGATTTGGATAGTTTCTTGTACATAACTGAGTAAGGGCTCCAGTTCCCAGATTATTCCATAGTTCCCTTCCAGAAGCCAGTGCAAGACATGATTGGTTGGCTTAAGCCCATGCTCAACTTCCCAGTGCTTGAAATGTTTTCTTTTTCTTTCCAGATATTTTCTTCTTCTTTGGACCTCATTAGGTCATAGTTTTGTCCTTGTGGAATTGATAAGTTTTCATTTACAACAGGGAACAAATCATATGTTCACTGAATGAACAATATTCCAGTTCTCTTTAAAAATTAGTTTGATTTTAACTCTCTTGCTCCCTCCTTTCTCTCCCTTAACCTCCAATTTCACTCAAGTTCCTGGTGGGATTATGATGACAGATGAAAGAGAATAGGGAAATTCAACAGAGATGGTCATGGCAGCACTCTGAAAAGGTGTAAAATTGGTCAGGACTGTCCTGAGGACCTGGTTTAGTTTCATGGGTGTTTGTCAATGCCATCTCAGACTACGCAAAATCTTTTCAGCTGGGAGGCCGTCTATTCCTCCTTCACAATGCAGGATTCTGATCTTCTTCTCTCAGAGGACTTCTATTTGAACAATTTCTTGCTGAGGTGGGTGTGATTTCACAAAGCAGCCCATTCCATTAAAGCCCATTTGAAATACCATACTTACAAAGTCTTTACTGAGACTGACATCCCTGATATGTCCTCCAAGATTTACCCTTGAAGTTAAATCCTCCTTTTACTTGCGAGATCTTTAGATTCTTAGAGAGGAAAGCTTTTTTCTCTTCACCAAGTTAGAAATTTCCTTAGCTGTATTGCATAAGACAGTTTCTCAACCACTGGTTTTCTTGGCTTCCTTTCTCTGTCTTGGTGTATTCCAGATAACCTGTGGCTTTTTAAAGAAGTGACACTCAGAACTGAATACAATATGTTTTTTCTTTGTGTATGTGTATACATTTGTGTTTGCATGTATTTTTTTCTATTATACATTCTTTTATCTTCTCCTGCACAGCTCCTGTGAGCATGAATTCTTTCTTTCTTCCAAAAAGAATTTTAAATGTTCAACTCATTTTAAATCACACACACAAGAAAGGGGTGAGAGGGAGACAGACAGAGAGAGAGAGAGAGAGAGAGAGAGAAAGAAAGAAAGAGAGATCAGATATTTTTTTTATATACTTTAAGTTTTAGGGTACATGTGCACATTGTGCAGGTTAGTTACATATGTATACATGTGCCATGCTGGTGCGCTGCACCTACTAACTCGTCATCTAGCATTATGTATATCTCCCAATGCTATCCCTCCCCCCTCCCCCCACCCCACAACAGTCCCCAGAGTGTGATATTCCCCTTCCTGTGCCCATGTGATCTCATTGTTCAATTCCCACCTATGAGTGAGAATATGCGGTGTTTGGTTTTTTGTTCTTGCGATAGTTTACTGAGAATGATGATTTCCAATTTCATCCATGTCCCTACAAAGGACATGAACTCATCATTTTTTATGGCTGCATAGTATTCCATGGTGTATATGTGCCACATTTTCGCAATCCAGTCTGTCATTGTTGGACATTTGGGTTGGTTCCAAGTCTTTGCTATTGTGAATAATGCCACAATAAACATACGTGTGCATGTGTCTTTATAGCAGCATGATTTATAGTCCTTTGGGTATATACCCAGTAATGGGATGGCTGGGTCAAATGGTATTTCTAGTTCTAGATCCCTGAGGAATAGCCACACTGACTTCCACAATGGTTGAACTAGTTTACAGTCCCACCAACAGTGTAAAAGTGTTCCTATTTCTCCACATCCTCTCCAGCACCTGTCGTTTCCTGACAATTTAATGATCGCCATTCTAACTGGTGTGAGATGGTATCTCATTGTGGTTTTGATTTGCATTTCTCTGATGGCCAGTGATGATGAGCATTTTTTCATGTGTTTTTTGGCTGCATAAATGTCTTCTTTTGAGAAGTGTCTGTTCATGTCCTTCGCCCACTTTTTGATGGGGTTGTTTGTTTTTTTCTTGTAAATTTGTTTGAGTTCATTGTAGATTCTGGATATTAGCCCTTTGTCAGATGAGTAGGTTGTGAAAATTTTCTCTCATTTTGTAGGTTGCCTGTTCACTCTGATGGTAGTTTCTTTTGCTGTGCAGAAGCTCTTTAGTTTAATTAGATCCCATTTGTCAATTTTGTCTTTTGTTGCCATTGCTTTTGGTGTTCTGGACATGAACTCCTTGCCCATGCCTATGTCCTGAATGGTAATGCCTAGGTTTTCTTCTAGGGTTTTTTTGGTTTTAGGTCTAACGTTTAAGTCTTTAATCCATCTTGAATTGATTTTTGTATAAGGTGTAAGGAAGGGATCCAGTTTCAGCTTTCTACATATGGCTAGCCAGTTTTCCCAGCACCATTTATTAAATAGGGAATCCTTCCCCATTGCTTGTTTTTCTCAGGTTTGTCAAAGATCAGATAGTTGTAGATAAGTGGCGTTATTTCTGAGGGCTCTGTTCTGTTCCATTCATCTATATCTCTGTTTTGGTACCAGTACCATGCTGTTTTGGTACTGTAGCCTTGTAGTATAGTTTGAAGTCAGGTAGTGTGATGCCTCCAGCTTTGTTCTTTTGGCTTAGGATTGACTTGGCGATGCGGGCTCTTTTTTGGTTCCATATGAACTTTAAAGTAGTTTTTTCCAATTCTGTGAAGAAAGTCATTGGTAGCTTGATGGGGATGGCATTGAATCTGTAAATTACCTTGGGCAGTATGGCCATTTTCACAATATTGATTCTTCCTACCCATGAGCATGGAATGTTCTTCCATTTGTTTGTATCCTCTTTTATTTCCTTGAGCAGTGGTTTGTAGTTCTCCTTGAAGAGGTCCTTCACATCCCTTGTAAGTTGGATTCCTAGGTATTTTATTCTCTTTGAAGCAATTGTGAATGGGAGTTCACTCATGATTTGGCTCTCTGTTTGTCTGTTGTTGGTGTATAAGAATGCTTGTGATTTTTGTACATTGATTTTGTATCCTGAGACTTTGCTGAAGTTGCTTATCAGCTTAAGGAGATTTTGGGCTGAGACGATGGGGTTTTCTAGATATACAATCATGTCGTCTGCAAACAGGGACAATTTGACTTCCTCTTTTCCTAATTGAATACCCTTTATTTCCTTCTCCTGCCTGATTGCCCTGGCCAGAACTTCCAACACTACGTTGAATAGGAGTGGTGAGAGAGGGCATCCCTGTCTTGTGCCAGTTTTCAAAGGGAATGCTTCCAGTTTTTGCCCATTCAGTATGATATTGGCTGTGAGTTTGTCATAGATAGCTCTCATTATTTTGAAATACGTCCCATCAATACCTAATTTATTGAGAGTTTTTAGCATGAAGGGTTGTTGAATTTTGTCAAAGGCTTTTTCTGCATCTATTGAGATAATCATGTGGTTTTTGTCTTTGGCTCTGTTTATATGCTGGATTACATTTATTGATTTGCGTATATTGAACCAGCCTTGCATCCCAGGGATGAAGCCCACTTGATCATCGTGGATAAGCTTTTTGATGTGTTGCTGGATTCGGTTTGCCAGTATTTTATTGAGGATTTTTGCATCAATGTTCATCAAGGGTATTGGTCTAAAATTCTCTTTTTTGGTTGTGTCTCTGCCCGGCTTTGGTATCAGAATGATGCTGGCCTCATAAAATGAGTTAGGGAGGATTCCCTCTTTTTCTATTGATTGGAATAGTTTCAGAAGGAATGGTACCAGCGCCTCCTTGTACCTCTGGTAGAATTCGGCTGTGAATCCATCTGGTCCTGTACTCTTTTTGGTTGGTAAACTATTGATTATTGCCACAATTTCAGCTCCTGTTATTGGTCTATTCAGAGATTCAACTTCTTCCTGGTTTATTCTTGGGAGAGTGTATGTGTCGAGGAATTTATCCATTTCTTCTAGATTTTCTAGTTTATTTGCATAGACGTGTTTGTAGTATTCTCTGATGGTAGTTTGGATTTCTGTGGGATCAGTGGTGATATCCCCTTTATCATTTTTTATTGTGTCTATTTGATTCTTCTCTCTTTTTTTCTTCATTAGTCTTGCTAGTGGTCTATCAATTTTGTTGATCCTTTCAAAAAACCAGCTCCTGAATTCATTAATTTTTTGAAGGGTTTTTTGTGTCTCTATTTCCTTCAGTTCTGCTCTGATTTTAGTTATTTCTTGCCTTCTGCTAGCTTTTGAATGTGTTTGCTCTTGCTTTTCTAGTTCTTTTAATTGTGATGTTAGGGTGTCAATTTTGGATCTTTCCTGCTTTCTCTTGTGGGCATTTAGTGCTATAAATTTCCCTCTACACACTGCTTTGAATGCGTCCCAGAGATTCTGGTATGTGGTGTCTTTGTTCTCGTTGGTTTCAAAGAACATCTTTATTTCTGCCTTCATTTCGTTATGTATCCAGTAGTCATTTAGGAGCAGGTTGTTCAGTTTCCATGTAGTTGAGCAGTTTTAAGTGAGATTCTTAATCCTGAGTTCTAGTTTGATTGCACTGTGGTCTGAGAGATAGTTTGTTATAATCTCTGTTCTTTTACATTTGCTGAGGAGAGCTTTACTTCCAAGTATGTGGTCAATTTTGGAATAGGTGTGTTGTGGTGCTGAAAAAAATGTATATTCTGTTGATTTGGGGTGGAGAGTTCTGTAGATGTCTATTAGGTCCGCTTGGTGCAGAGCTGAGTTGAATTCCTGGGTATCCTTGTTGACTTTCTGTCTCGTTGATCTGTCTAATGTTGACAGTGGGGTGTTAAAGTCTCCCATTATTAATGTGTGGGAGTCTAAGTCTCTTTGTAGGTCACTCAGGACTTGCTTTATGAATCTGGGTGCTCCTGTATTGGGTGCATATATATTTAGGATAGTTAGCTCTTCTTGTTGAATTGATCCCTTTACCATTATGTAATGGCCTTTTTTGTCTCTTTTGATCTTTGTTGGTTTAAAGTCTGTTTTATCAGAGACTAGGATTGCAACCCCTGCCTTTTTTTGTTTTCCATTTGCTTGGTAGATCTTCCTCCATCCTTTTATTTTGAGCCTATGTGTGTCTCTGCACGTGAGATGGGTTTCCTGAATACAACACACTGATGGGTCTTGACTCTTTATCCAATTTGCCAGTCTGTGTCTTTTAATTGGAGCATTTAGTCCATTTACATTTAAAGTTAATATTGTTATGTGTGAATTTGATCCTGTCATTATGATGTTAGCTGGTGATTTTGCTCGTTAGTTGATGCAGTTTCTTCCTAGTCTCGATGGTCTTTACATTTTGGCATGATTTTGCAGCAGCTGGTACCGGTTGTTCCTTTCCATGTTTAGCGGTTCCTTCAGGAGCTCTTTTAGGGCAGGCCTGGTGGTGACAAAATCTCTCAGCATTTGCTTGTCTGTAAAGTATTTTATTTCTCCTTCACTTATGAAGCTTAGTTTGTCTGGATATGAAATTCTGGGTTGAAAATTCTTGTCTTTAAGAATGTTGAATATTGGCCCCCACTCTCTTCTGGCTTGTAGGGTTTCTGCAGAAAGATCTGCTGTTAGTCTGATGGGTTTCCCTTTGTAGGTAAACTGACCTTTCTCCCTAGCTGCCCTTAACATTTTTTCCTTCATTTCAACCTTGGTGAATCTGACAATTATGTGTCTTGGGGTTGCTCTTCTCGAGGATTATCTTTGTGGTTTTCTCTGTATTTCCTTAATTTGAATGTTGGCCTTTCTTGCTAGGTTGGGGAAGTTCTCCTGGATAATATCCTGAAGAGTGTTTTCCAACTTGTTTCCATTCTCCCCATCACTTTCAGGTACACCAATCAGACGTAGATTTGGTCTTTTCACATAGTCCCATATTTCTTGGAGGCTTTGCTCATTTCTTTTTATTCTTTTTTCTCTAAACTTCCCTTCTCACTTCATTTCATTCATTTCATCTTCCATTGCTGATACCCTTTCTTCCAGTTGATCGCATTGGCTCCTGAGACTTCTGCATTCTTCACGTAATTCTCGAGCCTTGGTTTTTCAGCTCCATCAGCTCCTTTAAGCACTTCTCTGTATTGGTTATTCTAGTTATACATTCTTCTAAATTGTTTTCAAAGTTTTCAACTTCTTTGCCTTTGGTTTGAATGTCCTCCCGTAGCTCAGAGTAATTTGATCGTCTGAAGCCTTCTTCTCTCACCTCGTCAAAGTCATTCTCCATCCAGCTTTGTTCCGTTGCTGGTGAGGAACTGCGTTCCTTTGGAGGAGGAGAGGCGCTCTGCGTTTTAGAGTTTCCAGTTTTTCTGTTCTGTTTTTTCCCCATCTTTGTGGTTTTATCTACTTTTGGTCTTTGATGATGGTGATGTACAGATGGGTTTTTGGTGTGGATGTCCTTTCTGTTCGTTAGTTTTCCTTCTAACAGACAGGACCCTCAGCTGCAGGTCTGTTGGAATACCCTGCCGTGTGAGGTGTCAGTGTGCCCCTGCTGGGGTTGCCTCCCAGTTAGCCTGCTCGGGGGTCAGGGGTCAGGGACCCACTTGAGGAGGCAGTCTGCCCGTTCTCAGATCTCCAGCTGCGTGCTGGGAGAACCACTGCTCTCTTCAAAGCTGTCAGACAGGGACATTTAAGTCTGCAGAGGTTACTGCTGTCTTTTTGTCTGTCTGTGCCCTGCCCCCAGAGGTGGAGTCTACAGAGGCAGGCAGGCCTCCTTGAGCTGTGGTGGGCTCCACCCAGTTGGAGCTTCCCGGCTGCTTTGTTTACCTAGCAAGCCTGGGCAATGGCAGGCGCCCCTCCCCCAGCCTCGCTGCAGCCTTGCAGTTTGATCTCAGACTGCTGTGCTAGCAATCAGCGAGACTCCGTGGGCGTAGGACCCTCCGAGCCAGGTGCGGGATATAATCTCGTGATGCGCCGTTTTTTAAGCTGGTCCAAAAAGCTCAATATTCGGGTGGGAGTGACCCGATTTTCCAGGTGCGTCCGTCACCCCTTTCTTTGACTCGGAAAGGGAACTCCCTGACCCCTTGCGCTTCCCAAGTGAGGCAATGCCTCACCCTGCTTCGGCTTGCGCACGGTGCGCGCACCCACTGACCTGCGCCCACTGTCTGGCACTCCCTAGTGAGATGAACCCGGTACCTCAGATGGAAATGCAGAAATCACCCGTCTTCTGTGTCGCTCACGCTGGGAGCTGTAGACCGGAGCTGTTCCTATTCGGCCATCTTGGCTCCTCGAGAGATCAGATTTAAAGGTACATAAAATATGTATATCTGCCCTAGACTTAAAAACTAGTCTCTCCAAGCTCTCAAGTTCAGGTATATGTTAGTTTGTTCTCAATATTTGGGTTTCAGATACCATGAAATGACCTCCAAATCACTTGCAAGAATTTTAATGTATAAATTAAAGGGCAAAACTACAAAAAGACCAATCCTTACAGGAATTTTTCAGAGAAATCCTGATCTCCAGAATCAAGTTTTCTAAAACAGTGCCATCTTCCTTGCCTTTTTAATAAGACATTAAAAGGATGGTCATAATCCAATTTTCTTTAAAGGTGAAGTTGAAGACTTAAACCAACTGGCTATGGAATATGTTGTCTTATAGACTAGTTCAGGGATACCTGTGGGTAAGGTGTGTTAGAGACACAAAGTCTATACACGTTTTGTTAATGATGATGATGGTGATGATGTCTACCATTTCTGTTTAATCTCTCCAGGAAAGAAGGGTAATTCATTTGGAGTTAGGTTCATGAACATCCAAACAATACAATTCAGGGCTAGGGATGTCTGGAATTCTGACCTAGATGGTTCAAAGACACACCCATGATTCAGAGCAGTCCAGGGCAAGTCAGAAGAGCACTAGACTGGTTAGCAGGAAATGATTTGTGTTAGCTGGCTTTGCCCCTACTTAGTAGTGCATAACCTTGGATGGAATATTCCTGAGGTTTGCCATCTGTAAAATATGAAAGATATGATTGCAAATTACAAATTATGGTGCATACCTTCTGCCTCCATCACAGGTTGCAGTAAATAATTTGAGCTAAAAAATGTGAAGATGATTCTTAAAAAAAAAATGACACAGAGGCAGTGTTGCTTTACCTTGTCATTTTGGCAAGTTGAAGTAGGAGAGAAAAATACTAGACTTAAAATCAGAAGCCCTGGTTGCGTGAATTTGAGGCAATTACAGAACCTCTCTGAGCCTTGGTTTCCTTATCTCCACAAAAGAAATTATAATGACATTTGTCTCCCAGCATCTGTGTGAGACTAAGTGAGCAAGTATATGTAATAGCACCCAGTCCTAAATCTTGATACAAAGTTTTCTTCACAAATTTTTCTGTGGGTGTTTCCTTCAGGACAGCAAGGAAGAAATGCAGGCTCTCCTCTAGGAGCTGGAGCAGGCTCAATATATTACACTGAAGTCCCTTGTTTGATATCAAACATTCACTTGTATTCTTACAAACATGCCAGAAATTTGATATTCCAAGATGTGCTCTGTGTTCACTCTGGCTTTGAAAATACTCCCCTGACAATCCCTGTTTATCACCCCACCCTCACCATCACGCTTCAAGACCGCTTTGTAGAAGCAAAAATACAGCAATCAATGCTAAATCAATGTTATGCGTCTTTCTGGACATTCTGTTCCAGAATTCTCACTTCCAGGCCTGTTCCCATACTGAAAGCACAGACAACTGGAACACTTCCTCCTGTCCCAACCACTCCCTTCCCATTCACACCTCCATCCTTCGGCTTTCAGCTTTGCCAGGCTGACTTCTGTTATCTCCAAGGTCTAGATTGGGTGCCTCAGCCTGCTGTGTATTTATTTGTCCTGGCGAGCATCACATGATATTGTAATAGCATGCCTTCTTGTTTGTCTCCCCTGGTACCATATACTCCATCTTGGTGTGGAAACTAGTGTAGGTCTTATCCACCACATGCATCCAGAATATTCCATAAATGAAGAAGTGGATAAAGTCCACAGGGCTTGTGCTTTTTCTTTGTTCATGTGTACTTCTTGGCTCTCCTTCAGTTGCCTCTTTCTAGTAAAAATTTCTTGCCTCTATCATTTTTCTGCTTCAAGATGAGGCATTTACTGACTGCCATGCTTCTGGCCACTGTTGAATCAAAGAGTGAAAGAAACCAAATCCAACATTTGGAATGAGTTGCTTCCTTGCCAGCCAAGCTACTGAGCCAACTGGGGACAACATTTCTACCCAGACCTTCCAGTACTTATTTTGTGATCATTTTAAGTTTTTATATTGAAGAAAGTAAGCCCAATATCGATGTTCAGGCTTTCAAATTGAAAATTTTTCCCAGTACAAATTTGGCAGGCATGCGTGTGCGCACGTATGTGTGTGTGTGTGTGTGTGTGTGTGTGTGTGTGTGTGTAGGGGTGCAGGGAGCGGCTGTGTTTTTCTAAGAGCTGGTATATTAAAAGGTAAAGAAATAAGTTGTAATGCAAATCCTTTGAAGTTACCTCATCACCGAATGTACTCTGCTCATTTATTTTGACAAATCCAACTTACTTTTAATTACCAGGCCTCATAGTATACTGGTAAATGGAGCAATAGCGACTTTGGCAGAAAAGGAGAAATCTGTGTAACATGAGCCTTCAGAATGAGTCCAAGCTGACTCCTTGTAAAATAGAGTGAGGCAATACATTTTTAAAAATTTTTCAGTAGAGCAATTTATGTGATATGTGACTGTAGTCACAAATCAATGTGCCTTTTATGAGCCAAGCACACCAGAATGCATACACTAAAATGAGTGTAGTTTCTCAAGGAAATTTTGTTGGCCACTATAAGCTTTTTCCAGTGATGCTGCCATTATGCAACAGATTTTTGGAAGTCTTCGTTTGGAATTATTTTCAAAGTCAGTTTTCCAGTCACAACAAAAAAATTAAAAATATCACCTGAATATCATAATACGGGGGTGGCAAGGAGGCTATTTTTTTAATTGCTTGTCTATTTTTTTATTATGCAATGTGGTTCTCAGTTATTTTGAGCTCTCTCCCAAAAGGAAACTTCTATGGAAGGTAGCAGTTGGGCCATCACTGAGGTCACTCTTGAGAAGGTGACATGGTGTTGATAGACCCATTAGGGGCATAAGCCCCTCACACACACTTTAATAGGCACTGGAGGGACTTCTGCTCTTGGCAGTTTATCAAAACTCTGTGAGAGTAGGAAGAGTCCTACAAACATTGAGTGTAGTTGATGCTGTTTGTTTTGTTCTGAAAGCCGGGCATCAGTTTGGAGTTTGAGTAAGGTTTCTCCCAGTGCTGTGGGCACATCCAAAGAAGGGAGCCAAGCTGTCATTAGCAGTTTCTGCACAGCATATAGTTCTCAGCAGCCGAGCCCTGTGTCCCCACATTCTAATCTGTTTCTTCTTTCCCTCTCTATCAGTTTTCCTACCCAAATTGGGAGAGCTGAACCATTGAAAAATGTTTCCTTTACCTTTCTCAACTCACCCTCCCTGGCATCTCATCTCTCCCCACTTCAAAAAAAAAAAAAATTAAAACACATAACATACCTGCCTAAATAAATAACAAATCAAGAATTGCCAATGCCAGTAAAAAGAAATGGGATGATTTCAATCCGTGGACAATACTCATGGTGGACAAATCTTGAAAAAGGTGTGCTGTGGGGAGAGGGGCTTACATGCAAAAGAAAGCCCTCGGAAGGCCTTAGAAAACCTGGGAACAAGTGATTGTAGCTTGTAGGGTCAGGGCTGATGGCATGGGGGAGAAATTCAGATTCACAAATGACTAGGTCCTGAGATCCAAAAGGGGCCTATGATGCATAGCAATAAAAATCCTATATAAAGGATTTTTGTTTGTTTGTTTGTTTGTTTTTTGCGACGGAGTCTCGTTCTGTCACCCAGACTGGAGTGCAGTGGTGTGATCTCGGCTCACTGCAACCTCCACCTCCCGGGTTCAAGTGATTCTCCTGCCTCAGCCTCCCGAATAGCTGGGACTACAGGCGCCCACCACCACGCCCGGCTAATGTTTTGCATTTTTAGTAGAGATGGGGTTTCATTGTGTTAGCCAGGATGGTCTCCTGACCTCGTGATCCGTCCACCTTGGCCTCCCAAAGTGCTGGGATTACAGGTGTGAGTCACCATGCCCGACCCTACATAAAGGATTTTAAGCTGGCCTGCCCTTTCTGGAAAGCGTAAAAAATGTATTTTGCTTAGGTATAAACCCACTCTTGTTGGCCTCAGTAGGTTGGCTCTCTTGCCTCCCAGCTGCTGGTTTGGGCCAGACAGAGGATGGCTTCAGGACTTTTTCTGGGTTTGCACTTGGCACGGCTTCCTCCCTTCCCCTGGAGTCACAGCAGTGAAGTGTCACCATGTAAATCCACACCAATCACACAAAGCAAGAAGAACCCTTCCTTCCCCCAGTTGTAAAGTGAAGGAAACATAATCCCCACTTCGTAACATTTTATTAAGTTTGCAAAGGTTTTCTTTTCCTAGTACTAAGAGATAAAGTGGACATTCTGTGAAAGCACAAATTGTGATGTGCCAATAGTTTATTTGTAGGAAATTGTATTTTGTTGCTGTTGTGGTATGATAATTTAAAATGATCTTAGAATACAAATTAAATCTTAGAATACAAATGAAGTCAACATTTTTGGCAGGAGGCACCAATACAAAATTGGGGGTAATGGTTGTACTTATGTTTAATACTGAATTCCTTTGAAGGGTCGAACACTCAAATGTCCCCAAGGCATGTTGGTGAGTAGAGCAGCCTTGGAGAGGCTCTGGGAAAATGGGGAGCACAGGCCCCATGGACAGGTAGGAGCAGCTGCGGCTTAGCTCCAGCTAGTTGTTGCCATGGGGACTGCAGACCCCTGTTGCCAGAGCTTCAGGTATTTAAAACAAAGCCAGAAATCCAGAATTTTATGTGAAATCACCCAAGGTCTGCAAGTTGGCAACTGATTCAATTTTTTTTTTTTCTTTAACACTGTTGGGGTCAAACAAATCACATCTGTGGGCCAGATTCAGCTCACAGGCCTCCAATGCATGCCCTCTGTAGCTGTGCTTTCTGTTACAGCATGTTTGCCATGGGTCTGAAAGAAGGCTTATTGGTTTCCATAGTGGATTGGTGTGCAGAGTGGGAGGTGTCAGAAGAGCAGGATGAGAAAAGCAACCACAGTTCACCTCATTGTCCTTATCATGTTTGATCATTTGCAGCAGCTACTCTAACCTGACCTTATTGCTTCCTATCTTGTCACTGATTCCTTAGAAAAGAGTGCCTGAGAGTGCCAGAGGCTTGGTGGAAGGGCAGACGAGAGAAGAGGAGGCATTGTATTGGCCACTGGGACAACTGCAGACTCACTCTTACCTGTAAAGAAGCAGTTAATGTTGGGGAATGTAGTCAGGATTGGAAAACCACGGGGATTTCTGCACATTATAATTGAGAATGTAAATATTCTTAAAGTGGCACCCTGAAAGAGACAAGCATTGAAACCAGACAAAATAAATTGGATCATGAACAGAATGAGACATCTTAAAGGAGATAGCATGTGGAGGCCTGCTGGGAAGTAGAGGCAAATTCCAGATGCCTAGGAGCCTTAGTCTAAGGTGGGGCCATCCAACCCACAGAAATAAATATGGGCAGTGGCCCAAGACTTCCTATAATGAGCTGCACCTGTTGTAAGTCTTGTGTTCTTGCCTATAGAATAAAGAACCTCACTACCATCCTGCAAGTGCAAATTGAAAGATTCCTGTTGTGATGCCATGAGTTATTATCCGCTGGTTATATTCTATTGGAATGGCTACACTCAACTGGATATTGCTGTCTATATTGTTGGAGCACCTCAAACAGGGGTGCAATGGTTATTTGTTAATTTACTTAATTAAGACATGTTCATCCACATTTTATAGTTTCATTTATTTAAAGATCCATTTGGTCCCCAGCTTCGATGCATGTTTCTCTGCTTCATCTCCCCATATTTCCATGTTCCTGCTGATGTTTATACCATATCCTGGCACCCAGCATCATCTGTGTGTTGTTCACCAAGGCCGTGGGAACAGAGTCTGTAAATCAATAGTTCATCACGGAGTACAGATTTCATGAAAAGAAATTGGATTGGAAGAAAGTCTCCTAGTGAACACGCTAGTATCCAAAGAGTCTGGATTGTATCAGAATCCATCACAGTAGGAGAGAATGTTGTTTTGAGTAATTTCCAAGCAGAGTACATATATTTTCCTCTGAAAATCTTTGTAAATTGAAGAAAAGTGACATTTTTATACCAAGCAATTTGTTTGATAACCTATTTTCAGATTTCTACAAATAATAAAATTTCTGATTTTAAATATTTTTTACAAATACAAGTTGGTTTTCTTTTCATTGTAAGCCTTACTGTGATTTCAGAAGAATTTTTAACATTTGCTAAATGGATAATCTCATTTAAACATGGAAGTAACATCCTAATCCTTTCTTGGATGGACTCTGTATCTATTGTAATTAAGACTTTAAAAATGGTATATACATATGGGAAAAAAAGGAGAGGAAACAGGAAAATTAAATCAAGTGATGGGTTTGAGGTAAGGAATGGCAAGTTTTTTTTTTCTGTTTATCATAATTATACCATTTGCAGAGCTTAAAAAAGAAAGAATGGCTCAACATGAGGGAAAACAAATGCCTTCAGAACAAATTTGCTTTTAAAAAGTAGGTCTTTTTACACTTTCAGTCTTTTATCGGGAGGCCCATTTTCATCAGGCTAGATGTATTTTCACTTTCCAGTAATGCACTCCTTATTGTTCAGCAAGGTACATCTTGATTAGACAATCAAAGAGGGCAAAATGAATTATTTCAGATACTCAAATCTGGGTACTTAAGATAATTTTTACAATAAGAAAGACAAGTTGCAGGAAGCAGAGGCTGATTTTGCTATCTGAGAGTTGGCGCTGCAGAAGATAACTGCACACCAAGGCGCTGTCAGGAGATCTATATTTCTGCTCTTGACATCTGTAGGTGCCTCTGCCGCCGCTGATGGGGATGATGATAAGTGATGGGAAAATGAAGTGGGAGGTGATGTATCCTACTGTGATAGATTTAAAGGGTTGCCCCAGGCGGCCCTGAGGCAAGAGCTGACTGAAGACGTTCCGGGGCCTGCATCAGGTCACTATGGCACAGTCAGGCAAAGCTGTTTGAGGCAGAGGGCAGTGCAATAACTCTGAGGTTTAAATCTGCACTTAGATCCTCTTTCTTTCTTCCTTTTTGAGGGGTGAACTGGAGGTTGTGCTACAAATTCTAAAATATCCATTACTCTTGGTTAGTGGTATCTGTCTTGTGTTATTCCTGTGGAGATGCAGTATTCATTGCTCCATGTACAACACCCAAGGATATGCCCACAGGAAACATTTGAAAATGGCTTTCCTAAGATTTCCAGGCTGGCTCCCCATTTCCCAAAGCCCTGCCTTTTACCCTGGCTGTGGTAAGAGTTGGTGTGAATTCTAATATTGATTCTAGGGGGAGATTCTGACCCAAGTTACTGCTCTGGCAAAGACAAACAGGCACATATCAAATAAAGCAAAGGACTTTGAGTGCCCACTGGGGAGCCACACTGGGGACCATGGAGACGCTGTGTTTGCTGCTTCTGGAAAGCCAGGCTGTGGACAGTTGAAGGAAGGAAATGTGCTCCAAGGCAACACTAGCACCCAATAACCCTTCTCATCTTATTTGTTTAAATGTAGACATTATTTTTGGTTGTAAAACGGCTAAATTTTTTTGCCTTTCTTTTCTGCTTCTGTCTCGTTCAGGAATTTATAAGTATTTGACCGTACTCAAAATGTGCAAGGAAGAATAATGGAAGCCCCTGAATACCTTGATTTGGATGAAATTGACTTTAGTGATGACATATCTGTAAGTACCACTGTATACAAGAAATGCTTTCAAGATAATCTGCCTTCAACTTCATAGCCTACTTTCTCCATTATAGTCTATATATCCTCAACTTTTCTGACTACATTTAGAAATTCACAGCAGAAATCCTGTGTGGCAGACTCGGTGTGGTTTGGGGGGATCTCTTAGACCAAGAAGTGAATCTTCCCTAAGTGTGTGTTTTGGAAGATGAGTCATTTAACTTCAATGAGGCTTTCATTCCTAATGTGTTCCAATGTTGTCAAAACTATTGATTGAGTATACTTACAAAATGCAGCCACTTTCATAGAGTTAATTCCAAATTCTCTTATGTGGCTGGCTATTCCACAGCCAGCATTTTCTAGAGTTCACAGGGACACTGACTAAAGAATAGCCAAGTTGGAATTTATTAATTGATGAACAATAAAAAGAATCTTTCCAATCACTGTAGATATCAAAGCACAGATTGTAAGCTTGTTGGGAATATTAAGGAAAATTCGTGCAGTGATAAGGACTGGACTAGCTGACTTTTGAGGTCCTGCTTAATCCTGTAATGCTGTGGGCTGATGAGTCTCTTAATTCCCATAACAGCCACAAACTTCCTGCTGCTTAAATCAGGACTGCTTGGAATGGATTGTCTACATGCATCTTGCTTTGAGCTGCTTGTGCCTTATCCGGGACCACATAATCAATTCTGCTACGCTAGCAAACATGTTGGCCTGGAGTGCCCCAGCAAAACTGGCTAACTCTCAGAGTATGTGATGAGAAGGTTGCTGTTTCTGAGCTAGACATACAACTTTTCTTTCCAGGACCCTCAAGTTCACAACTTCTAACCTTATCTTCCATGGATCTCTCAGGGCCTGGAGCTATGGGTCACCACTCAAAGTCACTGCTTTAAAATTGTCTCAAAATGATGAACTTACTTTATCATGCTTCTGGCAGTTGTTTATTCATCTACTTTACTCCTTACCTTGAAGTAAAATATGCATACTGTACACAATAATTGGATTACTGGGATGAGTTTGATAAATCACCTATTTTATACAAACTTGGATGAGTCTTTTTTTTTTGTACCAGAGAAATGTGAATTCAACATTTGCCTATTTCAGCTTCCAGACAATTTTTATTAGTCCTCATTAAAACCAATGTGGAGTGAGCTTCTTCCTTCCCATGATATATTTTTGTCTACGTGTCTGTCTGTCTGTCTGCCACTCTCTCTCTCTCTCTCTCTTTCTGTTTCTCTTTCTCTCTCTAAGTCACTATGCTTGACTTGGAAGCATTCAAAGCAAGGTTCTTTTATGATCACTCCCCTCACAGCCATTGTGGGAAAAAGCAAGGAATGTGAATGGTAGCATGGGTGTATGTAGGTAGGATGGAAGGTGTTGTAGAAAGGGAAACTGTGTTATGATTGGGAGTTAGGTGGTAGCTCTCCGAACTTTGATAATGATGTTGTGTTTTAAAAGCAAAGGCTTTGAAAGCAGCCAGCCTGGGTTCCTACCTTGTTCTGACTCTTACTGGCTGAATAGCACATTAACTTCACCTTTCTGAGATACACTTTAGGTTGTTGTGACGATTGAGTAAAATAATAATATATGTGAAACACTTAGCTTGGCACACAGTAAGTTGCTCTTAAAAATGGTAGCTTTTGTTATTATTTCACTGAATTATACAATAATATTTATATGACCAATGGTGAAGAAAGAACTCAAGGGAAAACACTAGGCATAAAGTCAAGATTTTTTTTTAATACAACAGAGCAGTTGTATTTACAGAAGAATCATCTGGCAGCAGCCCATAATTTTGATGAATTGGGAATCTCCACTTGAAAGATAATAAAATACATTAAGCAATAACTAAAACCGTTTAGCAAACTAGGCTACAGGATTATGCAATAGTTGAGTGTCTATAACTTGACCACTCTAAAACATAAACAAAGATATCCATCTGTAATTGTGTAACTGCACCCAAAATTTCCCTCTTAAACATGTTTCGATTGTTTGGTCCTTTAACCTGCATTTAAACTTATATCAGATTTTGAAATTGCATAGATTTGAAATTCTATGAAATTTCATAGTAATTGATGAAATAATAATAATAGCTAACGTTTATTGAACATTTACCATGGGACAGGCATTATCTTGGTTAATCCTCACAGCAATCTTCTAAAGTTACTGTTTTTATCTTCATTTTACAGATGAGGAAACTGCAGCATGAAGATTTTATGTAATTTGTCCAGGGTCACCCAGCTGGTTAGGTGTATTCTGTCTCCAGAGTATTTACTTTTAGCCACAACACTTTACTGCTTCTCCGGGATGAATATAGTTTATTGCAGTGGTTCACATCAGGGGCAATTTTACCTGCCCCACCCCTACCCCAGAAACATTTAACAATACCAGGAGACATATTTTGTTGTCATACCGGGGAGTTGCTACTAGCATCTAGTGGGTAGAGACCAGAGAGGCTTCTAAACATCCTGCAATGCACAGCACAATCCCCTACAACAAGAATTGTCTAGCCCAAAATGTCAGTAGTACTGAGGATAAGAAATCCTAGTCTATTTAAATCCACTTGCAACTGAAGACGCTCTACTTTGGCAACCTCTACAACATAGATTATTTAATCATAATTTAGTGTGATCCAGACTTCATACCTTAGCGAAGCCAGAATCATATTGTTCTAACTTAATGATTACATGGAAAAAGAACTGGAGACAACCTCTTAAATACTGGAATGATTGTTCTCAGGCTGTTTAGGTAAACTAGGAGCAATGAATATTACAACTTCTTTAAGGGCTAAGTGGAGATTATTCAAATGCTAAAAATGAAAAAATGAAGATGTGTTCAACGTGCTAATTCACTGGCATAAAAAGAAATGTAGTTTCCCATGAACATGCAATTTTCTTTTTTTTTTTTGATACCAGAAACCTCCATCTCTGACAGCCCCTAAGCCTCTTTCCTGGTTAAGTGGCAGGAGGGGGAGGAAACTGCACATTACACCTGAAAAATATGTTTATGAAAAAGATGCCCAGTTTCAAACTCTTCTCCTTACTCTCTAGCTATAGCCCTATTACATAGTCTAGGCTTTCTATTCCATGGTATTTCCCTCTGGTCATGAGCCTGGTTCTTGTTTTAATTAAAACGTAAGCTGTATATTGGTAGAAAAAACAACTAGAACTTATTTTGCCTTTACTTAATGAGAGAAAACACAGCAGCTAATTTATTTTGAAGTTTCCCAGACTAGAAAATAACGCACATCCTTTGCAAAACACAAAGTTTAAACTATACATTCTTGTAATCCTGCCATCTAAAAGGGCAGAACATTCTCCAATAGCTGCAGGTCTGCAAGGGAGAGATGACGACACATAAGCACAAAGGTTTAAAGCAGGGTTTTTCTGTCACTGTGAATGGGTTCACAGATTTCTCTCTTCCTATGGAAGCCAGATCCCTATGTCTTAAAAACAAAAACCCTCTGGAATTCTTTGGAGCTATGGTGTATTTATTTTATTAAGAGAGGCCAGTGTGGTGCTCTTAAAAATAGTTTCACACACAGGACTAAAGAAAGCAGAGGCTGAACTCTGGATCTCCTGAGGAGCTCACTCACAGCCACCATCCACCAATGTTGGCCGTGCCGCACACTGAGATAAACTCTTTAACTAAGTTATCTTGTTCAAGCCTCATACATCAGCTTTGCGAGGCAAACTCTGTTTTTATTCCTTTTGGCAGATGAGAAAATTGAGGCTTAGAGAGCTTGTCTGACATTCACAAGGTTACAGGGCCAGGACCTAAATGCAGAACTATTTGGCCACCTTACTCCTCCCCATCTATGCAACTTAGCTGAGTAGTAGTTTCTCTAGACCAGTCACCTCACTCATCACTATCCCTGATTGGCACTGTAGTGATTACAAATTGTTTTTTGGAAGTAAAGGGATTGATAGACATTATAAATAAGTAAAATGAAACCAGCTAATGAGAACTTAAGCAAATCTTTTAATTTTACTGTACCTCAACATTCCCATCCGTTAAATGGTAACACCTCAACCTATTACCCTAAATTTATACACATACACTCACACATGCACACAGCCACATATATACACATATATACATGTAAGTATTTACACATACAGACATATACACACACATACAAATAGAAGTGAGAGAAATATTCTGTTGCCTTTCTGTATAACTCTGACTGCAACCTTGATGAAAGTTGACTTTTTTGGCAATTGCATAAACTATTTTTTGTACAGGTCAAATGAGATCAAGATAATAAGTATCCTTCCACTTTTCAATCCTCTTTGGTCAAAGCCTTTGCAACCTAGAGTAATGGCAAAAAATTATGTGGGTTCATTTTCCTAAGGTGCTTGAACCACTGTCTGATAGAAAAATTAATTCTTATGGTAAAATAATCTCACTTTCAGTGAGTTTTCATGTCTTTCTATCACACAGACTGTGCAGCATTTTTACTAAAAATGCCTGCCCCCTTCTGTTTTGTGTGCATCACCTTTTCCTCCATTCAATCCCCTGATGCTTCCCCAGATTTTGTTACATTTTGAGAAAGACTCATTTCAAGTAGACTCAGGCAATGAGCTGGCATGGGCAAAGAATACAGCTTAGATGTGAAAAAGAGTATAAAGGTATTCAAGGTACAAAGAACCTAGCCTCCCCTTCTCTCTAGCAATGAATATATTGAATAAGATGGACCCTATTGTACTTTCTTCTGTACCTTCTAGAAGGTGACCAACACTTTCATGTGGCCTCTGAGTGGTTCAATCCCTTTTTCACTGTCTCTGTCTGTAAGCCCTGCCCTTCCTAGCAGTCGCCCTGTTCTTATCTATATGGAAACTTTGTTTAGTGCTTCTCCGTGTGATCTAGTTCCAGCAACTGTCCAGAATACCTCAGCTTTATGCAGTGTTTTTTTGTAATATCCTGCATTCAAGGCTAAATTGCCTCTCATTCTTCCCTTCTCCAGCTCAGCATCATCAGAAACCTCACACCTTGTTCTAACATCATATGCCATATGTGTTATCTTGTTTTTCTTAATACCTGCCAGGAAATGAATTAGGAATCATCTAATCCAGAAAAGATGAGTTACATTTTGATATTCTATTGTTAGTGTTAGACCCCAGGACTAGAATCTAGGTTCCCAAACTCCAAATCTTGGACTGGAGACCTCTGCCAGAGAAGGTAGAGAATAACTCTACAAATAGAGTGGTTTCTAAGAAGAATGAGCAACCGCTGGATTTTTTTAAATTTTCCCTTTTACTCTGCAGATAGTCCTGGAAGTTCTTATCTTGCCTGATAGTCAATAGAAATTATTAGATTGACTATGCAGATTATTGACAAAAACTGTTCACCTTTTCATCACAATTAGTTTTTATGCCAATCTAGTCAACAAGCATTTACTAAACATTAACAGAGTATCAGACTTGGTTCTAAGCTTGGGGTGAATGACACAGACTTGCTATGCTCTCAAAGTGTGTATAGTATGCTATATTAATAACTAAGCACATTATGAAGTCAGGTTAACTTCATGGTAGGTCACATTTGATTATAGTACTAAACTCCATTCTTGGCAGTGAGTCCTTGTATTTTGACAGTGATTGATTATTGGCTCACAATTAAAAATAGACTATCATTGAAGTTGAACAAGGTTTATGACTGGCCATCTGCCCTACTATAACATACTTTTTTCTTGTAATTCTTTTGTCATTTGTAATTTTTGCTTGTATAATTATGATTACTTTGGCTTCATTTTAAAATGCTGGTTTTGGTACTTTTAAATATAAATAATAATATGATTGCTAACATTTATTGAACACTTAACTGTGCATCAGACACTCTTCCCAGGTTTTATATTACTAGTTCATAATCTTCCCGGACACACCTTAATGAAGGTACAGTCAGAACCTTGTTTTTTACCAGTGAAGAGACTGATATACAAAGGTTAACTAAGATTAATTAGCTAGAAAATGGTGAAGTCAGGATATAATGCAGGTAGTCTGACTCTAGAATCCATATTTGTAACCACTGCGTTGAAAATTACATCTGCTGGGCCCCATGGTCACCTCTGGTTTTCCCAGTTCAGGTAGGTCTCTTCTCCATCCATGTCCACTTCTTATTATACAATATAAGGAGATCATTCAATACTGTGATCTTACCACATTTACTAAGTGGATCTTCATCTCTTGCCTGACTACACATTATATTAATTAAATTAACATTGCAATAGAGTAGTTCCTGATGCACTCTTAAAATGATCAAAAGAGTTACTGAGTTTTCTCAAATACCAACCACAAACAATGTCTTAGCATAAAAGAATTTAAAAAAAACTTCTTAGAATGAAGATATGATAAAAATAAGGTACCAGAGCAAAATTCAAATTTATTTGAAAATAGGATTAGTTATAATAATTTTCATTAATGGAGCCCAAATGGTGGGAAGAAATGTATTTAAAGCAGAGTCTAATAGAGGTATGAAAGTGTGGATCACCAGTATCTGTACTATGTAGAGGTGGTGGTTGAAATTGGGGGTATAGTTAAGGTCATCTGTGAAAACATGGAATGTGGAAAGAGAAGAATATTCAAAAGATTGAACTGTGCAGAAGTATATTCCATGTGGTGGGGTCTGGACAAAGGCATTTCTACAAAAGAAACTGGAAAGAAGTTTTCAAAGTTAAATAAAACTAAGGGAACTAAAAAGACAAGGGGGGTGAATTTAAGGAATTTTAAACAACAGTTGATGGTGGCAAATAGGTCATTATAAAGACGAGAGTTGAAAAATGCCGTCTGGATTTTCCAGTTAAGACCCCCTTGGTGGCCCTAGTAAGCACAGTATCTATTGAGTGGTGGGCAGAATCCTATTGTGAGGGCTGGAGGAGTAAATGCAGAGATGAGGAAATAGAAACACAGAGACAATTCTTTCAAAAGAGACGGCTGATGAATGCAAGAGCAGGAAGGCCCATGCTCAGTCAAGGAGGCAGTGTCTTGAGGTGGTAGTGGTGCTTGCTTATCTTTATAAGACCAGAGGAGAAAGCCAACGCTGAGAGTGGGCTGAGGATAAGGAGAGAGGAAAGAATGGTGGCAGGCAAGAGTCCTTAGGAGATGAGAAAAGAGGAAACCTGAGCCCCAGCAAAGGGTTAGCAGTGGAGGAGCAGACTGTTAGTGCCATGTCCCAAGGGAAGGGACAATGGAACACAGTTTATAATGGAGGGCATGAAGTCTTCCTGAACTGGAAGGGCAGGCCTTTAGAGGGGAGGCTAAAATTTTAGAAAAATATTATGTTCTGAAAATTTCATTTCAGCTACATGTCTCTGCTGTCACTCCCAGCTTTGTTTGTACACATTATTGCCATTGTTTTTATTGTGTGCCTGTTGAGATACCTGCCTGAATTTTGGAAAACTGTGCGAGAAATCATGAATTTCACCATGGTTGTTTGGATGGCTGGCTTAATTGTTTCTTTTGGAAACTTTTATGGGGCCTTAGTAGTTTGAAAGTCTCTAGCTTGCAAAGGTGCTTGGGATGTTCGTTCTTTCATTTTCTGTGGCTCATTACCATTTGAGTAATGTCTGCTCATTCGCTTAGTCGGCTCCAGTTTTCAGGAATAAAAGCCAAAGCTTTTCAGCACTGAACAATATCTGGGGTGGTCAGAGATCCCCGTAGCCCAACGTAGAAATCACGCACTGTCATTATGAATCTCATGCATGTTCCAACTGTTTTGCATGGCATGGTGACAAAACTGACTGGCGTAGGCTGGGATGTATAGAATCATCTTGTGCCATATCAACTCTGTGAAGTTTTTGAAGCTGACTTTTCAGTGTCATCCCTGGGCCACAGACTCTCTTCAGTGAGGAAAGAACAAAGAAAAGCCAAATAATGTACTGAGATAGGCTAAGTTATATTTCCTTTCCTTTCTATTCCCAGCTCGACCCCTCTCTTCCCGCCTCATTAGTTCTCATGTCTTCATCTGCTGAGCTTAAAGTCATGGCGGAAATGAAGATGAGGAGGGAAGCTCTGAGGGCACACTTAGAAAACAGGATAAAGAGAAGAGACAGACATTTACTAGAGCTTTACAGTTTGCAAAATGACTGCATCTATGTTATCTCATATAATTATCTGTCTTCCACACATAAGGAAACTGAGCCCCAGAGATATTAAATGAATTATTTGTCCAGAACCACAGAGTTAATAAGTGCCAGAACCAGGACTTCAATCCAGATCTTATGGCTCCAAATCCATTGTCCTTTATACAAAAGTTTAAGCCATCAGCCATTACTCATGCTATTAATATATTAAGAATTTTTAAATATAAAATGATTTATTGCTAGACTTGTAATTATGGGTTTTTCTAAGATTAGTGCTATGTAAATATTAACTACTGACATTATTATTATTACTGCCACCAAAATTATGGACTGAGCTATATCCCTGCCTCATTAGTTCTTATGTCTAGAGGAATTTATTTAATTTGGTTTAATAAGTGCCTAGTATCTTGGGTAAATAAAATATTGTCCACACTTTCAGGAAGCAGAGAAAGCATTTAGGTAAATATATAGATGAACCATCCTATGATGAGTTCTGTAATGGACATATGCCTAACATCAGGAAATAATATAGGACAATGATTCTACAACTTCATCGTGCGTTATAATCACCCATATGGCTTGTGAAAAAACAGATCGCTGGGCCCCACCCTCAGAGTTCCTGATTCAGTAGGTCTGGGATGAAGCCCAAGAATATGAATTTCTAACAAATCCTAGGTTGTGTTGATACCACTGGTCCAGAGACCACACTTTGAAAGCTGGCTTTACTTCCTTATGGGGCAGGGGTCAGAAAAGATTTTGTAGAAGTGATACCCAGGCAAAGCTGGAAGAATTAAAAGGAGTTTGCCTAGTGTAATGGGCAGAATGGCATTTCAGGTAGATGGAGTAGCATATGTAAAGGTATAGACAGGCAAAACAATGGGTATGGCAACCACCGAGAATTTGTTATTGCCACAATCAGAAGAGAAGTAGACAATGCGAGATGAGGCTGAGCTCATGGAAGGCTTCATGTGCCATGCTAAGGCATATGGTCTTTGTCCTATAGGCTGTGCAGAGTCTTAGTCAAATTTTTATTTCAGAAAGCTAATTAATTCTAGTGTTAGTATAAAGGCCTGGAGGAAGGTCCCACTTACTACTTAAACATGAAAGAGCTCCTTTGAATGTCTATAATATTATGCCCAGGGATTAGTCAATATGTACACGTCTTGTTATTTCAGTTAAACAGTTAATCAGTCCCTGTGTGCCATGCACATATACAAGTCAAAAATATCATTCTTTCCCTCAAGTGCTTATGGAAGCCAACACCTACAGATAAGAAACACCACAGCACATGACAATGCAGAAACTTACCAAGGGGAGAAAAGAGAAAAGTCAGTAAGGGCTAAAGCAATCAGCCAGGGCTTCATGGAGAAGCAGAACACAGCTGGCCTTGCCTTGTGAAATGGTGGCATTTGCCTGGCTAGAGGAGGGCATTGCATGAATGGGGGACCCCCAAGTAAAGGAACAGAAAGTAAACAAAATTTTGGAAGCACAGGGACGGTGAAGAAGCTGAGGCAGCTGGTCAACCTTTGGCAGAGCTCTTCTTCAGACATGGTAGAGAAGTGGAAAAGAAGTCTGGAAAACAAATTTAGATCAAAAGTCTATGTTCACTGGGAATAACCTCTGGAAGACTTCTAGAAAAAGAATAAATTATAGAGATAGAAAATGTAATGCTTCTTCATTAACTGCAAGCCCCCTCTTCACTCTTCTCACCCAAGGACAATAGGAGTCAAGGGAACAGGCTACAAAAGCTTGGATTGGAGGACACAGACAGGGAAGATGCAATGGGCTTTGGTTCCCATAGGGCCAAACTGACAGTAGTTGCTGCCCTGGGAGCTTGCCATTGTCCTGAGAATGAGGTATGTTGGCGAACTGACAGTTACTTATAAAAGGCCATCTGTCCTGTGAACTGGGATGAAGGCCTGGGAAGCCTTCCATTTCAGCTCCCAGATGGTAGCACAATGCATACTTGTAAGGGAGACTTCTTGGATCATTTGCTCATTCCCAAATTTGCAAATATGAAAACATTTTTAGATGTTGGTTTTGTGAGTTATGTGTTCCCTGTGCATTTCTTCACATCACAGCTTAACAATCTTCACAACACTCCCTTAAGCCTTTTCTTCCATCCAAGGAGCAATGTTTATACTTACTGAAACAGATCCACAAATTGATTTTATCTTGTGTCTTTATAAAAAATGATGGACTTGTTCACAATGTAGATTAGAGTCATTGCTGAATTTGATGTTCATATACCCTTAAAATTTTCCAAAACTTTAATTTTTCTGGATAAACTGTCATCTTTTTTAGATTGCTATACTTTTTATTTCTATTCCCAGGAGTAGCAAATGATATTTTCTTCACAGTTATTGTTACCAGAGAATGAAAATATATGCCTTCACCAAAGTGACTTCCTATGTGACTCTGGGTAGAGAGGCAAAGTGCCACAAGTGATTTAGGTTGAGGCAGTGGCAGTGACTCACCTAGGCTAGTGTCCGCCTGTAACTCAGTTCCCACACCAGCCAGGTGCTGCTCAAATGTAAACCTCGTCAAATTAAAACTTACTATACACTATGGGCCTTTGAGGCCAAATAGGAAAAGTTGAAGCTACAGCGAATACATCAGAGATTCTGATATGTCTGACTTTGGGGTGGGAGATGGCAGTTAGGAAGCATGTGCCTCGAAATACAGATAGCAGCTCACCCATTTTAATCAGATATATATCATTAAGCCCAGTGAACAAACCTTAGTGAATTTTTCATTAACTGTATTTAAACACAATTCATCTTAAATTTCCTCTTTCTAAACTCTTGCCTTGGATGAAAAGAAAAAAAAAAAGAGTGAGACTTTGCCAAAGGGTGTTTCATGGGACACATGGCAACCAAAACAAAAGGCCCAATTTTAATTGAATTATAGACTGTGTAATTATCTAACTTGTACCAGCTGGTCTCAAGAAGCTACCAGAGTCCTTAGAGAGCTTGTACTTGGCCAGAAACATAAGGTACCTTATTAGTACCAAGAAAAATGCCTTGTGTACCTGTGCTACCCCAGACCCCCAAAGAACATAATGTGAAAGGAAAAAAATACTTACAGGTTAATTTTGGGTTTAAGAGGTAGTCATCCCTCCCTCTGAGCATGTGGGTGGGTTTGCTAAAGCACCTGTAGTCTCAGAGGCATGGCCAATATAAACAGGATGTTATTGCATCAGACAGGTAAGGGTAATTTCCCTAATTAGTCATTTGAGATTTCACTTTTCACTTGGAAATACTGGAAATTTAATTTGTTTGTGACATGCGGTTGGCAAACTGACAATATCTACGTTCCCACCCTATGTCTTGCTGTCCTGGTATCCTGGGGAAAGCACAAGGAAGTCTCAATGCAGACGCTTTGCTTCATGTATTGACGTCAAGCTAACTAAAGTACCTTCTTACTGATAAATGTGTCCTAATTACACATTCTTCACTTGTAATGCTAGAGTAATCCTAATGAGTTTCCTGTGATCATTTTTCTTTTAGATTAAATGCTTTTTCTCAATCCCCCCAAATTTTGCAATGGTGAAGTAATTTATGATACAAGCTCATTTACTTTAAGAACATTGTCCTTAGAGGTAAAAAGCAAAATAGTTTCAGGGAGCTGCATTTTATGAATTAAAGTATGAATGTGATTGAAGATAGTCCCTGACTTGGCCTTTGATTAAAGAACAATTTCATTTTATTTATTTTATTTTAAAACACCCTCCTCTAAAGAAAGACTGATTGGCATCACATGTTGTCCTCATAAATCATAGCTATTGATTTTACATTTGTTTTAGCTCTTCCAATTGTATGCCCCCTTGTATCATAATTTATCCTGAAAGCCAGCCTCTGAGTCGGTGCTGAAACTGAGCCTGGAGGGTGGTTTCTTTCCACTCAAACTAATCTATATGTGAAAGAGATGAGCTTTCAAACACAGAACCACACCCCTCTTGCTTTTTATGACATTACCCTGGTATTTCCCATGGAGATAATGGATGCTACACAGTAAAATCTGTGGCAAGTGGCAACATTAGGAACTTTTGCCTAGTCCAGTCAGCATCGGCACAGACATGTCTCCTGACTGCCCCGGATGCTGCAGGAAGCCAGGTGCTCCCGTACTTGGCTTTTCGTACACAAGCTCACCCTTAGGATTCAGAATGCAATTATTAAGGCCATCTTCTTGAAACTCTCAGGGTCAGACAGTTCTTCCATCTTCCACAAGTGGCAGAAGTGATAAGAGGGAGAGAGTGTCTGCTGGCTACACCCCACCTTTTTTTGTTAAAGAAGGAGTGCCCAGCCCTCTTTTTAAACTGCATGTGGTTAGATGCTGCAGGTAGATCTTAGGATGCTGCCAGGTCACCACGCAGCCCATTTAGGGTAAAATGAGATAAATTTTCTGAATATACATGTTGTGCCCAAGTATCACTTATTGTGTTTTGTTTTTCTGGCCAATCTGAGTGAATGCTCGCATTTTAAATTATTTTATGCCCTCTCTTCTCTGGCTTCCCGTTCAGTATTCAGTCACATCACTCAAGACGATCCCAGAACTGTGCCGAAGATGTGATACGCAAAACGAAGACAGATCAGGTAGGTTTTGCTCCTCCCCTCTTCTCCTTATCCTGGCTCAGTGTTAATGGCTCCTGGAAAGCTGTTTTTCCTCACACTGGTCCCCCCTGCTTTCAGTTTTCTTTTCTCTTTACGGCTTCTCCACTCACACCACCCCCCACCTCATGCCCTGCCTTCAACAAACAGATGTTAGGTCATCTGAAAGAGGATAGCAGGACAGGGAGGCCCTAATGAGGACTCAGCTGTATACAGATAAATAAATATGGGAGATCATCTCGGCATCTCCAAACCACAATATATGCAGCAATTTACTGAAAACCCGAGAAACCATTGGTGACAAAACATAATGATGCAGGCGCCAATGAAAAAATGTTGGATGCATTTACTACCCATATGGCAAGGACCAGCTTGGGGAATGGTGCTTTGCCAAAGTCGGAAACCCTATCAGAGATGCGACATGATAGAATCTGCAATAAGGCATACTGTAACAGTTAAGATTAAAGCAAAGGCTTTGGAGTTTAATAGTGTAAACTAAACAGAGAATTATGGCATATAGATGAAAACCAGCTGGTCGACCTTTTCTCTTTACACCCCCAACCCCCAAGAATAAAAAAGTACATTCTGAGTTGTTTTCCCTCTGTAAATCAAATTAAGCTTCTCTTCTTTTCCTTCTATGATGGGCAAAAATGAAAATAAAAAAGGATATTGATGGGAGTGATACCATGGTATTAAACTATGAAATGATGTTTATTATTTTTCCAAGTAATTACTCTATGGCATCACCATTAACCTTCCCAAAGCTGGACCTACTCTGATAGTCACTAGAATCCTGAGAACCAGATAATCCTCAAATTATGTGTATTGTGTTTAAAAATAAATAGATGTGCCTTACCTATACAGCTACTAGAATTCTAGGCCTTTCTAATGGAAAGGATTTTTTACAAAGCTAATTTACTTTTCCTCTGGACTGTTTGTTTTCCTTTGACATTTTTCTTAGGAGAGACAGGAAAAATAATTAGTCTTTCTAGGTTTGTTTATCTTGGTGTTTTTTTGTGTGTGTGAGTGAAAGTAATGCTTCAATGTTTGGGTCAGAAACATCACAGAAGATAGTTTTCAGTTCAAATAAAAGCTTTTACTTACCTTCACTTGTTTTTTATTTCAAAAACATTCAAGTTCATATAGGATTTAATAGAGGCTCTTGGCTATAAGTCTTATAAGGATGTGTCTTCTTAAAAGGCAGTGCCCATTTCAAACTTGAACCAATGACTATGATCAATGACACAGGTAGCTGACTGCAGTGGAGAGGCTGCCAAGGTCAGAGTCACCAGGCCTAGGTTTGAGTTAGAGTTCAGGCACTTATCAGCTAAATGACCTTGAATCTGTGACTAGTTATCTACAAAATAGAGAAGATACGTGTACTAATGTTGCCCAGCTGTCCTTAGGATCAAAATTAGGTGATGTATCAAAAGGTTACTTTGCAGACACAAGATTTTCTTTTTTCTTTAATTGGATGTAGGGAATAAGAGAGAAGAAAAAATAGCAAATACTTTATCAGGGCTTAATGTGCTGGGTACTGTTGTAAGCACTCTACTTACATTAATCCCATTAATCCTAAAATACTTGTGAGCTAAGTACTATTAGGATATTTATATTATAGATGGGGAAACTGAGGAACAGAGATGAGAAGTTAAATATCTTACCCAGAGTCACACAGCAATTAAGTTACAGAGCTGGGATTCAAACCCCAGGAAGTCTACTTCCAGATTCTGTTATATTATCCCTTACATATACTACCCTTCCAGATAGTTTGACTTACTGGTAATAATTTACTTTTAAGATATTATCCTTTTAAATCTTTACAAGTCAGCATTTTCCCTGATTAAGTTTAAATTATTTTTTCCGTTAAATGGTGACTCTTACCAAGTTAAGTGAATAAACAGAAACTTTTAGTTTTTCCCAGGGCTGGTACATTCCATTCTCTCCAGGTCTTACAATTTCTAGTCATCTCCACAATAAATGATGGTAGACTTTTCTTCCGTGGTTGAGGAGGAGGCCAGTTTCAAACTTAGAAGCTTTTGAACTTTACTCACAGCAAAGGCGCAGTGCTCAAGGTAATCAGTAATCAGACCTGACAGGAAATGGATTATGAGGGAAAGACTCAGGACTCTTAATGGAATTGCATGTACATTTCCAATTTGATGGACCATTTGGAGGCTGGGAAACTGCATTCTGATAGATTGAGAGTGATCCTAGAAAAAGGAACCCACGGAAAAATGTGTCTGCCCACAGCATCACTGTAGAATTATCCATGGGCCCCTCTGAAAGAAATCTCAACGTGATGAAGTTTTCGGAGCTGGTTTCCTAAAGAATTGAGGCATTCTCAATCAGTTCCATAGGCATCCAGATGTAGAAATAACCCTCCTCCCCCTGTCTTTCTTGTAAATCAGCCACATAGAAGGAGTTTGCTCCAGGAAAGCTAGCAGATTTCTATCTTTTCAAACAGACGCAGCAGAATGCACTTTGGCTTCTGAGAAAAGTCCACATCTTCTTTGGGATGGGGCACTCTCAGGGGAAACTTCCTCAACCGTCTGTCACTTACAGTATACCTGATATGGTTTGGATCTCTGTTCCCATCCAAACCTCATGTTGAATGGTAAACCCTAATGTTGGAGGCGGTGCCTGGTGGGAGGTGACTGGATCATGAGGGTGGATTTCTCATGAATGGTTTAGCGCCATCTCCTTGGTACCATCCTTGTGATGGTGAGTGAGTTCTCATGAGATCTGGTTTAAAAGTTTGTAATACCTCTCCTACTCTGTCTCTTGCTTCTGCACCCACCATGTGAGATGCCTCATTCCCCCTTTGCCGTCTGCCATAATTGGAAGCTTCCTGAGGCTGTCGCAGAAGCAGAAGCCGCTATGCTTCCTGTACAGCCTGCAGAATCATGAGCCAATTAAACCTCCTTTCTTTATAAATTACCCAATCTCGGGTATTTCTTTATAGCAGTGCAAGAATAGACTAATATGATACCCCACGAGACAAAGACATTTCTCTTTACCTTTCTAGAATAGTTACACACTTGCTATTTTGTATAGGTTGTCAAATGTTAACATCTATCCTTGTACATATTATATCTTTGACCAGATGTTCTCATTTACTCTCTTATTTATTTATTCAACAAATATGTGTTGAGTGTCCTCTGGCCCAGGTACTGAGGACATGGTAAAGAACAAGACAGACAAGGCCTCTGTGCTCATGAAGCTTACATTCTACTGGCAGTGACAGCCAAAAGGCAAGCAAACAGATAAACAAGGTCACCACAGATAGAGAGAAGAGGCAACATGAGAGACTGTGGTAATTTTTAGGAGCTGGGGAGGGAGGGAGGTCTTAGGGCATCAGGGAATATTAGAAGGCTCCAGCCACGAGAAAACCAGCAAAGAGTGTTGAAGGCAGAGGAACTAGTAATTGCAAAGTGCCTAAGCCAGGAATGAGCTTAGCAAGTATGAGGAAGAAAAAACCAGTGTAGCTGCAGCATGGTGATCAGAATGAGGAGCAGTAGGAGATGAAGGCAGAGAGATGATCAGGGTCAGACTCCTTGGGGAGTTCAGATTTTATGCTTAGTGCAGTGAAGAGCAATGCCAGCAGGATTCCAATTTTTCTAAAATCTTATGACCTGGAAAGAAGCCTCAGCATGTAGAATCATAACTCTCACTAAGAGAAAGGACTTTCAAAATCATCTAGTCTGCAAGAAAGAGCAAGTGAGAAAGTACAAATAATAAAGCAAATGGGTAAAATGCTGACAACTGATGAATGTGGATAAAAGGTCTACAGCTATTTTTTGTACTGTTTTCATTTTTGCAACTATTGTATACATTTATTTAAAAGTGAAAAATATAAGAGTTACACACAAATAAAAAGTTTTCTAAAAGGCAAAAAAGAAAAAAAATAGTCCAAAGCCAATCAGATCTTTGAAGGTAATCCTCCTTATCCCAACCACAGGGTCATGTAGCCTGTACTTCATCAATTTAGCAACAGGGAGAGCACAATCTCACAAGGCAGCACATCCATAAAGGTTAATGCTTTACCTGACCAAAGTCAGTGTTCGTTGAATTTCCACTCATTGATCCTGGTTCTTCCTTTGGAACCACAGAAAAGGACAGTCCCTCCTGGCCAAGAGTGCCACTAGGTGTGTGGAGACAGCAGTCACTCTTGGGCCTGTCTTCTCCAGATGAACATTTCCTTCCTCAGTGCTGAGTGTGTGCTGCTCATTCTTTTCACTCTCCTGTGGATACAGTACAGTTACCAGCATCCCTCTTAAAGTGGAGTGCCCAGAACCAAACCAGAGGTTCCTCCACATGTGGTCTGCTCGGAAACCTGTCAGCCCCACAGAACAGTCCCCTGGGTTTCCCACATATCTTTTCTGCTTTCCCAAGTAGGGCCGTCCATTCTGCCTGCTTCCTGAGTGTCCTCAGAGGAGCTAGAGTGTAAAACAAGCCGTGTTTGTGGCCCTTGGAAGCCCCTCTGTGAGACACGCAGCCTAGGGCTCACCTCACTTCATCCCTGCGGCTTTAGTGGTGGGCTCCAAGAATGGAAAATGGCAATGTTGTCAGAGGCCTGGAAGTCATCTCCTTGCACCTTCCACTGGCTCACCAATGCCCACAAATCCTCCTTAGGAGTGCCCTTTCTTTAGCTAGAAGCTTTGATTCCTATTGAAGTCTATGTTTTCCCCTAACAGGAATAATATTTTAAACTATTCTCCATCAATTACACTGCAGTAGGACTGTTTCAAATTTTTGTGAGAAAAGTGGTCTAGAAAGAAAGGAAGTGCAAGGGAATTGGAGATGCCACAAGGTGGGAAGGAAGCAAAAAACTAGGAGTGGGAAGCCTGAGAATGAACTGCCTGTGCATGGAGATGCACAGGTGCTATTGAGGTTTCTGAGTTGTTTCATAAGCCAGCAGTGTACCAGGCATTGTGCCAGGCCTCTGTAAGCAGCATATTTATCCTCAAAATAATTATCAGAGGGAGAAGCATTACTGTGCCTATTTTATTGATGAGGAAACTGAGGCTCACAGAGGGTAAATAATGTGCACAAAGTTCTAGAGCTAACAAGTGGATGTGAAACTTGCTCTACAGTCTCCAGACCCCCTGTGGGTAAGCTGACTCAATTGAGGAATAATTTATTCCAGAGAACCATGTGTAGCAACTAGTTTGGGACAAGGATTAGCAGAAAGGAAGTTATGTGTAAAAAAAAAAATGCACCTAAAAAAGGAAGTTATTTGTGGAACTTTTGCACGCATTCTCTGCTTAATATCTACTACTCATGTGGGAAAAGAGGACACCACAAGGCAGTGAATGTTAATTCTTCTCTATGGTTTTCTCCAAATGAGGACAAAAAATACATTATGGTGACATATGGTGTTCAAATCAAAACATATTCAGTTTCATTGATTTAGAGTTTTTAAAAATTAATTGGGCATTCAAATACACATTTGTCTCAATTCATGCTGCTTTAAATGTGATTCTTTCAACATCTGTATCTGCTAAACTCATTGTATAATTTTCTTATGAAAGAAGGCAGATAAATATTAATACTGCTTCACATCTGAAAATTTAGATGTGCTGGATTTAGAAAGTTCAGTTATGTAAAAGTAATAAATGACCCTGTAATGTGTCTGAGAATGGATTCTGAAAAAAATTTTATACCTAAATAATATAAAGTGTTACTTGTATGACAATGAGTAAGGAAACAGTACTTTTTAAACTTGGTGTCTGGCATTAAAGTCATGTAGGTTGTACATTTAAAAGCATTGCAAATTCGCTATATTTTTGAACCCTGTGCATGCAAATTTTGTGACAAACCCTAAACCTACAAAGATAAAATATGTGATGTTCTAAGATTAAAGGGATTTAAGCCAGCACCTAAAATAAGTTGACATGAAATTTGTCCTGTAGATGCTGTTATGACATAGTTGGTGATGCTAAATATATAAACCTCCTGTTTTCAATATTTGTTAAGGTTTAATGCTAAAAGCTTGAAAGTGAAGGTTGGTATGGCAGTTTGAATTGAAAAGCTTGCTGATTAATCCATTTCACAGGATGTAATGTAAACTGGACTCTAAAGAGCAGGGAAACACATTTTCTAAGATCTCAATCAAGAAAATGAACACTTCAACCTGATGCAGCAAGAAACCTAGCATTTATGACAAAGAAATGTTTCTTTAACTAGAGTAAAAATTTACAGATAAGACATCTAGATGAGATTGTTTATCAAATAAAACAATTATTTTTATTGTTTAACAAAATATAATTATAAAGGTGATATGATCCATTATTTTTAAAGAACTTAACCTTGCCACCAAAACAAAATTACTGCACTTCTTTTGAGTATTTTTTCCCCGAGGCATATTTGTACGTATGGTTGTAATCACAATATGAGGACAATTTTTGCTGCTTTTTCTGTTGCTCCAGAATGTGCATAGCTGTCATTTTGGATGGACCACAGAACTTACCCATGAAAGCCGAGCTGCCCCCTCTGTGGAAAAGGAGAGATCATCTCTACCTTTAACCCCTTTTAACTTATTAACACTTCATTTATGTTTCTGAGAGGAAAGATGTAGGTCAATGTTCATAAAGATGGGGGCAGGAGGTGAGAGAAAAGTTAAAATAAAATTCTGGTGGTATTGAAAATAATAAAAGGGGCTGGGTATGGTGGATCACACCTGTAATCCCGGCACTTTGGGAGACCGAGGCAGGTGGATCATTTGAGTTCAGAAGTTCAAGACCAGCCTGGCCAACATGGTGAAACCCTGTCTCCACTAAAAACACAAAAATTGGCTGGTGGTAGTGGCACACCTCTGTAATCCCCGGTACTCAGGAGGCTGAGGCAGGAAAATTGCTTGAGCCTGGGAGGCGGAAGTTGCGGTAAGCCAAGATCGTGCCACTGCACTCCAGCCTGGGTGACAGCGAGATTCCGTCTCAAAAAACAAACAAACAAAAAAAGAAAATAATTAAAAGGGCTGAAGGTAGCAGAGCTTAAACACATCGCATCTTTGCCCCTTTTTCTCTTGACTGGAACATTTCTTTGCTTAACCATAAATGTTAAGTGGCACAGCAAACTGATTTTCTACAAGGTTCACAGCAGTGGAATTAAGAAAGGAACAAGACAGTATTTGAGGGAAAGAAAACTTACGGGTAAAAACTCACAGTCTTCTCTCCTGTGTTTTGGTTTATTTTTACTGGACTCAAAGAAACATATCTTCCACTCCCCAAACTGGTAAGTAAAGAAACCGCCTGTTGGTAGAAATGAGTTAAAGGAAATCTGCAGTAAAAAAGGATGAAAAATGGGAAGTCCAGAGAGGGACATCCTTTAGGCAGGGAGGGAAAGAACTGAAACATAGGGACAAGGACAAATGGATACACGGCCAAGTCCCTTTGACTTTGTCTGGCTTTGCCGTGACTTCCTTCTCACAAGTCCCCATCCTGTCACAGGAATAGCAGTTTCCCCCATCCCATCTTCCCATACTTTTTAAAGGCAAAAGTATGAGTGTGTGTTGAGGGACATTTCTAGTTTAGGAGCTTCTGTTATAGCATCTCTGACAGCACCCCAGTTCTTCCTGAAAGCATACCCTTTTGCTTTTGTCTCTCAATATTAAATGGGCTCTATCTTCCCATTTCAGATCACCCCTTTTTATCCACATATCTCCTTTGCTCTGACTCTTCCCTCAAAAAAAAAAGTCATAAAGTAAACACAAGTAATAGAAACAAAATCCTAGAATCTCATAGTTGAAGGGTCCTCTTGCATAAGTCCTGACCCTTCTGTGGCATTTGCTTTTCAAATGGCCCTTGCATCTCACCGTATGATCCAGGACTCACCCCAGCACCGTAAGCGTCAGCATCACCCAGGAGGTTGTGAGAAATGCAGACTCTCACAATCAAAATCTGCGTTTTAACAAGCTCAATCCCCAGGGTATTCGTTTATGCACATTCAAGTTTGAGAAGCACTGACCTGGGCCACCTAGATACCAGCCCATTGTTTTTAGTGAGGCACAGTGATCTTTTCAAAAATGCAAGTCTTATCATGCCACTCCCTGCTCAAAACCAGGCAATGGTTTCCCAGGATGGTTCTCAAGATATGCAGTGGGAAACTCTCTCATGTGGCCTTCAAGGCCAGAGTGATCTTCTCTTGGACCAGCAGGCTTCCTCGCACGCCTCCTGCCTGCCAGTCACGTCAAGGAGCCTCCTTCAGTTCTTCAAATGTGCAGTGTTCCTTCACATGGGATATTATTCCTTTTCTCCCTCCACCTTCAAGATCACCTCCTTAGGTGATCACCTCCATCTTAAAAAACAAACAAACCACCTCTAGAATCTCCCATCCTGTTTCTCTGCTCCTCCTTGCCAACCCTCCATTTAGAGCCAAGCTGCTTTAAAAAGTCATGGGAAACTCCCTCCTCTGTCCCCAACTTCCTATTTACCTTAAACATCCCTAGTATGATTTCCATCTCTCTAGGGAAGGTCACGGCTTCCATGCTGTCAAATGCACTGACACTTTGCTATTCTCATCTTTCTTGACCTGTCAGCATTAGTTGAGACAATAGTCCCCTCCTTTCTGGAAACGGTCACCTCTCTTGGCTTTGTGAGACCACCTCTCTCCTCATTTTTCTCCTAACACTCTGACATCCTCTTAGTCTTCCTTTGCAACTCCTCCTCCTTCCCAATTTGACCTTTCAATAGTCAAATGGAACTAAATATTTAATAGGACCCTCCCTCTGCCCTCTCAGCCTCTCAGTTGGTCTCTCATACATGCTTACAGCTTCAAACACCATCTACATGCTGCTGTGAATCCCCGCCATACTCCAGCCTCCTATTTAATGGCCCACTCAATGTCTACATTAGATGTCTCATGGAATTCTAAAGAGAAATTCTTGAATTCCCCTGCCTGACGTGTTCCTCCTCAGACTCTCTCCTCAGTGAACTGCACTCTGCTGACTGAAACATCTCATCAGGCGCTGAAGCCAGATTTCTTGCTTTCCCTGATGTCCCACATCAATTCATCACCAGGTCTTGAGTCTCTGTGCTCAAAGTATTTCCCCATGCTATAAACTAAATGTTTGCGTCCCTCCAGAATTTGTGTGTTGAGACCTAACTCTCAAGATGATGGTATTTGGAGGTGGGATCTTTGGAGAAGTGATTAGGTCAAGAGGATGGAGCCCTCATAAATGGAATTAGTGTCTTACCAAAGCAGCTGCTGAGAGCTCCCTCTCCCCTTCTGCCATCTGAAGACAATACTTCTCTGTAAAACCCCTCAGAAATACCCTATTTCAGTTAAAATAAAAAACAAACTCTTTGTTATGGCCAATAAAATCCCCAAATGGGTTGGTCCCTGATGACATCCCCCAGCTTCAACTTTGCTTGCTTTGACTCTGACCCACTCTGATCTAGCAATAACAGCTACAGAACCTGCCAGATTCTCTCTGCTTTAGAAACTTGCACATGTGCTTCCTTCTACCTACTCAGATCTTCATAAAATTATCTTTCCTCTTATATTATCTCCCAGTTTCTCACGTAATTGGCTTCTTCTCATCCTCCAGATCTTAGCTTAAATGTCACCTCCTTGATGAGGTTCTCATCTGTTTTCTATTCCAGTCCTCTCCTTATTTCTTCAAAGCAGTTTACATTAAGTAATTTTTTTTATTTACCTGTGTACTTGCATCATTGTCTGAGCAGGATTATATCTATTTCATTCACTCCTGCACCCCTAGTGACATGTGCATAGAGACGTTCAATATATATTTGTTGAATGAATGAACTGTCTAAGAGTACCATAGCATTCTGCCAATTACCAATTGCTTTAACACTCTGACCATGCTTTGTATTCCTGCTTTCCTTGCTAAGTTAAAAAAAAGAAAAAAGAAAAAAAAAGGATCACCACCCTTAGCCAGTTGAAGGAATTAGCAGCTGTAAGAACAGATTACCGGTGATAAAATGACTAAATTTAGGCTAATGCTGCTAAAAATAAAGAGGAAGAAAACCCTTCCACTCAACTGTTTTTAAGAAAGGTTGGGGGATTTTTTTGTTTGTTTTTTTATAGACAAGGTCTCACTCTTTCGCCGCAGCTGAAGTGAATTGGTACAATCATAGCTCACCACAGCCTCCAACTCCTGGACTCAAGCAGTCCTCCTGCTTCAGCTTCCCTAGTAGATGAAACTACAGGAGCAAGCCACCATGCCTGGCTAATTTTTTAATTCTTTGTAGAGATGAGGATCTCAGTGTTACTCAGGCTGGTCTCAAATTTCTGGCTTTAGGCAGTCTTCCTGCCTCAACCCCCCAAAGCACTGAGATGACAGGTCTGAGCCAGTGCGCCCAGCCAAGAAAAGTCATTAAAAATTATTTTTCCTTTTTTTTTTTTTTGAGACAGTCTTGCTCTGTTGCCCAGGCTGGAGTGCAATGGCACAATCTCAGCTCACTGCAACCTCCATCTCCCAAGTTCAAGCGATTCTCCTGCCTCAGCCTCCTGAGTAGCTGGGATTACAGGCATGCACCACCATGCCTGGCTAATTTTTGTATGTTTAATAGAGATGGGGTTTCACCATGTTGGCCAGGCTGGTCATGAACTCCTGACCTCAAGTGATCCGCCCACCTTAGCCTCCAAAGTGCTGGAATTACTAGCGTGAGCCACCTTGCCCAGCCATAAATTACTTTTCTGACTTTGCTCCCACACAGAAGGTTCCTAGTAAATGGTTACCAAAATTTAGACAGACAACACAGTGTTGGATTTAGGTTAGAGTGAATCCAAAATGAGTACGACCACTGATTTCTGGGATTCCATTGCATATAGGTGACCCAAATAGAGAAAAATGTGAATTATATCTTTAGGGAATAATTTAATTTCAATAAGGCAGTCCTCCAGTGTTACGGGAAGAAAGTTAGAGTCAGAGAACCTTGGTCCTAGTTGAGAAGTCAGCATGCTATGTCATTTTCCACATTATACTTAAAATTCTCTGAGTTCTCATTTATTTCCAAGTAAGAATACATAAGAACTGCCTTTCCATCCTCCAGAGTTGTGGAAATCTCTAATGAAATCATACACTTGCCTTGTACTCAGAAACATAAAAAGCCTTAACACAAATGTATCGGCAATTTTAAAGTATTAAGTGGAGGACATTTTAGGAAAATTCCAAATAAGAAATATTGCTTTGTGGAATTCTTAAAATAGGTTTAAATCTTTCTTTCACTCTTTATAGTATACTTGTGAAGTGTATGGTGACCTGCACCTGAAGACGGAGGTGCAGCAGCTCTGCCATTCATTAATCCCAGGGCGAGCCACTTTCCGCTGTTCCTCCCACTTTGTATGCCACTGCACCTGCCTGTTCTCTCTCTAGTCTTGTAGCTGAGAGTTCAGGCCATGGTAGGAGCCTGCATGGGCAGACCCACAGACCTGCCAAGAGCAAGAGTAGGCTGCAGGCCAGCACTGGGTCTTCCATTTCTCCTCCCCTTAAAGTGTGTCCTTCTTAAAATAAGACCAGTTTTCACAGACTCACCACTTTGTTTCTTGTGGAAAATAGAATGCATTTAAGTTTTAGCAACAATAAAACAAGAAGGGAACACTCTTATACCCTAAAGACATACCCCATTTTCTTTGTTGTCTTGGTGTCTAAAGCTAATTTTCTAATGTGGACACATAGTCCATATTTAGAAGTAAAATCAGCAGGCATTTTGGAAGTTGTCAGTTGGAAATGGAGAGAAGAGGGCAGGGATTTTTCAGCCTGTGCTGTCAGCCTCCTGTTCTCTCTTACCAAGGAGCAGTAACTCAGAGTCCTTTGTCCTTGACGGTAGATCAGCCCTGTAAAACATCGCCACCTTCAGTTAAAATGTGTGCGTGCTGCACGGCCAGAAGCCATACTGAGCCTGCTCACAGCTCTGCCCTGTTCCAGAGCATCTCAAATGGTGAGCCTTTCACTGTCCCTTGAAATGTATCTCTCCCTACATTTCCTCAAGAAAGGGAGGGAAAGAAGGAAAGGAAACCTGGTAAATGGACCTGGAATGAACACAAAACTTAATCCACTCCCGAGGTTTTGCTAGTGTCGAAGTGAAGGTCAGCATACTTTATAGATGACACAATAATGCGAAGACCACGTAACTTTCTGCACCCCACCAATTGCTGTTCTATGGAAACTGTACTTTTGAAGCCCAAAGGTTTAAAGTTGTCAAAATATTGAGTCTGATTTCGTGATGGAATATGCCTCTTTGGTGAAGTATCTTTTCTATCCAGGGTAGTAGGGCTTGAGTATTTCAATGAGTTGTCACTAAAACAAAGAAATGGGTGCAAATAGGGTGCAAAGTTATGTGAGCAGGTCTTGACAATTCTGGGCAGAGCTGGGAATAATAAAACATGAATCGGACACATTCAACGACAGCTGCTTGATATCAGTAGCCACTTAAAGACAGAAAGTTTAGAACCCAAATCAATGACGCTTTCCCCACAGTGTTTTAATGCCCTAATGTGGATAGATCGTTGGCTGGCATTTCTATAATAAACAAGCCTTCTGTCCTCCTTCCTCAGCCTCACATTACCCTTACTAGAGGGTCTGTAGCATCATTGAAAAGGATGAGCAAGCAGCCAGAAGGGAGCATCCCAGAAACACTCATTCCTCACACACACTTTTGCTTTTCCCAAGACAGTGCCCCATCACAATTCTCCAAATCCAGAGTTGACTCAGCCTTAACTTTGATCAGGTCATGGTCTCATCTCTCAGGACAGCACAGAAGAGCACCCAGCAAGTCGTCCTCACTCAGACTCCATGCCTTCTTCCTACTGTCAGAACATGGGATAAGCCACCTGTCATCATTTCTTACAGAGCCTGAGGTGTCTGCAGTAAGTGGGTGCAGTACAGACTTCACCTTACATAGGACTAACCAAACTCCTGACTCTAGCATTAATACTCCCAATCATTCATAATGCCCCTCCTTTTGCTGTGAAAATGGAAAGAAATGGAATGTTGGAGAACTTCAAAAGTATGTCCTTGAAGGCGCCTAGGTTTCCAGTAGCTATGGATGTGAGGTATATTGTTGTGTACATTTGAAGGCAATTATAGCTAAAGCTGACCCCTTTTTTCCTCATGGAAAATAAAATCCATTTAACTTTTAATGAAAAACAGTAGGGGAACACTACTTTATCCTAAATCATACCGCTTTTCTTTCTATTCTTGATGTCTCAAGCTAATTTTCTAATACGGACACATAACTTTCTATTTAGAGGTAAAATAAATAGGCATTTTGGGAGCCAGCATTGACGTTTGGTCCTGAAAATTGAATCCACTGTTGCAACAGCAAACTGTCCATTATCTTCCTAAGAAAATACTAATTTATCAGTCTTAGGAGCCAAAGAGTTGCTCTGTGTCAGCAATCAGCATAGCCTCATAATTATAAATTTGTGAGGATCTGGTGAAAGACATAGATCCAGAGAAATTATAGTGTTTCATAGTGAGTCATTCAGAATAAAGAGCTCTGTTATTTGTAGACATTCCATACAGTCATAGAAATTTAGGGGTGGATCGGGTTTTAGCAATCTTATAGTCTAACCCGTTCATTTTACAGATGAGGAAACTGAGGAATGTTTTGTAGGAAATAGATGAAAGTGTTTTAATATGCAGCACATCTTGTCTAAACATTTTCAAGAGCTTACTAACACTATCTTTGAAAGTATTTGGCACAATTAGTGTGCCCGAAATGTGGCAAGGTGACTTCATTGTGTCAGAATTCATATTTATTTACTATACTTTTCTTCTTTGGTTTTGGCATCTTCCTTCCCTCCTTCCTCCTTCCTCCTTCCTTCCTTCCCTCCTTTCTTCCTTCCATTCTGCCTTTCTACCTTCCCCCTTCCTCCTTCCCTCCCCACCTCCCCTTTTATTCATTCATCCATTCATTGAAAGATTAAGTCATTGGTCCCCAGTATCTTCAAGGCACTCTGCTAGACAAAGGGCTGGTTATAAACACAAGTTGGTTCTCAGGCTATCTTTGCCCTTGAGGGGTTCTCAGGAGGGAAGGTGAAACAGGTATATGAGTGAAGAGTTGTAACAGAATTTCAAAAATGCCCAACTCTAGGTATGTGCAGGTATTATCAGGGCACTGGGAAGCAAGGAGCAATTATTCCCTAGGAGAGTCACAGGAACTGCACAAAGGAGGTAACCCCTGAGTGTAATCTTGTGAGATGAGCCTGAGTCTCAGGCAGAGAAGACAGCCAAGAGCATTGTAGGAAAGTAAGAATAAGCTTAAATGCAGGGAGAGTATGGTATATCCAGAAAGGATGAATTTAGCAGTGGAGCTGCAGGGAAAAATTAGTGATTTGGGAATCATGAGTGCTGAGATGATAAGGCAAATTAGAAAACAAATACAAGAGCTGCTACATACCATGCTAAAGAATTTAGCTGTTATCCTGGAAGCCAAAGTTTCACAAACCTAGTAATTTAAGTATCATTTCCACAACATGTGTTATATCCCAAGTCTACCTCTGTTATTTTTGCTTTACCTGTATTGCACCTGTACTATGTTTATTTAATATATTTTTCTAAAACACCTGACTTTCAAACATATTTGTTTTTAAAGGAAACTTCATGTCACTATGGTTGTAAATAGAAAGCCATGGTCACTTGCAATAAATTCAAGTTCATCATTAAAATGAATGTGATAAATTGAACATAAAACATTCCTTTCATTATTTGCTTATGAACGTCTCTGAGCCTGAGGCCTGAGGTCTCATTTTTCGAATAGGGAATTGTAAGTTTTGGAAAGGAGTTAAATTCATTCTAGCACCAAAATGAGTCTCCTTATATTAATTAGTAAGAAAAAAGAGAATTTGAAAGGCCAATAGCATTCTCACTCTGTAAATCAGGGGTATTTAGCATGGTTCCTGTGTGCCTCTTAGATATTGCAGGGATATGCACCCACATATGGGGAAATATTGTTTAGTACAGGGCTACCTGAAATATTTGAGTGGATTTTGGGTGACAAAGTCAGACTTACTGAAGAAGGTTAACTCAGGACTGAAAAAAGAGACCAGGGGAAGCCAGGAAAACCTTGCAGAGACTGTGGGAGAGGATGCCAGTGTGGTCCAGCCAGTTTAGTGATGATGAAGAGGGCCCAGATTTCAGAGGGATTGAGGATAAGGACACAGCAGGACTTGGTGCCTGAGCGATGAAGGGCAGGGGTCAAGGAAGGAGAAGGGTCAAGGAAAGAGAATAGTCAAGGATGCCTTGGAGATAGATTGCTTAGGAGACTGCATAAGTGTTCATGTCACCATGTAGGCCACGATCACAAGGGATATGTTTTGGGAAGGGGAGTAGCATCTGGATGTGTTAGGGGAAAAGGGGAAGGGGAGGGAGTGGGCAAAGGTGGAGAGAGATGAGGCATTTGGATCAGACCAGGCCACCTATCAGGAATCCTTGCACATTCTAAGACTGCACCACATGTTTGTTCAATCAATAGATGGGTGTGGACAGTCAGCAGGCAAATACTTTGCTAAAGCTAAGTGGCATTCCAAGTGTCAGCTAGATCCGAAGAGATAATTGTGGCCTATACATCAGCAGCAAATACATGTCTGTTTACTTACTGACCATTTTAGAAAATCTGTGGTGTAATCAGATAGGCAGGTTTAAGGCTTATTAGGCATGTTTACTTCTGTAAGATGTTAAAAATGAGCCCATTCAACCAAAAAGTCATTATGAATCTACTTATGTAAAGCAATTTTCTGGGTTCTTTAAGGGATAGAGAGATAAATTAGACACAGACTCTGCTCTCATGGAACTTGTACAAATCTAAAATAGATAAAATTTGGGGGGATTTAAATTTTGCTGACATGTAAAGAATTTATTCATAATTTCCAAAAAGCAAATTTAGCCTCAAAATTTTTCTAGTAACAAAATAAGTCTAAACTTTGTTTCCATGTATGGTAAGAAATTTATTATTATATTGCAATAAAATAAAAGTATGAGTGAAATTTTTGATAGATTTAAATAATTGCGAGTGAAAATCTTACTAGTCATTAATAGCCCCTCTTCTGTGTTATTCTTAAAATACATGATTACAGAGCTTAGCAGCAATAAAGGAATTGAATTTTGTCTTTTGTATATAGCACAAAGTTGCCCTTCTTCCCATCCAGGTGTATGATATAGCAATACATTGGAGACTTTTAATGAAAACCTGTGAAATAATCCATTTTTCATTCCTGGGATGTCTTTTCTTGGCAATCAAGACATAGACGAGAAAACACAGATCTCACTCACAGCCTCAAAAAGAGCCATAGGTTTGAAGAAGGAGAGGGACAACAAGCCAAAATGTTGGCACTCCTTCTTCAGTTTCTAGATCCTTCTGTGAAAAGACGTGTTTTCGTAAGACCCAGACAGAATTCATTTCCATAGAGCGTTTTTAATGGCTCCTGTCAGAACAAAACAGCTGGGAAACATATGGTATCCATTTCCCTGTATCACTTGGAAAAAATTTCACATGTAAATAAAGCCAACATAAAAGAGTAGCCCTTTGAACCTACGACCTTATATAATACATAAATATATTGGTACAATGCACTCGTTGTATTGACCTACTAAGTTATGTGGCTTTAAAATTTTTTATTACATTCTGAGATGCACATTTTCTAGAGCTTCCAAAGAAATCAAGGTAATTGGCAAAATATTACTAAATATACTCAGTAATAAGAGTGTATCTCAGAAATGTCTATGAGTATATATATATTTTTTTTTCCATTTTATTTAAAGCCTTGCCGAAAGTTGATGAATAAAATTAAAGGCATATTTGCATCTTATAAACTCTATGTCCACTATCTGCTGTTTTAATTAAATAAGTAACCATGTGTTCTTGAGGAGAGAAGACTTGGCAGAAATTTCTGGCAGTCATTAATTTTTCATGGCTTTATATTTTTAGAGAGAAAAGTTCATATAAAAGATAGAAAACTTCTTAAATTTATGAGACCAACTGTAATTAGTCTTTGCCTTTGCATATTTACATTTCATAAATAACTTTAGCAAATTGATCTCTTACTGGTGATTATCACTCCACTGAGTTTATAACAGGATTTTGTCCCCTGTGAAATTAAACTGTAAATCCCTCAGAAGGATGCACTTTGTGCATTTTAGAAGATTTAATGTGTTGTGCAAAGTGAGATTCAAATTCACATACTAGCATTTGTTAATTGTCTGATCTATGCCAAGCACTGTGTACAACTGAGAACTAAAGCCAGCAAAAGGGAAGAAAAGCAGCAGCCTAAGACCATCTAGATACCTTCCTTCCCTTCTGGAACATTCTCTTCTACATTACTTATTGGAGAGAATCGAGCCCTCCTTCCACAGCTCGTAGTATTCTCTTCTTAGATTCTAAAATGTCAGAGCCAGAAAGGTCTGAGAAGTGGACTGCATAGTGCAGACCCTTGGAAACCTCATGCAAAACTGTGGTCAATTTCAGGGAAAGAACTCACTGATAGTTATATAGCATTCAGGCTCAGAGCACTCACTCTCATCCCGTTAGCTTGGTTCCAGAACTTCTCTGAATCCTTTTAGAACATATCCCAGCAGGAAGAAGAATGACCAGTAGCTTAAATTTAGGGAACTTTAATAATGTATGTTCCACTTTCACCCTAAGAATCAGTCATAGCCAGAGGCTATGGCAGAAGTTATAGATGTGAGTATACACCCATCTCATGTTCTTTTTTTCTTTGGTTGTTCCCAGTAGCAAAGAACACACACATACACATGCTTCCCACTTGTTTCAGAAGAGAAGCGGTAAATGGAAAGTCCCTAGTTGTAGGGCATGCCCCCTGAAATCTCATCCTTTGATGGGGGATGATAGGAACTACATGGCAGGGAACTAGGAACCCATAAATCAGTGGCCTGCAAGTTTCCAAGGGTACTGGGTCATCTTTTATCTAGCAGTGGAGTGGCCCAGGGAGGAAGCAGTATAATCATATCTGAGGAGACTGTTATTGCTCCATCTGCTTGCCTCAAGAGAAGGCACCAGGCAGCCTCTCATAACCAGGAGAGATGGCTCTTATCTTTCACCTCCAGGTGTGTCTGGCTGTTTCACTTTCTACTCTATCGCAACCAGACACTTACTCAAATGCAAACCAACACACAATCTTTATCCAAACTTTGCACAGAAATTAGAAAAAAAAAAAAAAAAAACCACTCTGCCTGACCCATTTTCTTTTCAGAACTTTCTTCTCCTGTTTGTTTCCAGCCTTCTCAACAATGGAGGGCAGTATTGAATCCTAAAGAACATGTTCTGTTGTGAAGTGTTAGTGCATTCTGTCACTGTGTCATATGTCAGAAAGCACCATGAAATGTTGCTGCATGATAGTTGACCAGGGTACTTTGACCAAGGTGGGGTTAACTCAACTATGTCTTCTCTCCCACAGTCCTTTCAACTCCTGAGCACTGTATTCCTTCCTATTCTTTCCCTAATCCACTTAATGGCACACCTAGGGAGTCACTCAAGGAGGTCATAGTTTGAATTTGCTCAATATTAAATAATTTGCCACTTCTTTTCATGGGACTTCTTGTGCATTAGGGGTGTATGTGGACATGCACGCTAATGTGTGTGCATGTGTGCATACGTCCCTTTTCTCCCTAAATCAGTTTGGAAGTTTATTTAACACTGAAGATCTTATTCTCTAATCTTGTTTTTCAGGGTGGTGACAAATATAAAAATATTGCCAGGGAGGTAGATCTATCCAGGGAATAAACCTAAATACCTATCTGGGTTTGCTTCCTTAGCCATTTACCTGTACCATTATTATTACTTTAATTAATTTTGAGTCACTGTGTTATAACCTTCTTTGATCATTCACTGTTTTCCAATGGTAAGTATGATTTTTTTTGTTCTATTGATGTGCACTCTAAGTCATCCTCACACACAGAACCTTAATTTGAACATAATGTGAATGAACCACATCTACCTGCATAGCCAAGATGTGTTCAGCATTCCAGATTAATAGCTTTCTATTTTAATTTTTTAAAAACAGTTTCTAGCTCTAGCTGGAATTGTGGCATCTCAACTCTTATTACAAACACGCAAAAGCCCACAGGAATCGCTGATGTGTACAGTAAGTTCCGCCCAGTGAAGCGGGTTTCGCCACTGAAACATCAGCCAGAGACTCTGGAGAACAATGAAAGTGATGACCAAAAGAACCAGAAAGTGGTTGAGTACCAGAAAGGGGGTGAGTCTGACCTGGGCCCCCAGCCTCAGGAGCTTGGCCCTGGAGATGGAGTGGGCGGCCCACCAGGTAAGAGCTCTGAGCCCAGCACATCGCTGGGTGAACTGGAGCACTACGACCTCGACATGGATGAGATTCTGGATGTGCCTTATATTAAATCCAGTCAGCAGCTTGCCTCTTTTACCAAGGTGACTTCAGAAAAAAGAATTTTGGGCTTATGCACAACCATCAATGGCCTTTCTGGCAAAGCCTGCTCTACAGGAAGTTCTGAGAGCTCATCATCCAACATGGCACCATTTTGTGTTCTTTCTCCCGTGAAAAGCCCTCACTTGAGAAAAGCATCAGCTGTCATCCACGACCAGCACAAGCTGTCCACTGAAGAAACCGAGATCTCACCTCCTCTGGTTAAATGTGGCTCTGCATATGAGCCTGAAAACCAGAGTAAAGACTTCCTAAACAAGACATTTAGTGATCCTCATGGTCGAAAAGTTGAGAAGACAACACCAGACTGCCAGCTCAGGGCCTTCCACCTACAATCCTCAGCAGCAGAATCCAAACCAGAAGAGCAGGTCAGTGGCCTAAACCGGACCAGCTCCCAAGGCCCAGAAGAAAGGAGTGAGTATCTGAAAAAAGTGAAAAGCATCTTGAACATTGTTAAAGAAGGACAGATCTCTCTCCTGGTAAGTATAATCTAGTTCAGTATACATGTCAATAGACTGGAGACTCCTTTTTAATAAACTGCATTCGTTAGTAACAGAACGATGCTGCATTTGTTTTGGTTTTTACTTAATCTTTACTTGTGGCTTTAGTTGGGAGATGTGACCTTTTGAGTTTTAAAATAAGAAGTTATGAAGTTAATACAGGGAAAACAAATAACTATAGAGGGAGTGTTATTTCATTTTAACTTTGCATGAATTCAACTGAAGACTCTTAATCTCAAAGAGAGCCCGGCACTTTCTTTAACTTGAATCTCAATGTCTTTCTTTTTGCTTTTCAAATGGTTCCCAGTGCTCTCACGCAGCTATTTGTGAGGATGTCAATTCTTGGCTGATGGTGGACCTGCCAGACATGTAAACAGAGGGTCTTCTGTTTTGTCCTGATCATTATTCAGAAGAATTGGACCAGGTTGTTTGAAAAGCATTTGTAGATAGAAGCTTACCCAAGGGCTTCATTGCCCTCTGACCCAGGTGGAGTTTTTACTTACTTCCAGCTCTGCATGTCTAGGGAGCATGAAGAAGCTTTTCCAAAGACTCTAGACACAGAGTAACATGATGTAAGAAAAGTCTGTTCTGCTTTGGCTTAGAGAGAGCTAAACTTAAATAGCACTCCATCTGCCTACATTGTTCTTTTCTGGCTTCCAGACTTGGATCAAACAGTAGCAAGCCTGGGCTCGTACTATGATGCTAATTAAAGTCTCATTCAAGAAAATCATCACATCTTGGCAATGTGATTCTACTTAGTATAAAGCCATGCATACTTAAGTACAATGTACTTGCTCTATTATCACAAATACTATTGTGATAGGGTAATATAATTGAATAATTTTATGAAATAAAGTAGTATTTTTTCTCCTGAAAATGTCTTTTCCATTTTCCTGGCTCTTCCCCCTAATTCTCTTTGGTTCATTCCTTTCTTTTGTCCTTCTCATGTTTTCATGTTTCCCAAATGCTAAAAACACCTCTTAGCTCACCCAACAATCTCTATCAACGAGTTCATAGTCAAGGGACAAAAACTTCACTAGAGATGAGAAACCAAAGCCATGTAGCCTCCAGATACCCCCAGGAGTTTGTTTGATGACAGTGTCTAGAGGTACCTATGAGAGCACTAGTAGCAGCAGTCATCATGTTGTTTGCCATAGCCAGTTCTCTACAATTCAAGGCAAAATAAACAGGTAGAGACAAATAGCTCATTCATTCAACAAACATAGAACAGGGAATAAAACCCAGCCCCAGCCCTCAAGGACTTCACAATCAAGTAGGGGAGACAGACAGGGAACCTGACAATTACTGTAAATGTAATTATAGTTCTTTAGAAAGCCAACTTGAAGCCTCCACACCTCATTGGCCCTAGCCCTGTTGCCATGTCTCGTATGAAGATCTGTCTCTCGAGAACTCATTTTCTAAAGCATATTGTAACAAAGAATAATAGCAAGAAACTGATTTATTAGATCCCCAAGGCTGCCACCAGAGCTTCTATAAGCTCATTTCTTCTTTCCAGTGCCCAGAGAAAAACTCCTACAGGGTCTTGCTCTGATTTATTGACTTGGGTTTTCTAATCTTACTATTTATACAGCCACACCTAGCTGCAGACAATCTAGACAAAATTCACGACGAAAATGGAAACAATCTATTACATATTGCGGCGTCACAGGGACACGCAGAGTGTCTACAGCACCTCACTTCTTTGATGGGAGAAGACTGCCTCAATGAGCGCAACACTGAGAAGTTGACTCCAGCAGGCCTGGCCATTAAGGTGACTGGTTGGGGGCTGGAACCTCCACAGCTAGAAGCTGGATTTCTATTTTTTAAGATTCCTTGTGAGCTAAAGTGTTGGAAGGGAGAGAAGAGAGTGATTTGTCAAGCAAAGAGCAAATGAACATATTGCATTTAAGAGAGTAATCATTTCAGTCACTGCTTTGAGATTTTGAGACTTAATTCCCAGTTTTTGTCAATCTGCTACTAAAGAGAAAGGAAAATGATATGTTGTAGTTCTAACAACTTTTGTTATTCATAGGGATTGCAATTAAGCTTCTTAACCACACCTGGATCTATCAAAGACTATCATTTCTTCCTAATATGACAATAATGAGCAAGACGAATGTGGGGAAGGTGTGTTTTAAGGATGCTAGCACTCGGGAGTATTTCAGATCACAAAGTGGGCGCTTAACGGATCACATCTGAAGTTTGAGTGTCTTCAGTATCAAGAATTTTTTAGAGTATCAGTGCCGAGTTTGAGTTTAGCTCTTGCAGAGCACAGTACGCTACCAAAAACTACACAAATTAATGTCGACTGGAATAGAGTTAAAACCTAGAAACTGTGAGACAAGAAACATGGACTTTTATAGCACTGCAGCAAGTGCCTCTGCAAAATATAGCACATCACTAGAAGATTAGCTATTCAACTAAAATTACCTAAAAGATCTTTGGCAAATAAATGTAGAATCCAATCATATTTATTAAAAAGCCAGAAGTGACATTCAGGGAAATATAATACATCTTGTATTTTTGCATATGTGCTTTGCTTTACATAATAGTTGTGTCTTCTAAAAGCTGAATAATCATAATTTTTATAAATTTAATTATATTGAAATTGGTGAGGGGAATTTGTTAGAGAAACCTACATGTGAATTCACTAAAGAACGTTACATTTAAAAAACCATTAACTGCTGTTCTACCTTAATATATTTTTTACGCAAACCTGATTTTTTTGTATTTTTAATTTGATGATTCAGCAAAGTTTTATACATTAAAAAATAATTTCCATTTTATTTAATTTTGCTCGGTTAAGCAAGGTAATTAATAAGGTATACTTCAAATCTAGCATAGAAGATAATTTTTTAAATAAAATAAATCTATGACCCTGGTAGGTATTATTTTGCTTTGGTTGTAAGTGATATGATGTTGAATTAAGAAGTAAACTTCAGGCAGCTATCATGAAGAAAGATAAATAGAACTAAACTACAGGCAGCTATCATGAAGAAAGATAAATAGAACTAAACTACAGGCAGCTATCATGAAGAAAGATAAGTCAAATGTAAAGTCGAGATTTAATATAGTTGAGCTTAACAAAGTGTACCAAGTTTACCAGGTACTGCGTTTGGTGGCTGGCAATACAAATTTGTATAAGTCATAGTCCCTACTCTTAAGGAGCTAATATTATTGCTAGTGGATAAGACTGGTAAGTTATCAGTAACACAAGTATAGGATGGCAAATTTGGGATATAGCCCTGTGACAGAGTTCTGTAGACATCAATGAGCATGTGTCAGTGATAAATATTCTTGCAGTGCTAATGAGTGTTAAGATTTGCCTTGCTGTTTTAGTGTTTATAAAATACAGTTCTCATTAGTCTTCCTAATGGTAGATTATTTATATAGGTAGAAGAAAATAATTTTTTTTAATTTGTATGCCCTAGGGCTTGTTTTGATAGATTAAAAATCTCTGAGTAGAAGGTACATAAGAAACTTAGTGGTTGTTACGCCAATCTTCAGCATAAACACCTTCTATGATATCCATATTAAGTTTCAATTCATTCTTATATTCCTGCAGTCAACATAAGATTGCCATCATACCATCAGTGTGCAAACTTAAACAGCAGTGTTTTTTTTTTTTTCATTTTAATGAAAAAGATTTCAAACCCATAAGACTCAAAAACTTTTACAGGTTTGAGGTCTCAGGCTTTTCATACTTAACTTCCAGAAAATGATTTGAATGTTCTATTCCTTTATTCTAGAATTTACAAAAGCAGTAAATACAAATATTTTATAACAAGTGCTTCCCTCTTTAGAAATCTGTCCTGACGCATATTTTGTCTCAGTCCATTCAGTGTATTTTGATGAACATTGATGACATTGAGAGAGTCCTAAAGAGTCACCATTTTGTTTTAGGACCTTGTTTTGAACACCAGTAACCAACTAGTGGTGTTTCACCTCATTAAACACAGTTTTGAGGGCCCTGCTGTCATGGAAAGACAAAGTTGGTACAAATGTACAGAAGTTGCTAAGATAATATGACTTGGCTAACAGGAAGCAGAGTCAGGGATAAGGTATCAAATAGAAAGATTTACCTGGGAACGGGCTTTGAAGTCATATCAGGACTTAAGAACATCTCCCTCACTATTAAACTCCTGGAATGGAACGTAATAAATTCTGCCAGTTACATACAGAATTTATTCACCACTTCTGGGATACCCAAGAGTACATACTGTGGGAGTTCAGGGTATTATTGAGTTTTCTTTAGAAATGATTAAGCAAAGTAATTGGAAAGAAATATTTCTAAAAGGTGAGAGCAGTCTGTTTTCTAAAACAGGACAGAAGAAGTAATTATTTTAAGACTTAAATAGTCTAGGAATGAAATAATCTTAATTCCCTTTTCACTTCTCATTCAGTCCTTTTGATTAAGCCAAAAAGCAAAGTGTCCATCTGGATATAACGTGACTTCAAACACATAATCTTACTGATACCCCCTTGCTGTATGTTAAATACAGCAAGTGGCCCCAGGCCCATAGACTTTGGCAGGCAAAAATCTCCTGCTAGAATTTTTTGTTTGTTTGTTTTCTTAGTATTTATATTTATGGCAAGTAATACTGGTTTCAAACTCACAATAGTGATATAATATTTCCTTCTGCCTTTCTAACAGCATTTTGTTTAAGTGTTGCCTCCTTGAATAACTAGAACTAACAGACATCTAATAGAACACTACCCAACAATAGCAGAAAACATTCTTGTCAAGTACACATGAAACATTCTCCAGGATAGACCAAATGTTAGGCTATGAAACAAGTCTCAATAAGTTTTTTTTTTTTTACCTTTTATTTTTATTTATTTATTTATTATACTTTAAGTTCTAGGGTACATGTGCACAACATGCAGATTTGTTACACATGTATACATGGGCCGTGTTGGTTTGCTGCACCCATTAACTCGTCATTTACATTAGGTATTTCTCCTAATGCTATCCCTTCCCCATCCCCCCACCCCACAACAGGCCCCAGTGTGTGATGTTCCCCGCCTGTGTCCAAGTGTTCTTATTGTTCAATTCCCACCTATATGTGAGAACATGCGGTGTTTGGTTTTCTGTCCTTGTGATAGTTTGCTCAGAATGATGGTTTCCAGCTTCATCCATGCCGCTACAAAGGATATGAACTCATCCTTTTTTATGGAAGTCTTAATAAGTTTTAAAGGATCGAAATGCAAAGTTATGTCCTTCGATCATAATAGAATGCAATTAGAAATCAATAACAAAAGGAAATTTGGGATGTTCATAAATATGTAGAATTACATGTCAAAATAAATCAACGTGTTAAGAAATCACAAGGAAAATTAGGAAATATTTATAGATGAACGAAAATGAAAATACAACATACCAACACTTACAAGATGCAACTAAAGCAGCACTTAGAGGGAGATTTGTAGCTGTAAATGCCTCTATTAAAAGAGGAGGAGAGGAAAGTGGGAAGGAGAAAGACTTCAAATTAATAGCCTAATTTTCCACCCTAGAAAACTAGAAAAAGAAGAGCAGACTAAATCCAAAGCAAGCAGAAGGAAGGAAATAATAAAAATTAGAGTAAAAAGAAATAAAATAAAAAATAGAAAAATAATAGAGGACGTCAATAAAACAGCATTTAGTTCTATGAAAATATTTTTAAAAAGTAATGAATGCCTAATTTAGGTAAACTGACCAAAAAAAAAAAAAATAGAAGACCTACATTACTAAAATCAGAAATCAGAAATGTTGCCTCACATTTCTGTGTTCTGTGTAAATGCCAGTTTGCTTAAACCGTCTTGCCTAGTAAATGATCAATATGGTTGCTATTCCTTTCTTCTTTTAGCGGGAATGAAGCACATTGTATTTGTGTGTTAGTGGTTTTTCGTTTTTAATCCTGGTAGGAAACATTTGGCATGCTCCAATTGCGAAATTTAAGGAAAGTCTGTAATTAAGGGATTATATATAAAAGGATGGTTGAGGGTAAGGGGTTCGTAAAGGAAAGTGCAGTACCCTGGGGTGTTTATTTAACAGCCAGGACACGGTTACCTCCCCAAAGCTGGGAAAGGGAAAGGAGTGGTTATAAGAACTTGAGATAGAAAGGACTGAGTACAAAGGACTGGCTTACTTTTGGGCTTTTTAAGGGACTCAGATGGCCAATGGCAACCCCATAGAGAGGGCCTCAAACTCACTTTCCTTTCCTGATCTGCCACTGTCACCATCAGCCAGATCCAGCCAGAGGAGCAGGGAGCCAACTCATTCAGAACAACCTTCTCGGGCAAATACCTCAGGAGAATAGAATCTGCATGTGAATAGTTGGGAGTTCCATTATCCAAATGGAATAAAATGAAGAATGAGCAGATTACCTCATTGTCCTCCTTTTAGAATAAATTTTTACCCTTGAGCAGTTAAATGATAGAATTCTAAAATAAAGAGAAACTAATCCTATTCTACTAATTTAAATGCTACCCTCAGTGAAGCCTCCCTTGGCTCCCTGCCAACCATACCTCTTTTCTCCTGGGCTAAAATCCCACAAGCTGCAAACTAGGAAGGCAGTTGAATGTTTGATTTGTCTGACAGAGTTATTGCGAGAATCTAAGAGAGCATTCTAATAGAAGGTAACAAGTATTGTCTGCTTAGTAAGTTTACATGCTTTATCTCATTTAATCTTCATGGTAACTCTATGAGGTAGTTACTATTATCCCTGCTATTTCACTGTTTCACAGATAAGAAAATTGAGTATCGGATAGGTAAAGTAATTTGTCCATGGTCTTGCAACTAAGTGGCAGATTAAGATTTAAAACCATATCAGAATCTGGGTTTTAATCACGAGGAGATACGTATCTGGGTTTATATATCATACTGCTCTATAAGTGGTAGGGAACATTTTCTACAGACATGTATGGACTATATTGTAGCTATTTACATGCCTTGATTGCTTTTTGAGAGAAGTTTAAGTTTCTAAAAATTATGAGAAATTTTTTAAAAATTATGAGGGTAAAAAATACTCATAAACGACTATAAGAAAATCCTACTCTTTTTTTTCTGCCTACTTTTACTTGATCCTAAAGGTCAAGAGGGTTGGTTTCCTTAAAAATGTAAAAGTTGAGGATATTTTACTTTCTGTATCCATAGTTATATTATTTGTATATAATAAAAGATAATTTCCCTTTTTAAAATTGTTTAATATTTTACTAATTAAGATATTTACCTCATCCCTTAATGAAATTTTTAATTTCAAATATGAGTTTACTGATTTTTCATTAACAAATATGATTCTTTGGGGATTGGAAAACAGTTGTGCATCTTATGAAGTTTAATTGAAGAATACTGATTAACTGACCATGCCGTGTGTTGGCTTAGTTTTGGAACAATTAGAATGCTCATATGATGCTGGTGGTGATATAAAGTGGGCAATCACTTTGGAAACTAGTTTGGTGGCTTTTTATTAAGTCAAATATACAGCTACCATATGACTCAGAAATTTCGTTATTTACCGAGGAGAAATAAAAGCATGTATTCACTATTCACAAAAAAAATTCATAGCAACTTTATTCATAATATCCCCTAAGTGGAAACAATCCACATATCTATCAATAAGTTATTGGATAAATAAATTGTGGTATAATTCTACAATGAAATACTTCTCAGCAATAGAAAAGGAATAAATTACTGATACAAGCAGTAGCTTGGATGAGTCCCAAAGGCCTGCTATGTAAAAGAAGCCAGACACAAGAGTATATACACTAATCTATTGTGACAGAAATCTCATCAGTGGTTGTTTGGGACAAATGAGAGGAGGGTGAGAACCAAAGAGTACTAGAACACTTCTGGGGATAATGGAAATGTTCTTTGTCTTGAGTGAAGTTATAGTTACAGGAGTATACATATTTGTCAAAATACATCAAACCGTATACTTTAAAAGATTATATTTTATAGTATACAAATTATACCTTACTAAAGTGAATTTAAAATAACTGATTACAATTATGAAAATGAACTTAAATAAAAATTCTGCAATTGATTTCGAGCCAAATCCACAGATCAGGAATATAATAGGTGATATCTTTATATCATAAATAAATTAAGCCTGATATAAATGCCAAAATTTATATGATTTCTTTCCTTGGTGAAATTACCATCTTTAATGTATTTTTCAAACCTGAGTTACCTTGAATTTCCATCTCCCTTTCTTTTTTAAAACCTAGAATGGTCAGTTGGAGTGCGTACGCTGGATGGTGAGCGAAACAGAAGCCATTGCAGAACTGAGTTGTTCTAAGGATTTTCCAAGCCTTATTCATTACGCAGGTTGCTATGGCCAGGTATGAAGGAGTTTTTTAAGTATCTTCCCTTTGTGTACCATATAATCTTCCTACTTTTTTATTATTAGTCCATCAAAATCCAAACATAAGAAATCATCAAAAATGTATCCAAAGGTATATAACCAATGATATTTGTTGTTATTTTTGTTTTAAATGAAAAAAAGTTTACAACAACCTAAATAAATATCCCATGACAGATATTGGATAAATAATGAAGCTGCAGCCATTGATGACATTTTATGGGAAAATGTTCATTATATAGTACTAAACAAATATGTATGATACAAAACTGGTCCTATAATTTAGCACCAACTTTGAATTTTGGAGATAAAGAGAAATAGAAATTAATACTAAAAAAATTATGTCACAACATGTTTATAGTAGTTATCACTCAGAGTAGCAGTACAAGTGGCTTCGATTTTCTATTTTTTTAATTTTTCAGTATTTTCCAAATTTTTTACAGTAAACACATTTAACATTTATCAAAAGGAACAATGATACATTTTCTTGAACCCAAAGTTAAAAGGAAAATCTTTATAAGACATTAATCAAGGCAGTCTCACTCAATTAAAGATGAATAAGCACACTAACCAGATGGCTCTCAGTTGCAATCAATTTCCACATTAGGAAATCCCAACATTAATTAGTGTACACAGATCACAATCCAGTGTTTGCAGTTAAAAAAAAAAATTACTACCTCCCTTTGGAGAATGTGACTGTGAGTTATCTTTTTAAAAAACTGGAACCACAAAATACCAATCTCAGTCTTAAAAAATAATAGTACTGTGTTAAAATAGATTTAATTGTGTTTGTGGCAAAGAAAATTGCTTCTCATGCATTTAACTGTATTCTCTCTGGCTTCATAAACTTTCCTAGTAGAAGTAAACTGTGGCGTTGTCAACAAGAGATTATGCTTTTTCAAGTAAGACAATCTCAAGTTCAAAAAGTAGACAACACTATTACCACAGTCTTTCTTTAGTGGGAGTCATGCTTAGGGATAGTTTATTTTGTGCTGTGGTAACTTCTAGTAGTGTGTGTGTGTGTGTGTGTGTGTGTGTGTGTGTGTATAATATATATTACATAAAAACATGTTTTTTATATGTTATATACACATGTAAAATGTTTCCTATGTGTGCCAGGCACCACGCCATTGGATTTTGTGTACATTCTCTCATTTATTCCTCAAAACAACCCTGTGAGAGCTTGTTGTGTTTATCCCCATTTCATAGATGAGGAAGGAGACTGAAGAAAGAGAGTTACATGACTTGCACATGGTCTAATGGCTAGTAAGAGCAAAGACTAGATTTCAACTCAGATTCTCTCACTTCAGGGCCAGATCCTGTTTTGTCCCCATTTGTATAGAAAATGTATGCAGATTGTTTGTAGAGGCACTGATATAGCTGAAGAAGACTTTTTTTTGCAGTTTTATCTAACAATACATTGTAATATTTGGAGTGCTTCACACTACTCATTGAAGAGATTTTTAACTGTACCAAATTTATGAAATGGAGAAAGGAGCAGGCCCTACATTAAAATTTGTAAAAGCCACTGTCTTTGAAATATTATACTTACTCTGTGTTCTTTGTGCATTGTACTTACTAGTCCCCATCCACAGTGTCCTGAAAATGATTACTGGTTATTAAGGCATGACGTAAGGATGTCATTTTTTGCTTATGCAGACGCTCCCCAACTTAAAATGGTTCAACTTATGATTTTTGGACTTCACAGTGGTGTGAAATAAATACACATTCTGTAGAAACCATACATCAAGTTTGAATTTCGATCATTTCCTAGGCTAGTGATATACAGTACAATATTCTCTTGTGATGCTAGGCCGTGGCAGCTGCAGCTCCCAACAGCCACGTGATCACAAGGGTAAACAATCAATACCCTATAGTGTATTAAGTGCATTTTCGACTTAACAATATTTTCAACTTAGGATGGGTTTATTGGGCCATAACCCCATTGTAAGTCAAAGAACATCTCTACTGGCAAAGAAGAGAATAGGATTTTCAAATGATCGGAAGAATTTGATCACTGTTCATCTTCCTAATCATTTTGAGTCTAAAACAAAATTTTATTCAATTGTGTGAATAGTTATTTCATGTCTCCGATTTCATTTGCTTATATTAAAGCCTAAAAAGGAATTTTAAGTATCAGTGGAAAGGCTGCCTGCACTTTTGGTAGAGCTTGCCAAAGAAAAGGAGGAAAGAATTACAGGGCTGTTCTGAGACTCTAAGTAAATAATTGGGCATTCGGCATGCTTTGTCTTGGGAAATGTTGATTATATGTGCCAGTTTCTTTATTCAGCTCTCACAGCAGGTTTCTCATAATTTTGAAGCTATTGGGACTGAACAAAATAAAGTGCCCTTTTTCTGGGACTGGTTGGGTCACAGTGTGACTTACTTGGTGGGACTAGAGGAAAATATGGAAATTGGTGACCTGTTTGAAGAGCTGTGTCAAACGTTTGCTTCATGCTAGTGTCAATATTCAGGTTGTTATTTCAAGATGATATGCATTTTTTATGACCTAAAATACAGCTCTGAGGGGGGCAGTCCAGCAGTGCCCTTAGGAGATCATTCTTACCCAACTGGAAAATATAGAAGCCCATTAGAACTGCAAATGCTGTCCAGCCATCCTACATCCGCCACAGCCACTTATGTAACAGATAACCTGTGGAGATGCTGAACTTGGAACCATTACAAGCCTAATATTTTCACAAGGAAGACTGTTATTGAACGGTTTTCTAATGGATTCAGCATATGCAAGTTTTTCTACATCCAGCAGGCATTTGAGTGTGTCCTGGCTTTGTTTCTTCAGTAAATGCCCCTGGAAAGGATAGTACAGAGGAAAATTCCTCTCTTGGTTTATTTTAGCCGCTCTCTGCCCTTCATATAGATTCCTAAAGAATGGGCTCCACGTGACTCCTAATTTGTGTCGTTTTTCTTGTAAAAATTACCTTTAAAGACTCTAGTACCACAGGGTAGCCAACAGTTTTTAGTGCTCTCCTGAAGTGATAGATCCCTGGGTGATAGGAATTGATTTTCTTCATCTTGACACATGAAGTCTCAGAGGGTGCAATTATTTCATTGCCTGACTGTACCTGGCAGAACTAGCCACAGGGAATGTGAAGGTGGAAGCATCAGGGACACCCGAGGAAAAAGCAGGGAGTGTCCTCGGATAGGCCTGCTTTGCTGGCCCTTGAGAAAGATGTTGCTGGCAAAACAATTGAGATGGAATTATCTCAATTCAAAGCTACTGCCTGTGTAACTTGGGCTGTTTTATTCAAACATGAAGGTTCAGATTGTCTCATCCAGGCTCTCCCAGCACAGCTTCCTGCCCTCCACTGCTTGGGAGCCTCTGCCTGCTCTGCGCTGGTTATTAGTCCAGTGGGCTCTATGTTACTTTCAACATCAAACCTGTGATTCCTTTTGTTTCTGAATCATTCATGTGACTTTTAGTCATGAGATTCTTCTACGAAAACAACCTGCATCATGGCATTGAACATTTACTAACAGCACCTTTACCTACACTGTTTTTATTATTTTCTGTAGTTTAAATATTTGCCCTAATACAGATTTTTTTAAGGGCACTTTTTGAAAAAAGAAAAGGCTCAGCAATTCTTGCAAATGGTCATGAGCAGTGGTAGACATGCTGGTGAGGGGGGTGTTCCCGCAGGCTGTGTTATTGTTGTTTTTCCACAATTTACTTTAAAAAGGAAAAATATTCCCCTGCCTTTATTGTTTTGCTGTCATAGGGAAGTAAGTCAACAGTACTGAAAGTGCTGCGATCACAGATGAAAGCAAAATAGAAGAGTCTTTGATTAGCACACACGCATCTGCTCTCCAAGTTCTGATCTTGACAAAGCATAACTGACACAGAGCCCTACAAACCCACAGACTGACAGGCAGTTAACTGTGATTTCTTTGACTCAAGGGGCACAAAGGGAGCATGTCCTTTACAGAGTCAGGGGTCATGAGGGGATGCGCAATTGTGGATATCCATACTCAAAAGACAGAAAACAGAGTCATGAAGAACATTGGTTCATACAGCAAACTGTCTCCATTGTCATCCTAACCTTACCACTTACTAGTTCAATGGGTTAGATATTTTAATTTTTTTTTTTTTTAAAAAGAGAGAAAATATAAGAATAGGTCTCCCTGGACCTCAGTTTCTTCATATGTAAAATGGAGATAATAGAACCTTCCTCACAGTGTTAATCTGAGGACTAAGTGAGAAAAGCCACATTGCCCAACCCATACTAGGCACTAGATGAATGTCGGCTGTTATCACTATTGAATCTCCTCCAACTTATTGTTTTTATTCCTATCAATATTATTCAGTTTACTTATTTTACCATTAGTAATGTATAGGAGAAACTTGCAAAGGAATTATTAAGGCCATAACCTATTTAATCAATTCTTAGGTGCACTTTATTTCACATTTTACCGTCTTTTGATTCTACATATATCTTACAATACATGAAATTATAAAATAATTGCTGACCTTTATTTTTTACATTTTTACATCTCAAAAACTGGAATAAATCTTATAATTGGTGGCATATTAGATTTGATAATCTATGATCACAAAGCTAACTCCTTTTAAAACATGGATTGCCACACACTATAGAGACTTTATTGATACCAGCAATAAACCTGTGACATACTTCTCAAGTACATTTTTTATTGGAATTTGTCCAGCAAATCTCATAAATCACATGAGATAATTGCCTCTTTAAACAACTTGCATTGCCCTTAGGAACACATAAAATACAACATTAAAACAGGTTACCAAAACAGCAGAAAATCCCCAGAAGAGGAAACTGCTGAGGAAAACTATATAAGAGGAGTTTTCAGTCAGTACATGAAGGTTGAATGGATAAGTGGATATGTGGGTGGATGATGAAATGTAAGTTGGAGAGCCATTCTGGGAAACAAATGATACAGAAATCTTCATCCATGTGACTTCATTAGATATTCTCTGAAAGCAATACTTATGGGGAAATGAAGGTCTGAAGTTACATCCATCCTTTAATGTCTCCTGCATGTAGATACACTGACTGAGAGAACACACACTGAGGGGCTAAGAGGGGAGGGGGACACCATTACATATGTATCTAATCATATTAACAAGTGCCCTCTTGGCTGAAGAAAAGTTTTGTCCTTCTTAGGAGGTATTTTCAGATAGTCATTTTGAATGGTAGAACTGTGCATCTCCACAGGCATGGTCCCCAGAATCAGGGCAGGATTTGTCTGTAAGCAGATATTAAATATGCTTTTACCAAAACCAGAGACTCTAGCCATCTCCATGTCCCCCTCAAAAACCCTAAATGTCTGTTGTTAAAAGACAAGGTATATAGTCAATCCGTCATTTTGGGGAGTACTTCTCTGCATTGTATAATGGAAGATTTTGGTTTACATGTCATATCTCAGTGGACAGGCCAATCGCACTTCTTATTTTAAATTCTTATGCTTATTCTTAAATTGTCCAACATAAAACCCAAGACTGGATTTGAGGTGCTAGGCAAAACCTTGTTCTGAACAGTCAAATAATGGTTCTTTCTTTATGTAAATCTTGCATATTGAATTGGTTAGAATCTTTCATTGTAAGGAAGAAGAGTTATCCATGCCTTCCTAAGAAGGAAAGGCAAGTTATTGTAACAATATAGGTTGAACCTGACTTGGAGGCCCCCTCAGGGGCCCAGGTAACTTTTGGCTCACACAGACCATGTATGTCTTGTTCTCCCAGATTATCAAGCCCCTGAAAAGTCCGAGGTCCTAGACTCTCCCCACAGATTTCCACAATGGGAACATTCCCACTCTTATGAGGGGCAGTATTCCATTGCCTATAACCCCACTACTAAAACTAAAGCACTGTGATTTTAATAAAGGGCATTTTTTTGTGTATGTGGAATAGACATACCCCCCATAATATTGGGGCCTGGAAATATGGAATTACATCCAACAAGAAGATACATGTAAAATGCTTCTCAGTATCTTGAACTCCTCCAGGCTTTACTTGCTAAAGAAAGAAGTCTCTAGAATATCAAGGAATACAGCAGGTCCTTACATTAACCTGGTTTCTTTCAACATCATCTTCTTATAATGTTGATGAGAAGAAAAAAACCAGTTCCCAGCCAGGGCCACTGTCCCTGTGGAGTTTGCTCATTCTCCACATCTCAGTGTGGGTTTTCTCTGGGTACTCCAGTTTCTCCTCACGTCCCAAAGATGTGCACATTAGGTGAACTGCTGTGTCTCAGTTGTCCCACCATGAGTGAATGTGTGTGGGTGTGAGTGCACCCTGTGTTAAGGTGGTGTCCTGTCCAGGGATGGTTCCCGCCCTGTGTTCTGAACTTCCAGGATGGGCTCCAGCCACCCAAACCCTGACTGGAATGATCAGATAAATAATTATCTTACTTGTTTGTATTAGTCTTTCTTAAATGTATGTATAGCTCATATTTGTTTCAATGTTTCACTTTAGAAGTGTTTGGTCTTTATTTAGAAGTTTGGTGCTGTTTTTGTGACCAGAAATATGTCATAGGAACTAAAATGGTAAAATTAGTTTCATTATACTTCATTTTGCTTAAAGTCGCAATTTCCAAGAATCTGTCCATGCCATCACATGAGGACTTGCTGTATATCATTGTCCGCTCCCTCAGTTTTCTGACTTATAAAATAAGGCTTTTTGAATTGGATGATTCTTTAAAATCTCTCCCCTCCACATGTTTAGGAGTCCATGATTTAATATCTTGAAGCAAACCAAATCACCACAAGTTTGAGAATGACCCATTGAAGAGAATTTGTTCTGCCTATGGTGGGTCCATCTGTTTCACTGGTAGAGGTACCATAATCTATCCTCTTGCAGCCTCCATGTCTGAGCCATTAACCTCAACCAGTTGGTTATGTCTTTTATCCTGAGATACTTCCATTCATCCAGATTTTTAAGGAGTTAAGAATCGTATGCTATAATCATCTATGTCCAATTAAAAGTAATCCAGTGTTTTTCCCCTACCTAATTAGAAAAAAAACAAAGGAACTGCTTTTACGTTATGCAAATGAAACATCACCTGCTGTGGTCCAAACATCAGCTCCAATTTTCTCTAGGTTTGCCTTTGAAGAAGAGGACTAAGCATAGCAGCATATTCTTATCCAACCTCTAACTCCCAGCCATAGCTCCAGGCTCTGCTTCTACCTCATTCTCTAGGGACCCTTGAGGGTTTCAGTTTCTACCATGTCTGTCTCCTTTTGCAGTTAACACTCACCCTGCTTTCTGGGATGCCTTCTTAGAAGGCTGTAGGCATAGATTACATTGTTCTCATCATGCTCTTTAGGGGTCTTACTCCCTGGTGCTCATTTAGAAAAAGTGTGGTGCAAATGTTCAGTCTCTCCCTGATGTCACAAATACCTTCATAAACAGTGCCCTGTTCCCCAACATAAGGGGTGAAACATTAAAAGATTTGGCTGTTTTTATCCAACATTCCTTTAGCAGATTAGTTGGCATGTTCAGAAGATGAAGGCAAATTTAATCCAGAAAAGTATAAAAGTTCATGAGCAGTCGGAGCAAACAACTGGAAAAAAAAATCCTTTAAAAGGCTAAGAAGAAAGAAGTTCAAGGTTATTTCAAACACATGATCATCTTTTTAAATGTCAAATTCCACCCACTAAACTTCATGCTGTTGTTTTTACCACTCTCATATTTTTTTAACTTTATATTTAATCTTCTATTTTAAAACAGTGAAATCCCATCCCCCTGCTTTCTCCAAAGGCCAAGCATAACATGAAAATACCACAAAACACTCAGTGGGTAAAATGCAAACAGATTATGACAACACATACTGTGACTGCTCTATGTCTTTGCTTTTGAAAGGTTTGCGTTCCAAGCTTTTGGTTCCCTTCCTTTAACATGAAAGAAGGGAAATCTTTACCTTAAGACACCACCAACACTTGGTCAGAAAATCAAGAGGGTCCTGGTTTTATTTCAATGAACTTATCTTACACTTGGCAACTTAACGTATTTACCTGTTTTTTATAAGCCTGTTGATTGCAGGAGGTATGGATTATAAAGGCATGGTTGAAGAATTATAAACTTAAGAGTAGAAGCTAATTCTCAACAATTCAAGGTTTTATGGTAACATTCTTGAAGCCTACAGGCAGTATAACACAGCAGCAAGAACATTGCCTTGGGAGCCTTGGAATCAAAAGACATGGATTCTAGTTCCAACTTTGGATCTGTCTAGCTGTGTGCCTTGGATGAGGCACTCAATCTTACTGCAAACCTATTTTCCCATCTATAGAATAGATAAGTAAAATAAGAGCGCTTCCAAGGGAGCTTCCTGCTCTTAAAATTCTCTATGCCGTCCTCTTTCATTCATTTCAGTCAGAGATTCAAGGATTTTCAATTCACATCTGAATGAGAATTTTCTCTTGCTACGGTAAGCATGGTTTTACCTAAGCTTCACAAATTAGGGTATTGTTTTCCTCTGTCTTTTTATCTAACTTCTCTGCAAGATATTACATGAATTCCAACTGTCTTTGTGTTTATAGGAAAAGATTCTTCTGTGGCTTCTTCAGTTTATGCAAGAACAGGGCATCTCGTTGGATGAAGTAGACCAGGATGGCAACAGTGCCGTTCACGTAGCCTCACAGCATGGCTACCTTGGATGCATACAGGTACACAGGCCCTGCTGTTTTGCAATGAGAAATGAGTATATCAAATATTAAACAAAACATTAAAATTATGTTCACTAGGAGAATGTCTGAATTAATTCACCTTTTGTATGGTCGTAGACAATAAGGAATTATTGCTCTATTTGTGTTTCCAGAAATCCACACAAATGTAGGTAGGCATAAATATCCATAAGAGTTTCTCTTTCAGTGTCCCAGGGTGTTGAAAGGGACTTTTCCTGCTCCCTTATCACTGCTCTAAAGCCCCAGTGCTGAGGACAATAGACATTAAATTTCCCCATGTTCTCAAGGCACCAGAGAAACCACTACCAGGCAGACATCTGTCTCTCAAGTGGCAGGCTGCTCTTCCCCTAACTAGTAAATTTCATCCTCCAGGTATATGAAGAATAAGATAGATTTTTCAGGAATGGATTAGAATTCTTTGTGTAGGGAGTTGTAGGCTAGAGAGAGAATGCTGTAGTTCCCCCTTTCTCTGTAGTAGGACTGAGCTTCTCAAATGCATTCAAAAGGTCCAGAATTGGTTGGGAGTAGATTCAGATATTGGTCCTCTCCGCCCTTGGGCAGGCCACCCAGGGCCTTGATTGCCCAACCACTGCACCCAACAGCCTCAAGTAGCCTTATCTTTTTACCCTAACTTGCCTTCTAAATATTGTCATATCCAGTGTGTACAATGATGTCAAAAAGTTGGGGAGCTGAGCCACAGGAGAGGGGAAGGAGTCTCGACCCCCTGCCCCAAGCCACATGAAGGGTGCTCCAAGAAAGCTCCCTAGAGAGTGTAGGGTTCCTATGAGAAGAAGAGGTGACATCTCATCCCTCAGTTGAATGCAGAGCTGCATGAAACTGGGCCAAACCCAGAGCTGCCATCCAAGTAGTGCATGGCAGGAAAGCCCAACAAAGGTCTCCAGGAGTCTGGAGTATATGTGAACATAAGACCCAATTGATCTTTCCACCTTGAAAATGTCGAATGCCCTCAGTGACAGAGCAAAAAGAGGGGATAGCTGAAGGAGGAGTAGCAGATGGAAGAGGCATGACAATGTGAGGAAAGGAAAGGCTTTGAATTGGAAACAAAGTCAAAGTTTAGACTTGGTCTAGAATTTTATTTACAGACATAAATCATTATTACCAGAATCAGACCAATTATACCATTATTATCATTGAAAGTGACCCGACATATATGGATTTATTCCCATATCTATCTGATATATAGGATAGGGAAATTGACAACATATGGTTGAAGGTCATGATTAGAGACAAGACTTTTACCTCATCAAGTTCATACGGTTCAAAATATGTTATGGTATATAACATGTAATACACTTTCTACCTTTAAGAAAGCAGTACTCTTTTTTTTTTTTTTTTTTTTTTGGCTTACACGTGTGTTATTTTCCTATGTTGCAAACTCAGTGTGCTCAGTTATTCAACAGGTACTTACTGAGGCCCTCCTGGGTGCAAGATAGATGGTATCCAAAACAGAAAACTGAGAGGTGAGAACCAGTTGCTCAGGAAGGTAGAGGAGACTTGGGAAATGACAGGAGAATATATGGGGAAACTATAAATATAAAAGGCAAGAGATTTATGAAAACAAAAAGCAGAGATAATAGCAGAAATCTCTCTAGAGTGCCTACTCACATGAAACTGCTGTTTGGAGAACTCACTTGATAGGAAATAGTCCGGAGAGCTGAAAGTTTTTCTATTATTGTTGGCAAAGTGTGCATCTTCTAATTTAAGGCATCAAGTTTTTAAAAGAGTGATATGAAATTGGAGAGTATAGGAGAGAAATTTAAATTCTTAACAGGTTCTGCAGAAATATTAAAGGAGTAGCATTTTTTTGTAAAGGAAATATGATTGAATAAACATTGAAAAATATGCTTTTCTATTTAACAAAACACTCTAATATTTAATAGTCTTGAAACAAACTTTTAAGCAGCTAAGAAATGACTAAAGCCAAAGAAAGCCAGCTGATATCACTACGTGAGATTTTAGTTATTTTTCTTTTTAATATGTGAAGAGAGACAGTCTTTGCTTTTAGAGCGTTCATCACTCCACTTACACACAAATGATATTTTTGGCACTGGGTACCATGGAAGTGGAAACTTGGATAATCTTGGAAGGGGATCTGTCCACTGGGTGTGAAATTTAAAGAAAAAAAAAGATAAGAGACCGAGAGTGAGCAAGGGACCCTATGAGGTGAGGAGGGGACTGAGTAAGGAAAACAATGGAAAGAAAACTGCAGAGGTCAGGGCCAAGGGGGAGTAATAACAGTGTGTGTTTATATAGCATCTCTTCAAGAGCCCTGAGAGCTCAATACTGACATGGTCTCTGTGACACTCCTGTGAGGTAGGTGGCAATGGCTTTGTGGTGAGTTGACCTTTCATGGTGAGTGATCATAAACCAAAAGGAAAACGAAGCTCCTTACTGACCTCTCAGTCTAAGTAGTCTAAAAATTTAAATACTACAACTATTGCTTAGGGGAAAACACTGTCTACTACCCAGATTAATCCAGGTTTGCAGTCTCATCATGATATTGTCAAAGAATCTATCAGATTGTAGTGGTTGATTAATATTGATGTAATAACTTTTTGTGGAATCTAATAATATCACAGTATGGACACAAAATAGTTTGGATTTTTTTAAATTATTAATTTCAACCATGTTCCATCAAATTTCTCTCTCTCCACAACTAATGATACCTTGGCCAGATTCCGTAACTTTCTCCTTTCTTATGACTATTAAAATTTACTCCAAGCCTCTTTAAAATCTCAGTCTTACTTCTGATTCAAAGCATTCTCCTTCCCACCCAGACTAGACTCAAGATTCAAGGGACTTGGAATGGGAGTGAGACATGCCTTTTTACACACCACTTTAGCTCCTATCCCCCTATCTCTTCTGGGCTGCAGTGTCAAGGACAAGAAGGAGGTATGAAGAGAAAAAGTCCGGTATCTCTTTGCTTAACTGGGAAAGGCATGCAACCTCCCTGAAAGTTGTCCCTGCTTCTTTGGCTGGCTGTGGTCACTGATGCCCTCTGTGCCAACCTTCAGATGCTGACTCTCCAGTGAGTGCCATGGTTGGGGTCTTCAGAGGGCCCTCTGGAGCCTTCCCCTCCTCCCCCATACAGTTCTCTCCACCTCTGGGGCAGCCTATTGCCAATTGTAGCCATAGAACCCTCTCCTCATTAAAGAGGTGATAAGAAGCTCACACAAAGCTTTCTTCTACAAAGCCTGCTCAATCCACAGACATGTCCTCACCATAGCCCATTGTGGGAGGGTGGGAGCTGCTTCACAGCCTCCCCACTCTCAGCCATGTCATTTCTTTCCAGTTCTTTTTATTCCTGATCAGGTTGGCGCAGCAACAAATAAACAGGTGTTATTTCAAAACCAATTACCAGAGACCAAATCCAGTTACTAGAGCCCAAGCAAATGAGAACAGGTAAGATTCCAGTCTCCCCCTCTTACAGGCATCTCTGACTATGAGTGATTCTCTTGGAGCCCAACCATGACAAGAGACAGAACTCCCCACCACAAAGACTGCACTGCATATCTCATAAAGGAGAGCACACTATGGACAGCCTCCTCCTCTCCTTCCCAGCCCCCTCCTTATGTGGGCTGCAGATGAGCATTGATAGTAGTAGGACTGGCTCTGCTACATCATCATAGACTCTGAAGGGAGGTGTGTGATATTGACTGCTGAAAGGTCCCTAGAGGCTCTCTTCATACTATTCAACATTCTGTTACAGTCATTAAAAAATAATGTGTACAGAGATGTCCTGATACACATGTCCTTCATTTTCTGACAGACCTTGGTTGAATATGGAGCAAATGTCACCATGCAGAACCACGCTGGGGAAAAGCCCTCCCAGAGCGCCGAGCGGCAGGGGCACACCCTGTGCTCCAGGTACCTGGTGGTGGTGGAGACCTGCATGTCGCTGGCCTCTCAAGTGGTGAAGTTAACCAAGCAGCTAAAGGAGTAAGTGGCCTGTTGGTTCCATGAGAACCAAGTCTAACTCATTATTGTTGTACTTAGGCTTCAGCCCCATGCTGTGCTGAGCACTCTTCTTTCCAGTTGTACAGGGAATTCCTAGCATTCTCCTCTTCTGTTCTTCCATCCAAAGTCCTCACAGCCAGCGTTCGTGCTGAAGATGCCATCTCTGCAGAGGCAAAAGGATGTCTAAACAGTAAAGTGTACAGCAAGCTCCCAAAGCAGGGAATTTAAGCCAGTGGACAAGGCGAGAGAGCCTCTCTCTGTGTTCACAACTCAGGGCCAGATTACAGAGCGCTGGAAGCACTCATAGGCATCATCTCCAAACTTTTGTCCTTAATATTTTAGGAATCATAAAGAACATGAGAGAGAGGAAAAGGCTAGAGATGGACCAATTTCCCAGTTTTCTCAAAAAGAAAAATGTGTGGGGGAAATTACAGATAAATAACTTGGTGACTATCACCAGCAAATTTCTTATAAAAATTAATCAGATGATTCATGAATCTTCATAATAAAAAATAGTGCTCAGTCAGCATGAAGTTACTTAAAACACTTCACGACTAATTACAGTCAGTTCTTCCCTTGATAAGATTATTAAACTGGTACCAGTGCATGTCTGGGTGTCAGGGAAGTATTTCTGGGAGATTGTCATAATATGCTTAGAGAAAGAGGTCCCAGATGAAAGGTCATCAGGTCTCTGGCAAGTTGAAGGACTAAGGAGTTAACACCTGCCTGAGGGGAACCAAGGTCAGCCCTTGAAAAGCTCACCCATTAAATACAGTTTCCAGATTGGGGAGGGTTTCCTGAAAATCAGTCAGTATTCAAAGTAATGTTGACAGATTAGGAGGGTAAATCTTAAAAATTAAATTTTAGAGGGAAAATACTCTTACCTTTAAGTTTTACACACACACACACACACACACACACACATTTTTTTTCTGAATACAGCTGTACCCTAGAACTTAAAGTATAATCAAAAAAAAAAAAAGAAAAAAACCTTGGTTTTTTTCACCCAACCTTGGTTGGGTGAAAGACCTCAATTAATTAATTATAATCCATGCAACAATATGACAAGGCCTTGGACCCTCTGCCTCTTCTCTAAGCTTAGGGAAATGTCCCTTCTCTCTCTCCTTCCACTCTTTTGCCTTCAAGCTACAAGTCTCTGTGCCCCTCTACCCCTCCCCCTGTCAATACTAGAATAATTTCTTTAATGAGTTTAGACTTCTAGAAAAAATAAATTAAAATTTGAAACTTGAAAAAAAGGGGTTACTGCCAACCATCCTTTGCCTAGTTACACAAAACTTCCCCAAGTTAGGTGAGCTAGGTAAACTTCAAGGTCTCAACGTAATCACAGGGAAAATGCACACAAATTAATAAGTCAGTAAGCTGTCTCCCCACAGTGAACACACTGTGCAAATGCCTTTATGAACATGTATAGATATTTCAAAAAAACAAGTTCCTAGAAAAGGAATTGCTAGAGCAAAAGACATACATATTTAAAATGTGGATAGATGTTAACTAATCTTTCCAAAAATGCTATACTAATGTCCACTCCCTCAAGTAATGTATGGACATATCCATAAAGAGGAACTTTAAAATGATCCAAAGGAATGTTTTTTCTAAAGGTTCATACTCAGAGAAGGGAATCACAAAACATCCTCCTTCTTGTTCATAGCATGGAATCTACAAAACTTTCATGAGCTACAATCGCTCTTTTATTGGTGAACTGCTCAAAGTCAAAGTCTTGGCTGCTTTCTCAGTTGGTGATCCTGGGATAAAGTACACATATGTACTAGTAGACTGCAGTCCTTCAGTTGTCTCCAGAACAGAATGCTGTGGACAGCTATAGTTGGGCCAATGACAAGATGAACTAAGAGAGGCTACGTTGTATACCCTAGTCTTTTACCTACTGTATATCTAGGTGAAGTTGGCAAAACTAGAAATGAATGGAGAAATCAACTTGGTACAGCCACAGTACACTGTGCCCTTCAGGCTCCCAGACACCAATAACATAGACAAGGACAGGAGAGAGGATGGAAAACACTAGTCTTCCCAGTCCAAAATTCTGGGGGAAGACAGTCTTGAGTGCCTTTTCCAACCTTCAGCAACTCCTCAGAGTTAATAAACATACTTAATATTTAGAAATGGCAACCTTCAGCTCTACTGAAGTGCTAATCAACAAGCCTAGGTATTATGGGTGTCCCCATCAAAAAAGTATGTTAGATTGTGACCTTATTTGGAGACAGCACCTTTACAGAAGTTATCAAGCTACAGTGAGGTCATTAGGATGGGTCCTACTCTGACTAGAGTCCTTATAATAGGAGAACATTTAGACACAGACATGCACACGGGGAGAATACCCGTAAACATGAAGGCAGGGATCAGGATGTGCATCTGCAAGCCAAAGAATGCCAAAGACTGCCAGCAAACCATCAGAAGCTAGGAGAGAAGCAAGGAACAGCTTCTCCTCACAGCCTTCAGAGGGAGCCAGCCTGGCCAGCACCTTGATCTCAGACTTCCAGCCTCCAGAGCTGTGCGATAATAAACTTCTATTGTCTAAGCCACCCAGTTTGTGGTACTTCCTTACAGCAGCCCTGTCAAACTAATACAGTGGCCATCTGCCCATATATTTTCTTTTCTACAATTAAAGCTGATGAGTTCTTCCTGAGGGCTACTATAGAATCCAGAGAGTAGTCTTCCTTCTCCATTCATACCTGAGATTCAAGTTGTCAGTCAACCCAATTACCCCAAAATATTTTTCTTTGACTGTGTCATAATTCACTTAAAGACACATAATAAGCCCTTTAAAAGCAGACGCTAATCTTTCTTCATCTGTTTTATCCCCTCAATAAATATTTTTCTTAAAAACATGTGACTTGCAATACCAGCTAGCAAAGTGGGAAAAGTAGAATGCTTTTATGTTTTTAGTTTTTATTTTTTTCATTAGACCAGAATCAGCAAATTATAGACTGTGGACCAAATCTAGCCCATCAGTTGTTTTCATAAATAAAATGTTACTGGAACACAGCCACACACATTCATTTGTCTATTGTGTAGGACTGATTTCATGCTGCAAAGGCAGAGTTGAGAAGTTGGGATACAATTGTATGGTTCACAGCCTAAAATATTTACTATTTGGCCCTTTAAGAAAAAGTTTGCTTGCTGGTTCCCATGTTAGACAATTACATGTCAGTAGGTGAGTCTGGAAGAATGAGTGAGATAAAATGAGATCACAGACTTCTCTGGTCTTAGTGATGAAATGTTTGGACTAAAACTGATAGCTTCTGAGAAAAACAAAGTGCTTGGAGCTTATAGAAGAGTATTAGCAGGATCCGATCTCACATAATTAGATTTAGCCAGCTAATCGTTGCTGAGTATATGCAGTGACACTCAGCAAGGAGAACATTGGGCCAATATCTGAAGTACAGCAGTCATTTTAAGAAAATTTATGATATATTTGTTTAGTTACATGTCCTGGCTCGTGAGAGCTGCTGTCATTTTTTTCTGCTAATTGTATTATTATAATAGTTTTCTATTGCTCTGTAACAAATTACCACAAGATTAGTGGCTTAAAACAGCATCAAATTTATCTTACAGTTCTGTGGGTCAAGCCAAGCTAGGCAGAACACACCTGTAGTCCCCACTACTTGGGAAGCTGAGGAGGGAGCATCACTTGAGCCAGGGGTTCAAGTCCAGCCTGAGAAGCATAGCAAGACTCTGTCTCTAAAAATATTTTTAATTAAAAAATTTTTTAATTCAAACAATTTAGGAAAAGTAAATATAACATTTTGAAGTATATCCTTCCATATTTTTTATATATATATATCCTTCCATATTTTATATATATTTTTATATATATTATATATATTTTTATATATATAATATATATTATATGTTATATATATTTTTATATATATTATATATATTATATATGTTATATATATATTATATATATTATATACATATATATAATATATATGTTTTATATATATATATACACACACACACATACATGTGGGAAAGACAGAGTTAGTTTTCTTAAAAATGAGATTACAAGGTCAGGAGATCGAGACCATCCCGACTAACAAGGTGAAACCCCATCTCTACTAAAAATACAAAAAATTAGCTGGGCGGAGTGGCGGGTGCCTGTAGTCCCAGTTACTCGGGAGGCTGAGGCAGGAGAATGGCGTGAACCCGGGAGGCGGAGCTTCCAGTGAGCCGAGATAGCACCACTGCAGTCCGGCCTGGGCAAAAGAGCAAGACTCCGACTCAAAAAAAAAAATGAGGTTACAGATGCTCCTAAATTTACCGTGGGTTTACATCCCAATGAACACATCACAAATTGAAAATATCATAAGGTAAAAATGCATTTAATACACCTAACCTGTAGAACATCGTATCCTAGCCTAGCCTACCTTAAGCGTGTTCAGACCACTTACATTAGCCTACAGTTGGGCAAAATCATCTAACACAAATTGTACTTTATGATAAAGTTTTAATATCCCATGTAATGTATTGACTACTGTACTGAAAGTGAGAAAGAATGGCTGTATGGATACTCAAAGTACAGTTTCTACTGAATCCATATCACTTTCTCACCACTGTAAATTTGAAAAATCACAAGTTATAGTAAGTCAGAGATTGTATGCTGCAAATAGTATTTTGTAGTTTCCTTTTTTATTTAATGAAAGTAAAGTATACTTCATATATACATATTTATATATATGAAACTATGCTTTATATCTACATTATATAGACATAATTAGGAAGACTTCTTCTATGTCCATAGATACTCAAACATATTATCATTTTAATAGCTGTCATTATAGAAATAATTATAATTTGTTCACTGAGACTTACTGCTAAGCATTTAGGTTACTTATAATTTTTCATTAATATTGACAATACATATCTTTTTGGGGTACTTTTGATTGTTTCCTTAGGAAAATTTCTGAACCTGTAAGGATGAATATTATGCACATTTTAAGGCTTTTGTATTTATTGCAACTTACTGGAAATTATTACGAAAAATATTATACACCCTAATTTATAGCAGTAACCAGTATCAGAGTCCTCATGTGTTTTGGTTGTTTTCCCCAGACAAACAGTAGAACGTGTCACGCTGCAGAACCAACTCCAACAATTTCTAGAAGCCCAGAAATCAGAGGGCAAGTCACTCCCTTCTTCACCCAGGTAATACCAGCACATTGTTGTTTAGCATTCTTAAGTATCCTAAATTGTTAAGCCTTCTTCTGAACTTCCTTTGATATATTTTAAGAGGATGACAACAGAAAACATTTTCTTCTTATAAAGAGGAATAAAAATGAGAAATCACAGTGAAAAAGGCACTGGACCTAGAGTCTGAAGACCTGCTGTATTCTCTGATTCTGCTATTTCTTCATTCCACGACTATAAACAAGTCATTTACTCTTTTGTAAGAATTGAATCTTTCAATTCTTCATCTGTGAAGTGGGAATAGGAGATATATATATATAGCTTGATAAGTTTGTTGAAAATGGAATTAACTGAGAAAATTTATGCAAAATTGATGTATAAACAGTAAAACAGACAAATTTAGTAGTCATGGTAGTTATAGCCGAAGGCATAAGGCACCTTATAGCTGATACTATGGAGTATTTGCACATTGTTTCGAAAAGAAATTATGTACTTATCTGTATTCTGTTCTTATTTACTTATACATTATTAGTGTCAGTAAAGACCATGTAGTGACTTGAGTCATTTCAACCCAGTAGGAAATCATCTCATATGTCCTTCATCTTCTTTTTAGTTCACCATCCTCACCTGCCTCCAGAAAGTCCCAGTGGAAATCTCCAGATGCAGATGATGATTCTGTAGCCAAAAGCAAGCCAGGAGTCCAAGAGGGGATTCAGGTTCTTGGAAGCCTGTCAGCCTCCAGCCGGGCTAGACCCAAAGCAAAAGATGAAGATTCTGATAAAATCTTACGCCAGTTATTGGGAAAGGAAATCTCAGAAAATGTCTGCACCCAGGAAAAACTGTCCTTGGAATTCCAGGATGCTCAGGCTTCCTCTAGAAATTCTAAAAAGATCCCACTGGAGAAGAGGGAACTGAAGTTAGCCAGGCTGAGACAGCTGATGCAGAGGTCACTGAGTGAGTCTGACACAGACTCCAACAACTCTGAGGACCCCAAGACTACCCCAGTGAGGAAGGCTGACCGACCAAGGCCGCAGCCCATTGTAGAAAGCGTAGAGAGTATGGACAGCGCAGAAAGCCTGCACCTGATGATTAAGAAACACACCTTGGCATCAGGGGGACGCAGGTTTCCTTTCAGCATCAAGGCCTCCAAATCCCTGGATGGCCACAGCCCATCTCCCACCTCAGAGAGCAGCGAACCAGACTTAGAATCCCAGTATCCAGGCTCAGGGAGTATTCCTCCAAACCAGCCCTCTGGTGACCCTCAGCAGCCCAGCCCTGACAGTACTGCTGCCCAGAAAGTTGCCACAAGTCCCAAGAGTGCCCTCAAGTCTCCATCTTCCAAGCGTAGGACATCTCAGAACTTAAAACTGAGAGTTACCTTTGAGGAGCCTGTGGTGCAGATGGAGCAGCCTAGCCTTGAACTGAATGGAGAAAAAGACAAAGATAAGGGCAGGACTCTCCAGCGGACCTCCACAAGTAACGAATCGGGGGATCAACTGAAAAGGCCTTTTGGAGCCTTTCGATCTATCATGGAGACACTAAGTGGCAACCAAAACAATAATAATAACTACCAGGCAGCCAACCAGCTGAAAACCTCTACATTGCCCTTGACCTCACTTGGGAGGAAGACAGATGCCAAGGGAAACCCTGCCAGCTCCGCTAGCAAAGGAAAGAATAAGGCAGTAAGTGCTATTTGGAGAATATTCTTTTTTTTCCTTCAAATGGATTATGTTGTTCCTAATATCACAGATTGTGGGCCCACACTACCTTGAGGGAATCCCCAGGAAAAAAAAAAATCCAAAGGGATGCATGGAAAGCCAACTTCATGTGTCTAATGAGACATGTCATGTTAGATACATACCCCTTGCTCTTCTTTTGGAAAATACTCTAAGAGAGAAAGGTTAAAAAAAAAATAAGAGATTATATTCTGGTCCATAAATTTCCCTAAATGGCCTAATCTTTAGGTGTTAGGGTCCTAGACTTGGAGGCATTTCTGCAAGATGAAACCACCAATTAGCGCAAGTTTAGTCCTGCATTGGCATTGATTCTGTCCCAAGGAAGAGTTTGTTCTCTTCATGTGATGGGATAGTTTATTCTCAGGCCCAATTAAAAAGTACATAAATAGATGCTCTATTGCCAAAGACTTAACTACACAACTTTGGGATGACCTTTGAAATGAATACACCACAGGGACCTCCACATAGGTATTTTACAACACAGACTCCTAAGTGTTGATTGGAGCCTATAGGAGCCTGAAGTGCTTGCCAGTCCACAGGGGATGGCAGAGTATGCCATGAACTACATTTTATAATTGCCTTCACTGGAAACCCATGCACTATAATCTGTGATTTATATCCAGTGGATAGGCGATATGAACATCTTTTTAGGCAATGTTTCCTGCAAGCTTTGTGCTTGCCATGCCATTAAAAAATGGTATAGCAGCCAAAATGCAAAACTCTCTGTGGAATGGAATGACCTAGATCATTCTCCATGTGATCCAGATAAACCACCCAGTGGAGCTGCAGAATCTTTGTAATTTATCATTAGCTATAATGTTAGAATCCCATTACAATGAGGTCTAAGAACTGTCCAAATTCTTTTTGCAGTACCCAAATCAAGTTTTAGTGAGTATTTCTCTAATAAGTTGAACACCAAATTTTAAATTAAATATCAAATTCCTCTGTAAATTGTCCTTGTTATAGAAGACTATATCATGTATTTGTTTCAGCTAGAAAAGGCATACTCGTGCCCAAAACACCAGACCTTTTGGGTTAAATGTGTCAAAACTTAAGTCACTCAGATCAAACTTTTCCAGGTAACTTACTGGGTTCTGCTGCTCAGTAGTAACAGAAGAATCATCTCAATTGCCCATGCTCCTTAAAGTGCATACTAAGCCACTGTCCTCTAATCTATCTATCTTCCTGCATGCTTCATGTTTACTGGGACTTGTGCATGTGCTGAGCTTGTTGCATGTTTTCAGATGATTTTTAATTGCACCTCTCTAGGAAATGTACAGCAGCTGCATCAATCTTTCCTCTAACATGCTGATTGAAGAGCATCTGTGTAACGACACACGGTACGTGGTGCTAGGAGATATGCTGTGCGGCATTGACATGCTTTGCTTTGAATTGCATGAGCTTTTAAATCATGGACTTGGAGCACCTTTCATCAGGGGATAACACCAAGGAAGAAGAAAATTACAACTATTCCCCCAAGTAGAAGCAGGCACTGATGTAATGGTAACTAGGTCTTAGGTCGCTAGTCTGCCCTTGGAGGGCTTTATTCCAGTGTCAGCCAGAAGAATCTGCTCAGTTCACAAACTTTTGCTGTATTTCCTAGTTGACTTTAGCTTTCAATCTTTGTTTTAATGGAGTCAAGTATTAAGAAAGTATTGAAATTAAATTTCCTGTCATGGTGGAGTGAGTCAGCCTCCGATCAGAACTAGAACTTTGAAACAGAGCTTTAATTTTATTTCAGTGCTGATTACAAACCAAAAGCTCCTTTTATTACCATTTTGCTGATCTCAGGAGAAGCAAGGCCTTGCCATTCTGAAATTTCTCTGTGTTAGCATTATGAACACGATTTCAGTCCATGAGCCAGGTTTATGAGTGCCCTCTAATAAAACAAGGGCCTTTCTCAAATAAGACGTTTACAATTCAAAATGCATGGACTACATAACACAGAAAGGAGAGAATCGAGTCCCCAGTGGCTGGGCCACCTCCTTGGGCAAAGTTCTTCTGCAACATAGCTTTCATCTCCCTGTGGGATGAAACCAGTATGCCTTAATTGGTTTACTTCAGAAGAGTTACATCCCTAAACCCATTTTAAAAGACTATCACTTTTTTTTTTTTTTTTTTGAAGACAGAGTCTCACTCTGTCACCCAGGCTGGAGTGCAGTGACACGATCTTGGCTCACTGCAACCTCTGCCTCCCGGGTTCAAGTGATACTCCTGCCTCAGCCTCCCGAGTAGCTGGGATCACAGGCCTGTGCCACCACATCTGGCTAATTTTTCTAATTTTAGTAGAATGGTGTTTTGCCACGTTGCTCAGGCTGGTCTCAAACTCCTGGCCTCAAATGATCCACCTGCCTCAGCCTTCCAAAGTGCTGGGTTTACAGGCGTGAGCCACCGCACCCAGTCATAAAAGACTATCACTTTTTAAATATTTAAACGAATTGAAAAATTATAACATGCCATTCAGCACTCTTCCAAAATCCTCCAAAGCATGCATGTGGGTAGGTGGATAGGTGGGTGTTGGTGTGGATGTATTTGTGTGTTGTGGGTATGAATTTTAGTTGAGAATACTAAGTTGTAAGAAAGTCACTCTGCTTTTTTCTTCCTCTAAATCAAATTTAATCTGCTCTAAGTCTTTATTCAGGCTAGAGAGAAATTAAATCTCAGTCATTTTAGGGGATGCCCCTAGGGGGCTCATTAATTCAGTATGTTAAAGGAAGAACCTTGGAGCTTCAATATTTACTGGTCACCAGTGATCTGCTTGGGTCAGGCTCACATGTTGCCAGAAGTCAGGTGTCTGAACTGCTTCCGGCCTCACCGGGGCAGGGAATCTTGGCCAATGGTGAGAGCCCAATGCCTGGGGTGGGAAAGGAATAGAAAAAAAACATACTCATTCCCCTCCTAGACCTTGGTATTAGCCCACTTCTATTTCATTTCTCCTAACCTGGGTTCCTCACCCCTATGCCCTTCTCTGTCCCCATCTTGGGAGGAATGTGTTTTCTGGTGCCTGGAAAATTCTGGTTTTGTCCTTAAGCTGAAGTTACCAGCAACCCCCTGAGGCAAGAAAGCACAAATAGTTGGCAAACTCCTTGGGAAGGGGAAGAATACTTCTTATTTCTTCCAGGCTCCTACAGCAACAGGGAGCAAGACAATTAGTATCACAGTAGATTCTCCTGCCAGAAACATTTCATTCTGTCTTTTTATAAGAAAGGGAACAAAGCTGAGACATCTGTTATAATAGGATTACAAAAATCAGAGCACAAAATGAGGTTATGGGGCTACTCAGTTATCTGATGCTAGGTTAACACTTTCCTTCTCTAAGCTTAAGGAAAAGTCCTTCTAAAGGCTCAGTTTAGATTCACTGGCTTTACTTATTAACAGAGTTTAATTTCAACAATAAATACTTAGAAACCCCAAAATAAAAATATTCACTGTATTTAAATAAGCATCTTGACCCCTTCTCCTCATTACCCTGTAAATTAACCTATACTTTATCATGGTTGTCATTTGGCATGTGTTTCCATAGGAAGTGGAAACCTTAGTTCTTTCATGCTAGAAAGGAGAGGTTTCACTCACTCATAATCACACACAGACAGAGAGAACTAGGCCGGTTCACTCCTGAGATAAAGCAAGAATGGATCTCTCTGGCTGAAATAAAGATTCTTCTGATAAATTAAGACTAGAGTGGGAATGTGGGCCTGAAAAATACCTAGGCTTGCCTAATTTTGCCTATGGGACCCCACTGCAAGAAGGAAAGGAACTAAAGTGTTCATCTCTCAGCTATGACTCCAAATCTTGGCCCCAAAATTTGCTTGACCACCAAATGGCTCCTCTCAGGTAGCAGGGATGCACAGAGTAGTATGACTTTGGAAGTCAGTGGCAGTCATTGGGTTGGAGTTGGGGCCAAATGTTATTGCCTCTACATGGCCCTATCAGCATATCCCTGGGGAAAAGAGTGAGGCGATGGATCCCGGTTCCAGGAATACATTGGAATTCCATTTTAGTTAAAAGAAATTGTTATTTTTTTCTGATAAAGGAAAAATAGGGACAATAAATATAACATTTTTAACATTTTAAAGAATGTCTGCTCTGTGAGGGCTCTGTTTGCTGTTTATTTTTCTAAATTGTTCACAGCTTGATAGCAAAAATCTAAATTTCTTTTCAATGCCCTTTAAAATTAGATTCAACTCTATTCCTTTGAGCAGCATCCCCAGTGTGATTCAACTGTAGAGGATCACTTGGTTTATAACAAGCAGATTTATCTTTACTTTATCTTACAAAAGACAAGTTGTTTTTAAGTTATTGTAACTCCAAGGAAATGTTTGCAATTACTTGTCTTAAAATGCCAGTGAAACATTCATTTCCCAGAGTTTAAGTCCATCTGAGATCTTTAGGGCACAAAGTGAGCAGTGATTCCAGTTACTGATAGGCAAAAGGGCATAACCCCTGGCCACCACCAGTAACACCCACTTTGACCACAGTTGCACAGTTGCCTGAGGGGTTAGGAAACGCCTAATCCTAGCACCAGCATTAGCATAGAGTCCTTAAAAATCATAAAGCAATAAACACCATTAGTGTGGGTTTTACTGCCAAGGTATTAGCCACACTGGGAACTTCATACTGAGAGCCAAGAGCTGGTATCAAATATTTTGCATAGATCTTAAGGTTGTTCAGCAGCCACTTCAAAGAGACTGGTCTGCTTCGCCAGTAGTGAGATGACATCTACTATAGTAATGGTCATCTGCTGTGCCCATTAGAGAGTCAGAGTTTAGGGTATCATTCCCCCACCCCTAACACACACAAACACACATTTCTGTCCTTATTGCCAGGACATCATACTAAACAGAAAAAGGAACAAAGATGTGGAAGACATTGGGAAGTAAAGGTGAGGCCCTGGCTGAAACCTGCTCCCAACCAGAGCATATCCTCAGCCCCACTAAAAAGCATTTCCAGAATCCTGATGGGAAAATGCAGCCAGTGCAACAAGACCCTGGTGCTGCTGAACAAATGTCTCCTTGCCATCATTTCTCTATATATTATCAAATAACCATATTTTAATCTTGCTTTCATTTTTTGACCTTAAAATGTTAACATTATTTTTAACTCATATGCTTGATTCTTGAAAGGATAATGATAAACCTACTCAATCATGTGGGTGTTGTTACCAAACTATGTAATATATGTTGAGTGCATCCTTCCAGAGACAGACAAATCTCACCAATGCAACAGTTCAGAAAAGTTTGTTAAAGCTGTTAATGAAAAAGTATTTAGTAAAGTAGTTGGTGCTTAACACTATAGACATTTGAGTTTTTGCTCAGAAACTGTAGTTTCATGTTTTTTATTTTTGTTTTGTTTTGTTTTGTTTTTGAGAAAGGGTTTTACTCTGTCACCCAGGCTGGAGTGCAGTGGTGCGATCTTGGCTCACTGCAACCTCCACCTCCCAGGCTCAGGCAATTTTCCTGCCTCAGCCTCCTGAGTAGCTAGGATTACAGGCGTATGCCACTACCACCCAGCTAATTTTTGTCTTTTTAGTAGAGACGAGGTTTCACCCTGTTGGCCAGGCTGGTTTTGAACTCCTGACCTCAGATGATCCACCTGCCTCAGCCTCCCAAAGTGTTGGGATTACAAGTGTGAGCCACTGCAACCAGCCTGTAGTTTCATGTTCTAAGCCCTGAACGGAAGTATAATTTTCTGTTTGCCTTTCTAACCTGCTGGCATCAGGCTGCATGCCCAATGAGCAAAAGTTGAAAGACAACAGCCAGGTGCCTGAAGTTGGGTGATTGCCTCTGCTCCAGAAACCCTTAGAGCAGCACTGACCCTCCCAGCTCCCATGCTTCCCCAGGTACTCTGTGCTCTCCCACAGTGTACCCCCAGGTGCTCCGTGGTTCCTCCCCACCAATGCTTCCCCAAGTGTTCTGTCTGTGTCCCCACCCAACCCCGCCAACTCTTTCTCTCTCTCTCACTCTCTCTCTCTTTCCTGCCTCCTCATGCTTCCTTAGGTGTTCTGTGTTCTCTGTCCTGCCCACACCCACCTCAGCCTCGCCTGTAGTTTCAAAGTATTTTCAGAAAGAAAACCCTCATTTTATACCATGACTTGGAGAAGAAGAGGAGGCTCTAAACTTGAACTATTTCTTCACATGAATTAAGCGACAGTTCCTTCTTTCAAATGTGCCAGGTTTTGGGGTTTCTATTGACCATTGCACAGTAGAATTACAGGGAATTGTTGCCAATAAGGCAGAGTCTTGTGTATAAAGAAAAAATGTCCATGTTATGAGAAGCCAGAATGATCACATCTTCCCAGTGTCTAAGCACAATTTAGCAAAGTCTTTATAGAGGCTGGCAGAGTTCCCAAGATGGATGCACAAATGGGGTGTCTTTTCATAAGCTCCTTACACTGGGAAAAGGAGAAAGCAGATTGCACCACAAGAAGACAGTGAAACAGTTTAGTTAGTGTCAAAGTATGATATGTTGAGACATAAAAAAGGCAGGGAAGACCCTCGTACTCTCTTAAATCACTATTCCAGGGAGGCAGGAAATGAATGTGTGGAGTTTGTGAACACCCATGAACCAACAGTAGGAAGACAACAGGAAGAGAACTGCCTTGGACACCAAAATCTTCCCACCAGACCATTTGCTTTCAACAAGCCGCTCCTGATTTAAGGATAGTCAGAAAACCTAAGGACAACTCACTTCTCCACCCCCACCCTCCTTTCCTTATTCCCCAGAGATCCAGTTTTGAATTGTGTGACCTCAAAGCACATACATGTTCTATTAATGTCATATTTGCACCACACGTCTGCCACCACTAGAGGCATCTTTGTACTTTAAAAGAACAGAGCCTGCCTGTATCTCTTAAGGCTGGAGTTTCAAAGAAGCAATAGGTTAGTTGAGTTTAAAAATACCAAATAGAGACTTTACACAGCCACTTTCCAGTGCCTTCATCAAGTATCCTTCCCCCGGCCAGTCACTGGTGCTCTTCGTTCCCACGCTGAGGACAGCGCGGATGGACAATCTTCCTAATGCCACATCCCTGGATGGCCGGGCCACTCTGCAAATATTTTCAGCTCTAAGCCACACATTTTGCTCTGCCAGGATAAGGCCTGATTCCTTCACTCAGGGAGATCATAATCAAGAGAGAATGAAAATAGGATTCAAGTAAAACATGGCAAGCTCTGTGAAAAAGGCCTAAGAGCTTCATGAAAATAGTAATCCCCAATAGCACCTTTGTACTCCACGTGTACTCCCAGTGTCTTGCTTGGTGCCTGGTGCATGATAGAGACTTCATAGATATTTGGAGAGAGGTGAAGCTAGAGAGAGGAAAAGTGGAAGAAGAGAGAAAAATATGAATAAAAAAAGGACTGAGCCTGTCTTCCCACAGCGGGGAAAAATGGTGTGTTCTTTATCAATATTGGCCTTCTGGTCACAAGTCCACCTACCCACAGTGAGTTTCCATTTGGGCACTTCAAATACAAGTTTTCATGCCTTGAACCAAAATCCATTTCTTAGTAGATGAGACTTATAGATGTGCTCTCAGTCAAAACTCTGAGGGAGATCACAGAAAATAGCAAGGTTTCCCTGTTTTGGTTATCAGCGGAAATGTCGTGCGTGCCGTGGACCATTCTACATGGATGCTGTAAGTTGCAGTCTGGTCACCATGGACTGTGGAAATCTGCAATCCATGCCTAGAAGAGTCAGCAAGTTAGAACACTTGAAAAACTGTTATTTAAATTTAAGCTTTTTTTCTTTCCAATTTTGGTCACTCAGAATGTGATTTCATATCCAAAAATGAAATAGAGGAGTAGCAAATTATCTGAATAATTCATGCCAGAATTACCCAAACACTTTCGTTCTTTGAATACTGTTAATTTGGGACTAGGTAATTGAAGGGTTCAGGGAGGATTGAATTATCCTGATATTTTTCAGATAAATGCCTCAAGTTAATATTTTACTTGGTACAGACTTAGCTCTAATCATAAGGGGTTTTGTCCTGCAGAAAGAGTGCTCATTTTAGTGTTTTTGACCACAGCACCTCTTATATTAAAGCAGAAATGCCCATCAAAGTCTAAACTTTATTATCTTTAGACTATGACCAAAACCTTCTTTTAAGTGTTCTATTTTAATTTATTGTTAAAGTGATATAGATACTTATAAGAGTAATACTAGCATTATAATAAAGACTGGATGTGCCCTGTGCCAAACCCACCCCCTTCCCTAGCCTCACTCTTTTGAATCGACCATTCACTTTTCCTTCAGGTGTTTTCTCTAGTATTCTCTATTTCTAAGTAACATGCTCATACAGATTTTCAGTTTCAAATAGTATCCCTGTTATCTACTGGCATTCTACTATAGAAAATCAAAATGATAGCACTTATAAACACTTATAAAGCACGTACAGTATCCCAGAGAATATTTCAGGTGCTTTACACATATGTACTATTTTAATCTTCTCAATGACACTATGTGGCAGATACTTTTTTTTTTTTTTAAGAAACAGGGTCTTGCTCAGTCACCTAGGCTGCAGTGCAGTCGTGTGATCTTGGCTCACAGCATCCTCTAACTTCTGGGCTCAAGAGATCCTCCCACTTCAGCCTCCTGAGCAGCTAGAACTACCAGCATGTGCCACCCCACCCAGCCAAGCAGATACTATTATTATCCTAATTTTGCGTATTGGAAACTGAGACATAGAATGATTACATATCTTGCCCAAGATTACATAGTAATGATGGCAATAAATTGTGGAGCCAGGATTTGAACTCAGTCTGGCTCCTAAATCCGTATTTTTAACAATGATCCAAATGTGTCTAGCTCCATTTTAGCATCCAACAATCCAACACTGCACCTGTTCTCTCTTGTTCTGTCTCTCTCTTTCCCTCTCTTTCCTATCTCTCACACACGCACCTACACACATGCACACATTCCTGCTTCCTCTTCCTCCCACCCCCATGAATATAGTTGTATCACTCTCAAGAGCTAAATCAGTATTCAGTGTTAATTATCATTATGGTTATTTAAATATTAATCACAAGGACTCATTATGTTGTCCTATGTTATATTTTCTTTCTCATACAATTTTATGTTTGCCATGGAAATAATTTTGGTTTCTTAATTTACAATGCGTTTCTAAACACTCTGCTGAAGACCAAACCATCTTTTAGCACCCTCAGACAGCTCAGGTGTTTGTCAGTTACTCTCTGTTCATGGAGACCCCTCCTCCTGCCCCCATCTTCACTGCTGCCTCCTGGCACTGCCACACAGCTATCATCCTGGAGTCTCTCATGCACATCATCCTGGGAATTCCTTGTGCTTCTCTCCTGTTTAGACTCTGTTTCCTGAACCTGTCTTTTCCTTTCTATTTTGTTTATTCTCATGCTTCAGTCATATATCTTCCCACCCAAGGAAGGTAAACAGTTGCTAATTTTTTTGAGACCCTGACAGTCTGAAAATATCTTCAATTTACCAGATTGAGTGTTTGACTCAGTATAGGATTCTAGGTGGGAAATTATTCTCTTTCAGAATCTTGAACACATCATTTCATTTTCTTTTGCTTCTAATGTGTCTGTTGAGAAGCCCTATTCTTCTCTGCCAATGGCTTGGAAGATTTTATGATTTCTTCTTTATCTCCAATATTTTGATTTTTTGATGCTTTGCCATGATGTGGGTCTGTTTTCATTCCTGGGCTGTGGGCACTCAGCAAGCTTTTTCAATCTGGAACCCTCAGTACTTCAGTTCTGGGAAATGTTTTGTACAATTTCTTTGAAAATTTTCTCTTCTCCAATTTCTCTGTTCCCTCTTTTGAAAATCCTCTTATTCTAATGTTAGACACACTGGACTGATCCTCAGATTTTCTAATGATTCTTCTCTATTTTTCCATACTTTGACTTTTTCTAGTTTGAATCTCTAATATATCTACTGAAACTTGCCTTTCAATCTTGCTATTGAATTTTTTATTTCTGTTATAATAATATTAATTTCCAACATCACTTTACTGGTCTTCTCTTTGTTCCTTTTTTATAGCTGTTTTTTTTTTTTTTTCTTTTTCTTTTTGAGACAGAGTCTTGCTCTGTCACCCAGGCTGGAATGCAATGGTGTGATCTTGGCTCACTGCAACCTCTGCCTCCTGGGTTCAAGTGATTCTTATGCCTCAGCCTCCATAACTGGGACTACAGCCACCACACCTGGCTAATTTTTGTATTTTTGGTAGAGACAGGGTTTCGCCATGTTGGCCAAGCTGGTCTCGAACTCCTGACCTCAACTGATCTACCTGCCTCAGCCTCCCAAAATGTTGGGATTACAGGCATGAGCCACCATGCCCGGCTTTTATAGAGTTTTATGTGCAAATCTTATTTAAATTTTTGCAGTCAAATACAAATGCGTATCTTTATCTTCCTTTTTACAATAAAGGTGTCGCACTGTACACACAGTTTTGTTTCTTGCTTTTTTTTATCTGACACGTTGGAGGACTTTATGTGTTAGTATATAGAGAGCTTCTTCATTCTTTAACATAGTTGCTATCATCTTCAGAAGTACACGGTGCTTCTAATTCCTGCATCTGGTAGTGCAAATCAGTTAGTTGGATTCCCTGACTGTAAGCTTGGGTTTTTGCTTTTTCTCCTCTGCTAAATCAACTCTAAATGTTCATCCACCTTTTTGTTTCTGAAATACCATTGACATTTTGTCTGTTGTATCCTCTCCTCCCATTTCCCTTATTCATCTAAATTTGTGCCTTTTTTATTTATTTTATTTCAGTGTTATTTTGCAGGATATGGAGGACAAATGTGTGTATTCAATCCATCATGTTTAATTGGAATCTCTCGCACATCTTTTAGCCAACTAGATTTTTCTTTCACCTCTTCCCTTTCCCTTTCTTGCCCATGGACAGCTCTCTAAAGTTCCAGTTAGAGGAAAAATAAAAATAAGAATTATAACTTTCAGATGATGATGATGATGATCAAATATATTCCAGCACACTGAAAATAGGCTTCATGGTCTTTGTGAGCAAGCACAATTTTGAGACTCTGGAGCCATGCCTGGGGTTCTCCTGCATCCAAATGTGGTCTCATAATAGCTAGTATCATTACCAGAAAGTGTTTTTGTCTGGTGTAGCAACAAGAAGTAATTTAGTAATATGTGGCCTTGTCCACCCTCAGAATATAGCTCCTCTCTGAAGATTTTACACCCAGAATGGGAGTAATACCTCATGAAAATGATTGCACCTACCCAAGGGAAAATTTATTTGAAAAGCAAAGCTGTTCCAAGGCTCGAGTTTGTACTCTTTTCCCGCAGACTTAGCAGGTATCAAGTACTGAGGGAAAAGGAGCATATTGTTCTTTAGCTTTTTCTTTTTCCCATAGATTTATCTACTTATGATCTTTCAACATGCTATTACTCAGTAATCACACACCAAAAAGCATTCTTCTTTAAACTTTTAAGGCTCAAGCTTATTGGAGAATAAAAGTGTCACCAGTGAATCTATCTAAATAAAATAAAAATATTTTGTTTATACTCAGCCAACAATACTATACTTCCTATCTTGTTTAACTTTGATAAAATTCCCTTGACTGTAAAATGCCTGTATTTCAATCAGTATGGTTGAGAAATTATTTCCATAGCTGAGTTAAAGAGTGTTTAGTAACTGTGTGTTATTACATGACTATTGCTTTCATTGTTTAAAGAGTAGTTTACATGAAAAGAGAATAATTTGCGTATTGGAATGAAGTGTTCTTCAGTGTGGTTTGTGTGAGGATAATTTCCATTTTTTGGTGAGCTGTTTAGTGGTATTGTCTTGTAACTTGACCATAGTTTTATCTAATTTTGGCCTGTGGTTTCTCTTCTGCTTAGGCATAATGACATCAATAGAAAAATGAAGAAATCCTACAGCATAAAGCACATTGCTGAGCCAGAGTCAAAAGAACTCTTCTTGTAAATCACTTTTTAAATTTTCTCTCACTGATGCCCTTTGGAAATTATTGGAAATTTCTGGACTATCCTCTTTGGAAAGAGAACCATGAAAACAATGCCTCACCAGCAGAAGAACAGAATATCAGGATGCCTTAAATTTATAGTAGTAGACTGTAAAAGATTCATTTTGGGGTGATATCTGTATATATAACTTGTTTTTTTAAAAGATGCCGTTTAAAAGCATGATTGGGAAAATGTATGTTTTTTAAGAGTAGATTGATTCACCCTACCCACAGGACATTCACCAAGCCACTGATACCATTTTATATTTCATCAATTGCATGAGTATTTGCTAATGTTGATTGAACCTCCCTTTCCCCATAATGTGGGCAGATTTGGCTCAGCTCCTTCATGAGATCAGGTCAGTGGTATTGTTTCTGTCAAGAGTGTTTTTTCTGTCATTTCTACTTTTTGTATAAAGGAAATAAAACAATGTTAACAGCCACCTATAAGCTTGGGGCACCTACTTTCTAACAAATCTGTGATGTTCTGATTTCTAAGGGACTTTGCAAGTATTTTGATTGCTGATATTTGATTTCAGGAACAAACTGCTCAGTTTAGCAGTTTTCCCATAGGCGTCAAATAAAACATTCTATATTTCATTAAGTACTAAAGGATCAGACAAGTATATAAAGTAAGTCAGTTCCTTCTGCCTTCTCAAATCTCAGTGTTGACATGGGAAAATATTAAGGAGAACTAAGGATTTAGCCCCTTCTTGGGTCACTTTTTTCTGCCTCTGACACATTATGAGACCTGTCTAATCCCTTTAGGAGACAGTGTGGAGCCCGAGTTCATAACAGCCCCATTGTTGATGCAACTCCTTCACTCCATGTAAGCGGTAAGTTCCAGAAGGCTTCCTCCTATCATGTAAAAATATATTTCTGTTGAAACTTCAAGAGTTTTATTTTCAAAGTGTTGGCATGGCCTATAAGAGGCCTGTCAAGTTTTAGTTTAAAAGTAGAATGTATTCTTACCAGTAGGAGGGAACACTGTATGCTATTATAGTTAGTAGCAATGTTACTGCAGCCAAATCAGTTGAATGTGAACCATTCCTGTATCCTGGTGCAGAGAGCAGATAAAATCACTGAATTAAGAGATAATCTTGCATATGTAGGTCATCTGACAAACTTGGGCTTGATGAGATGCAATTAGGTATAGAATGAGCTAATAATACCTTAGTGCCTTTTATGTACCAGACACTATTATGTGGCGATGTTACTACTCTCATTTTATAGATTAGAAAACAAAAGTTTGAAATGTCTTAAGACCTGGTTCCCAGGTAACACTACCAGTAAATCGTATAACTAGGCTTTGGTATGTATTTGCCTATTATCCCCACTGCACTAATGAACCTACACTGTGCTGTCTCCCTAGTGCACTGACTGCTGGACTCGCACACAGGAGGCATGAGTTCTGGTGTTGGCTCTTCTTCTAACAGCCCTTTGATCTCAGGAAAGGGACGTTGCCCTGCCCAAGAAATCTGGAAAGGGCAAGACAGGCCTACATGCACATCGAGGAGAAGTTTCCTTTCGAACTTACAGAGCAACACATCTGTGAATTTCAGTCCATGTGCTATGTCCTTGTCCGGGTCCTGTGAGTTGCTACTGTTAGAGCCTGGTGCCATGTGTGAACCTTCATTTATCACATGGTCTTTTTCTCAAACGAGATGCCCTCGCTCTGATTTATGGCCCCTTGGCCCTATCCACCCACTTTGATTTCTTCCTCATATTTCACTACTTTGTCCTATTGCTTGAGATTCTAATAGAGAATTTATGGCAAGCACATGTGAAATGTAGACTCCTGTGTTTTCTTTCTGCTTAGTGCAGAGGAGGTGATGGTGAGGTCACACAGCCCACTTTTGGGATTTGGCCAAAATGAAGCCTCAAAGAAAGAGGACCCAGCGAGTGCTCTCTATGTCTCCCAGAGGTCCCAGTTTTGTTCTTAAACTGTGTTTTTAAATGTGAAAGATGAAGGGGGCTAGGCAGAGATTTCATAAGCCACATAGAGTTCCCAATTAAACATAGCAAAGAAAATTTCAAGAGTTTGAAAGAAAGAGATGTTACTTTGACTTAGAAAACCCTGGCAATTCAGTTGTTCAGTGACACTAGCATTTTAGCTTCTGCAGTATGAGTACAAAAGAGCAAAGAATAAAAAAGGTAAAATAGGGAAGTTGAGCAGATTCAGATCAGCCCAAGAAATCTGGGCTGATAATGCATTCTGTTTAATGATGCTGCTAGGATACTAAAAATAATGGCCCTTAAATTATACATGTACCTATCTTTACTGTCTAAGTTCCTTATGAAATTGATACATTATGGTTGCTTGAAATTAGTACAAATGATGTTTTCCTTACAACAAACTTAGTTTTGTCCACCATTTTTTAAATGAAAATACACAAAACTCGTTTATTTTTTTCTAGAAATTGAGAAGCATTAGCATGTTAAAGAAAGTGAGAGTGCGTTTCCTTTTAGTGAGCAGAGCTTTGAGGCCCCTGTCCCAACTGCCACCCAATGGGCTAGTAAAATGAGTAAAGCTCTATCTGCATGCCTAATTACATGCAGCAGAGTAGGAAACTCAGCTCCATTGTAAAAAAAACAATCACATCTGTCAGCATCTTTTAAAGACTGGCTTCTTTTATGTCACTAAAGGGACTTATATTGCCAAAGTTCAACGCAGCAAATTAAGAATGTTTCTTAGAAAAGATAACAAGATACCAAACTGTCACCGCTTTCAGTGGATTAAATTCCCATTATTTATTCTTGTAAAACAGTATCAAGACTTCAAATCAAATAAGAAAGTTCTAGATGTGCATCACAGGGTTGGAAGTGGGGATGAGGCTTTCAAAAGATATCTTCAAGTAAGACTGACAATTAATTATTTTTCTCAAAATGAATAATTATAAGCAAAATTATGGTACAGGCTAGAGGAAATAATTATAAATATTTAAATAACTCCCTAAAAGACTCCTTGATACAAACTAGATTCAATATTTTTTCTTCAGCAGCCACCTATATCCTTAATGTTGAATTAAGTTAATAGAGCTAAGTAAGCCTAAGGAACTACTGCAACAGAGTTGGTACCATTGCTCCTCATAAAAAATGGAATTCACGCTTAGCCTATAACTCTCATTGGTTGATAGGTCTGTCATTATTGTTATGTTATCTCAGTATTATTTCCCTTTATTCTTTAACTATTGCATAGTTTTATGTAACTTTTCAAGCACTTGATTCCTGTCTCCTAATGAGACCAAAAATTTGTTAATCTCAACAGAATCTTAGTATCACCTCTCACAGATGGTGTTTAGTATCTACTAACAACTTACAGCCATCTTTCTTTTCATTTCCTCCCCAGTCTTCTTCTATTCTCTCCTTGTCCTCCTTTTCTCTCTCTCTTCCTCCTTCCTTCTCTCCCTTACTCTCTCCCCTCCCTCCCTCTTTGCTGTCATCTTCCCTCCTTTTTTCTCTCTCTCTTCTCTGCCTTCTGTTTACAAGATCACTAAACCCTATATATATGGGATCTTCCTTGAAAGAAACCTGGCAAAGAAATTGCAGTAAGTACACATGTGCTGGACCAGGTTTACAGTGAAAAGCAAGTTGCTTCTCCCTTCTTGCCAGAGCATGTGAGTGGGACAAGTGTCCCACATGCTGATATATTCAACACACTGTGATTGAACCCATGCCAAAGAATGAGGCCCTGTGCTAGGCATTCCATTTGAACAAAAAAGACCTGGAAGTTGGTATCAGCCATAGTAGCAACAAAGATAGATAAGTCTACCAAATTGTGCATTTGGAGAGACTTGTGGAAAAAACTGTTGCAACTGGTCTATAGCAGTGATTCCCAAATTTTGCTGTACATTATACCACCTAGGGGAGCTCTTAAATATTGGATGCCCAAGCTAAACCCCCAACAAATAAATCCCCTCTCTGTGGTGGAACCTAGGCCTCAGTATTTGTAAAGAAGAAGACGAAGAAGAAGAAAAAGAAGAAAGAAGGAGGAGGAGGAAAGAAGGAAGAAGGAGAAGAACAAATATTAGGATTTCCATATGCAACCAGATTTAAGTTAACAATAATTATACATATTCATGGGGTACATAGTAATGTTTGGAACCATATCATTTACAGCGATCAGGTCATGGTACTTAGTATATCCATCACCTCAAATACTTAACACTTCTTTGTGCAACTAAGTTTTAAAACCAGCACCTTGCTAACTCAAAACGTGGTCAGAACCCATCAGCATTGGCATCGGCTGGGAGCATGTTGCAATGCAGAATCTTCTGGCATTCACCATGGCTTCCACTTTTAATTTTGTGATTCTGTGAGCTGTCTATCAAGAAAATATTTCAGAAGAATAGGCAAAAAATTACCCTGACCTCAAAGAGAAATGAAGAGTAGTATATCCCTAAACCTGGGGTAGAATGTGGAGAAGAACCTATTTTGTGTTTTAAGGGAGTGTGTGTAATATGTATACAATTTGAAAATCATGTTCCATGTTGTAATTCACATGTTGGAAATTTTGTAAATCCTAAAGTTATAGAAAGTGAAACTTCTTTTCTGGAGGGGAGAGGTAGAAGACACAGCAATAATTTTTCAATCCAGGATAGGGTCATTACACTTTTATGTTTAAACATAATGTAGCTAGGTTTTCACTTGTTATGAAATATTTCTCTAAATTTCCTAAAATCAATGTTTATAGAAGTCAAATCACCAGAAAACGACTCATTATGCAGTAGCATAACCAAGACAAAGCACACTCAAAGCAAAGACCAAACCCCACCTCTCAATACCATTTCCTAGCTGCTACTGGAGGGGCTCTTCTTGATAAACCACCAAGATATATGATATTTTATTACCTTGTTGCTTAGGACACTGTTATATGTCAAACATATTATTTTGTACACACCACACACACACACATGCTGAATGCCTACCATGTACACAGCTCTGCCCCAAGTGGTGGAAGTAAATTAGCGATAAATTCATAAGAAATATTTTTGATGAAATGTGGAAAGTCTTAATTAAACAGAATGAATCTGAGAAGTACAGTGATCTGTCATGATGTTATACTCATATATGTATTTTATAACTGTATATTTTTTCTGTGGAATTTGTTCTCACAGTTGTTCAGCCAATTAGGAACAATGGCAGAAGAATTTAAATTCTATTATTTGTGGTAGAAAATACTAGTTATCTCCTCAATGTCCTTTCTCCCTTTCTTCTGATTAAAAGAACACAGTTAAATGTTCCCAGGTAAAATTACTTTCCCAGATGCCATTGAAACTGGGAATGGCCATGTGACTCAATCTGGCCAATGAGAGGGAAGTGGAATTCGTAGAGTGGGGCTTTAGAGAATCTTGTAGAGGACAAAGCTTACCTGGCACTCATCTTTTGCCCTTTGTACTACTGTGGGATACAGCACTGCTTCTTTAGCCATAAAGACAAAAGTCAGATTCTTTAAAAAAAAGAAAAAAAGGAAAGATAAGGAACCCAGCTCCTTGTGCAGCTATGTGAGCCCTGAATTGTACATATTACTTATTGAGTAAAAAAACTCTCCTAATTGACTAAATCACTGATATCTGTCTTCTGGTAGGAGCAGCCAAATATACAACCTAACTGAAATACTCAATTGACAGAATAAAGAATACACCACTGGAATAAAGCAGCATTTCACAAATCATATTCTATTTACCACTAGGACTAGGGGATGTTTGGCTATGCTCCAGGATTAATGTATATTTTGCTAATTAGTTAGGTAAACAGTGCATACAAAGTCCTGACATACACTGTGAAGCCCCACCTTCAGAAACAAAGGACATAGTCCCCCAGCTGCTGGCGGTACTGCTGGCCCAGAGCTTTCAGGTCTTAGCCTTCTCCAGGAACTGCCCTTGGCTGAAGAAAGTCACCTTGCCCAAGAGCACAACCTTTCCCTGGGCAGCCCATATCCAGTAGTGGTCAATGTGCAGGTATATAGACCCAGCCCCTAACATAACTTTGGACAATCCCAGAAAGCCATCCCAGCTTCAGACCTCCCCCACGGGTTTGTCCCAACTTCTTCCTCTACCTGACACAGCCTCTTTCTCTTCCGTAATATAGACGTTGATCCCAAGAGCCATCTATAATAAACTTCCTGCACATTAATCTCTAGGTCAGAGTCTACTTACCAGGGAATCCAGTCTGTAATGATATATTATCATGTTCATATCTCGAAGAAGTCCCAGAGTACAAAAGAAACTTGTTTAATTGGGTTGGGTGCTTAAACTGATTTATAAACCAGAGGTCTTTTAGAATACCTTTCACATCCCCCAGAGTGATTTCTACTAATGTTTAGTTTAGGATGTGCTGGAATCAATTTTAGGTCATTACACATATATGGAATTTAGACTATTCTAACTATCATGAAAGCCCAATGTCAAATCAAAATGTGTATACCGGAACAGAGCTATTAAGCCAAATGTCAAAGAAATGCAGCCAAAGTTATATTCTATTTGGATATAATTTTGTGGTCATTATTATTGAAATGTACCATTTCCAGGGTCCTTCCAAAAGCTATGGGCTCAAATTCATTTCACTGCTGATGGTTAAACTACACCCTAAGTTTCCATAGAAATGTCATCTATAAACTATGGCATTTATCAAAAATCAATATAAGAAATAGTCATATAGAAAAAAGTTTCCATATATTTTTTATAAAACTCTTATTGAAACCATCATATATTTTAAAATTCAATGGCTCTATAAGGGGCCATAAAATAAATTCCTCTTAGAGTTAGTACTAGAGAAAAAAATGCTTCTATAGGAAAAACTGGCATGCTTCTTTTTATTAGCTAATAAGAACCTTATATAACTCGTGTTTTCCCTTTTTGTCTTGCTTGCCAGGAAAAGGTCAAAAGCAAAGTTTGCATTTAATCTCAGTAGCAATCCTTAGCCTAGTTTTTTCTGGTATAACAAGCTGTCTCCAACTCCACCCTCTTCCTTTGTTCTTACATTTTTATCCTGTTTAATGGCTGTAACACACCTATGTCTTCTATTTTAAAGACCTTCTGAGAATAAGTAGGCTGAAATAAAAATAAATGTTTCCATCGTGTTTTTTCCACCCTACCTTTCTATCTGCCCAATCCTGCCCCTTTGTTTTATTTATTAGGTTGGTGCAAACATAATTGCCATTACCTTTAATGGCAAAAACTGCAATTATGTTTGCAGCAACCTAATAACTGATGTTGAAGTCCACACCAATTGTGTGTGCAAGGCAGTGCTGATTCAAAGTGTAAGACAATTGTTATCTTCAAGTTGCTTACTGTCTGTGGACGCTGGGAGAAATCACATACGCAAATATATAAAGTGCAAGACAAAAAACAATATGTGTGGAGGGACTCAATGTAGCTGAGAGGAGGGAGAAACCACTTTTGGTTTGGCTGAGGCCAAGCAGGTGCCCTGTAAGGTTTGCATTTAATAGAGGCTGACCAATATATACTCAGATGCAGTGACTGGCTGCCCATGTCCACATGTAATGTGATTAAGTGTCAAAATGAGAATCACAGATAGGAGCATAGTACTACGTGTTCACAGCCAAATGGCCTTACTGGTAGCTTGTCAAGCTCAGAGAATCTTGGAAAAGAGTCAAACAGCCCTTAATATTTTCCAACCTACAGACAGGTGGGCAGAGATTCAAAAGGGAGTTCTCTGTTTAATTCGTCTCCTTGCTCTGACCCAGATCCAGGGCCTTAGTCCTAGATCCTGAGAGTCCCTCTAAGGAGCACTCCACGTCAATGCAATGTACCCCTCCTTGTGGCAGCCCTGAATTACCCCGCTAAGAGCTCTCTGCAAGAAAGCCTGCTGTAGGGACACCTTCAGCTCTATTGTGCGCTCACCCCAAGGCCAGTGACTGAGCACAGCAGAGGGATGACAGCCAGGGCATATCCTCCCACCCTGAGACTCTTCCAAGGGCAAACTGTGGTCTGGGACTCCCCTTGACCTGGCTAAATTTTTTTCTGAATGTGTTGCAGTCTAGAGCTCTTCCTACCCCATCCTCCTTCCGAGCCACTCTCACAGTATCAGAAAGACGTTGCTGCCTACACCTGCGCCCTCCTCCTTTATCCTTCAGAGGCAAGGCCCGTAATAAATCTCTTGCACATCTAGTCCCATTTGGAGGGCTGCTTCTCAGACCGCCTGAACTGACACGCTCCCCTGACCCTCCTCCTCACCCTCATCCTTCTACTCCCCCTGTTTTTCCAAGGGTCAGCCTCCTCCTGGGTTAAGCACTCACCTTGGGCTGTCCTTTCTCGCTACTCTCTCTCCCTCCCCTGCTGGGTACGGTGGTAGTTTGGGGTGAGGATGGTGCTTAAGATCCTATAAGTGGAGGGGGCAGTGGCACAGGCCTTCTCTCCTCTCCGCAAAGATTAACTTAGTGCTGATATCTATGTCTCCTGTAACTTATGCTGAGTCTATTTCCTTTCTCAACTTGAGTTGTATTACAAAGAGCCATCTGCTGTTCGCTTATGCCTCATAAGTTCCAGGTTCAAGGACCAGGTTTTGGCTTAGTGGGAGGAAGACAGGCTAGTGGGGTGGGGGCAGGTGATATGTGATTGAGGAAGACTCACCCTACAGCACAGCTAAAATATGTTATCTGCATTCAAAAAAATAAATAAATAAAGGTTAGTAAGAGGTAGAAGAGAACTTCTGCTTTACATTAAGCTCCCTGCAATTTTTTTCTTCTCACGTTTCTTGTCTCTTACTCAAAAAATTTTGCTGTTTGTAGGTGAATAACTCATAGTTGTTGTCTCTTCCCTTAAGTTTCTCTCTCACATAATCACTCTCCATATTTACATTAATTTAGCACAAGAAACAAGTAAGCAAGTTACTAAAGTTGTTATCTATCGTTGTTGATAGCATGGATTTTCTTAATTCATCTATGTTGAAAAAGATGTACTTTTAAAAATAAATATACTTAAAGTTTTAATAAACTAGTTACAGGCAGTAAATAGCAGGTATGGGGAGTAAATATTAAGTTAGATTGAGAAGTTACTAGTCATTATATTGGTGGTTGCCTTTTTCAGCACACATGTAGGACTAATTGTCATAGCCAATTTCCAAAACCTGTAAAGACTTCAAGAAGGGAACCATTCTATTTGTGTCTTGTCTGACTGGGTTACTGGCATCCTGGCTACAGACCTCCATGTCTCTCTGGACCTGCACACACATCTGCAAGACAATTCTGGGATGTCATATTCCCAACAACTGCTGGATTGTAGTAAGTCTCCAGCAGGAAGCAATTCATCATTAAGCTTTAGAGGAATAAGAAGAGAATGGAAAATCCTTCTTTCTGCTTATATGTACAATAGCCACATTCCAAGTGAATGCCTAGATATTGTTCCTTTCCAGACTTAAACTCTGACAACCCAGAAAAATCACACCTCTGATTTTAGGGCCATTTTGCTGGGACTTACCTAGGCCCAATGGACACTTAAAAATAATCACTTTATTTAAATATCCTTCAGCCTCCTTCCAGACATGTTTCACAGGCCGAGCTTCCCCTTTCTCCTGTGTTCCTTTTGTTTTCCAGACACACCACAAACCAAAAGGAGCACACGGCCTGTGTTATACAAAATGTGCAGGAACAGGGTTTCTTGAGTGGCTACCCAATTAAGTAAATCTCCTTGCCTGGAGGAAACTAAGTTAAAATAACATTGAGGTCTGTCCCCAAGCCCGCAAAAGAGAAGAAAATGTAAAACCAGAGCTGAAAATTTCCTCTGTTGTGCAATGAGTATTGCAGAATGAGAACTCTCAGATGAAGTTTCAAGGAAGTATTAGCATTTTCCAAAGCACAAGTTCAGAGCACCCCAGTCTCCTAAATGTTGCAGGTTTGGCTGACATTAGTTTTTGGAAGATTACACTGTTAGAAACCATCAGCAATAAAGTGACTACTTGCTATTATAGCCTCTTATTTTATTATATGGTCAAGAGGATTTTCTCTTCTGCTTTTCAGTAATAAACACATGTTGAGAAAGTATGGTATGCTGGGCAGAGACCTGAGAGATCAGCTGCCTCCCAGGTGTTTCCGGACGTAGCTCATACACATGATTCCAGACACACGAAAGCATGCACCTTCTTTACTAAACCTGCAGACAATGAGATTCCACTATCCTTACTGACATTTTTAGGTTGGTGCAACCATTAATGCAAACAGTCTTTCTCCAGGCATAATCATTTCTATGGGCCTACCTGCACAGAAATGTTCCAATTTGAACCGAGTCACTTGACCAAGACAAGTACCCAATCCAGTACAAGTATAGAAAGGGGGGGAAGAGTCAATTCTAAAAGCAGAGAATTGTAAGAGAGGGATTGAATAGCTCTTTTAGTGTAAGAATTGGCACTTCATATTTTAACCATAAAAGAACTAAAATATATCCCTCATAAAGCCACATTTTATTGGTATGTATGTGGTTCAATAAGGTAAAAACCACCTTAAAGCTAATAAATACTTCATATTCTCCTTGACCTGTGGAATAAATACCCGTGAAGGACAAAGTTCTTGGGATTATGCATCATCTTGTTGGTAAATTTCCAATAAGTCAATGGTTAAGGCATCACACTAAAACAGGCAGTCTTTTTTTTTTTTTTTTTTGTGAGCAATAAAGCTGTTTATTTCACCTGGGTGCAGGTGGGCTGAGTCCGAAAAGAGAGTCAGCGAAGGGAGATAAGGGTGGGGCCGTTTTATAGGATTTGGGTAGGTAAAGGAAAATTACAGTCAAAGGGGGTTTGTTCTCTGGCGGGTAGGAGTGGGGGTCGCAAGGTGCTCAGTGGGGGAGCTTTTTGAGCCAGGATGAGCCAGGAAAAGGACTTTCACAGGGTAATGTCATCAGTTAAGGCAAGGACCGGCCATTTACACTTCTTTTGTGGTGGAATGTCATCAGTTAAGGTGGGGCAAGGCATATTCACTTCTTTTGTGATTCTTCAGTTACTTCAGGCCATCTGGGCGTATACGTGCAAGTCACAGGGGATGCGATGGCTTGGCTTGGGCTCAGAGGCCTGACATTCCTGCCTTCTTATATTAATAAGAAAAATAAAACAAAATAGTGTTGAAGTGTTGGGGCGGCGAAAATTTTTTGGGGGGTGGTATGGAGCGAGAATGGGCGATGTTTCTCAGGGCTGCTTCAAGCGGGATTAGGGGTGGCGTGGGAACCTAGAGTGGGAGAGATTAAGCTGGAGGGAGGTCGTGTGGTAAGGGGTGATATTGTGGGGATGCTAGAAGAAACATTTGTCGTATAGAATGATAGGTGATGGCCTGGATACGGTTTTGTATGAATTGAAAAACTAAATGGAATAACAGAAGGAGAAAAACAGGTATAAAAGGTCTAAGAAATGGGACGACTTGATGTCTGATTAGAGAGTGCTTAAGGAGATTTGGCATAGTCCTGCCAGCAAAGATTATTTATTTACTTCAAGAGTTAAGAGTGGCAGTTTGGGGATAGCACCAGGAGATATCAGCTGTGATGGCTTGGAGAAACAGTGTAAACAAGAGCAGGGCAGGTATGAGTAGTTGAGAAGGGTGAATAGGAGTATGGCTAGACAGAAAATAGTAGGGATGACAAGTTTTTTGTTTTTTTTTTTTTTTTTTGAGGCACAGTCTAAGTTGGTCTGGTGTCTGGAATGAGACTGGGGCCTAATAAAAAGGAGCGTCTATACAGGACCTTAAATGGGCTGTACCCTGTAGCATTCTGAGGACAGGCCTGAATTCTGAGAAGGGAAAGTGGTAAAAAGTATTGTCCAGTCCTTTTTAAGTTGGTGGCTGAGCTTGGTGAGGTGTGTTTTTAAAAGACCTTTAGTCCATTCTACTTTTCTTGAAGATGGAGGACCATAAGGGATATAAAGGTTTCACTCAATACTAAGAGCCTGAAAAACTGCTTGGCTGATATGACTAATAAAGGCTCATCTGTTATCAGACTGTATTGAGGTGGGAAGGCTAAACTGAGGAATTATGTCTGACAGAACAGAAGAAATGACTGCGGTGGCCTTCTCAGACCCTGTAGGAAAAGCCTCTACTTATTTTGAGGGCCTCTAAAAGTATTAAAGCAGCGGCAGCCACTGCACGCAGACATGAGGGCTAGGCTAAAACAGTAAGGTCAAGTTGTTTGGACAGAAAGGCTACAGGGTGTGGTCCTGGCTCTTGTGTAAAAACTCTGACCGCGCTAACCATGCCTAGGAAGGAAAGGAGTTTTGTAGAAGGTGCTTGGGTTTGAGAGATCAGTCGGACACGATTGGCAGGGAGAGCACGTGTGTTTTTATGAGAATTATGCCGAGATAGGTAACAGATGAGGAAGAAATTTGGGCTTGATGGAAGTAATGGGGGCTGTCTGTGAAGCTTTGCAGCAGTACAGCCTAGGTAATTTGCTGAGCTTGATGGGTGTCAGGGTCAGTCCAAGTGAAAGCGAAGAGAGGCTGGGATTAAGGGTGCAAATGAATAGTAAAGAAAGCATGTTTGAGATCTAGAACAGAATAATGGGTTGTAGAGGCAGGTATTGAGGATAGGAGAGTATATGGGTTTGGCACCACGGGGTGTATAGGCAAAACAATTTGGTTGATAAGGCGCAGATCCTGAACTAACTTGTAAGGCTTGTCTGGTTTTAGGACAGGTAAAATGGGGGAATTGTAAGGAGAGTTTATAGGCTTTAAAAGGCCATGCTGTAGCAGGCGAGTGATAATAGGCTTTAATCTTTTTAAAGCGTGCTGCGGGATGGGATATTGGTGTTGAGTGGGGTAAGGGTGATTAGGTTTTAATGAGATGGTAAGGGGTGCATGATCGGTCGCCAAGGAGGGAGTAGAGGTATCTTATACTTGTGGGTTAAGGTGGGGGGATAGAAGAGGAGGACACAAAGGAGGCTTTGGATTGGGAAGAAGGTCAGCAATGAGATACAGCTGTAGTCCAGGAATAGTCAGGGAAGCAGATAATTTAGTTAAAGTGTCTCAGCCTAATAAGGGAACTGGGCAGGTGGGGATAACTAAAAAGGAGTGCTTAAAAGAGTATTGTCTAAGTTGGCACCAGAGTTGGGGAGTTTTAAGAGGTTTAGAAGCCTGGCCGTCAATACCCACAACAGTTATGGAGGCAAGGGAAACAGGCCCTTGAAAAGAGGGTAACGTGGAGTGAGTAGCCTCCGTATTGATTAAGAAGGGGACGGGCTTACCTTCCACTGTGAGAGTTACCCGAAGCTCGGCGTGCGTGATGGTCTAGGGGGCTTCCGAGGCGATTGGGCAGTGTCAGTCTTCAGCCGCTAAGCCGAGAAGATCTGGGAAGGAGTCGGTCAGAGAGCCTTGGGCCAGAGTTCCAGGGGCTCTGGGAGTGGCTGCCAGGTGAGTTGAACAGTCCGATTTTCACTGGGGTCCCACACAGATGGGATACGGCTTAGGAGGAATCCCGGGCTGCGGGCATTCCTTGGCCCAGTGGCCAGATTTCCGTCACATGTAGCAAGCTCCTGTGGGAGGAGGTTCTGGAGGAACGCCTGGCCGCTGCAGTTCAGGCGTTTGGAAGTTCTTGTGTGCTGGAGATGTGGCTGGGGTTTGTCTCACAGTGGAGGCAAGGAATTGCAACTTTTTTCTATTATGGTACACCTTGAAGGCGAGGTTAATTAAATCCTGTTGTGGGGTTTGAGGGCCGGAATTTAATTTTTGGAGTTTTATTTAATGTCGGGAGCAGATTGGGTAATAAAATGTATTTTGAGAATAAGACGGCCTTTTGACCTTTTAGGGTCTAGGGCTGTAAAGTGTCTCAGGGTTGCTGCCAAACAAGTCATGAACTGGGCTGGATTTTTATATTTGATGAAAAAGAGCCTAAACGCTATCTGATTTGGGATAAAGAAAAAGGAGCATTAACTTTGACTATGCTTTTAGCTCCAGCCACCTTTTTAAGAGTAAACTGCTGGGCAGGAGGGGGAGGGCTAGTCACGGAACAAAACTGTAAGCCGGACCAGGTGTGAGGAGGGGAGGTGATAAAAAGATTATAGGGTGGAGGAGCAGAGGCTGAGGAAGAATTGGGACCTAGCTCGGCCTGGCGAGGAGCAAGCAGGCTGGGGAGGAAGGGAGAGGTCAGATGGGTCTGTAGAAAAGGAAGATTAGAAAGGCTCAGCGACGCTTGGGGTTGGTACTGAGGGGACAGGCGGGAGGGAAAGAAGGAAGATTTGGGACGAGTTGCACTGGTCACAGAGACTAGGAAGGGACTGATGTGTAAAAGAATGCCTGGACGTCAGGCACCTCAGACTGTTTGCCTATTTTACGACAAGAATTATTTAGATTTTGCAGGATGGAAAAATTCAAAGTGCCATTTTCTGGCTATTTGGAACTACTGTCGAGTTTGTATTGGGGTCAAGCGGCATTGCAGAAGAAAATAAGGCATTTAGGTTTTAGGTCAGGTGTGAGTTGGAGAGGTTTTAAGTTTTTGAGAACACAGGCCAAGGGAGAAGAAGGAGGAATGGAAGGTGGAAGGTTGCCCATAGTGAAGGAGGCAAACCCTGAGAAAAGAGAGCATAGAGACACGGAGGAGGGGAGTGGGGTTCTTGCCCTCCAGAAAAGCAGAGAGGGGGTTGGGACACGGAAATAAGGGATTGGGGCACAGAGATAAGAGGTCAGGGTGCAGAAATAAGCGATTGGGGGGTTCTTGCCCCCTAGGAAAGCGGGACTTGCCGCTAAGGGTGAAGGACCAAGGCAGGCGTCCCTGCGTGGTCTGACACCCTTGAAACATGGCTGAATGATCAGAGAGGCGTCCCTGCAATGATTAAACACCAAGGGAAGGTTGCCTTCCCAGTCCGTGACCGGCGCCGGAGTTTTGGGTTCACGGATAAAACATGTCTCTTTTGTCTCTACCAGAAAATGAAAGGAATTGAAATTAAGAGAAGGGAGAGATTGAAGTGTGGCGCCAAGATTGAAAGGAGAAAGAAGTTGAGGGATAGCGAGGGAGGTTGGAGAAGAGAGTAAAAAGAGGCCGCTTACCGGATTTGAAATTGGTGAGATGTTTCTTGGGCTGGTCGGTCTGAGGACCTGAGGCCATAGGTGGATGTTTCTCACGGAGCAAAGAGCAGGAGGACAGGGGATTGATCTCCCAAGGGAGGTCCCCCGATCCGAGTCACGGCACCAAATTTCATGCGCGTCCATGTGAAGAGACCACCAAACAGGCTTTGTGTGAGCAATAAAGCTGTTTATTTCACCTGGGTGCAGGTGGGCTGAGTCCGAAAAGAGAGTCAGCCCAGGTAGTCTTAATGACAAATTCATATCCAAAAACCAGCACTATCAGACCACAAGTTACAGATATCTTTGAATGAATTTAGTTAACCATTAATTAAGTTTAGCACACACTAAACCTAGTTTAGATTCACCTCCCCTCCTCCAAGTCCCCACAAAGATCAATTACACAGGAGTTACCTGGTTTATTTCCATATTAATGCTTGATATCTAATATGGCTTGTTAACATAGCTTACCATATTTTCTGGGCATAAGTGTTTATGGGAAAAACTTCAGATTTATACAAGGTTTTGGACATGTGACTCATATAAACTGGAATAACAGCATTGTTGCTAAAACTTGCCGCTTGCTTTGAAGCCTCATCATACTGTTCTTGGGAAACCATTAAGCAAAATGCCCTGAAGGGTAGGAGAAATTGCATTGAGCAATAAAATGTCAACAAACTGCAGAATTTGAACATCAAGCACTTTCATCTAAATATGCCCTTCTCTCCTTTCACTTGGCAGGGGTTTGGTTTTTGAAAAGTAATAAACTCTAGCACTCTAGTTGACCTGGGATGTGTTTAAGAAATCAAATCTTAGAGCCAGAAGCAGTATAACCTTTAATGTGGACTCCCCACCTCGGAAAAACCATAGAATGAGAAATATAAACAGAAAAGTAGAACAGAAATATATATCTCAATTGTCTAGATATTTAATTTTTTTAAAGAGGGTACACACCAAAACCCTAGGCCAGAAGAAACAATCTTAAATCTGTTTAAACAGGTGCTCAGTTCTTACTATCATCAACAGCAAATGACTATAATCATAGCACAAAATAAGAAGTATATGAACAAGGAAAACCTATTCATAAGTCTGCATAACTTTTATAAACCTGGGATGGACACAGCTCAATCTCAGAGCAGGTTTGCAGTCAAGAAACAGCTGCCCACAGCCAAAAGTAATTTCAAAACAACTGAAACCCTTCACTTATGTTTCTTAAGAACCATAAAGGGGATCTACATTCAAAGACCATACCAATATTTATTAAAACCCCTTTCGTCTTCTACCCTTCCCCCGCAAACTTGCTGCCAATCCAACACATTACAATTCATGATTCCCCATAACTTGTCTCAACACTTTATTCTATTTTCTGTCTGTCTTTACCCTCTCTTTTCTATATCACTTTATTATTCAGACTGACCTTACCTCTCTCCTAGCAGAAAAGAATCCCTACTTACAGGAAGAAAAAGGATCTAGAAATTGATCTGGTAAATAGAGAATTCCCTTAGGCTTGGTAGGGTAGAGGAATAGATGGAAAACAACCCACGTGATGAATATGATCCCAACTTATATATTTAACTGTATCATGAATTAAAAACTCCTGAAGGGTAAGAGCTGTAACTTCAGTGTACCCTAAAACTGAGACCTAAAAAATCTGGGAGACATTATATGGATACATGCTGTTTGCATAGTTCTAGTGATAATGAATGTTTGCCTTGAATGACTCATGTTGATTAAAGTACAGAGAAGGACATCTCTGTTTCGTACCTCAAAAGAGTCAAGTTTCCTTTTGGAACTATAAATCTAATAGGTTACCAAATGGAGGTCTAGAATTTCTTGGAGAAGGAAGGGGCAGGAGCCATAACAGAATGCCAGTCATGGACAATGGGAAATGTTCATACCTGCATGTAGAGAACATTGTCTCATGGTTTGGAATATTAAATCAGGGATTGCATATACATGACTAGCATTCATCTTCTAATAAGTTCTATCCTGCAAAATTGGGGATTGTGAATCCAAATGCTTAGAAGAGTCAGGCTGTGTCCTAATTGAGTGACATTGGCAGACTGATAACTATGGCAATATGAGAGAACATATCCTATCTAAGCAGGAGTAATTTTTCTATTTCTACTAATTCTTATCATGTAGGAATGCTGGCTCAGTATTGTCAGATTCTCAGTGTTCCAAGATAGCCTGAAAATCCAAATGCTATATGTGATATTCCTCAAATTTTAGGTGTTGGCAGTTTAATATTTTTTATCACTATGACGACCAAATAGCCACACCTGTGGGCTGATGCAGCTCACAGACTACGTCACTCCTGGAAAAAAATAATAATAATCAACCTTCAAGAAGCAATGAATATAATATATAAATATTTTGTCTCTACTTGATTCAATATGAATATTCAATAGAAAGAATTTTCTGCAAAAACCATTCACCAACAAATAAAAAGGCTTAGAAGAAATCAAACAAGTGGCAACTTTGCAAAAAAATGAATTCAACTAAACATATAAAAAATGTAGTCTCAGGCCGAGAAAAAATCAGAATGAAATAGGAAACTATCTTGAAAGAGGATACCCTTACCCAACAATTCCACTTATTAGAAACCATACAAAAAAATTTTAATTGCACAAAGATTAATATATAAATATATTCATTGCAACAATTTGTAACTGAAAAATTAGAAACTACCAAGTTAATAGGTGCTTGGTTTAAATAAATTTTGTATGACATATCTACAATGTGCAAAACTATACACTCATTAAAAATGATGCTGCAGAAAATTTATTTAGTGGAAAGATTTTCTTGATATTATTAAAAACACAGGTAATAAATACAAAGAAAGTATGATTTCATTTTCTTACATGTTCGTATCTTTGTGTGCATATGTCTGGGTCAAAGAAGAAATTACAAAGGAAATTTAAAGATAGTTTGAATGAATGACAGTGAAAAAATAACAAAACTTGTGGCATGCACCTAAAGCAGTGCTTAGTAGTAAATTTTTAGATTTTAATGCTTACACTAGAAAACAAGTAACATTTAAAATAATTATATGTTTCCACATTAAGAAGCTATAAAAAGAAAAGCAGGCCAGGCATGGTGGCTTATGCCTGTAATCCCAGCACTTTGAAAGCTGAGCAGGGTGGATCATGAGGTCACGAGGTTGAGACCATCCTGGCTAACACAGTGAAACCTCTTCTTTACTAAAAATACAAAAAAATTAGCCAGGCATGGTGGCAGGCGCCTGTAGTCCCAGCTACTTGGGAGGCTGAGGCAGGAGAATGGCATGAACCTGGGAGGTGGAGCTTGCAGTGAGCTGAGATCATGCCACTGCACTCCAGCCTGGGCAACAGAGTGAGACTCTGTCAAAAAAAAAAAAGAAAATTAAACTCAAAGTAGAATAAAAAATGTAGCAAAAATAGGAGCAGAAATTAATGAAAAATAAAACAAACAATAGAGAAAAATTCATGAAAACAAAAGTTAATTATTTGAAAAGATCTATAAAGTTGATAAACCCCAGGATGACCAAGAAAAAGGAAAAAGAAAGACCATAAAACACTAATATCAGAAATGAAATTGTCATTATTACTGTAAACTCTATGGCCAATTTAAAAGATAATAAGAATATTATGAACAATTCTATGATAGTAAGTTTGACAAAATAGAAGAAATAGACAAATTCCATAAAAGATATAAATTATCAAAATTGACACAAGAAATAAAAATCTGAAAAGTCCTATATATAGCAGAGTAGTACATCTAATAGATTGAATGTGTGATTTAAAAAAAAAAAAAAAAAACTTCCTTCGAAGAAAACCTCCAGTCAAGATGGCTTTACTAGTGAACTCTGTCAAACATTTAAGGAAGAAATAATACCAATCCCACACAAACTCAGAAAATAGAATAGCAGGGAATATTTTTTGACTCATTACCTTGATATTAAAACCAGACAAATACATTGAAGGAAAAGAAAATTACAGATAAGTATGCCTTGTGAAAGTAGAAGCAAAAAAGTCTTTAATAAAACTTTAGCGAACTAAAGCTAGCAATATATATAGATTATAATACATCATGACCATGTGGGGTTTATTCCAGGAATAAAAGGTTGATTTGGTAAAACAATCAATGTAATGCATCATAATGAGACAATAAGAGAAAACCATATATGAATAGATATGTAAAAGCATTTAAGAAAACTTAATACACATTTATGAATGAAAACTTTCAGCCAACTAGGAAAAAAAGTAACATTCTTAACATGATAGAAGGCAGCTAAGAAAGGCCTATAGTTAACATTCTATATTAATAGTGAAAGAATTACTGCCTTCACTAAGATTAAAATTGTCTTTATTCACAAATGGCATAATTGTGTACACAGAAAATCCTAAGGAATCTACAAAATGAAGTACTAGAACTAATTGAAAATTTTGCAAGGTTTCAGTATACAAGGTGAGTAAAAATAAATTGCTTTTCTATATATTAGCAATGAATAATTGGAAAGTAAAATTTTAGAAAAATTTTGCAATTGCATCAGAAAGCCAAACAACCTAGAAGCAAGTTAACAAAACGTGTGTAAGACTTATACACTGAAAACTACAAAATATTGCTGAGAAAAGTTGAAGATGACCTGAAAAGTAGAGAAATAAACTGTGTATATGAATTGAAAAATTCAATATAGTTATGAAGTCAATTGTCCCCAAATTGATCTGTAACTTCAATAACAGTCAAATGCATGGCAGGATTTTATTTTTTGAGAAATTGGTATGCTAATTCTAAAATGTGCATAGAAATGCAAAGGACAGAGAAAAGCCAAAATATGGAAAAGATCAAAGTTAGATTTACACCTTTTTTTTTTTTTTTTTTTTTTTTTTTTTGAGATGGAGTCTAGCTCTGTCGCCCAGTCTGGAGTGCAGTGGTGCCATCTCGGCTCACTGCAAGGTCCGCCTCCCGGGTTCACACCATTCTCCTGCCTCAGCCTCCCGAGTAGCTGGGACTACAGGCACCCACCCGCCACCACGCCCGGCTAATTTTTTTTGTATTTTTAGTAGAGACGGGGTTTCACCGTGTTAGCCAGGATGGTCTTGATCTCCTAACCTCGTGATCCACCCACCTCGGCCTCCCAAAGTGCTGGGATTACAGGCATGAGCCACCGTGACTGGCCTAGATTTACACCTTTTAAGATTTGCTGCAAAACTAGAGAAATCAGACAGTTGTATGAATATAAGGATAGAGATATAAATCAATGGAATAGACAGTGCAAAAATTGACCCACACATATATGGTAAATTGATTTTTGACAAAGGTCCCAAGGTAATACATTTTCCCAAGTGGGAACAATGTAGCCTTTTTAACAAGGGGCCCTAGAACAACTGGACATCAGTGTGTGCATGATAGTTAATTTTATGTGTCAATTTGGCTGAGACATAGTGCTCAATTATTTGGTCATTATTCTAGATGTTTCTGTGAGGGTGTTAGTAAATGAGATTAACATTTAAAATGAGGAACTTGGGCTTTTTTAACTTTTATTTTAGGTTCAGGGGTACATGCGCAAGTTTGTTACATAGATATACTTGTGTCATGAGGGTTTTATGTACAGATTATTTCATCATCCAGGTACTAAGCCTAATACCCAACAGTTATTTTTTCTGCTTATCTCCCTCCTCCCACCCTCCACCCTCTGATAGGCCCCACTGTCTATTGTTCCCCTCTTTGTGTCCATGTTTTCTCATCATTTAGCTCCCACTTATAAGTGAGCACATGTGGTATTTGGTTTTCTGTTCCTGGGTTAGTTTGCTAAGGATAACGACCTCTAGCACCATCCATGTCCCTGCAAAAGACGTGATCTCATTGTTTTTTATGGCTGCACAGTATTCCATAGTGTATATGTACCACATTTTCTTTATTCAGTCTATCCTTTATGGGCATTTAGGTTGATTCCATGTCTTTGTTATTGTGAATAGTGCTGCAATAAACATACACATACATGTCTTTATGACAGAACTATTTATATTTCTTTGGGTATATACCCAGTAATGATAATGCTAGGTCAAGTGGTATTTCTGTTTTTAGCTCTTTAGGGAATTGCCACACTGCTGTCCACAATGAACTAATTTACACTCCCACCAACAGGGTATGTTTCCTTTTCTCCACAACCTCACCAGCACCTGTTATTTTTTGACTTTTTAGTAATAGCCATTCTGACTGGTATTGAGATGGTATCTCATTGTGGTTTTGATTTGTATTTCTCTAATGATCAGTGATATTAAGCTTTTTTCATATGTTTATTGGCCCCATGTATGTCTTCTTTTGAAAAGTGTTTGTTCATGTCCATTGCCCACTTTTTAATGGGGGTGTTTGTTTTTTTCTTGTAAATTTGTTTAAATTCCTTAAAGATGCTGAATATTAGAACTTTGTCAAATGCATAGTTTGCAAATATTTTTTCCTGTTCTGTAGGTTGTCTGTTTATGCTGTTGATAGTTTCTTTTGCTGTGCAGAAGCTCTTTAGCTTAATTAGATCCCATTTGTCAATTTTTGCTTTTTTTGCAATTGCTTTAGGCATCTTTGTCATGAAATCGTTGCCAGTTCTTATGTGTAGAATGGTATTGCCTGGGTTATCTTCCAGGGTTTTTACAGTTTCGGGTTTTACGCTTAAGTCTTTAATCCATCTTGAGTTGATTTTTGTACATGGTGTAAGAAAGAGATCCAGTTTCAATCTTCTTCATATGGTTAGCCAGTTATACCAGCATAAAACAGTGAACTTTGAGTAAAGCAGATTGCCCCACATAATATGGGTGGACCTCATCTAATCAGTATAAGTAGTTAATAGAACAAAGGTTGACTTCCCCTGAGCAAGAAGGAATTCTACTAGCAGATTGCCTTTGGACTTGAATTGCAACTCTTCCCTGATTCTCCAGCCTACTGCATCAGATTTAAGACTCACCAAGCCATTTTACTGTGTGAGCCAATTCCTTAAAATAAGTCAATCTCTCTCCCTCTCTCTCTTTCTGGTATATGCAATATAGATTATTCTCAAAAACATCACACTAAGCAAAAGGAGACTGATACAAAAGAATATACACTGTGTGATTCCATTATATAAATTTCAAGAAAAAATAAAACTATACTGAAAGAAAAAATAATAGTAGTTGTCTACTGTGTGGGTCAGGGTGATAGGTGGATTGACTGCAAAGTAGGATGTAACAACTTCTATGTGTGCTGGAAATATTCTATATCATGATTGGGGTGATTGTTACAGAGATATATATATATTTTCAAAACTCATCAAACTGTACAGTAAAACTGATGATTTAAAAATCATACCTCAATGAAGTCGATTTTTTTAAACATTTTCTAAAGAGTGTCCCACTGCTGCTCCACACTGTGTGAGACCTCCTGCACACTATAAGCCCCAAATGAAAGCTCATGCGAAGTTATGATTCTGAGGATCAGCACACACATCTCCCAGCCCTTGTGTGCTCCACCAGGAGAAGAACTTCCAGGCAGTGATCTCAGATCAGGATGCATATGACAATCACCTGGGGTGTTCATTAAAAATACAGATTCCGGCCGGGCACGGTGGCTGACGCCTGTAATCCCAGCACTTTGGGAGGCAGAGGCGGGCGGATCACGAGGTCAGGAGATCGAGACCATCTTGGCTAACACAGTGAAACCCCGTCTCTACTAAAAATACAAAAAATTAGCCAGGTGTAGTGGTGGGCGCCGGCAGTCCCAGCTACTCGGGAGGCTGAGGCAGGAGAATGGCGTGAACCTGGGAGGCGGAGCTTGCAGTGAGCGGAGATAGTGCCACTGCACTCCAGCCTGGGCGACAGAGCGAGACTCCGTCTCAAAAAAAAAAAAAAAAAAAAAAAAAAATACGGATTCCTGGGCCCTATCCCTAGAAATTTTGATCTTAGGTCTACTTTATTTATTTTATTTTATTTTTTGAGTCACTCTTATTCTGTTGCCCAGGCTGGAGTGCAGTGGTGCAATTTCGACTGACCTCCCAGATTCAAGCAATTCTCGTGCCTCAGCCTCCCGAGTAGCTGGGACTACAGGCATGTGCCACCACACCCGGTTAATTTTTATATTTTTAGCAGAGATGGGGTTTCATCATGTTGGCCAGACGAGTTTCAAACTCCTGACCTCAGGTGATCCACCCACCTTGGCCTCCCAATGTGCTGGGATTACAGGCCTGAGCCACCACGCCCGTCCAAGGTCTGCTTTAAATCCAAGGCAAAGGGCACACTGTCCTACTTTCATTGCTTGCATCCAACTGCACTATATTTAAAGTCACTGCTGCAAGGCTCTTTGCTGAAACTCAATTCTCCCTTGTGTCTGGGGCTGCCATTGGACACTTGCCCCACTGTTTAAAGAACTGCCTTTTTCAAATTTAAGCAGCTCAGAAGACAAATGATGTCACTCTTATCATTTATACACCAAATTATGAGGGCTCTGAGAAAAATGAACAGAAAGCCCCGTCTTTTTCTGGGGTTCTCTCCCCTTAGCAATCCCAGGAACCTCTAGGAAAGGTTACATAAATGCAGGAATCAGTCCTACTCATCACCACTGCTTGTCAGGGGAGTGGGAACCCAGACTTTCCCTTGAAATCCAAGATTAAGGATAAAATCCTTTAATGGCAAAAGTGAGAAGGAGGACTCTGCTCTGGTTCCAGGTCAAGGTGACGCTAAGTAACCTTACTATTTAACTAGTTTGTTAATTCATAGAGTTTGTTTTCTGAAGCCTATGCCACAAGACCATGAAAATTATGGTGACTAGGAAATCCCTTTGTTTGGTCTGATTAGAAAAATATTGAAGATTGTACATGAAGAACAGATGTATGTGAGACTCCTAGCATGGCCCTAGTAGAGGGCCATGACTGTTCGCTGATGATGTCCACCTAAGCAAGGCTTTGTTTACCTCCCCCTAGCTTACATGGCTGACTTTACCAAAAAAGCTTCGGGTGGAAATGGGTGTGTGTGAGACAGCAATCCTGATTTTATGATTCTCAGGTCCCAGAAGAATAGACGAGACAATGGACCATATTTCAAACTGCACATTTTCTTTAGGCCTCACTCACCCTTTAATATAAATGTTTTAATCAATTGGGATACAGGCTATTGATGAGAACTTCGGGGATTGGAACTCTAGCTCAGTGAAGAAGAAACAAGATAAATCTCTGTGCAGATCAGTAGAACAGTCAGAGATGAAAGGGTTTAGAAAGCAGATGGCAGTATGAGAAAATTCAATAGCTAGAGTACAATAAATGGAGTGCAAGAGGGTGGTGGAACGCAGAATGCAAGCTTGACCTTCTCTACAACTTTGCCTGGGGCCCTGGTGACAGCTGTTAACTCAACTTCTCTACATTTTTGCCAACAGAGCCACTTTGGAAAATAGAGTACATCTGCCATGATTCGGTACAATTTCCACTAGTAAAAATTCTGATTTGTTTTCATGTCTTCCTGATTCTCGCCAATGAAAAGAAAAAAATAGAGACAAGCCAATTACTCACCTAAACATTCCCCCTTGTCAATACGATATTGGCAGAATTTCCCTAGTTGTGTATTCCCAACTCTTACTTTGAAGCATTTAACCATTTATACAACACTACATATTATTAAGCCTCTACTCTGAGCCAGGAATCAGAAAGAGCTAGAGATTTACCCTCAAACATCACAATGTCCCTTGTTTATCTGTGCTAAGCTGGTGGCCATGAATTTCTCTCAATGTGGAGTTGTAGGTTCTTTAAGCCACTGCCTACTATGTAAGCAGTAACTCTTCATATTGTTCCTACACTTACCTCTTTTGGACTACAGAGATTAGAGTATATTAGTATTATAAAAAACAGATAAAAATTAGTCTAAGTAAGCTTATATTCTAGTGAATAAAATAATTGACAAAGAAAAATAAATATCTAAATCAAATAGTGATAAGAAATAAAGTATAAGTTAAGTAAGGGGCTAGAGAATGACAGTAGAGCTGGTGACTTATTTAAACTGGTGGTTAGAAAAGGCCTTTCTGAGGAAGTAATACTTGAATCGATATCTAAATGAAGTGAGAGAATAAACCAGGTAGAGATCTGGAAACAGTATTCCAGACCAAGGAAAGAGCAAAAATGCAAAAAGCCTGAGGTGGGAATGAGCTCGTCATACTTCAGGAACAGCAAGAAATCCACTATGGCTAATATGGAGTGAATAAGGCCAAGTGATAGAAGGTAAGATCAGCAACAAGCAGAGGACAAATCATGTGGGGATGTAGGAATCTAAAAGACCTGTAGGGAAATTTTTGAGTAATTTTCTAAGGTCAGAGGTATAATTTGTCCCACTTCCCCTATACTCCACAGAGTATTTTAAAAGTAACCTAGAAGCTAAGGTCACCCTAAGTTTCTGAAGTCAAAGTCTGTCCTTATATCTTATAGTCCCAGTTATCATCCATTATAAAGTAGACCACAAAGTAAGAGCAGAGCAGAATGAGAGAAGGATGAGTAAACCCTAAAAGGAATGAGATGAGTAATAAAATTTTGAAAAGAAAAGCTACACACTGGGAGATTTAACTGAAATTTTATGCCATGGAAAATGTGATAGGATCCTAATGGAATTATCTTTATCCTGTTCCTAAATATGTCTTTCCAATAAATGTATAGTCAATTTTATTTTTACAGATGTGTAAAGAGAAGACTCTGGAAGCTCAGTCTTTCATGAACAATTCCCATATAGTGAGTCCTCAAGGAGTGGCCAGAGAAGGCCCTCAGGTAACAGGCACTGGATCTGCAGAGCCAGTGCCCAGGTCTGTCATCCAGAGCGGGATCCATTGGCAGGCCAACTGGGCAGAGTAAATTAGAAACATGGCACCTGTCAACTTGGGTATCTATCCAGATTGTAGATCACACTGCTAAAATACAAGTAGGTACTGCTTTCAACAAAGTAGACATATCAAGTGGAACCATAAAAACCATTCCTCCAAAAAAGCTGTCTGCCCAGTACAAATCTTGAAACCAGCCAGTTAATATTTTTCTAAAATCAAAATATTAGGCTGTGTAGGCTCACGCCTGTAATCCCAGCACTTTGGGAGGCTGAGGTGGGCAGATCACTTGAGGTCAGGAGTTGGAGACCAACCTGGCCAACATGGCGAAACCTTATCTCTACCAAAAATACAAAAATTAGCCTGCTGTGGTGGCACACACCTGTAACCCCAGCTATTTGGGAGGCTGAGGCACAAGAATTGCTTGAACCCAGGAGGCAGGAGGCAAAGGTGGCAGTGAGCCAAGATTACGCCACTGCACTCCAGCCTGGACGACAGAGCAAGACTTTGTCTCAAAAATAAATAGATTAATTAATTAATTTAATTTAACTAATGCATGGGACAATACTATTTATTGAAAATGGAATTATTTTATTATCTAATGCTTGGATACCTGAATATGTTGTCCAAGAAATTAGTCCAGAAAACGGAAATTCCAAGACGATTGCAACAAAATAAAAAGAAAATGAAGTAAATTCATACTTCCCATATAATAATGTCTTAATTTTGAGCATTAAGTAAAAAGTACACAACTTTGATTAATAAAAAAAATCAATATCTCCTCAACCTTACTAAATAAATGTTAAACAAATATACAAATAATTTATCAGTTTGAAGGGATACCAAGTTGTTCGCCTTGCATGGAGCCTCATATTTCTGGGTCCAGCCCTATTGTCATCTCACTTTCTCAAATGTACCAAGATCCAGGAAGCTCTTGCCCTAAATGGAAATGAAGATTCGATCCCAGCTGATCCTAAGTTCATATCTGAGAAAGAACCAACAGTGCTGGCCAACAGGTAAATGAAAGACATGGAGTTGAATATGTTTTTCCTCATATGGAAAATATGATATTTTGGGATTCAGATATAAATCTAAGAGTCCAAAAGAGGTAAACTTAGGAATAATATAAGAAATTACTACTTACCTAGCAGAACGTACAACCCCACATTGATAGAAATTCATGACCACCAGCTTAGAGTAGGTAAATAAGGGCACATCTCTGGCTTTTTCTGGTTACCTCTAGGGAAGACAGCTGTGCGCTTTCCTAGATGTGCCTTGGTCTCCCTCAAATTCACGGGATGTCTACTACATAGGCAAATCTCATGTTCACGTGTTCTAAAAATACGTGGTTTAAGACGTATCTAAGAGACAATGGTTTTTATTTTCCTCCGTCATCTAGATATTTTGAGGAACTCAGAAGAGAATTCTAGCCATTTGAAAAAGTTTGTGTTTAATAGAATCTCTTAGAAATATTTAAGTCATTGGCTAAAGTGAGGCCTCTGTTTCTACTCAACTATTTGACATTTCATACATCTCTCCCTGTTTACCTCAAGAAGTTTTCTCTGACTAACCCATGCCCTGGAACCTTCTCTGAATTCCTAAAGAATTGCCTGGTCCACTCATTTTCCGTTTGACATATACCATCCTATAAGGTTCTAACTTCTTTCTTCCTTGCTTGCTTCCTTCCTCTCTCTTTCCTTAATCTCTTCCTTCCTCCCTCCCTCCTTCCTTCCTTCCTCTCTTCTGCTTCCTCTTTTCTTTCTCCTAAAATGTGTTGACCACTCACTCTGTGCGAGCACTGTTGTAGTCTCTTTTCAGTCAATTTTCTAACCTAATCTGCACAAATCTGTGATCTAATCCGTTCCTGTTAGATTCTCTACTTTTTGGTTGTAAAGACCACCTTACTCCTCTTTGGATCCTAGGTACCTGACATGCTTATTCTTCCAAAAGAGTAAAACTTGGACCAAAATTTGTACACAACTGAAGTGTACACTTGTGTTTGACATGTGGCTCACTCCAATATGATGGAAAAATTAATTTTGCCATTCTTATTCAGTCCGGTTATTATGTCCTAGCTCTGCGACTATCATCATGCATGGCATGTCCTAGAACAGAGGATTTTCAGAGAAAGAAAAGAGAGAGAGACAGGAAAGAAGGGAGGGAAGGAGGGAGGGAGGAAGGAAGGAAGGAAAAAGAAATAAAAGGAAAAAATGAGAGAGAAGGCAGTAGGAAGAAGAAAGGGCGACTTGTCACCTCATACATTTTATTTTATTTATTTATTTATTTATTTTTGAGGCAGAGTCTTGCTTTGTCGCCCAAGCTGGAGTGCAGTGGCACGATCTTGGCTCACTGCAACCTCTGCCCCCTGGGGTTCAAGAGATTCTCCTGCCTCAGCCTCCCGAGTAGCTGGGATTACAGGCACCTGCCACCATGCCCAGCTAATTTTTGTATTTTTAGTAGAGATGGGGTTTCGCCATGTTCGCTAGGCTGGTCTCAAACTCCTGACCTCAGGTTATCTGCCCACCTTGGCCTCCCAAACCAAAGTACTGGGATTACAGGTGTGAGCCACCGCATCTGGCCACCTCATACTTTTGATAAACTGTGAAGTGTGTCTCCTTTTCTATGCTGCTGCTTTTATTTTCTTATATCAACCAGCCAAAAGAACATTGGTTTCTTGAAGAACACCTGTCAATGTGCTGTACAAAATTGTGTATATTTTCAGAATAAGAAAGAGAAGCGTGTATGTGTTGGGATGGTGGAGGTAGAGGCAAGAGATTCCTTAAACCTTGCTCAACAACCCTAAAAGGGCATTTTTTTTTTCAAAATTACAACTTATTCCAAGAAATAGTTTCCCCCTTTCAAATAGTTTCCCCCTTGCAAATACTCTACCACTAAATTGGTTTGGATTCAAGTCCTAAATCTCAGCTACTGGGGAATTCAAATCTTGACTTCAGAAACCACCAGTGACCTACATGCTCATCATGGGAAGTGAAGGAGGCAGTTCAAAGCCCAGAGCCAGCAGTGACCAGGAAGAAGTCTCTTTAGGCTCAGGACGCCACTGATCCCATTTTGCAGGAATGTTGAAAATAGCAGCTTTCCCAGGCAAAGACCCCTAACTATACTTTTAGGTGATGCAACCCAAGCCAAGCGTCCTCACGTGGCAGGCTGTGGAGCCAAGGAAATTTCTGTCAGTTCTTCAATCCTCCCTGAACTGTTTGGTCACTAGAAATCTGGAATCACAAATAAATTAGGAAAATTCACAGAGTACTGAAATGGTACTATCAGCTACACTTGGAAGGCATATCACATGCCAGGAATTAACCAACTTTCATTTTTCCAATTTTTATAACAAACATAGAAGATATATTATGGACAAGGAAATTGGGTCTCAGAGAGGCTAAGTAACGTGTTAAGTGGCAGAAGCAGAATAAGAACCCAGGTCTAGCACAGAGTTTCTCAACAAGATGCAATTTTGCCCCCTAGGGGACATTTGTAAGGCTTGGCAACATTTTTCGTTGCTACAACTAGAGTGGGTGCTAGTAGTATCTAGTGGGTAGAGGTTAGGGATGCTCCTAAACACCCTATAATTCAAGGACAGTTCCCACAACACAGAATTCTGTAAGCCAAGATGTCAATAGAGCTGCTGAGGCTGAGAACCCCCGGTCTTTTTGTTTCCAAGGCTGACTTTATAAAAAGCATCCAGCATCTAGATGTACAGGAAAACAGATGAGACTGTGAAGGTGCGGCCAGGGGTAAAGGAGGACTGAAGGCAAGTCATTGACTTGTGGTGGAGAGTTCCATTAGTTTGTAATAGAGGGGTGGGGAGGGAGCAGGGAATAAACATTCAAGCCAATACATTTCTGATCATTTATATTAACTCTCCCCCTTGTTAGCCCATGAATACCAGCCAGTATGATCGAGGATACAGAAGACCAGACCAGTGGAGCTAGACAAAACCAAGCATTCCAGTCCAGGGGCCTTTTGCTCTGGCCGCCTTCTGACCATTGCCTGCCTGCCTGCCTGGAGATTGATAGGGTAACCAGGCAGCCCATTAGACCTGCTTATCTCAGCACCCCGTGGCTGGCTGGCTGGGAACTGGCCCGCCAGTGTCTACTTCATCACAAGCTCAGCCTCTGGCTGTCAGCACCTGGAGCTGGGCCAGTGGGGCCCGGGTGGGGCAGCTGGTACCAGACACCCAGGCCTGCTCTGTGTCCTCCCCCTACTAATAAATGACTTTCCTGGCGCTGCCACCACATGGATCAGTGGCAGCACAGACTCCCTGTCGGCAAGACAGCCATTTTTCTATGCCTGATTGCAGCATGAAAAACAGAAGTTCCCTTGGATTGTAGTTTTGTGTAAATGCTTTCTCACACATTTTCTCCATCATTAACTAGTCATAAATCAATCCAGTAAGCAACTATTTTACCACCCTGTGCAGTTTTCCTCAAGCCCTTCCAGAATTGGGCTATGCTGGAGGAGTCACAAAGGGAATTCAACAAGAGCCTGCATGCCTCTCTCAGCACGCCTTCCCCTCCACTCTCAGCTGAAGATGTAGCTTTGCACAGGCCCCCACCCTGAGTGGATGTTGAGTGCTCCTTCCATGTGACTCCACAAATCTCTGCCCTTCCCCAACAGAGAATGCTCTGTACTGTATCTATTTGTTCACCTGTTTGTTTCTGCAGCAAGGTTGTGAATTTGAGGGTCTCTCTTGTCCACAGTTGCACGCTCAACATGTAGCAGTAGACCCGGTACTGATGGGTTGGTCAGATTAGATTAGTTAAATGAATAAGTGGGTGTGATATCTGTACAGAAATCCTTTATAGCAGCTACCTTTTGACATTCTCACTTGTAGGTGTCTGGCTCCTCTCCAAAACAAAGAGCTGGTTGTCGTCAGGGGTTATGTTTTGGTTCCTTTGTATTCCCAATGCCTAGAACATTAATAGGTCAGGCACGATGGCTCATACCTGTAATCCCATCACCTTGGGAGGCTGAGGTGGGAGGATCCCTTGAAACCAGGAGTTTAGGACCAATGCCCAGTACATTAATAGGATATGAAGTGGCTGAATAAGTGAAAAGAATAAATTGAAGTGATTAATGGATCTAGGTTTGAGACTGTCTTTATATTTTACTCCAATGTCAACACAGGGCACCAGAGGGTATACAACTGTATGTGTTTTATCAAAACTCACAAAACTGTCCACTAAACAGGGTGAACTTTTGCTGTATATAAAATAGCTTAATTTTTTAATGTGAAAGAGTATTTAAAAATTACCAGAAGGCCGGGCGTGGTGGCTTACACCTGTGATCCCCGTACTTTGGGAGGATCACGAGGTCAGGTGTTCAAGACCAGCCTGACCAATATGGTGAAACCCCGTCTCTACTAAAAATACAAAAATTAGCCGGGCATGGTGGTGCACGCCTATAGTCCCAGCTACTAAGGAGGCTGAGGCAGGAGAATGGCGTGAACCTGAGAGGTGGAAGTTGTAGTGAGCTGAGATCACCCCACTGCACTCCAGCCTGGGTGACAGAGCAAGACACCGTCTCAAAAAAAAAAAAAAAAGTTACCAGAAAAAATAAATCCCTTTTTTCTGAGGTGTAATCGTGATCACTATAAAATTTTAAAGCAACTTCCTCCCTTAAAAATGTTGTACAAAAAAGATGTATGTTATTTTAGTTGCATCCCCTCACTATTGTACCAGAAGGAACATTTAATAGCTATCTCTGGAATTCCAGTGTAATTTTATTTTATGTGGAAGCTCTTGGTAAAAAATGAGGCACTTCTAGCTCCTAAAGGCATCATTCAGCTGCAGATATGTCTTCAGAGAGTAAATGTTCTTTTAGCAGGATATCACTCTATTAGATTTAAAAAATGATATGTGTTAGAATTCCTGAGTTTTAAAAATTGTTTTGCCTGAGGGATTTATTTACCTCTATCCCAACATGTTACATCATTTTTCCTGCATATGCTTGCAGGAATAGCTTTCTAGGGACATGGAGAGTTACTATGGGAATATATTAACAGAATATGTTCATATATTCATAAAAGCATTTCATAATATTTTAAAATCTCCAATTTTTGAATGGTAAAAATGAATAATAAAGAGGGCACCAGATATCACGTCTTTAGTACAAAGCAGAAAATTTGTCATGGTGCTTCTTTTCTTCTTCTTTTTATTTTATTTATGTATTTATTTGTTTATTTGAAATGGAGTCTCACTCTGTGGCCCAGGCTGGAGTGCAATGGCAAAATCTCAGCTCACTATGACTGCCGCCTCCTGGGTTCAAGTGATTCTCTTGCCTCAGCCTCCCGAGTACCTGGGATTACAGGTGCCTGCCACCATGCCCAGCTAATTTTTTGTATTTTTAGTGGAGATGGGGTTTCACCATGTTGGCTAGGCTGGTCTCGAACTCCTGTCTTCAGGTGATCTGCCCACCTCGTCCTTCCATAGTGCTGGGATTACAGGCGTGAGCCACTGCACCCAGCTGTCATGGTGCTTCTTCTTTCAGTCTCCTATGACTCTTTCATCTAACCCCAAAATCGCCCATCTCTAAATCCTGTTGGCATTTTCAGTTTACATCTCTTGAGACTGGGATCATCAACCTATAGCAGCTGCAATCTAGGCCTCATGTAAAAATAAATGTAGCGTGAGTTTTGTGTGTGTGTGTGTGTGTGTGATTTTGTTTGACTTGCAGGTTTTTTAAGTTTTGAATTTGTTGTTAATATTTTCAAAATTGATAAATTTTTAAATTTTCTATACAGATACAGTGTTTGGGTTTCTGTTGAAAAATCAGAAAGATTTGGCAATGCTAGGTGCATGTACCCATGTGGCTAGAACCAAGTGGTGGCTGATTTCTGTAGAAGGGGCTTGTGCCCTCTAGCTTGCCAGCATTTTCACAATCATTTGTCACTTTCCTGGCCTTTGTGAGCTTTGATTTGCAACCACTGGCCTAAGGAATGGTCAGGTGTATACAATATTGGTGCATACGTGATGTGGGTAAGCAGGCTGAAGTGATGGCTGAGAATTTCCTGACACATGTTGGACTAAAGAACTTTGTCATGAGTTAGCCAACCCCACAAAGCTGGAGGGAAGACTCACAGGCTTGGATAATCAGGAAGTGTCTGTGGAGGTTGCAGATGGCTGCTGGATGATCTGGATGACAGTGGACAGGGATGTTCCAAGAGGGGGCAACGGCAATTTTTGTATTAACAACATACTGGTATCATCTGGGAACCCTAAGTCATGACCTCTGACATGACCTATGTCGTGGGGATTTCCTTCTACAAAGCATTCAAAGCAATCAGAACCACATGACAACAGGGATCTCACTGTGCTACATTGTTTCAAGGGCTGCAGGTTCTCATCAATATCATGGCTACCTTCTGAGACTGGAGCAGAGTCTCTGGCTTCAGAAACCTTCACAGTTTCCTCATTTTGACAACTATTCATAGCCTGTCTGGCATTGGCTTCCAGTGTGTGTTTTATTTCTTCAATAAAATAGTTACTTTCCTGTGGGCAGGTGAAACACCTTCCATTTCACTGTTACTTTCTATGACAAATTACTGTGTGTTTGGTATATAGTTCATACTCCCTATCTGTTCTATATTGAATTAGTAGACTGTTTTCAGTGCCTGAGTAAGATCTTAAAGACAAAATGGCTGAACAATGATGATGGGAACTGCAGCTGGAGCCACAGAATAATAAGCTGGGCCCCTGCTATGTTTTCCATGATAGCTGGGGCTACCTACAAATTTGGCTAAGGATTCCACAAAGAGAAGATTTCAGATGTTTACCTACAGCATTCTAAAATCTAACTATCAGATAGTTATGGAAGTGGTACAAGGTCTCACCTGATTACACCTGAGAACAGGTATTAGGTGGCTCTAATATTCTGCATTGGATTTTGAGGCTAAAAGACTTCTGAAGGTAAGTCTTCTCTCTGAAGACTGCATAGTTTCAAACAACTCCCAACAAACTATCAAAGGGGATTTATACCTACACTCATCTAGGATTCTAATAGAAATTAGCTCAAAGAACCAAGAGGAGGAAGAGCCTTCCACTGGTGTAAATGCTGATGGATCAGCCTTGCTGCTCATTAGCGTACACCCTGCCTTCTAATTATGCCCTAATTTGTGCTGTGCAAACATCTCCTAACAATTCCTCCACCAACAGCTTTTCTAATTAGTAAGAAAATCAGTGGCAGATGTGAAATTCGTGGGATGCTAAATGTAAAATGTTAATTAATTTTAAAAACTTTGAAGCCATGTGAAAAGCCTTTTCTGGGAAAACTTTGGTTGATGTCCTCATTAACAGAGACCCTGAAATAGCTTTTCCTTTTATCCTGCTACACTTTGAATCTACCTTTTACCATTTCTGGAATCTTCTCGGGACTGAAGTTATTTTGGGTGTTTATGATGCTTACATGTCATGGACAAAATCACGGCTTTGCTGGACCTAGAATCGGTTATTCTAACACCCTTGACCAAACATCTAACTGTCTTGTCTGAGCCTGGGGACCAGCAGTGTCCCAGCGCTGCCTTCCCCAGAGCAATGTCAGCCAAGTCACAGAGTCTGTGAGTTTGTCACAGTAAGTGATGAGGGCCTCGGTCTCCCCTTAGCGGGCTTCATCTTATCTTGCATTCCAAAAGTTTCCAAGACCCTTGTAGTTGCTCTTGCGAATTTGAGCAGAATTGCCCTCAAAGATGGGAGCACTCTGCCTCCGCGTTTGATAGGCCTCATGCTTCAGGGGCCAGCTGCTCAATAGCTTAGGTCCACAACAGCAACAACAAAAGGCTATAAGACCTAACAATAGAGAGAACTAGTTTTATCCCTATTACAAAATTGCTAAAAACAAATTCCTAACCCAGGAATGCAGAGCAGCCAGCATTCTCTGTGAAACACATAAAGTCTTCCTGTGAGGCAGAAGGGATACAGCTCAGCCTGCATTTGTTCCTGCAGCATCCCCTGCTGTCACTTTGGAGGACACCAGCTGGCTGTGGCCTGACATTGGCATTCTTTTCCTAGCTTGATCTCGGCCATCACCTCCTTCCAACACCTCCACCGCTGAAGTTAAAGGAAAGGTCCTTATTGCACAAGTGTGAGAATTCTCCCAAGCCAAGGATTTTGCTCTTAGTTTTTTTGTTTTTTGTTTTTTGTTTTTTGTACAGCCCCTTTCATTGCAGTCACTTGTGTTTTAAAACCTAAACATGTTTCTTCCGCACTAGATCAGAAATAATTATCAACACTGAATATGGTCCTTAGTATGCCCAAACCTAAACATGTTTCTTCCACACTAGATCAGAAATAATTATCAACACTGAATATGGTCCTTAGTATGCCCTAAGCACTCTTTAAAGCACTTGACATTGATTACATTTAATTGCATTAATTGACATTTAAGCCTTTCATTAACAACTCTGTTAGGTGAGTGCTGTTACCATCCCCATTTTACAAGTGGGAAAACCCAGGCATTGAGAGGTTCAATGGCAAGCCCAGGTCACACAATGGCACAGCTGGGATTCAAACCCAGGTAGTCTGGCTCCAGAGGGAAAATGAGACAGGGACACTGCAGGATTGTCCCTGAAAGCTCTCCTCTAATTTCTAATGCAATCCCCAGACTCACTAGATATGCCCTACCTCTCTCCCCTCAAGGTGACTTCTTCCTGTGTGCCTGCACCTACCTCCTTGGTTGGAAAGGGAACCCTTGCTGACTGTACTTCCCCGGCACCCCAGGTCCCCACTCACCCAAGAACATCACTGGGTTCTTGGGCTGACTCATAGCCACTGCCTGACCCTTAAGTTATTCCCAGAGGGCTCTGGATGTTGGACAAATAGAACACTGGTGGCTTCCTTCTAAGTCCCTTGCCATAGATGTAGAGACAGATTCTTCCCACTGACCCCAGACCAGCCCTCCCCTTTCCTATGAGTTCATTCACCTCTTTTCACAAAGACAACCCTTTTAAGGCTTTCCTTAGTGTTGACTGTTGACTTGAGTTCATGTGTATACGTGTGTGAATGATGACCTAGGTTTGAGGTCTCTGATGGATGGCAGAGGACTTCAGCCCCCTGTGTAAATGAAAGGGATTTCAAAGAGAATGGGGTCAGGTTTACAGTTCTGAAGAGGATGGCTGTTTGCAAAAATACTTGTTGTGGCTTGAATGTCTGTATCCATGGTTTTTCTGACCCTTGAAAGCCAGTCAAACTGCTCAGATTCCAAGTCTACTCTGTACTTAAGTTGCTTTTTAGCTTGCATAGCTTAGCAAATTTTGCATCAAAGTACAGGGGAAAAATCTAAATATCTAGCAGCATGCAATTGTGTAGCAAAGTATTCTTAAGGCAGTAGTTCTCAACCTTGGCTGCACATCATCATCTTCTGGAGAGCTTCTATAAATCTCCATGCCAGGACACACCCTGGATCAATTACATCAGAACCTTGGAGGGTGGGGACCCAGCTTTGACATTTTTTAAAGCTCTCCAGGCAATTCCAATTTGCAGCCAATTCTGAAAATCTCTTTTGTAAAGAAGGGACATGGACTTCCTTCTAACCCCATTGCTTCAGCAATTACAGTTAGCAAGTTTTCTCCCTTGATACTGGGCTTGAATTTACTCTGAGAGTGAGAAGCTCAGCTCGGATTGGAGTTGATATGTAACATACATATGGAGGGCTTCCTCTGAGCAAATATTTGCTAGGTGTTTCATGCAGATGGTCTTTTTAATTATCATAGGAACATTGTGGGTGGGGAGGAGCAAATCTGATTCCCATTTTACAGAGGAAGAGACTAAGGCTCAGAAAATCCAAGTAATTTGCCCGAAGTCAAACAGTACAAAAGTAGTAGAATCAGAATTTGGCCTGAAGAGTCAGACTCTAGAATCTCCCTGAGAAAGAAATTTCTGAATTCTTCTGGTGACTAGGGTGTGAAAAGATTTTATGTTTTTTGTATGTTTTTACCGTCTAGGATCTGATTTGAAACCATGAGCTGTGAATTCCCATGTGGAAACTGAATCCTAACAGACACACCCCATCCTTTCCTGCCTAATGCCTCATTTCCAGATGCTTTGGTCTTGTTGGAAAAGCTGTGCTCCCTACTGCTTAAGAGTGTCTTCACAGATTCTGCTTCCAGAGCCCTCTGTCAATGGTGCCCCTGTGAAGGCCCAAATCAAAACGACAGCAGTGTGCCTTCTCTCTGCCAGGCACAGTGCAAAGTGCCAATGTACGGTATCTCATTTATTCCTCACGGCAACCTCTGAGCTACTTGCACCCTCCTTCTCATTTTACAGATGAGGAAACAGACGCAGAGTTTCAATCGTGCACTGGATGCCTCATAGTTAACAGTGGCGCTGACACTCAAACCCAGGCAGTTGAATTCAGAGCATGTGCTGTGAGTGGGGTTATATACTGCCACCCCAACCGAGGCTAACCTTAGAGTCCTCAAAGGGAAAGACTGAGAATTTTTTGTTTGTTTTAATCAGTGTGGCTTCTGCTTCTCAGAAAAAAAAAAAAAAACGGGGATGACCACAGCCTGTGCTGCAGTCCCGAGATAGTAAGACTGGTCACCAGAGGGAGACAGAGCTTGAGACATCACGGACCCTCCTTTTTCAGCATCTCATTCGGCAAAGCACAGAGCCTGGAGGAAAACAACTGCAGACAGAATCCTTTGTTTTGGTTTAATTTCTTCTACTGCTGCTTTTCATTCCTCTCCTTCTCCGTCTTCCTTTTCTCCTTCCTCTTCCTCTTCTCTTCCTCTTTCCCCATTTTTTTTTTCTATCTTTGTTTCTAAGTCACCAGTGGCTGCTTTACCAGAGGGTGCAATCCAAAGGAGAAATTAGAGGTTAAATCTCCTCCCTCTGCCCAGAGCCTGAAGTCTGGGAAAACACACTACTTTCTGAGTTACAGTACACTCATGAACAGAGTTCCCAGAACTCCTGTGTCAGATCCCAGCGTTCTTGGCAGAAACTCAGAAGCAACACTAGATACATATTTTTTTTAAGGGAAGAAATTGCACATTGCCAAGGCAAAACAGGATTTGATGTGAAATTGATCTGTATAATTTTTGCCATGAAATTTCAATTTGGAGTTTTAGATATCAAAATGCTCCATATAAATAATGGACATGTGAAATCGATTCAAAAATTTTAAGGGTATGTGAAATTATACTCATGCCATCAGAAGTCTATTTTTAAAGAACTGATTACCTAGTTTCTGGATTTTAAACTTTCTTACAGCTTCTCATTAGAATAGTTGCCACACGATGGGAAAGAATGGAGGAACAGAAAACCAAACACTGCATAGTCTCACTTAGAAGTGGGAGCTGAATGATAAGAACACATGGACACATGGGGGATGGAGGAACAATACACACCGGGGCCTGTGGTGGTGGGGACAGAAAGGAGGGGGCAGAAGTGAGGAGGGAGAGCACCAGAAGGAATAGCTAATGGACGCTGGGCTTAATACCTAGGTGATGCGTTGATCTGTGCAGCAAACCACCATGGCACACGTTTACCTATCTAACAAACCCACACATTCCGCACGTGTACTCTGGAACTTAAAATAAAAGTTGAAGAAAAAAAAATCAGTAGAATTAGGCCAGGCATGGTGGCTCATGCCTGTAATCCCAGCACTTTGGGAGGCCAAGATGGGCAGATCACTCGGGCTCAGGAGTTTGAGACCAGCCTGGCCAACATGGTGAAACCCCGTCTCTACTAAAAATATAAAAATTAGCTGGGTGGTGGTACAGGCATGTAGTCCCAGGTACTCAGGGGACTGAGGCATGAAATTTGCTTGAACCCAGGAGGCAGAGGTTGCAGTGAGCTGAGATCACACCACTGCACTCCAGGCTGGGCGACAGAGTGAGAGTCCATCTCAAAAAAAAAAAAAATCAATAGAATTAACACAAAATTTGCTCTTGAGTCACAGATCTGCTTAAAGAAGAGGTTTAGGCTACTGACAGTGAGCTCCTCGAGAGAAAGAACTTGATTTTATTAACTTAGACATCTCTGAAGGCTCTCAGAGAATGTTAGCTTTAGTAAGATGCTCACTATATATTTCTCAGATTGATTAATGGATGACAAATTTGTGATTACCTGGTTTCCTCAACACAAACCCCATGCCTACAAAGAAAGGCCAACCCTTGCCAAACCAGTAGGTAGCCCACCCAAGAAGACAGGTGTGCAAGAGGAGGACCTGATCAAACACACTACCTCAAAGAACCACAGTAGTAATCAGTCCACTAATTCTTCCCCTCACTATTTTCTGCCTAATGACTTGTGCTGGTCAGGAATTATTTATTTAAAAATAACAAAAACCTACCCAAACTAGGCTAAAGGGGAGGGCGGAGATGACACTGGAAGGACTCAAGGGTCTTACACAGAATCAAGGGCTGGAAGCATCATCCACCTTCTAGAGAAGGCCTGGGAGTAGTAACAGAAACACAGTAAGGAAGTTAAGCAACCTTGATTTGCCCCTACTTCTCATCCCCTTGACACACGTCCTTTTCCCCCCATACATCTGCTTCTCTCTCCCTGCAGATCAGCTTTATCTGCCTCATTGTCTGTGATGGAGAAAGTGGCTGTTCTAAGCAGTCCTACCTGTCCTCTGAACTCAAGGTCCTGACTGTCACTGTGTACCAAATCCTTTTCCCCAAACTCAGAACCTGGCCTGGGTTCGGTCAAGTGTTAACTTCTAATCTAAACAGCTGTGGCCAGAGGACTGAGGTTACTTGCCATTACTCATTGAGCAGGCCCACCCTATCCCTTAGGGACAGTCATCTGTATAAATGAATCTCTCATTGGTAGATACTGCTGGTATGGGCCTAAAGGGTACCACAGTTCACTCTGATCTCATTAATCTTGATGGAATAAGACTAACACATTGAAGAAATGGATTCAATAATTATAAGCGTCTGTAATTTTAGTCCCTGTATTTAAAATTACAAAAGTGGCTCAACACTTCTTTCCTGTAAATAAGTGGTTTTGTTGATATGAATTTTGCCATGGGAAAATAATTGCATATGGACATTTTTGACAATATCTTGAGGTATGTTTCAAGTTGCCTGAGACTGTATATCTTCTGTGCATCTTTCTGTAGCATTCAGAATATGTGATCACAAAATTGCAATTTAAGAATGTGTGCATTTCTTCTGGAATGATGGGGAGTCCTGAGTGAGAAAGCAATAGTTAGAAACTATGCCAGGTTAAAGGTAAAGGCATGGTTGAAGCCAAACAGACTGGAGCTTTGACAGTGATTCGATGAGATGGCTTCAGGTCCAAAGTGACAGTGTTTGGCTAATGCTGAAGGGATTCCACACTTTAAACTTCTTTTACATGGTTGTGCACAAATGCCACGATGACCTCCAAAGAATGATAACACATAGGAGTCCTAAAACATTGTCACCTAATTTGGTGAACATAAATGCATACAAATGCAGTGACAGTGATCTAGACTTCTAAATATTTGACTCAGGTAAAAATTCAGGAATAGAATAGAGGCCAAGTTTCTGCTTTTATTCATCTTAATTTATGCCCAAATTCATCATATGGCTCAGACCTTATCCCAGTGGTGTGTTAACTATGCCCACATTTCTATTTGTTTTAAGATAGGCGTTTGCAAGTCCTTTGTCACCAAATTCAAAGGTAGGGTACTACCACAAGATTAAAATGCCTGCAACAAAGTACTCTCACATTCATCAAAAATGATTAGCTATAATTTGCATCAAATCTTACTTCATTGTTTTTATTTATTACCCAATAAGCCATAATCTTATGAAAAACAGCTTTCAAGATACCTCATTAATCTAATTTTTGTTTTATTTAATAAATATTTTATTTTACTTAAACATTTACACATGTAAGCATTTTTAAAACACTAATTTAATCATAACAACAGGACTACCAGATGAGTAAGTAATATTATCCCCATTTAGCAGATAAGGAAGCTGAGGCCCAGAGAGGCTAAGTAATATGCCCAAGGTTACAAGTTAGTGAGTGGTTTAACAAATAACAGCATTAGAGTGTGTTTTATCAACATCTTCTGAAGGTTCCCCTACACAAACAGTCCTCTTTAATATAATATTAAAAATTCTAAAGTTCTTTCCTGTTGTCATATTTGATTCTCAACACCCCATGAGGTTAGCCTTAGGTAACCTCATCTGTTTACAGAAGAGACAGGATCCCAGATGTTAGAAGATTTCCCAAGGCTGTGCAAGCTGGTAAGAGATCTAATTAGGATATAGTCAGAACTGACTCTTCTGACTCCTCCTGGTTCAATTTCTTGCTACTAATCCACAAATCTAATATGATATTCTGGTTGTCAGCTTGCTAAAATGGCAAGGCCTTCATTAGCCTGAAGATGTCCTCATATAAATAAATGCAGCTCTTGCTACATATAAAACACTTACCTGGTCTCTTGAGCTAATTCTTGTTGAGGAGAGGAGGGTCTACCTATCAGCAACTGAACCTTTTTCTGGCAGAGATAACTTTCCCCATTAAAATAACACATTTTCTAGGATGGTCAGGGATGCCAGCTGAGCTCTGATGCTCCTTCCCTCTCATCATTTTTGCCCCACCAAATGGACCACCAAATCCCAAAGCAGGTTCATTCCACTGATGAGTTCTGCGACTGCCCTACGCCCTGAAGTGCCAAACCTAGTGCTCAGGAATGTGGAAGATGAAAGTTGTAGGAACTCTGTTATTGGTTTTGTTGTTTTTGCTTGTTTGTTTTGCTCTCTTCTCTAGTTCCGTATCAGGAGTTTTCTAGCTCCATGAAATAAGGTAGAAACTTTTCCTTTTCTTTTTTTTTTTCTTTTTTTGCTCTGAAATACTTTTTAAAATACATATTTGATAAGCTCTCTGTCATAAAACTACTAGGGTTTTAACTATGTTTTTCAATTATTTCAAAAATTACTTGTTGATTCTCATGTTTATTTCTTCTTAATTTTAGTCTTTTATAATTTTTGCATATATTCTGTAAGTCAAGAGCCTAGAGTTTATTATGAAAGGCTTCGTGATGATAATGCTTTTGTCGATTCACAGGCTTCACAGGGGCAGGAAGATTCCCATGCAAGGAAGAACCCCTCAGTTCACACTGAGGATGGTGGTTCTTTGAGGGGAAGTAAAGGTCCAGTGAGACCATCCTTGGATGAAGGATTGTGGCATTGAAGCTTCACATAGGATCTCCATCCAGCTCCTTCACGTTATCATTTATTCATTCAATTAGCAGTTTTTGATCATCTACCATGTGCCAGGAATTGTACTAGTTAGGGATTCAAAAAATGAATTAGACTGCTCTCGGGCCATTCATAGTTTAGAGAGTAAGAAAGACACGTGAATGGAGTAGTGAATGCTCAGAACAGCAGTGGAGGTCTCTTAAAGAACAATGCTGTGACTGCACACAGTGCACGTGCACATATATCACAGACCAGGAGCTGAAAGTAGAGATAAACAAATATTTATTATGAGCGTTGGTTTCCAGATGATTTTTATGAGTCTGAGAGCAAGTTTTAGAGGCATCCTAGCCCACATATCTGTTTAATTCTACTCTCATTTCCTTCCTGACTATTCAGATAAGCCTTGGCTATATTGCAGTCACATTTAGCTAAGTAAATATAGTTTGCAGAAATCCAGTTCTCTTTAAGCAAAAAGTGTGCATGATTATGTCAGTACTTTTATATGTTTATCTGAGGCCATCTTCCCTCCATAAACAGGGTTATTTGCTTTGCTGCCATTTCAGTGTTTCAGGTGGATATTTTTTGTTTTACCTCAAGCTGTTTATCAGTAGGCAAGGAAACCATTCTCTATAGTCCTGTGTAATTACGTAGCTCTGGAATCTAAAACAACATTTATAACTCCTTTGTGCCTGCTGGAATTTTTCAGGTGAATGGAAGGGACGATTTATCAGTGCTTGTTTTACCTCATATCCATATTGTAGACCCAATTTATGGCTTATCATCCCAATTATCTCAATTTTTATAAGAGCAAATGCCAATATCAGAAGAGATAAAGTTTTCCTTCAAACTGAAGGAACCTTCCTACAGGGAATCAGGAGCTTTTGCCAGGCCTGTGAGATGGTGGTGTGAGCACTACAGAACAAGTGGTAGTGACAACTGTGACAACTGTGAGCTAACTGTAAGCTACTGAAGGCAGGGCCATATGATATCATCTTACATCCTCTGCACCTAGCCCCATGGCTGGCACAGGGTGTAAATGCCAATATGTGCAGGATGCGATGTATATTTTAATATATTTCACAGCAGGGAATAACAGTGGAAAGAATTCTAAAGCATTTGTTTCATTATTTTAGTTCAAAATATGTTCACTGTTTACGTGCTTTTTCGTTTCTGTAGTAAGAGAACCTAGATCTTCGGTTTTTGAGCTTACCTTTCTGATGTCATCTTACAGTGTAAACCTTGTGCTTTAGTAAACATTATATTTCTAAAGTATTTCTTTGTACCAGGACATTGAAGAAAGGTGAAAAGATTTCATGTTTGGTATATGTATTAGTTATCAATTACTGAATAACAAACTATTTCCAAAGTTTAGTGACCTAAAACAACAAATCTTATCTCACAGATCCTGTGGGTCAGGAATCGAGGCACAGCTTAGCATGCTCCTAAACAAGATTCTGTCTCTGACAAGAGAAGATGGTTCCTGTAGCTTTATCAGTCTGTTATATGTCATCAAACACATTCTTGACAGACAGGCTTACATTTATAAGTCGATTTTCTACTTTGTGACATTTCTGGAGTTTGGAAATAAACCATTTATTTCTGTGTCCTGAAGGAAATAGGCAATCAATAACTGTAGTTTTTGTTCCTGGAAAAGGTAAAATGTGACCTTCATATTTGTTGAATAAGCAAACAATCTGGGTTCATTTTCAGGAAGGCTTATCAGGGTGTTTTCCAAACATACAAATATAAAACCCTCCTGGGCAGTAAAGAAAGTCAGTCTATTGTCAAGAAGCACTTCATATTAATAACAATAATATTTGAAATAGTAAGGAATCAAGAAGGCAGAATAAGTGAGGGCTGGGATGGAGTTGATTCACATGCCTTCTCTCAACTGGATTTCCCAAGTTCCAATTCTCATGAATCCTTAAGCTCTCTTGGAATCAAGGAGCGGTCCAAAGATGATCATAAAATGGAACAATTTCCAAAGTTGGTATTGGATACAGACATCTGCCTATGACTACACCAGGTGCAAAGGAGGGAAAATGAGAAGGAGACAAGGAAAGGGAGTGCTACTGTGGCTTCGTATGGTTCTTTGGTCTACACACCTTGACCACGCATTGATGATCCTTCCAATGGCCTCCCAGGTCCAGGCACACAGGCTGGCTCTCAGCCACATCTCTGACTCCTCTGTCTCACCCCCTCACTGCAGCCACGCTAGCCTGCTGCCACTGCTCCAAAGTCCCAGCATGCACCTGGCGTTTACTCATCAGAGCCTGGCGTTACTCATCTTTCTGTTTGGAACACTCTTTCTGCAGGTAGCCCCATGGCTTGTCTCCTGTACCTCACTCAGGTCTCTGCCCAAGTGCCATTTTCCTTGAGAAGTCTTTTCTGACCAAAAAAAAATTTTCCCTCTGTCAAAAATAGCACTACTGTCACTGTCCATCCCATACTCTGCTTTATTTTTCTTCACAGCACATAGCTTCAGATATATTATATTTCACAAGCTTATTATTATTCTCCCTTAGTTAAATCATAGGCTCTCAGAGCTGAGAGGTCGACTCTTTCATTCACTGCTGAATTCCCGGAACATGGATCGGTACCTGCACATAGTAAGTACTCAATCAATTTTTGTTGAATAAATGAGTTGAATGCTCACTCTGTGCCAGGTACAGTGACCAGTGATTTCCATACATTGTGTGCTAATAACCCTCACAAGAGCTGCCAGGCAAGATGCCATTATCATTATCTCCATTTTAGGGCTCAAGAACTCAAAGAAGTGAATAAATTATCCAAGATTGCCTAGAGAGTAAGTGACTGATATGGATCTTGAGCCCAGGACAGTCTTATTCTGAGCTCTTAACCAATTAACTTTCTTAAATTAAATGATTATATGAATACAGTCAACCCTGAGGTAGTAGCAGAATTTCCTGTCAAATTGTATATATCACAAGGACTTTGCCCAGTTCCTACTGGTGAAAATGCCACCTAAATAAGATAGAAAACCACCTCCAGGTTGGCATTGGCAGATTCTGTCAGTGCTATAAGTGAATTCCTTCCCTCCTTGTAGTCCTGCCATCTCTCTTGTTCAGGAAGTGAGCTATCAAGAAAAAGTTTTGGAGAATGTTCTCTAATTTGAAAATAAAAACCAGAAAAACAAACTCTCTTTGTAATTACAGGAAGATGGAAAAGGAGGATATTTAAATAACACATCAGCTTCCAATGCCAGGAAAAGGCTGACTTATTCCAGCATTAGCCAGGTCAGGTGATTGGCACTGGGAATGGAGTGCCCAGCAAGCAGATCCTCATTCCAAAAGCCTGCCAATGCCCAATCTGCAGAAAGAATTTTGAAGATTAGGGAGCTTGTGTTGGTCTTGGGAATGGAGTGGATTTCTTTTGTTTTGTTCTAGCAATTCTTTATTAATCATTTTCTGTGTGCCAGGCACCATGCAATACATATTACATGCATTAACTCCTTAAATCCTCAATAAGAGCAAGGATTTGAATTATCAGTGCATTCATCATTTAGAAACACCAATGTTTGCTCAAAATATTAGCAAATGAATGTGCAGTGGTCATTGTACATCAGTCTATCTGACCTCTGATGCCAAGATATTCTGGGTTCCTTCCCTACAGTATGTATTGTTAAACATTTTTCTACCCATGGATATATTTTAAACAAACCCCTTTAAGCTTTTCTGTCTAGTGGCCAGGTACAGTGGCTCATGCCTGTAATCCCAGCACTTTGGGAGGCCAGCATGGGTGGATCATCTGAGGTCAGGAGTTCGAGACCAGCCTGGCCAACATGGTGAAACCCCATCTCTACTAAAAATACAAAAAATAGCCAGGCATGGTGGCAGGCACCTGTAATCCCAGCTACTCGGGAGGCTGAGGCAGGAGAATCACTTGAACCCAGGAGGCGGAGGTTCCAGTGAGTCGAGATCGTGCCATTTGCACTCCAGCCTGGGGGACAAGAGGGAGACTTTGTCTAAAAACAAAACAAAACAAAAACTTTTCTGTCTAGAGATGGTGAGTTCTTTTTTTTTTTTAATTAATTAATTTATTTTTTTATTATTATACTTTAAGTTTTAGGGTACATGTGCACATCGTGCAGGTTAGTTACATACGTATACATGTGCCATGCTGGTGTGCTGCACCCACTAACTCGTCATCTAGCATTAGGTATATCTCCCAATGCTATCCCTCCCCCGTCCCCCCACCCCACAACAGTCCCCAGAGTGTGACGTTCCCCTTCCTGTGTCCATGTGATCTCATTGTTCAATTCCCACCTATGAGTGAGAATATGCAGTGTTTGGTTTTTTGTTCTTGTGATAGTTTACTGAGAATGATGATTTCCAATTTCATCCATGTCCCTACAAAGGACATGAACTCATCATTTTTTATGGCTGCATAGTATTCCATGGTGTATATGTGCCACATTTTCTCAATCCAGTCTATCATTGTTGGACATTTGGGTTGGTTCCAAGTCTTTGCTATTGTGAATAATGCCGCAATAAACATACGTGTGCATGTGTCTTTATAGCAGCATGATTTATAGTCCTTTGGGTATATACCCAATAATGGGATGGCTGGGTCAAATGGTATTTCTAGTTCTAGATCCCTGAGGAATCGCCACACTGACTTCCACAATGGTTAAACTAGTTTAGAGTCCCACCAACAGTGTAAAAGTGTTCCTATTTCTCCACATCCTCTCCAGCACTTGTTGTTTCCTGACTTTTTAATGATCGCCATTCTAACTGGTGTGAGATGGTATCTCATTGTGGTTTTGATTTGCATTTCTCTGATGGCCAGTGATGGTGAGCATTTTTTCATGTGTTTTTTGGCTGCATAAATGTCTTCTTTTGAGAAGTGTCTGTTCATGTCCTTCGCCCACTTTTTGATGGGGTTGTTTGTTTTTTTCTTGTAAATTTGTTTGAGTTCATTGTAGATTCTGGATATTAGCCCTTTGTCAGATGAGTAGGTTGTGAAAATTTTCTCCCATTTTGTAGGTTGCCTCTTCACTCTGATGGTAATTTCTTTTGCTGTGCAGAAGCTCTTTAGTTTAATTAGATCCCATTTGTCAATTTTGGCTTTTGTTGCCATTGCTTTTGGTGTTTTAGACATGAAGTCCTTGCCCATGCCTATGTCCTGAATGGTAATGCCTAGGTTTTCTTCTAGGGTTTTTATGGTTTTAGGTCTAATGTTTAAGTCTTTAATCCATCTTGAATTGATTTTTGTATCAGGTGTAAGGAAGGGATCCAGTTTCAGCTTTCTACATATGGCTAGCCAGTTTTCCCAGCACCATTTATTAAATAGGGAATCCTTTCCCCATTGCTTGTTTTTCTCAGGTTTGTCAAAGATCAGATAGTTGTAGATATGCGGCATTATTTCTGAGGGCTCTGTTCTGTTCCATTGATCTATATCTCTGTTTTGGTACCAATACTATGCTGTTTTGGTTACTGTAGCCTTGTAGTATAGTTTGAAGTCAGGTAGTGTGATGCCTCCAGCTTTGTTCTTTTGGCTTAGGATTGACTTGGTGATGCGGGCTCTTTTTTGGTTCCATATGAACTTTAAAGTAGTTTTTTCCAATTCTGTGAAGAAAGTCATTGGTAGCTTGATGGGGATGGCATTGAATCTGTAAATTACCTTGGGCAGTATGGCCATTTTCACAATATTGATTCTTCCTACCCATGAGCATGGAATGTTCTTCCATTTGTTTGTATCCTCTTTTATTTCCTTGAGCAGCAGTTTGTAGTTCTCCTTGAAGAGGTCCTTCACATCCCTTGTAAGTTTGATTCCTAGGTATTTTATTCTCTTTGAAGCAATTGTGAATGGGAGTTCACTCATGATTTGGCTCTCTGTTTGTCTGTTGTTGGTGTATAGGAATGCTTGTGATTTTTCCACATTAATTTTGTATCCTGAGACTTTACTGAAGTTGCTTATCAGCTTAAGGAGATTTTGGGCTGAGACAATGGGGTTTTCTAGATATACAATCATGTCATCTGCAAAGAGGGACAATTTGACTTCCTCTTTTCCTAATTGAATACCCTTTATTTCCTTCTCCTGCCTGATTGCCCTGGCCAGAACTTGCAACACTATGTTGAATAGGAGTGGTGAGAGAGGGCATCCCTGTCCCGTGCCAGTTTTCAAAGGGAATGCTTCCAGTTTGTGCCCATTCAGTATGATATTGGCTGTGGGTTTGTCATAGATAGCTCTTATTATCTTGAAATACGTCCCATCAATACCTAATTTATTGAGAGTTTTTAGCATGAAGGGTTGTTGAATTTTGTCAAAGGCCTTTTCTGCATCTATTGAGATAACCATGTGGTTTTTGTCTTTGGCTCTGTTTATATGCTGGATTACATTTATTGATTTGCGTATATTGAACCAGCCTTGCATCCCAGGGATGAAGCCCACTTGATCATGGTGGATAAGCTTTTTGATGTGCTGCTGGATTCGGTTTGCCAGTATTTTATTGAGGATTTTTGCATCAATGTTCATCAAGGATATTGGTCTAAAATTCTCTTTTTTGGTTGTGTCTCTGCCCGGCTTTGGTATCAGAATGATGCTGGCCTCATAAAATGAGTTAGGGAGGATTCCCTCTTTTTCTATTGATTGGAATAGTTTCAGAAGGAATGGTACCAGTTCCTCCTTGTACCTCTGGTAGAATTCGGCTGTGAATCCATCTGGTCCTGTACTCTTTTTGGTTGGTAAGCTATTGATTATTGCCACAATTTCAGAACCTCTTATTGGTCTATTCAGAGATTCAACTTCTTCCTGGTTTAGTCTTGGGAGAGTGTATGTGTCGAGGAATTTATCCATTTCTTCTAGATTTTCTAGTTTATTTGCGTAGAGGTGTTTGTAGTATTCTCTGATGGTAGTTTGTATTTCTGTGGGATCAGTGGTGATGTCCCCTTTATCATTTTTTATTGTGTCTATTTGATTCTTCTCTCTTTTTTTCTTTATTAGTCTTGCTAGCGGTCTATCAATTTTGTTGATCCTTTCAAAAAAACAGCTCCTGGATTCATTGATTTTTTGAAGGGTTTTTTGTGTCTCTATTTCCTTCAGTTCTGCTCTGATTTTAGTTATTTCTTGCCTTCTGCTAGCTTTTGAATGTGTTTGCTCTTGCTTTTCTAGTTCTTTTAATTGTGATCTTAGGGTGTCAATTTTGGATCTTTCCTGCTTTCTCTTGTGGGCATTTAGTGCTATAAATTTCCCTCTACACACTGCTTTGAATGCATCCCAGAGATTCTGGTATGTTGTGTCTTTGTTCTCGCTGGTTTCAAAGAACATCTTTATTTCTGTCTTCATTTCGTTGTGTACCCAGTAGTCATTCAGGAGCAGGTTGTTCAGTTTCCGTGTAGTTGAGCGGTTTTGAGTGAGATTCTTAATCCTGAGTTCTAGTTTGATTGCACTGTGGTCTGAGAGATAGTTTGTTATAATTTCTATTCTTTTACATTTGCTGAGGAGAGCTTTACTTCCAAGTATGTGGTCAATTTTGGAATAGGTGTGGTGTGGTGCTGAAAAAAATATATATTCTGTTGATTTGGGGTGGAGAGTTCTGTAGAGGTCTATTAGGTCCGCTTGGTGCAGAGCTGAGTTCAATTCCTGGGTATCCTTGTTGACTTTCTGTCTCGTTGATCTGTCTAATGTTGACAGTGGGGTGTTAAAGTCTCCCATTATTATTGTGTGGGAGTCTAAGTCTCTTTGTAGGTCACTCAGGACTTGCTTTATGAATCTGGGTGCTCCTGTATTGGGTGCATATATATTTAGGATAGTTAGCTCTTCTTGTTGAATTGATCCCTTTACCATTATGTAATGGCCTTCTTTGTCTCTTTTGATCTTTGTTGGTTTAAAGTCTGTTTTATCAGAGACTAGGATTGCAACCCCTGCCTTTTTTTGTTTTCCATTTGCTTGGTAGATCTTCCTCCATCCTTTTATTTTGAGCCTACGTGTGTCTCTGCACCTGAGACGGGTTTCCCGAATACAGCACACTGATGGGTCTTGACTCTTTATCCAATTTGCCAGACTGTGTCTTTTAATTGGAGCATTTAGTCCATTTACATTTAAAGTTAATATTGTTATGTGTGAATTTGATCCCGTCATTATGATGTTAGCTGGTTATTTTGCTCGTTAGTTGATGCAGTTTCTTCCTAGTCTCGATGGTCTTTACATTTTGGCATGATTTTGCAGCGGCTGGTACCGGTTGTTCCTTTCCATGTTTAGCGCTTCCTTCAGGAGCTCTTTTAGGGCAGGCCTGGTGGTGAAAAAATCTCTCAGCATTTGCTTGTCTGTAAAGTATTTTATTTCTCCTTCACTTATGAAGCTTAGTTTGTCTGGATATGAAATTCTGGGTTGAAAATTCTTTTCTTTAAGAATGTTGAATATTGGCCCCCACTCTCTTCTGGCTTGTAGGGTTTCTGCCGCTGTTAGTCTGATGGGCTTCCCTTTGAGGGTAACCCGACCTTTCTCTCTGGCTGCCCTTAACATCTTTTCCTTCATTTCAACTTTGATGAATCTGACAATTATGTGTCTTGGAGTTGCTCTTCTCGAGGAGTATCTTTGTGGCATTCTCTGTATTTCCTGAATCTGAACGTTGGCCTGCCTTGCTAGATTGGGGATGTTCTCCTGGATAATATCCTGCAGAGTGTTTTCCAACTTGGTTCCATTCTCCCCATCACTTTCAGGTACACCAATCAGATGTAGATTTGGTCTTTTCACATAGTCCCATATTTCTTGGAGGTTTTGCTCATTTCTTTTTATTCTTTTTTCTCTATACTTTCCTTCTTGCTTCATTTCATTCATTTCATCTTCCATTGCTGATACCCTTTCTTCCAGTTTATCGCATCGGCTCCTGAGGCTTCTGCATTCTTCACGTAGTTCTCGAGCCTTGGTTTTCAGCTCCATCAGCTCCTTTAAGCACTTCTCTGTATTGGTTATTCTAGTTATACATTCTTCTAAATTTTTTTCAAAGTTTTCAACTTCTTTGCCTTTGGTTTGAATGTCCTCCCGTAGCTCAGAGTAATTTGATCGTCTGAAGCCTTCTTCTCTCACCTCGTCAAAGTCATTCTCCATCCAGCTTTGTTCCCTTGCTGGTGAGGAGCTGCGTTCCTTTGGAGGAGGAGAGGCGCTCTGATTTTTAGAGTTTCCAGTTTTTCTGTTCTGTTTTTTCCCCATCTTTGTGGTTTTATCTACTTTTGGTCTTTGATGTTGGTGATGTACAGATGGGTTTTTGGTGTGGATGTCCTTTCTGTTTGTTAGTTTTCCTTCTAACAGACAGGACCCTCAGCTGCAGGTCTTTTGAAGTACCCTGCAGTGTGAGGTGTCTGTGCCCCTGCTGGAGGGTGCCTCCCAGTTAGGCTGCTCGGGGGTCAGGGGTCAGGGACCCACTTGAGGAGGCAGTCTGCCCGTTCTCAGATCTCCAGCTGCGTACTGGGAGAACCACTGCTCTCTTCAAAGCTGTCAGACAGGGACATTTAAGTCTGCAGAGGTTACTGCTGTCTTTTTGTTTGTCTGTGCCCTGCCCCCAGAGGTGGAGCCTACAGAGGCAGGCAGGCCTCCTTGAGCTGTGGTGGGCTCCACCCAGTTCGAGCTTCCCGGCTGCTTTGTATACCTAAGCAAGCCTGGGCAATGGTGGGCGCCCCTCCCCCAGCCTCGCTGCAGCCTTGCAGTTTGATCTCAGACTGCTGTGCTAGCAATCAGTGAGACTCCGTGGGGTAGGACCCTCCGAGCCAGGTGCGGGATATAATCTCGTGGTGCGCCGTTTTTTAAGCCCGTCAGAAAAGCGCAGTGTTCGGGTGGGAGTGACCCGATTTTCCAGGTGCCGTCCGTCCGTCACCCCTTTCTTTGATTAGGAAAGGGAACTTCCCTGACCCCTTGCGATTCCTGAGTGAGGCAATGCCTCGCCCTGCTTTGGCTCGCGCACGGTGCACACACCCACTGACCTGCGCCCACTGTCTGGCACTCCCTAGTGAGATGAACCCGGTACCTCAGATGGAAATGCAGAAATCACCCGTCTTCTGCATCGCTCAGGCTGGGAGTTGTAGACCGGAGCTGTTCCTATTCGGCCATCTTGGCTCCTCCCCCAGTGAGTTCTTTTTGAAACTGTTCATGAGCATTTAACTAATGCTTTAAAAATCCTTTCTAAAATTGTGCTTTGAGCACTTGCATTTAAATTTGAACTTTTACTGCCACATAGTTGAGGACACTGATTCCAACTCCATCTGAAGGAGTGTGTGCTTTGTCAGTTAACTGGTGTATGCACAAGCACAAATCCTACTTTGGAGTCAGATGTTGCCTGCTCATATTGCTTCTCCCATATGACTTCAGCAGCATAGAGACAACAGGGGCTTCTACCATGCAACGCAATGACCTCTGTATGATTGGGCTCCTTTCACTCTCATTTTCACTCACCAGCACACCCAAAGGCATCCGCTACAGTACTTACAGAGGTATTGACCCTCGATGAGCAGGGGTGGAAACGAGCATGCTAGAATCTTAGAGGAAGGGTCCTGGAGACTCAGAGAAATCCCATAACACTGGGCCCAACACCCTCTGGGCAGAGTCACAACATTTTCAAAGAACAAGGATCACTTTTTAGTAAAATATAAATAAAAAACTTAAGGACACAACAGTTCCCATTTAAAAGGGAGTGGGGGCAGGTAGGTTAGGATCAAAAGCTGCTGAGATAGAAAAGTCAATAGTAAATAAACCTTCAGTAATAAGCCAACAACCAGATGGCCCCTCTCACTTTCCTTAGAAGCCAGCAGAGAGCGGTGTTGTCATGCACATGTGCTCATTCGCATCCAGCCTGTCTGAGCTCAAGTTAGCCTTCCTAGAAAAGGATTTGATACAGGGAAGACAGTTTAAGGCAAGGTAGAAAGCACTACATGCAGGGTCAGGAGATTAGGTTTTAACCCCAGCTGCACAGCTTCGCAAGTCACTCTTTGTGAATCAGTTTAGGGTCTACTAAATGTATTGAATGCGGCAGAGGAGGGCTGGACTAGTAAAAAAAAAATGGCATTCCGTTTATTGAGTACTTGCTGTATACCACTTCATGCTAGGTCCTTCCAACAGCAGGAGTTCAAATCCGATCTCTGCAGCACATTTAGTATCCATGTGATTTGGGGGCAAGTTACTAACCTCTTTAAACCTCAGTTTCCTTGCCTACAGATTAGCCATAATGGATCCACACAGGATTCTTCTGAGGATTAAACTAAGTAAATGCACTCAGCACAGCGGCTGGCACATGTAATATTGGCAACTATTGTCATTTACTAGTTCCGTTTCATCTTCACAACAATCTTGTAAGGTAGTTAGTACACTTTCCCCATAATATAAATGAAGAAACTGAGGGTCAGGGAGGTTCAGAATTGACTTATGGTGACCCAGCTCAAAAGTAGTATAATCTGGATTTTAATCCAGATGCAATCTTTCTACTATACTCTACTAAACATTCTTTTTTCAAAATTTTGACATATACAATGCATTTTTCTTTATTAAATTCATCATTCTGCACTGTAGATCATTAAAACTTATTTCTCCTGTCTAACTGAAACTTTGTGCTGATTAATCAACATCTTCCCTTTCCCCATTCACCCCCATTCACCCCATCCCCTAGCCTCTGATAACCACCATGCCGCTCTCTACTCCTATAAGTTTGAGATTCTACTGTTTCAGTTTCTACATATGGGTGAGATCATGTGCTATTTATCTTTCTATGCCTGGCTTATCTCACATAGCATAATGTCCTGCAGGTTTATCCATGTTGTCACAAATGACAGAATTTCCTTCCTTTTTAAGGCTGAATAGTATTTCAGTTAACCATTCTTAAAGATATAACACACTGTGTTTTAACTGCTCCATCTTTTTGGTCTATAATTTAGCAATGGAAATAGTCCAGTTGGAAGGGGAGACAGACTGGCATTCATAAGATGTTCGAAGCTAAGCAAGCCTTACTAGGGTCAGAGCAAGCTGTAAGTAGAGTCAGCTTTAAAACTTGCAGTTTGAAATGAAATGCTATAAACCATGCTCTTAGCTGCTTTTTCTTGTTTTGGCCCACTTTTGTTCACCCCTCAAAGTATTTGTTGAAACTAATTCCCTTAAGAGGACATAATAAGTCACCTTTTATCTAAAGATCTCTAAAGGTGCAGAGTTAAGCCAAGGGCTATTGAATAAAGTCTGGAAATGCCATTCAGAAAGTTTCTGCTCCACCAATGCATTTGAGACTCTTGCTTTTCAGCCAGCCAGGCACATGGAAGCTCCCACGTGGGCAGGGAATATCCCACTGCCGGATTGAGTCACACCTCACTTCCCACCTTGGAAAGGATGAAAGCCACCATTTATGCCTGCCTCTATGTTTCCATCACTGTGCTTAGCACCCAACACGTATTGTTTTCAACTCTCTCAGCAGCGCTGCAATGTTTGTATTGTCATTCCTGGTTGGTAGTTGAGGAAACAGAAGCTTAAAGGGTGGTGAGCCCCATAAGTAAGTGACTGAATTAAGGATTTGCAATCAAGATTGTTGGACTCCAAAATCCACTGCCCTTCTACCCCTCCATTTCACTTCATGGCTTGGCCTCGAAGTGGACTCTATTCTGCACCTCAAGCAACTGCATTTCTTTGGAAAGTCATTGGACTGGGATTTTGTAATCGGCATTCATTTTCACCCCTTTATTATGCTTTCTCCTGAAAGAAGCCTGGAATACTTTTCCTTATACTCCCTTGCGCCAGGGTTCTGGATAAAATTTGCATTCTGGATGCAATGAGATGCATTTCATTCAACTTGAAAGTGGAAGCTATTCTTCTCCTCCCAGCCTTGGCACAGAGGCATGGGCTGCACAGAGAAAAGTTTGTGCAGCAACATCCATGCCCTCTTCCTGGTCCCCATCTCGATGCTAAGGAGGTTCTGTGAATTTGGAACCAGTTTTCTGTAGATCTGTTTCCTCTGGTATCCTCAGAGTCAGCACCTCTCTGACTCTGTACCACAATTATGGCAGGGAGCCTGAAAGCTGATAGCAGATGCCTAGCCTTTCCAATAATTTTGTAAGCACCTAAATCTCTGCTTGAAATCCTTCAAGTTGTTTCCAGTTTCTTGTCTGAACGTTGACCAGTGTTGTCCTTACCTTCTTCTGCATGCTTCTTTTCTTGTAAATGCTATTTAACTATAAATTTACTGCTAGATCCCAGGCCCACCCTTCTTGTCTTCTTACTTAAGACATTTCCTGGGATATCACATATCTACGGCTTCTGTTATCATCCATGTGCTGATAACTCCCAGTTTAACATTTCCAGCCCAGACCCCTATTGTGAACTCCCAAATTCAGACAGCCAAATCCAGACTGGACATGTTCACATGACTATCTTATGTGTATCCTGCCCCAACTACTATTGCTTTACACCAAACTATCCCCCAAAGCTTAGCAATGTAAAATAACCATTTTATTATGCTCACAGATTTGTGTGTCAGGATTTCAAAGAGGACACAACAGAGATGCCTGGTCTGTAATGCATCATGCCTGGGAACTCAACTGAGAAGTTTCAATGTCCAAATTTGACAATTTGGACCTAGAACTCATCTGCATATACCTTCTCTCACATGTCTGGTGAGATGATGTTCCTGTTAGCTGGGACCTCCACTGGGATATTGGCTGGAAGGCTTGCACAGGGCCCTTCCACGTGATTTCTCCACATGGGCTAGTTTGGACTTCCTCACAATATGGTAGCTGTGTCCTGGAGTAAGCATCCCAAAATAACAAGGTAGAAGTGCATAGAATCTTTATGTTCTTGCCTTGGAGGTTACATAGCATTGATTCCACCATATTCTATTGTTCAAGACAGTCACAAAGGCCAACCCAGGCTCAATAGAAAGGACTGTAGACCGCCCTATCTCTCATGGTGGACATGTCAAAGACACATTGTGAGAAAAGCATGTGGAATACAAAACAACATTTGAACCATCTCTGGAAAATACAATCAACCACACTTCTGAAATGCAGTACTTTCAAAATAAAAAGTGTTACCTTTCCTGCCTCCCTAGTATGCCCGCTCCTTATTTTTTGCCTTAGTGAATAATGCTCATTATTATTTAGGTGTTATTATTTTTTATTATTAGAGATAATGCCATTATCCCTCAGTCACTTGAGCCAGAAGCTTAGAAGTCAATATAGAATCCTATCCTACCCAGTCACACCAAAAACCCCTCCAAGCTCACTTAATTTATTACCCAGTTCTTCTAATGTTGCCTTCTAAATATATCTGGAACCCATATGTCTTAGCCTGTTTTGTCCTGCTATAACAAAATACCACAGACTATAATTTCTAATAAACAAAAATTTATTTGTCACAGTAACAGAGGCTGGGAAGTCCAAGACTGGCATCTGGTAAGGGTCTTCTTGATGCATCATCCCATGGCAGAAGGCTAAAGGGCAAGAGAGGGCAAAAGAGAGAGACAGAGTTAAAGTGGGTGGAACTCCCCCTTTTATAATGCAATAATGGCACTAATCCATTCACTCTACCCTCATGGCATAATCACCACTCTTTAGCCCTCACCTCTCAACACTGTTGCATTGGGAATTAAGTGTCCAACACATGCTTTTTTGAGGACACATTCAATCCACAGCACCATCCCCTCCTTTTATCCCTGTTGCCTTAATTCAGGCCATCAAATTCAGCACCATCTTTCTCCTTGTTTCTAGCTTCCCCCACTCCACCAACTTCCAGCCTCTAACCCATTGCATGAGCTGCTGTCAGAGTCATTTTCTAAAATTCAAACCTGATCAAGTGATCTTTTCTGCTGAAAAAGCTTCGATGCTCCCCAAATTTCCTAATTTGCTGTGGCAAGACATCTACACCAGCTCCTGCTCTACCTGCATTCTCACACTGAACTCTCTGACAGAGCCACACTTACTCTCCAACCATATGGAGCTATTTGTAGATCCCCAAACTCACTGAGGACCCTTATACTACTGCAAAACCCTTCTGCATGGAACTCTCTCTGCTCTCCTTTTTCTGTCTATCTTCTCTTTGTCCTGCAAGAACTCAACTAGGTAATTTCCTCTCCCAGGAAGCTTTCATAGTATCTCTTTGTCCTTTGCCTACTTTTTCTTCATATTTGGCTTAACCATTAGTTTTCTTTGATTTTGGCTACCTTCCAATTCTGATTGCTTTGATGATATTATGTTATATAGAACTTTAAAGCTGAAGGGAATCTCAGCAATCATGGACCGGACTCTCTTAACCCCTACTCCACCTCTAAAGAGAGCATCTTACAGCCTGTATCCTTAGCACCTCAGTGCCTGGTGTGCAGTAGTTTTTCATTATGTTGTTTAATTGAATAAATGTCCAAAAGTTTATAGCCAAGTTCAGAGGTTATGGTTTTGGAAACCATACATGATTGTCAACTTGATTTGAGTTGCCTAATCAGAAGGAGGCAGGTTGAGAACTTTCCCTTGGGCCCTTGTGGAAACATAATCCTCGCTCCCAGGGATACAGAAATCTCGTTTTAAAATGAGATTTCTCATTTTTAAAAGATCTTCAGTTTCCTATTACTGATTTCTCCAATGAAGACATTATTCATGTATGACTCACGAGTTTTCGGGATCCATCTAATTTTTTTCTAATTTTAAACCTTCTTCCTAAAATGAGAAAAAAAATCCACAGGATTTATGGTGACAAGGAAGTTACTCCAAAAATCCAAACCAAAGAAGATCTTGTTTTCTCTCTTATTTTCTCAAGAGTATTTAATTCCTTCTTATAATGTTACTAAAGACAGAGTTTTATATGGACTAAGAAAACCACAGCACGTCTTCAAAGTAAATGTAGATGTGTTCATATTTTATAAACTAGCCATCCACATCCCTAATAAATAAAACAATTACAAGCTTTTAGATTCCATATCTAGCTCTTTAATCCAAGAGCTTTCTTGACAAAGGCAAGGTGTTGAAATAGTAAAGTGATCTTTTTGTTTCTCAGAATGAAAAACAGATTAAGTGTTAAAAAATAGAAGAGAGACGGTAGTAACAAGGACACTTCATTTCCTTCCTTCTTCTGCCTTCTATAGAAAAGAAAAAAGGCAAGATCATCTCTATTGTGACCACCAGCATTTATCAGGTTTGCCTGCTGTCACTGTAATGATGTATAGTGTTCTAAAAGGAAGAATCCCAGGAAACTGCTTAGATCACTCTCTCTAGTAGAATCAAGTAAGGAGTGATAACTTTTCCTATAGCAAGTTCCAACTACACTTTGAATCTAAAATGTAGAAAAATATTTAATTCTTATGAGAATGGAAGAAAAGGCCAAGAATTATTACAGTGGCTTTTTAAAAATTATAATAACTTATACTGGGTAATTCAAAAATATAACACTCATTCATTGTAAAAAAATTTAGAAAATATTGTTTAACAGCAATAGAAAAAAAAATCTCCTATAATCACATCATCCAGAGATAAATATTGTTACCGTTTTAGCGGTTTCTCTCTCGCTCTCTTCCTCCCTTCACTTTGTGTGTGTGTGTGTGTGTTTGTGTTTGTATGCTATGTATGTATAAACTGGACTCAAATATATATATTAAGAAAATGAGCTCACATTCTTCTTTTTTTTTTTTTTTTTTTTTTTTTTTTTGAGACAGAGTCTCACTAGTCACCCAGGCTGGAGTGCAGTGGCTCGATCTCGGCTCACTGCAGACTCCACCTCCTAGGCTCAAGTGATTCTCCTGCCTCAGCCTCCCGAGTAGCTGGGACTACAGGTATGTGCCACCGTACTAGGCTAATTTTTTGTATTTTTAGTAGAGATGGGGTTTCACCACATTGGTCAGGCTGGTCTCAAACTCCTGACCTCAAGTGATCTGCCCACCTCAGCCTCCCAAAGTGTTGGGATTACAGGTGTGAGCCACTGTGCCTAGCCTCATATTTGATATATTGTTTTATAACCTAAGTTTTAATCCCTTTTAAAATAATTTTAATAAATTAATTTAATTGAACCATTATGCCAATGTAAAAAGATAGAGTATTTAACCAATTCTCTGCTACTGGGCAGCAATGGCTTTTTCTTTTTTTCCCCTGAGACAAGATGTCACTCTGTCACCCAGGCTGGAGTGCAGTGGCACAATCTCGGATCACTCCAACCTCCACTTCCCATACTCAAGCGATTCTCCCAACTCAGCCTCCCGAGTAGCTGGACCACAGGTACATGCCACCACGCCCAGCTAATTTCTTTATATTTTTGGTAGAGATGGGGTTTCACGGTGTTGCTCAGGCTGGTCTGAAAGTCCTAAGCTCTAGCCATCTGCCCACTTTGGCCTCCCAAAGTACTGGGATCACAGGCATCAGCCATCACACCCGGCCAGCAATGGCTTTTAAATGATAGATTTGTTTGACATTAGTGGCTGGCCAAGCTACTTTGGGTGGGAATTGGAAGAAGACTGAGCAACCAGGTGGTACAAAAATCTGGCAATTTCTACCCAAAACTGGGCATCTACCAGTTACACTGCATTTTCCAGTGGGTGTGAAAAAGTAGGGGGACACAACCCTGGTGGGGCACCCCTACCAGAGTTTCTGTCTGGGACTTGGCCTGCTCTGGTCTGAGCAGATTATGTGACTCTGTTGTCAGCATTCTTACAGAAAAAGAGAATTTCCTCCTTCCTTATAAATACAAATTGCCCTATTAAAAAATAAATTCAATAGACCAAAACATGGACTCATAAAAAATAAAGTGGAATATGACAATTCACATTTTAAAAGGATTCTTTGTCCAAATCACTCCCTTCTGAAAAATCTTCCAAACACCCATTGCTCTTGATACAGAACTCCTTAACATAGCATTAGGGTCTTTAAAATCAGAATTATCTCCAACTACTCCCAACCCTCAGTACTCAGTACCTCATATTCAAATTACACCCAACTACTAGCTTTTTCTTTGGAAATGCTATGAAAGTTTACATTTTGCTTCGTAATATTGTCTGTCTTTGATGCCATGCTCTTCCTTTCACTTGCCCCAGTTGGAAAAATCCCACTCATCTCTTAAATCCAGCTTTGTGTATGTGTGTGTGATAAGGAATTTATCCTTGCCCTCTGGGACCCTGGTGTGTCATGCCTGGTAGGAGTAGTATCCTTGTTTGCCTGGGGCCTTTGGTTATGCAGAATAGTCTGACATTGTGAATTTAGTGTATAGGCTGGCCACACCAACTAATATTTAGAGTGGGGGCTGACCAAAAGACCAGCACTATAAGGTAGGGTGGAGGCTTTGAGACACATGGTATCAGTTGACTTAGAAACTGAGATCAACGATATGGGCAATCAATTAATTATGCCTATGCGACGGAGCCCCAGTGAAAACTCCGTTGAGGCTCCCTAGGTGGCAATACTTCACGCCACACGTTGATGTTGTTACACATCAGTGCTGAGAAAGTGAGGCTGTCCATGACTGAGCAGGGAGAGGACAATGGAATCTCTGTGTTCAGTACTTCCCCAGGCTCTGCTCTATGTACTTGGCTATTTTTTCCCTGCCTGATTTCAATCTGTGTCCTTTCCCTGTAATAAACTGTAACTGTGAGTGTAGCAGCTTTCAATGAGTTCTGTGACCTTCTACAGAACTATCAAACCTAAAAGTTTGAGGACCCCCTGAACTTTCAATTTGAGTTAGAAGTGAGGGCAGCCTTGTGTAGACTGTGCTCCCTCTAACTTCGTGGTTTAACTCTCACAGTGTGGCCTCCCCTAAAGAGACTCTTCTGACTTCTCCAGGCCCTTCCTCTGTGCCCCATGCCTTTTCATACCATATAATAACACTTATTTCAGGATTTATGCTTATATTTGTTTCCTATCATCATACTTGGTGGCTTAAAGCAGCACACATTTATTATATTATAGTGTCAGAATCGGTTTTACTGGGCTAAAACCAAGCTGTGAGCAGGGCTGTGCTCCTTCTAGAAGCTATAGAGAAGAATCTGCCCTTTGCCTTTTCTGGTTTCTAGAGGTTGCCTGCATATTTTGGCTTGTGGTCCCTTCTTCCATGATTCAAAGCCAGCAGCACAGTACACTCAAATCTCTCTCCTATTCTGACACTCCTGCTGCCCTCTTATAAGGACCCCTGCTATTACACTGGGACCATCCAGATAATCTAGGATAATCTTCTCGAGATTCTTAGCTGAACCACATCTGCAAAGTCCCTTTTGCCACGTAAGGCAACATATTGAGAGTTTGGGAGGATTAACACAAGGACTTCTTTGGAACAGTCATTATTCTGTTTACCACAATGCTTGATTTTTTAATCCAAAATTCACTTCACAGTTTATTTAGATATCATAAACCCTCTATTTGCATTAAAGTAACTAACAAGAATTATAATTATTTACTTGGGAATTATTGTTGAGATTCCTTAATCTATTCACAATGGCAGCTATAGGGTCATGTAAAGATCAGCTGAGACAATTAATATAAATCACTAAGAACAGTACCTGACACATAGAAACTGCACAAATAATGTTGGTTTATTATTATTATTATTATCATCATGACTATTATTGTTATTATTACTATTATATATCTCTTATACATAATGATGGGGCAAAGTATGGTAAAAGTCAAAATGTCTTCCTGAAAGAGAAAAAAAGTCAAATGTTTACTACAGATTTTAGAAAGTGTGCAAGAAGCAATAGGATCTATGGGAAAGGAAGAATGGCAATAAGTTGGAGGCATTTTATTCATTTAATAATCTTACCTTGGAGTATTTATCCATATCCATTGTATATGGATTGTTCAGAGCAGTTTGTAATCAGCGTTGAAGCAAAGCAGAAGGCAGAAAGATTAACACTGCCTTTTTCTAGTCCACTAGTGAGTCTGAAGCTGGTGGAGAGAGGAGCCTGCCCTCTGTGTGAAGAGGGACAGATATAATTCCCACAGAGCTTCTTCAGAAGCTCGCCCACGCCCTCCAGGTTCCTACCTACCTCACTGCCTATTCAAAGTCTGGGGACAAAGTGAATAAGGATAATGATGTGAAAGTAAATACAACATGTTGGTAATTACTCCTAGGTTCTGTCCTTTCATAAAATCTAAGAAAATTGCACTTTAAATGTCTATATTCATAATGCAGCTGTGATATATTCATTCTGGTATTACTTTTTTGTCTGTCTGGAATTTTAAAAAAGGTGCATTTCATTGGAGAACAGTACATTTTTTATTTTAAGTGGAATAGAAAAAAATTGATTTTTTTCTAAGCCCTAATTGCAAACATGTCAAATAACATGTCACATTTAAAGGCTGTCATGGGAGCCAAACAGTGTAATTGTATATGGACAGTGCTATCTAATTTAGCTGGGTTAGTATGATTTACTAGGATGTTTTGCTATTGGTTGCATTATTTAGATCTTTGATAATCTTCTTCTTTTCAATGGTAATCTAAATCTGGAAATACTCACTTTTTTTGGCCTCAAGAGGTCATTTTTGTCAATCAAATTATCCGGATGCACCAGAAACTGAGCCTGAAAAAAAAGGTGCAGAAAGAAGAGTCCCAGCAGGCTAGGAGTTTACAAAGCAGAACACTGGTGTACAAGCACAAGATAAATGTGCTGGTTAGGGCTTTCTGGGGTTTGTTTGCATGTGTTCTATGGAACTCTGTAATTGTGGAAAATTCATGACCAAATTTATTTTTTTCTCTCAAAGTCCTTTGATTTCCTAATATTTCTTAATAAAATATTAATTCAGGTCAAAGCATTAGTTTGCCAAACTTGGATTGGGTTGCAGCATATTCAATACAATTTGTTTTCAATAAGAATTGAAAGCAAGCTATTTCTAAGTCACATCCATGTGGTACATTAGATACATTTTTAAATCTTTGAACTTGATCCGTGTAAATGTGTCACTGTGTTTATGGGCTTACAGCCCTGTTATGAGAACCTCTAGGCTTATAAAATGAAAGTATGCTTTGCCACAGTTGAGGTGCTCATAAATGCATTAGTACCGATGGCTGTGGTTTGGAACTCTTCATCAGGCATCCACATCCCCTTTCATCAGTTCCAAGCTTCATGCTACATGCAAGCATAGATGTGAACATCAATATCAACTGTCTGAGGAAAAAGCAGCAGCCTAGTCAAAGGCAGCTGGTGCTTCATGAAAAAGTCTGGGAAAACACCCCATAAATAACTGCATTATGATACATACTGTAGCTACCAAGACACTTTCTTTCTTCTAAATTTGTAGTGAACTTTCAATCTGGAAGTTGTCATGTTGACAACAAAAGTCTTCCCATGAGCGATTCATAACCTGGAAACTAGCTTCTAAGGTAGCTGGGTTTGTTAACATCTGCAACAACTTGAAAAGGTGTTTTTTATCTGAAAGAAAGGAAAAATGGTCTATGAAAGGAAATCCTTTAAATAATGAGGTGGGTGGCTCTGGACATCATACAGCTATGGAACTCTTTGCTGAAGCACTCTATGGAAAATACAAAGATTCTAGTTCTATACCACTAGTAAGTCTATCAATAGGCTCAATATTATCACTTAGTGATAAGCAGATCTTGAAAAGGAAGAAAAGTAGAATTTTTGAAACTACAATTAATTGAAAAAGTGGATTAAAGCACTGAGTGAAAAACACTTATGAATATATTCCTTATTGTTTAACCTATGACATAGACATGTGCATTTGTCCATTTCTTCATTTAACGCTATTTATTAACACTGTGTATGTACTAATTGCAATTCTTTGTTGACTTTATTTACACACCAGACCCAGAATGCATCATCTGTCATTTCTATCTCCAGTTTCTTTAAAACACAGTGAGAAATTTGAGAGCTTATGATGTAATCTTAGTCCAAGATCCATCTAGATTTGTATGAAATATTTTTCCATTTTTTATAGTTTCTCTTGCCTGTACTATATTTGAGGGCAATTTTTTTAAACAACATGTTGTACCAAGACTGCAAAACCCTCACTGCTCTTTCATTCAGGCCATTTCTCAGGGTTGTTTATGCAGCAACTTTGAGAGAGGAGATAATGTCTCCTCCCAGACAAAGGGTAGGCTTGCTTACTGCTTGCTATAAAAGAGAAAGATTCCCTAAATTCAATGTTCCTTATCTGCAATACAAACTAAATGCATTTGTAGCATCCATGGTGCCCATAACATTGCCCTGGTGAGACTCAGAAGTGAAAGAAACTGATGCAAATATGCTGATGCTCCTGTTGCTTGCAGTGCTGTGAATAATAGTCGAAGCAGGTTTATGCTGGTTAAGATGATTATGTACAATCAGTTTAGACAGCACATACTATGCAAATAAAGGGCAATACTTATCTCACTTTAATAAGAGTGAGTGAGTTGAAGCTGATTACATCATATAAATAATGACCATCATGAAAAGGGGTAATAACCATATAGTTGGTCCCAAAATAAAAATTCATGAATATAAAAGAAAATTAGATATGCTCTTCTATTCTTAGATTTGTTCCCTAATAATAGTTGATTCTTAGTATTTTCCAGAACAATTAGGCAACCTTCAATAGGATTTTTAGGAGTGTTAACAATCCTGCCATGCCATAGTCATTTGCTTGGTCAAGTCTAGATTTGATTCCTATTAGATGTCACAACACACATATGAAAGTAAAGACTTTTAAGAGAGTATAGGCAAGAGTCGCCATATAACATTCCTTCCACATAAAATCGTCTGTTTTCCATTGGATATAATCAAATTAAACTGTGAGGAAAATGAAAAGGCATAGTTTCTTCTATCCAACTACTTACTACATTTTATGAGCATAATACTTGTCTCCTATTAAAAGTATTAATTTCTGGATGCCATCAACACTGTATGCTATCAAATTATACATGTTTGATTTGATTTTTATAAAATCAAAATTATTTTATGTATTAATTACAAATATTGTAGGTATGTGTTGTAGAAAATGAGGACTACCCAGAACAATACAAGGAAGGAAATTATCAATGATCTTCACTATTATAGAATAGTCACTACAATTTTATTGGGTATTTAGGTTGTTCTCAATTTTTTTGCTATTATCTTCTTAAATGTTGTATGTTAAGATAGCACTGTAGGCCAGGTGCAGCGGCTCACACCTGTAATCCCACTTTGGGAGGCCAAGACAGGAGGTTTACTTGAGGCCAGGAGTTCACGAGCAACCTAGGCAACATAACAAGAATCTGTCTCTACAAAGAATAAAAAAATAATACTAGCTAGATGTGTTGGTGCACACTTGTAGTCCCAGCTACTCAGAAGGCTCAGGTTGGAGGATAGCTTGAGCCTGGGAGGTCAAGGCTGCAGTGAGCCGTTATCACACCACTGCACTCCAGCCCAAACAATGGAGCAAGACCCTGTCTCAAAAAAAAATAAAAATAAAAATAGCACTATGACAGATAAACCTTTTAAATCTCAACAGGTTAACACAGTAGAATTTTATAACTTTATTTATTGCTCATGTACTATCCCAACCAGTGTTTCTGATCATCAGGTGACTGTCTTCCAAATGATGATCCAGGGATGCAAGATCCTTTCATATCATGGTTCCGCCATCTTTAACATATGGCTTCCAGGGTCACCATGGAAAGGGAAAGAGTATAAACACTCCTCAGTAAGACTGGAAGTGGCACACATCACACATCACTTCTGCTCACATTCCATTGGATAGAGCTTAATCAGATGGCCACCTCTAACCACAAGGAAGGCTATGACATATATGTTAGCTGTGTGTCCTGGAAGATGAGGAAACAGGCTTGCTGGTTAGCTAACCATTTCTGCTACATATTGGTTGTACATAATCCTTGTGGGTAAATCTTCTCAAAGTCTTAATTATATCTTTAGAGAAATTTCCAGAAATGAAGAATAATTTTATTATTTTACAAATATTTTGAACATATATCAGATTTCTAACTTCTCATCACAGCCTTAAGATATAGATTGAATATGTTCGGATTCTTATCAGGAGTCCTGGTTTACTTGAAGCTGTAGGAAAAAATCATGAATTGGCAGACTTTATGCCCTGTGATCATTTTCTTGATAATAAAACATTGATGAGAAGCTAGACTTTTTTAGGTAAATGTGTGTATGTGTGTGTGTGTGTGTGTGTGTGTGTGTGTACCAGAGTATAGTTAAATATCATATGTAAATGCATTCCAGTTATTTTTAGAGGTATATTCACATTTCTACAAAATTTTACATGTAAGAGAATCATTTCCTTAAATATAAATTTCTTCTGAAAAATTATTTTAAAAATTGAATATGCCTATAACTTAAAAATTCAAATATGATACTTTTGAATTTGTAGTTTCTTATTCGTACATACCAAAAGTCATCCTGAAATTATGTTTTATTCTGTATGTATTCTCTACAAAAAATAACCAGCAAAAAAAGGCAAATTCTAACAAGGGTGAATATAATTCCCTGGAATCTAAAATATAAGTTGCTGTTAACAGTGCTTAATATATGTTTGCATGTTTCCTCTACCATGAAACCTGCTCCCCTGTGCCTTCTCAATTGTTCACAAATTTGATAATTGCATTTACTTCTTTTTGACAATTTTCTCTAGCTTTTCTTTTAATGATTATATGTTCACTTAAATTATTTATAAAATGGATATTTTCACACAAACAGTTTACTGGATTATTTTCTTCCTCAGTACTAAATACGGCATTAACTTCTTTTCTGTATTTCCTCTTTAAAGTGACGGTTAACACTTAACAATAATCCTGTCTTGAAAGAGAAACTACGGTTCAGAGACTTGAACCAAATGAAATATCGATTCAGGTTGGAGAATATTTTGATGTTTTAGTTTTGTTACAGTTCAGTTGTTTTAGAAAATATGTAGGTTTGGATTTAGTTCAGAGTGGTTCACTGGGTTTTTTGTTTTTAATGGATTTGATTTATAGTTCTGTAAAAAGTTTAATATTGGGTTTAGGTCAGAGAGGACACATTCAGCAAAATAGTTGTTTGTTTCCAATTTTGGTTCATGGATCATTACAAGGCCTTGGTGTTGTAGTTCTTTCCAGAGCCACAGCATGAAGTTTGCACCTCACTATGGAGTCTTCCTTTAAGAATACAATAGATGTTATTCACTCCCAGAATTGTGAGCACTCACAGTAGACCTCATGCTATTATACACATCCTACGTGACATAGAAAGATAGAAAAAAGTTGCATGTTGGGGAAATAGTTGAGTCTTAAGCTATGACAGAATTTATTCTTTATTTTCCTACATATGGATAGGAAATTTCCTATAATCTCACATTTCAAATCTTTACAGCCTAAATTTTCAATTGATTTCTTCTTTTTTGTCTATTTAACCATGCCTTTTAGTGAGCTTTGCTTTCAGAACTTTGCAAACTTTTAGGAGACTCAACGAAAAGCTAGTGCCCTAATCAGTTCCATCTTTTTGCTCTTATTTTAATGTCTAAATGTGGCAAAGGATTATCAAGTTATTAAGTAGAGAGGTAGTTGTAGTAATATTCTTCCAGCCTAGGAATGTTTTATACAAAGCTACACTTTAAAATATTCGTGGGGTTGTCATTGAGTATAATAATATTTAAGGTGAAGAAAGAGGGCAAAATCCTCTCACTAAAAAAACTCTTTAAAGGCTGGATAAATAGTAAGGAGTGTGTTTAATACAACTAATTTATAGATAAATGTGGTGCCAAGCTAGAATACATTAACAAGGTAAGGCTTCAGGGTCTCTAGGTAAGATAATATATTGCTTTCATTAAAAAGCAATCTGCATGGACGATATCCACCACCACTGGAAACTCTGCAGTTGTCACCTTTATCAGGGGAACAAGAGCAAGCCACTACATTTTAATCACTGGAGTTTGTCAGGAACGAAAAACAGCCAGCTTCCCACAAATCAACAGACATGTATCCTGATAAGGGAAGTGCATTGGAAAAGGACAGCTACATACCACATGACACCACCTATTCCAGGGTGATCAAAGCTCCATAATTGTTGAAGATAAATCTACTGAATTGGGCTTTAGGATGAAATAGTTGTCTTTGAACAAAGTAGACACATACTTGTACAAATTACCCACAACTTAGAACACTGTTAGATCTAAGTATATTTTGCAATGTGGGAAGGAATGAGTGATAGAATGGCAAAGCGTGGGGCATCGTCACACTATACTTGTTCCAATAACTCATTTCTGGCTATATGATCCTTTAATCAAATTAAGAAGATATCGTGAAAAAACTGGAATAAGAGTCAGTCAGAACAAGACATCTGAGTGGAAACAAGACACTTGCATAAATGAGACAGAAATGGGGAATTATTTTTTGACATGCTCATACCTCTTATACCTGCACTTAGGGAAACAGTGAGACTAGCCCCAGCCCAACAACGCCATCCCAGACCTGTTCCAGTTCCTCTGAACATAGGTCCTCACAATAGAGCTCTTTGTTCAAGGTGGCTTGAGAGGGTCTTTGTACTTTCAATATAAGAACCTAACTTTAAAAAGAAAATGTTACAAACAAGCAACAACAAAGCAAAATCTGGATATATCTAAACACTACCATATTTTTAAGGACTGTTGCATCACAATGAAAAAGCTGACTATAAGATAGAAATGCAGAGTTGGCCAAACAGAGGTTAAAATGTATGAATAAGAGTGCCTCGAAACCAACGACAGCTTAAAGATCAGCTTACAGCTGAAGTGAAGATCAACTTACAGCTTACAGCTAAAGACGATGAAACGTGTGAGGATAAAACAGGGTGGGGAAAAGAGGATCAGTTACTCACAGGGGGAGAAAACAAGAAACTGAAGTCTAGCTTTGGAAGCCATCCAGAGTCACAACCTAGGGGATTGTGATCTATTTTAAAAACTCACATAGGTCTATAGTCTCTGGCTTAAATTATACTTGTTGAATGCTAGCTACCCAAATATCATTAGAATAACCTGTTAAGAAGACAAACCTGAGTTTATTGCTTATCAAAAGAGAACATCAACTTCACAGACTTTATTGTTATTATTTTTTAGAGATAGGGTCTTGCTCTGTCACCCAGGCTTGAGGGCACTGGTGTGATCATAGCTCACTGCAGCCTCGAACTCTCAGGCTCAAGCAACCCTTTTGTCTCAGCCTCCCAAGTGTCTGGGACTACAGACACTGCCACCATGCTGGTCTAATTTATTTTTATTTTTGGTAGAGACAGGGTCTTGCTATGTTTCCCAGGCTGGTCTTGAACTGCTGGCCTCAAGTGATCCTTCCATCTCAACCTCCAGAGTAGTTGGGATGGCTACAGACTTTTTTAAAAAAATTTATAAATAGAGGGGAGATTCATGTAACATAAAGCAAACCATTTTAAAGTATACAATTTAGTAGCATTTAGTACATTCGTAATTTTGTACAACCATCACCACTAATCTAGTTCCAAAGATTTTCATCATCCCCAAAGGAAATCCCATAAATATTAAGCAGTCACTCCCTATTTTCCTACCACCACCACCCAAACCACTGGCAACCACTAATCCGCTTTCTGTGTCTATAGCTTTACCTACTCTGGATATTTCATATACATGGAATTATACAATGTGTGACATGTTATATCTGGATTCTTTCACTTAGCATAATGTTTTTGAGGTTCATCCATTTTATAGCCTTTCTTATGGCTGAATAGTGTTTCCTTATATGGATAACCACATTTTGTTTATTCATTCTTCCATTGATGGGCATTTGGGTTTTTAGGTTTTTCTGTTTGTTTTCAGCATTTGGCTATTGAGAATAAGACAGGCTTGAGGGAAGGGCAAGGTCTGGTATTTACTGGAATTGTGAAGTCTGCATTTAAGGTTGTCCTTTCAAAGTGGAGACTTGAGTAGGATTGGTTAAGGATCATGATATAATAGTTTGGGATTGGTAGAAACAGCAAGCATCTTGAGGCAAGGGTTCAAGGAGTCTTGGATATGAACTACCTTTTGATGCTTTCTATTGAAAGTTGATGGATCTTTCAGGAAATTCATGTAATAAGCAATCAAGTTATTGACCTGGACAAGAGACTCTTGAAATAGTAAAGTTATGCTATTGAAAGCAATGAAATAGTAGCATCATGTTAATATAGACAACAAGCTGTGGTGGGGAAAAAAAGAGTTTGGTTCTCACACCACGAGAGACAGAGATACATTAAAAAGACACATTTTCTGGCAATATTGAGAGCAGAAGTGCTCTTGAACCATTCTAATCATAAAATTCATAAAACAAGTTAAAACACTATCTATCCATATGATGCCTTTAAGAATAGTAAGATCCTCTGGGGTCAGCATCGTATTTGTTGGCCCTTTGTATCAGCAGTGTATCGTATTATTTAGCACACAGTAGCAGCTTCCTAAAATCTCTGAGAGTAATAATTATATGATACTCTCATAGTGGGTAACTAAGCAATCTAAAAATTCAGACTAAAAATTCCTCTCAAGATACTGCATATTTTGCCAATAAAAACAAGCATTGCTTTAAATATCTTAAATTAGTTGCTTAATGTCATCTATGCTCATGGGAAGATTTTCTATCATTTAACAAATAATAATTCTTTGCAATTTGGACATTAACCAGTCTCTAAATGATATCAGAGAAATTGGAATGTCCTTGCAAGGTAAGAGCTGTAAAGACTAAAATAAACTTGGCAGCCAGGCTAAGTATCCAATAGCTGATGCTTCCTGATAACACAGAGCATATTTATAATGAGAGTTTCCTGTAATTAAAGAAAAACTAACTGTAAAGGAGTAGAAAGAACAAATATCTCATTCCTGCTGCCTTTGGATCGATCAGAAAGAGTATTGCAAAAATAAAGGCTTGTCTATTTATTTTCAAATAGAAATAATCAAAGCAAACATTGTACTCTGCAAAGGAAAAGATCTCTTGGCTTCATAGAGTGTATAACTCTCAAATCCTTGATACCTTTGTTAAGCTATAAAGAGTGCATTAGTTTACCAGCTACTAAGTACTGCCAGTGGGGAAAGAAAGTGGATCACCTGTAAGTCACTTGTTTTTGAAAAGCCATTGCATGTTTTGGAAACAAAATAATTATCCTTGCTAAGAATAATAAATATTACTTCAGAGAATTGTTTTAGTCGATCCTGAAGTATAAGGGTCATTTGCATTTTTGCATTTCATAACTTTCCCCTAGAACTCTTTTCTTTTAATTGTGGTAAAATGTACATAGCATAAAATTTACCATTTTAACCATTTTTAAAGTGTACAGTTATGTGGCATTATGTACATTCACTTTGTTATGCAACCATCAGCACCATCCATCTCCAGAATTTTTCATCTCTCCCAACTGAAACTCTGTTCCCAGTAGGCAGACACTTCTTAGTTCCCCCTCCACCCAGCTCTAGCAACCGCCATTTTACTTTCTAAGTATCACTGTATGATTCCGCTTTCTGTCTACCCTAAGTATTACTCTATGATTCATTATATAAGTGAGAGGAATCATATAGTGTATTTTTTGTCACTGGTTTGTTTCACTTAGCATCAGGTCTTCAAGGTTTATTCATATATGAGCTTGTGTCAGCATTTTCTTCCTTTTTTATGGCTTAATAATGTTTCATTGTATGTATGTATCACATTTTGTTCATCCATTCTTCTGCCAATGAACTCTTGGGTTGCCTCCACCTTTCAGCTATTGTGAATAATGCCCCTATGATCATGGGTGTATAAATATTTCTTTAAGTTCCTGATTTCATCTCTTTTTGGTATACACCCAGAAGTGAAATTGCTACATCATCAGGTAATTCTATGTTTAATTATTTGAAGAATCGCCATACAGTTTTCTGCAGTGGCTGCACCATTTTAGATTCCCACCAACAGTGCAAAAAGATTTCAATTTCTCCACAACCTTGCCAGTACTTGTTTTGTTTTGTTTTGCTTTTTAGTAATAGCCATTATCAAGAGTGGGTGTAAAGTGGTCTTTGGTCTTCTTGACACTCTTTTCCCCATTTCTTTGGCTTGCATTAGTTAAATAAGGAAATAAGCTTTTAAATACAATGGATACATTTTGTTTTACGAGGGGAAAAAAATAGACAGCACTTAATGAGACTCTCAGCCTGTGCTAAGGGGAATAAGAATGACCAACATTGACTGTTCAGAATAATACTTGGAGGAATCGTTTTAAGTTTCATCTTGATCTTTCTGGGCAAGGTTTAGTTTGTGTCTCCTTAAGAAGAGAAAGCAAAAAGAATATTCCAGTCTTCAGCAGGGTTCATAGAATGTTTTAAGGAAGCCAGTACAATGCCCTATTTCTCGTTTGCCCTGATTTTGATGTTATAGACAGAATGATCAGGGAACATCACCATTTTACCAGGAGTCTCATCACTAGGGTTCCATCCTGGTTTATCACACAGTTTCTCAGTGGTCTTGGGCAAGTCATTTAACACTCAAAACTTCAATTTCTGGATTTGTAAAATAAGGATGTTAGAGTTATTATCTCCAAGGACCCTTCCAGTTCTGGGATCCCCTTTAATATGCAATAATCTTCAAGAGTTACCTAGAAAGACAACACTTTAGAAGTGAAGAATTAGGTAACAATCTTGTAAGTAAAAGCAGTGTAGAAAAATGGATGAGTTCACTCAAAAAAAAATTCCATTTCATGTAGTGTTCTGTGGATTGACAGATCACATAAAATGCACACATCAGAACGTAGCCTATGACTTGCTGTCATATGAAACCACATAACAATTTTGTGACAATATTGACAGACATAGAAAAATCTGAATTTTGTCGTCTCTAATCTAGCTCTCTGTCATCCGAAACCTTATTTGTCAGCAGATGTTGTGGGATTTGAGTGGTTGCTGGGTAATCTGGAATTCTTGATTAATATATCAGTTACCCTGGATAATTCTAGGAAAGTTATGAGAACTTAAAAGTTTATTTAATTTCTCAAGTTTCTAGGCACTGATTCTTCTTTAAACATGAGACTGCTATCAGTTAAATAGAGCCTCCTTAGACAAGAACTATTATCCTCTGATATGATTAAAATCTAAGGTTGAAACAGTTCAGAAATATCTAAGCCATCAAATAATAAGATTTTTCACTAATTTTCATCTCAATTCACTAGCTTATAAAATCTAAAGTCCTTTTGTTTGCTTTATTTTCATGATGGACTAAAACATATTGTTTTCTAACTAGGATTTTAGAGTAAATTGGATTATCCCAACTCTACTTCCTACTTGTGCCTTTGGGAGAGCCATTTAGCCATTCTAAGCTTGTTCCCTTTTGGTTTATAATTCCATAGAGACAAGGATTTAGTAAAATATCTGGACCATAATAGATACTCAACAAATATTTATGGAGCGAATGGATGTTTTGTTTCTCCTAGACACTATATTCTCCTTATAGTCACCAATAATAAATGATTCTGGGCAGTATTTGGTCTCCACTGGGTTATTTTTGCTCTGCAGGGTGTCACTTGCACAAATGTTACACAGCTTTTTTCTAAGCTTCTTGGTTTTCCATTCAGGAGACCCTTGTAAATAGTAAATACCGTGAGGGTAGGAAATTTTTGCTTACCGGCTTACTACTAAATATACTCACTATTTTAGGTTGCAGACTTATTTTGTAAAGTACTCAACCAGCTTTTGACTGGAGCTTTTACAGTTAAATAAAAGAGAAGCTCCTACCAAACCCCATGTTAATCAAGGATTCATTTCCCGTGGTCATGCCCACTAAAAACATATGTGAGTTCTTGTGTGGTCCTATTTGTTCAATGTAAATCCTTCCATTGATATTACAAACTCGGGACATTTTCTAGGATATGGGGAAATACTTTTTCTAAAGTCTAGGAAAGTCAATAAAGGGAAATGGTATATTACATACTCATATTTAAGGGTAGTGTTATACTCTGGTATCTTGAATAGAAGAAAAATTAAGTGGTTTTCCTTGACTGTCTTTTTCTCTTGGAATAAAAATCTCTGTAATCCATCAGCCAGAAAACTACTTAAATAGCATCACCAATCGTCTGTTGGCCAGGAAAGGAAACCACATTGTCTTTTCTGTTTTCTTGTACTTTTCAAGAGCGAATCTGAGTATTTCACGTTGATTGCTTGATTGGCTGCAGAGGGACTCTTTAAAAATACTAAAAAAAATCAGGAATCCAGTACAAATCAAACATAAGCTGCCATCAATCACATGCTTAGGGCATTATGTGAGGTTTTTACTCAGAAAGATGTCATTAAAAGTTGCAGAAATTAATTGGTGCCATTGAATGTAATGGTCTTTCCTGCCATAGTTTCTCAAATGTAAAGAAAAATTATGGATAACATAAATTCCTCGTGGGATTCTTATAGATGTCTGCTTTGTTCTGTTATTGTTTATTGCAAATGTTATTACTGTGATCTATGGCCCTATCATGCTTTGTCTATACTGCACTGCCATTCTGCAGCCCACAACAACGGAGGACTTTACTCACAAGCAAAGACCATGTTTATTTGGAAATTCTTTGCTTTATATATTCCAAAAGTGTCTCAAGGTGTTCATTTCGTGTGTTTAAATTTTTATACAAAAACAGATTCGTTCTGATTGATTAAATATTGACTTATTCCATTTTTAGAATAACTCTGAATCTTATTTAAGTTCAGGGCTTGTGTTCTGCTTTCCCAGAAGGTTTGAGTTCAGTGTAATAATGGCTATTACTTTGTGTGAATCAATGCATCGGGATTTGCAATCTTTCTCAATAACAACATTGGTTTAATTAGTAGTGGTTTAAAAATTTGACTCTTAATTAGGGAGCAATTTTAAATCTCTGAAAAAAGTATGAGAAAAATAAATATCTGTTTTGCATATTAAATGCTGTCCTATTAAAGACATATCAAATACTGTGTAACCTATAACTCCATATCTAAATTATAGTACATTGTAATCTGATATCACTAAAGATTAACCTTTTGTTTAGGGATATTTATTTTAAAAGGCATGCTTTTAAAATAAGTGATCAGTTTTCACAGTGGTCCACAGTAGTCTTATAGAATATTCTTTTGGGCCGGGCGTGGTGGCTCACGCCTGTAATCCCAACACTTTGGGAGACCGAGGCGGACAGCGATCATGAGGACAGTAGTTCAAGACCAGCCTGGCCAACATCGCGAAACCCCGTCTCTACTAAAAATACAAAACTTTAGCTGGGCATGGTGGTGGACACCTGTAATCCCAGCTACTTGGGAGGCTGAGGCAGGAGAATCGCTTGAAACCAGGAGACAGAGGTTGCAGTGAGCAGAGATCGTGCCATTGCACTCCAGCATGTGTGACAAGAGCAAGACTCCGTTTCAAAAAAAAAAGAAGAATATTCTTTTGTTAGACGTGGCCCTCACGACAGATACCATGTGGTATCCTCAGCCCTAAGAGCAGAGGACTAATGAATATAAAATAATGCCATAATTCCTGCCATAAAAATAAGCTTTCGGAACACACTTCTGGTTAAAAGTAAGGCAAAGGGATTAAAAGTTGGGTCACTGTGAAACAGCCCCTTCTGTAAGCAGGGACTTTCTATAAGAACCCAGTGCAAACCCCCCATGACCCCTTGGGGCTCTCTTCCACCATTGCCCATTAGCTACTGGGCTTGGGAGAGTAAGTGTCTCCTGGGTGTGGCTGAGTAAGGTTCGAAGTATCTGGGTCTCCAGACTTGGTGTGTGTCACCAGGCAAGCTAGAAACTTGACTGTCATGTTTGGTAGAGATGCCTCTACTGCCAAAATGAGCATCCGACGCCTTCCTACTCACCAGATCACCAGCCTTCTGTCTGTCTGCCACTGTTCTGACAGTTCATGCCCCACTCTTGCCATCTCAGGGAAGGAACAGACCTTCAACTTGGGCTCCATATAGTGTCATTTCCCATACAGTAAAATTTCCTTTCTAAAAATACCAGCTATTCTCTAGGTTTAGTAACATCACAGGTTCTATCTGTCCATGTAGACAATATGGATCAAGTTCACATCCCTCCAAACACCTGAAGGAATGCTCTCCTTGGGTGCCTTCCTAGTAGCATTCTATGTTATGTGGATAATACGACCAACTCCAACTTCAAAGAACAGTGAGTTTCTAACTGCCTACATATTCTTACATAATATTATTTAAGTTAAAATAATTTTAGAGTTTTATAAACCTTAAGTTTTAGAAGACTTTTAAAAGCATTTAATCCAGGTCATTTCAAACAAAGATTTATGGCTCAGTCATGCATTAAATAGATAAAGATCCATACATCTTGTAGAACTTTTTCTGGATATTCTGAACATAAGAGACATTTTTGTGTAAAAAATCAGATCTCTAGATTCTCTAGATCCCCTAGAAGATCTGGAAATGCTGAATATGTATTCCATTGTGGTAAATGTCAGCTGAACCTGAGTGATAGCGGCTCCCTGCAAGGTGCTCCACTGTTCCTCAGAGTCTCCCCCAAAGAGAAGATGAGTGTTGATTTGTACTTTATCATGTTATGAATTGACCTGTTCACTCACTTCTGTAATCTGCCTTGCCCCTATAGGCATTTGAGTTTGCAACCTTTGGCTGCAATCTATTGCATATCCAGATGGGACCAAACCTCATAAGGTCAGTTCAGGAAAGGGGTTGCTTTCCTGGCTTTGTCTACACACAGAATAGAACTGTTGGTGCCCATCACAAGGTATCATCTGCTTAATTTCATATATCAACATGGCAAAACATAGAAGAATCTTTGAATTCAAGACTTTATGAAAATTCAGATGATAAAATATGTGCTGAGATTGACTTATTGAGTTGACTAACCCGTTCTGCATAAGAGCAATGTACTTAGCTATACGTGCATAAGTATTATGCATGTATTGACTATTGCAATAGTCAGTCTTCTTTTGGGGTTCTGGACACATTTGAGCATCCTTTCCCTATAAAAAATGTACATTTACACAATAACATCAAGAAATTTTAAAACAGTTTCAAAAGATTCCTGGTCCTCCTGAGGTCATCCAAGAAACCCCAGGGTTCACAAGTCTCAAGGGTGGACCCCATGCTCTAAAAAAAAACACAGAAGTGCTGCTGTCAGATTCCTTTCTCTCCCCACTAATGAACCTGCAGATTAACTTTTACCTAATGTGATGAAATTGATAGTTCTGGGTTAGTCTGGTTCATCTTGTATCTCTCCTATATGTCCTCCAAAGTTTGTTCTCCCTATTTTCTGTCTCTTACTCGTCATCTTGCTGTGTACTTAGTCAAAACATCATCTCAGCTCCTCCACAGAAGGCTAGGATTCCTTCCAACATGCACTGCCAATGTGGCTGAGTTGTGCTGCCGCCGATCTCCAGCCTTCCCATCTGCAAGGCTGTGCCCACCACCTCTCACTGTAGCATAACATTTCCTCCACAGGCCAGGGTGAAGAGAGATTTTATAACTCTGCTGAGGGGGACAAACTCTGCTTGAAGCAGATGCTAGGGATAGACACCACTGTGACACCACTGCACTTCCTGCATAATGCTGCAAAACATTGTCTTGGTAGCAAGAGCTCAAATGTGGCTGCTGAATTACTCTCTACTCAATGTTCATCTGGGTTGTACACAGATAACTTTCTGTAAGTCCTTGCTGTAATAATAGCTGAGAATAACAGCGAATAACCTATTGGCTTTGTGAGATGCAGTGACACTGGGTTGGTTTGAGGCTTTGAAATACTATGATGGGTCCAGTCATGCTGTATTGAATCCTATGTCCACACCTTTCCTGCTAACCAATTCCCCAGCGCCTTCTCATTCTAGTATTTTTGAAGTTTAGCAGTGTAGCTAGGCAGATAGGCTATGAGATCTCAGATAATATAACACAAATAAATAATCCTTTAAATTTTCAGCAACATACTTTTCCCTTAAGCTTTTTCTCCTTCACAAAACTGCTGCCAAACAATTCTGTATAAAATGGGTTGCAGACAACAACAATGAAAAGAGCCCAGTAAAAACAAATGAAATGTACTCTCTTTTTTTAATGTGGACCCTATTTCCCCTGCAACATTAAGTCTTCAGTCTTTGGCATTATAACCTCTTGTCACGTGAGACAGTTGAGTTGACATAGCTTCAGTTGATGAAGATGCATTTTGAAGGGTCATGCCAATTCATGTTTCTTTAAGGGCTCAAGATTGCTTGTGCTTTTTGATGTTTTACTTCACACAGGTCTGATAAGCAGATAGATTCCCATGATAAATGAATATAGTGGGAAAGTGATAAGAACTCAGGAGTTTGGCATGAGTTATGTCCTCACTCATACAGAAGTAAAGAGTCTCTTATCTTTACTCTTTAATTTCTTAATTACAAAAAAAAATATCCTGTCTATATTGAGGGAGTTCACAAAACATTTTGTGACTATTGCCTGAGACCAAAATATCTTGCCCTAAGACCTTTTTCTTGTTCATGATTTTTTTGTTACTTTGTTCACTTTGTTTCTGTTGATAGCATTTTTAATAAAAGATAACATTCCTTATTAAATATTGAAGTTGTTTTCCTTTAATAGAAACACTTTGTTACTGAAATAGCAAATAAGCAAAAATTGTCATTTAACTTGAGCATCAGTAATCTACGTTGCATATGTAGAGATTCCAGACTTCCCCCTTCCCCCTCCCTGCAACTCAGCCCTGTCACATAAGATGATCATTGCCTCTTGCCTCACTGCCAAAGTCCTCAGCTTGCACGCAAATGTGGATTCTAACTCAAACCTACCCCTCAGACTCCTGGCCTCCTGCTCCAGCTTTTGCAGAAGGAAAGGGTTCAAATCCACCTTCACTCACCATTATTCACAGCAAATGCTTCTCTGGCACAGGAGCCTTGACAAAGGATAATGAGAAATAGGAGTGTGGTGCCTCTGAGTGCTACGTCATTCCCTCCTTCCTTCCTTCTTCCGCCTGCTGACTTATGCTTTCCTCTCTTTTGTGAAAGGTTGTCCCTTCTTTTTGGTTGAAACTAATCATTTCCTTCTCTGTTCTCTGCAGCATCGTGCTTTAGCAGTTGGATGATATTAGAGCATGGATACTGGGGTCTTCAGATCCAGTTAAAATTCTGGCTGTGCCACTTATTAGCTATATGATCTTCAGCATATTACTTAACCTCTCTAAAGTCCTATTCTCTCATCTGTAAAATAGGGATAGAAACAATTCTTTATAGGACCACCACGCTGGTTGCATCAGATAAAACACATCAAAGTTTCAGAAGTGTGTGAACCAGAGCAACTCCATCTTGAATAGGAGCTGGGTAAAATGAGGCTGAGACCTACTGGGCTGCATTCCCAGATGGTTAAGGCATTCTAAGTCACAGAATGAGATAGGAGGTCAGCACAAGATACAGGTCATAAAGACCTTGCTGTTAAAACAGTTTGCAGTAAAGAAGCTGGCCAAGACCCATCAAAACCAAGATGGCGTTGAGAGTGTCCTCTGGTCTTCCTCACTGCTACACTCACACAAGCACCATGACAATTTACAAATGCCATGGCAACTTCAGAAAGTTACCCTATATGATCTGAAAAGGGGATGCATGAATAATCCATCCCTTGTTTAGCATATCATCAAAAAAAACCATAAAAATGGGCAACCAGAAGCTCTCAGGGCTGCTCTGTCTATGGAGTAGCTACTCTTTATTCCTTTACTTTCCTAATAAACTTATTTCCACTTTACTCTACGGACTTGCCCTGAATTCTTTCTTGTTCAAGATCCAAGAACCCCCTCTGGGGGTCTGGATCAGGACCGCTTTCCTATAACAAAAATATCCATGACAATGCTTGGCACATAAGTAGTATTTGATCAATGTTAGATTCCCCTTCTCCCTGCACAAACATTGTATTGGCAGATATATCTTCCTGCAACAAATTCCCACAAGGAGAAATATCAAGGGTATGATGTGTATATTAAGTTGACCACTTATGTTGTAAAATATAAGAAAACAATGGGTCTGTTTGTTACTTGTCTGTATAAATTACACACTTTTTCCTTTTGAGATAGAAAAATAAAGGCAAGCACTTTTATAACTCAACTAACTGTGTCATTTGAATTGCATCACCTCAGCCTAGATGTGTTACTCCCCAATATTTATATGTTAATTTTTTGGCCTTCACAGTTAAGATGCACTAATGAAGATAAATTTTATGTCCAAATAATCTATCTCACAGATATTTATTTAACTATACATAGGCCCCATGTGGTTATTCCCTGTTTTGTTTGACTTGACACCGTGGCTGGTCATTCACACATCCATCTCAGTCACTAGACTGTAAGCTCCTAGAGGTCATGCCATGATCTCTCTTTTCCCCCAAAGCTCCTAGCACAGTGATTTGTATACAGTGATTAATTGCTTGATTACTCCTCTAAAAGAGAAGACTCAAAGCAAGTGTGTTACTTGCCCAAGTCCAAGAAAGGAAGCGACTTTTATAACCATAAATTTTGCTACAACATTTTCAAGTTTTCTCTTTATTTGAATGCGCTTCTCTCGTTTGTGTCATTTTTATTCCCTCCTATAAGTAGGTCTAGAGTCTAGAGTCAGTCCATCTGGTTTTGTAGAACCCAAGTCTTCATCCCAGCTCTCTTTTCTCATATGACCTTAAGAAAGTCCCTTATGCTGTCTAAGCACAGTGTCTCTGTTATACCCCAGTCTCATATTTTAGAGATGGTTTCTAAGACCCCTTCATTTCAACACTTTTTGACAAGCATGAAAATCTACCTTATGCATTTGAGCGATGCCGCTAAGCTTGGCTTGACAAGGCACCCTTACCTGAAACTCCTAGAATATTACATCAGACACTTCTGTGGTGGGCAGCCAGTGAAGGCTGTGATTTCCACAGACCACCAAGGGCCTTAGAGACTTTCTCCTTCTTAAGCAAGCAAGAGTAAGAAAAGCTGTGCATCTACTAATTTTCACCCCACTATTGTTGACAAGGCCACCGAGTTTGTCTCTGGCATCACATAATAGCTCAGATTCAGAATCTTCTCTCTGTAGCCACAGAGAGAAATCACAGAGAAAGCAAACTTGCTCTGAGTTTGGAGAAAGAAAACAATTAAAAGACTTTGCTGGTCAGGCCTGGTGGCTCACACCTATAATCCCAACACTTTGGAAGGCAAAGGCGGGCAGATCACTTGAGGTCAGGAGTTTGAGACCAGCCTGGCCAACATGGTGAAACACTGTCTCTACTAAAAATACAAAAAAAAATTAGCCAGGTGTTGTGTATGCCTGTAATCCCAACTACTCGGGAGGCTGAGGCAGGAGAATCACTTAAACCCGGAAGGCAGAGGTTGCAGCAAGTGGAGGTTGCAGCGAGCCCAGATTGCACCACTGCACTCCAGCTTGGGTGACAGAGAAAGACCCCTCTCAAAAAGAAAAAAAAAAAAAAAAAAAATATATATATATATATATATATATATATATAAAAATAAAATAAAGACTTTAATTATAATCACCCTGGTTTAATATGTTTTCTAACATGAAAATGATATTCTGTGATTTTTCAATAAAAACACAAAGAAATTTAATGAAACCAATTTCCCTGGATTCCCTGCTCCCTCCTAAATGAGAAGTAACATACTCAGAACTCAGCACAATTTTTGGCACAAAGAAGTCCCATTAAAAAGTTCTGATGTTGAGACAAAAATACATTCTTAACATTGTTCTCATCACCTAAAAGCTTATGTGCTTCAAAGTCTATGTGCTTCAAAGTATGTGGCTAGAGGTTTTCTTTCCATTTTAAAATACTATCTCTTATTATCCTTATAAAAGCTATTTATCAACATACTCTTTTTCAGTATACAATGCTGCTGGGTTTTTTCCTTTAAAAAGTCTTTATCTTTCACTTGTATATTGAACAGGTCCTGAACTGTGTGAATAAAAATATTGCATGCAATTCTGAACCCTGACTTGAAAATAGGACACATCTTCAAAGACAGTAAGGAAAAGAAATATAGAGGTAAGAGTGGAGAAGAAGAAACCTGAATATAAATGGTATCTTTAGAAATGCAAAAAGAGCATTTTATACAAATAATTATTCGAATTTCTTTAGTCTCCTTTCAAACCAAGATTTGTTTACCAGAGGCATTACAATTTAGTGAGACAAATTAGACTAAACTTTTTTATCTCGGGTGGTTTGCACATGCACTGATTGAACTAGTATTTCTTCCAAAGATTGCCTGGGAAGATAAATGAACAGGAGGAGCAATTAGGGTAAGGAAAAACTAAAGATTGGCTGACATGATTTAAGTTTACCACTAAGGCAGTTTGTCATTTTGTCTCTATAATCTCCATCAGAATTGACTAAAAGAGTAAACATAAATCATTATACTAATTTATTTCACTACACTGTGGTCTGGGAAAAGAAAATTTCATTTTTTTCTGAGAGACTTTGGGGATTTAGGCAGCTGCTTTGAACTTATTTTCATTATATACTGGGAGGAAAAGAAACAAGAGAAAGATGAGTACCTCGGGTTCTTCAAAAACAATATTTTTGGTGGCAAGCCAACTAATTTTTATCACACTATGCTAAAATAACTATGGGTTGTGCATTAAAAGCAACTCAACATCGATTATATATTTTTTTAAAAAGCAAAACTTAATTCCTAAGATAGAGATGTAATCAAATCTACTGCTGAAAGTGATTTTTCACATAGTAGTTAGTAAGCTTTAAGTTTCTTCTCTGAAGAAACCTCAGTGACCACAGAGAGTCAGAATGCCATAAATTGTCCGGGAGTTCTTTATGGACTATCAACACCCTTGAAAATTAGGACTGCAACTATGCCCTCAGAATATAGAATGCGGCATTGCTGACTCACCAAAACAGCAGGACCATCAACATGCCCTTGGATATATGGCCCAACTGGCTACTTGAACAAAAAGGAGCCACTTATTAACCTGTGGAGGTCACACACACTCACAGACACACACACACACACACACACACACACACACCTATATTTCCAGCCATAATAAATATGAAATTAAATAATTATTAGAAGTATGATATCACAATTTTCTTTAGTCTTTCAAGGGATCTCAAAGCTATAAGTGATATACACAAATTTATCATGCAAAATGTTTTATTGATCATCCTCTCCTTGAAGCCTTTTGTATAAACAGCCAAGTGAGGTTTAAAATTTAAAACTTCTTGTACTAAGGTAAATTACAACATAGGATTGAAAGAGGTAAAAATGGATGACTATATATATGGCAGACTGTGTATGAGGCGCAATCTAAAGTGTCTTTGGGCTAGTTATTAACAGGCAACTGGAGGCAGGGTGCTACCAATAAGGTAGCAGCCAAGGTGGGTCTCAAAGAATGGGTATGGTTTCAACAGGTGCCAATAGCTCTTTCAAGGCAAAGGCAACAGTAAAAGTAAAGGCACAGAGAGTGAGAAGTTTGAGACACTTCCAGGAAGTGAAGGGGGCATTGACTATGCCAAGGCTCAAAGGATCTGTCACTCTTGGGAGTTACCAAGAGCATGAGGGTAAGATTGGTCGTGATTAGACAAGGATTCCTACCCTAGTTTAGCCAGTTAAAATTTACTTCTTATTCTTTTATATATTGGGGGAGGAGTTGTTCCCTTAATATTTAGCTTGGAAAAAGTAGGACCACTGCTTAAAAACAAAACACAGACACACACACACACACACGCACACACACGTACAAACACACATTTGCTAACCACTGAGTGAGATATTACAGAATATTAACTCTGAAAACTCTGCTGAACTTCACTTGTCAAAAGTCTTGAATATCAATCTAAAAAGCAGTTCTGAACTTTACTTAAGAGAGCATAGAGAGCAACTGAAGATTTTTAAATAAAGAAGTGATGGTTTCAAACTGTGCTTTAAGAACATTCATCTTGGCAACTGGGCTTGAAATTAACTTAGATAGATATCTGCTTCCAGTAGCCTTGGAAAAAGGTAATAAAGTTCTAAACGGGGATGCTAATTATAGAAAGTTTAATAGTAGATGAATGCAAGACACATGCGGGTATTGCATCAGGACCAAATTACACTTCAGAAAAATGCTGTCATAATTACTAGAAACACAACTTCAGATAAACACAAAAATTGAGGGGAAGATAATACATTTACTTTGGAACACTGAACTTAGACATTGTTAGAGTATCAGCAGAGAGTAAGAAGTAGTCCAGCTAAGAGTAACAAACACTGTGTAGAAATACAGTGTATGAACTATAAGGCTGGACTTTTTTGTGTTCATTGAATTGAATTTGTGTTACTGAATTATTGTGTTTATTTAAGTTCTACCTCTTCCTATAAGGAGAAAGAGAAAAAGAAATGAATATTGTGAGCTCCAATTCAGTGCCTACATCCTGCTGAACACTTTGCACATCGCATTTAATTGTAACAACCACCTACCAACTTATTATTGGCCACACTCTATAGTGAGAGCATTACGCAATGGCACAGGTAGGATCTGTCTGGATCCAAAACTGTTTCTAAGACAACTTGCTACCTCTGGAAAGATATGAAATCGTTGCATAGAAAGAAATTTTTTTAGGTCATCTATTAAAACAGTAAAAATGGAAGCAGATGAAGATGTTCAGGGGAAAAGTGTAGACAAAGAATTGCCAGAGGTCGGCTGGGTGAAGTGGCTCATGCCTGTAATCCCAGCACATTGGGAGCCAAGGTGAGTGGATTGATCACTCAAGGCCAGGAGTTCAAGACCAACACGGCCAGGATGGTAAAGCCATCTCTACTAAAAATACAAAAATTAGCTGGGCGTAGTGACACATGCCTGTAATCCCAGCTACTCAGGTGGCTGAGGCATGAGAATCGCTTGAACCTGGGAGGTGGAGGCTGCAGTGAGCTGAGATTGCACCACTGCACTCCAGCCTGGGTGACAGAGGGAGACTCTTGTCAAAAAAAAAAAAAAAAATCACCAAAGGTTAAGTAGAAAAAAACTTGGGGTAAGACATATTAAAATAGTGATGAGTCATAAGCAAGAAGGGATGGCCAACACCTTGATGTACTACAAAGAAGATAAGGAAGATGTAAACTAAAAATAACCATTGTATTTGGTCTATAAGGATTTATTAATGATTTTTGAGGGGAAAGTTTGCTTATAATAGTAAGAACAGAAGTCAGATTGTAAACAGCATGATGAGATGGGAAGAAAAGATTAGACTTACCTACTGGGTAATATTCTTCAAAAAGTTTAACACTAAAGAGAAATAAGGACCCATTATCATTTAAGAGAGTCGCAGTGTTAAGGAAAGGACTTTCTGTTTGTTTTCTCTTATCAAATGGAGGCCTTAGCATGTCTTCATTCAGAATAGAGAGCAGCAGAAAAGGAAAACTCAAAGATGGGGTGGGAGGAGTAATTGATAGAGCAAAATCCCGGAACAACAGGAAGAATTAGATTTAGAAGTAACTGAAGAGGGTCACCCTTACAAAGTAAAAGCTCTTCTTCCTCTGAAAATAAAAAATAATAATTTTTTTTAAAAAAGCAAGGACCTCTGAAGGTAGAGAATAATGATGACATAAAGAGCAGGAAAGCCATCAGGGCATTCAGAAGGAGCACTCTCTGACCTAGAAAAGCAGAGGGGAAGGTTTTACCTTAATGTAACCTCTCTGTTCCAAAGATGGGTAAACAAAGAGAAAAAAATAAGCAAAACCGCTAGATTCAAAAACAATATTAATAACTCCATGGATCAGAAACACAGCATTTAGCAGGACTGACATTGCAGGTCTGCTGATGGCCAAATTTAAAATCAAACAGAGATGGCTAAGAGTACAGCTTCTATGAGGTACCAGGAACTAAAAGTTTTCAATGTGATTAACACTTGGTTTACCCCCCTTGAAATCAGGGGTTATGATGGGGATCTCCTGAAGAGCCAAAGCGACTGAAATGTCCCTTTGGAGCTGCAATTATCAAGGTAGGATGACAAAGACCAAGTCCAAGAAACAGGAATTGCTGGATGAGTGGCAACATCTTTGATACTTTCAATGTTACCACAGAAAAGAAATCCTGAAATACTATGTATTTCTAAACTCCAAAGAGCCAGGAATAAGCAAACATAAATCTAATGAGTATAGGAAGGAATATTTAACAGGGAAAGACAGAGAGAGAGACCCCATTCAAAAGTAGACTGTAACAAAAGCAAAAATAGGCAAGCGGGACTATATCAAACTAAAAACTTCTGCTCTGCAAAAGAAACAATCAACAAACTGAAAGAAACTACAGAATTGGAGAAAATATTTTCAAACCATACATCTGAGAAGGCATTGATATATACAGAACTCAAACAATTCAATAACAAAAAAACAAATAACCGAATTTTTTAAATGAGCAAAGGACTTGAAAATATGTTTCTGCAAGGAAGACATACAAATGGACAACAGATATATGAATAGATGCTCAATATCACAAATCATCAGGGAAGTACAAATCAAAACCACAATGTGGTATCCTCTTACATCTGTTAAGATGACTATTATTCAAATGAAGTAAAATAAAAGAAAAAAGAAAACAAAGTAACAACTGCTGGCGAGGATGTGGAAAAATTGGAATCCTTGTACATTGTTGGTGGGAATGCAAAATGGAAAAGAGTATAGATGTTTCTCACAAAATTAAAAATGGAATTACCATATGATCCAGCAATCCCACTTTTGAATATTCATCCAAAAGAATTGAAACGAAGATCTTGAAGAGATACATGCATTCTTATGTTCATTGCAACATTATTCACAATAGACAAAATATGGAAACAACCTAAGTGTCAACAGATAAATGAACAAAGAAAATTTGGTATATACATACAATGGAATATTATTCAGCCGTAAAAAAGAAATGCTGCTATATAAGACAGCATGGATTAACCTTGAGAACATTATGCTAAGTGAAATAAGCCAATCACAGAAGTACATATACTGCATGATTCCACTTGTGTTTATAGATAACAATACCATACTGTATACTTTGAATTTTGTTAAGAAGGTAGATCTCAAAAAAACAAACAAAAAATAATATAAAAATTTAAAAATAAAAAAAAGAATAAAAAATAAGGTAGATCTCATGTTATTTGTTCTTACCACAAATTTTAAAAGTAGAATGCAATATTAGAATTGAACAATAATCAGGTACTACATATCAAAATCTGTGAGATGCAGCTAATATAGCACTCAGTTGTAAATTTATAGCCTTAAGTGCATTAATTAAAGAATATAGTTCTGGAAAAGGATGATTAATGGCAAAACTATCATTGTCAAATACATTTATTAACTTGCATAACACCTAAGAAAATAAATTGATAAAATTTAGAACCCACAGAGTTTATCAAGATGGCTAGATATAGTAACAGTATAAAAAAATCTTTCCTATAACTCAGTAATAATCCATTAGATAATTCGATGGAAAAAAATTACATTCACTGTGTCAACAACAGAAAATAAAATAGCTGATAGCAAACCTATAAAAACCTTAAAAAACCTAGTAAACTTCACTGAAGTCCTTAAAATAAGACCTAAAAAATGGAATAATAAACCATAATCCAGGGATATTATGTTAAGTGAAATAAGCCAGGCACAGAAAGACAAATACCACATGATTTCATTTATATATATAATCTAAAAATATTGAACTCAGCAATAGAGAGTAGAATTGTGGTTCCAGGGCTGGGAAGGTGGGAAAGTAGATTGGAATAATGTTGGTCAAAGGATATAAAATTTAAATTAGATAGGAAGAATAAGTTTCAGAGCTCTATTGTACAACATGGTGAAAAAACAGTAGTTAATAACAATGTATTGTATTTTGCGTGGTGGCATGCACCTGTAGTCCCAGCTACTAGGGAGGCTGAGGTGGGAGAATCACTTGAACCCAGGAGGCAGAGGTTGCAGTGAGCCAAGATTGCACCACTGCACTGCAGCCTGGGTAACAAAACGAGACTTCATCCCAAAAAAAAAAAAAAAATTATCGTATTTTGAAAAAGGCTGAGAGTAAAATTTTAAATGTTCTCACCACAAAATAAATGCAGATGTTAATTAGCTCAGTTGAGCCATTCCATAATGTGTACATATTTCAAAACATCACATGGTACACAATTTTTACTTGTCAACTAAAAATAAAGTAAAATAAAAACATGTTCCAGAATAGGAAGATTAAATATTGTAAAGGTATTAATGTCACTAAGGAACTGATCCTTAATCAACAAAGTAATCACATCAAAATATCAAAGCATTTGTAAAAGGAGAGAGAAAGAAAGAAAGAAAGAGAAAGAAAGAAAGAAAGAAGAGAAAGGAAGAAGAGAAAGAAAGAAAGAAAGAAACCAAACTATACCTCTTTAGCTACATATATACAGATATACAGGTACATTAAAAAATCATAAAGGTCATAAACTAAATGAGCAACAATAGCTACTTCTTGGAATCTGGATGGAGAGAGAGAGTGAAAGAGGGACATTAGATTTATCTGTAGTCTTTTATGTAAGTGAATGTATTTATATATTACTTATACAGTTAAAGATACATTTATTTTAATTTTTAAAATAATAAAATGTTGTCAACACTCCTGTGGTGGGCAGAATAATGACCCCCAAAACTGTGCATGTCCTAATCCCTGTAACCATGAATGTGACCTAACCTGGCAAAAGGGACTTTGTAGATGTGATTAAATTAAGGACATTGAAATGGATGATTACCCTGGATTTTCCAGCTGAGCTCAGTGTAATCACATGGACCTTTAAAAGTGAAAGAGGAAGGCAAGAGAGCCAGAGTCAAAAACATGAAGATGCTGAGATGCTGGGCTGCTGTCTTTGAAGATGGAGGAAGGGGCCACGAACCAAGAAACCAAGAGTTCTCTAGAAGTGGGGAAAGCCGAGGAAACAGATTCCACCCTAAAGCATCCCAAGGGAACAGCAACACTGCCTGCACGTTGATTTTAGTCAAGTGAGCCCCATTTTGGACCTCTGCCTTCCAGAATTGTAAAATAATAAAATTGTGTTGTTTTAAGCCACCAAACTTATGGTAATCTGTTGCAGCAGCAATAAAAAATGAACAGAACTCCTTCACTGCTCAGCACTTTTGAACTTCTAATTAACCAGGTTCACCATGACAGATTTTGTACTAAAAATGCTAATATCACCTGAGGATTTATTCCCAGTCTGTGAGGTTACTATAAGGTAGAAATGAAAAAATAATTATAAGCCCCAAATATTTTGAGTCAACCTGGGTTAAAATTGTGTGTACAACCATATTCCCAAGCCACCCCAGTATTTAATGAACAACCATGAGAGACCTAAATACTTTATGCCAAAACACTGGGCTAGTTATTAACTATTTTGTAAATATAAGATCAAAGATTGGTGATCATTTAAAAGCACAAAGATTAAAGAATGTTAGCCACATGAGAAGATTATGTTTCTGGTTAGATCTAAACATATTTTATATTTTATCACCAAATGAACCTCAAATTTGGTCTTCAATTAACTTGTTTGCTGAGAAAGGTGACAAGCTCTCTTGTATTTTCTGCCTTTTCTTTAAAAAAAAAGAGTTAATCTCCTATGAAAACTATCCTTAAACTCAGACCTTATTTTATCCTGTGAGGCAAGAAATTGTATTTATGTACAATTTGATTTGTAGAAAATTGTATTTGTTTTAACATGCTTCTAACAGGCAGCTGAGTTTAGTTATCTGATCTATAATAGACCCATTAGCCACCATGATTATTATTTCACTAATTATTAATAATTTTATTCTATAAATCCACTAGTATAATCAGGCATACCTTGTTTTATTGTGCTTCACTTTATTGTCTGTTGCAGATAAAGTGTTTTTTTTTTTTTTACAAACTGAAGGTCTGTGACAACTAATCTCTGCATGAAGCAAGGCTTCAGCACAATTTTTCCAATGCCATGTGCTCACTTTGTGTCTTTGTTTAATAATTTTGATAATTCTCACAGTATTTCAAACTTTTTCATTATTATATATGTGTTATAGTGATCTCTTATCAATGATTTTTTTTTTTTTTTTTTGAGACAGAGTCTTGCTCTGTCACCCAGGCTGGAGTGCAGTGGTGCCATCTTAGTTCACTGCAACCTCCGCCTTCTGGGTTCAAGCGATTCTCATGCCTCAGCCTCCCAAGTAGCTGGGATTACAGGCATGCACCATCATGCCTGGCTAATTTTTGTATTTTTTGTAGAGATGGGGTTTCACCATGTTGGCCAGGCTGGTCTCGAACTCTTGACTTCAAGTGATCCGCCTGCCTCAGCCTCCTAAGGTGGTAGGATTACAGGTGTGAGCCACTGCACCCAGCCTCTTATCAATGATTTTTGATGTTGCTATTGTAATTGTTTTGGGGCACCACAAACTGTGCCATTTAAGACTGTGAATGGAGGGATGTGTTGTGTGCTCTGACTGCTCCACTGACCAGCTGTTCTCCCATACCTGTTCCTCTCCTCAGGCCTCCCTATTCCCTGACATACAACAATATTGAAATTAGGCCAATTAATAACCCTACAATGACCTCTAAATGCTCAAGTGAAAGGAAGAGAAGCACACACATGCTCTTACTTTAAATCAAAAGCTAGAAATGATTAAGCTTGGTTAGAGGCATGTCAAACCCCCAGATAGGCTGAAAACTAGGCCTCTTGCACTAGTCAACTTGTGACTACAAAGGAAAAGTTATTGAAGAAAGTTTAAAGTACCATTCCAGTGAACACATGAATGATAAGAAGGCAAAACAGCCTTATTGCCGATATGGAGAAAATTTTAGCGGTTTGTATAAAAGATGAAACAAGGCACAACATTCCCTTAAGCCAAAGCCTAATCCAGAGCAAGGCCCTAACTCTCTTCAATTCTTTGAAGGCTGAAAGAGGTGAAGAAGTGGAGGAAAATTGGAAGCTGGCAGAAGTTGGTTTATTATGTTTAAGGAAAGAAGCTGTTTCCATAACCTAAAAGTAAAAGGTGAAGCAGCAAGTGCTGACTGAGGTAGAAGTTGCAGCAAGTTATTCAAAAGATCCAGCTAAGATCATGGATGAAGGCAGCTACATGAAAGAACAGATTTTCAATGTAGATAAAATAGCCTTCAGTTCAAAGAAGACACTATCTAGAACTTTCATAACCAGAGAGAAGGAGTCAACACCTGGCTTCAAAAGCTTAAAAGAACATGCTGACTCTCTTGTTAGGGGCTAATGTAGCTAGTGACTTTAAGTTGAAACCAATGCTCATTTACCATTCTGAAAATCCTAGGACCCTTAAAAATTATGCTAAATCTACTCTGCCTGTGTTCTATCAGTGAAATAACAAAGCCTAGAGGGCAGCATATCTGTTTACAGCATGGTTCATGGAATATTTTTAAGCCCACTATTGAGACCTACTACTCAGCAAAAAAGATTCCTTTTAAAGTATTACTGCTCATCGACAATGCACCTGGTCACCCAAGAGCTCTAATGGAGATTTACAAGGAGATTAATGTTTTCATGCCTGCTAGCACATCAGTGCTGTGGCCTATGGATCAAGGAGTAATTACCACTTTCAAGTCTTATTATTTAAGAAATACATTCTGTAAGGCTATAGCTGCCACAGATAGTGATTTTTCTGATGAATCTGGGCAAAGTAAATTGAAAACCTTCTGGAAAGAATTCACCATCCTAGGTGCCATTAAGAACATGCATGATTCATGGGAGGAGGTCATAATATCAGTATTAACAAGAGTTTGGAAGAAGTTGGTTCCAACCCTCATGGATGACTTTGAGAGGTTCAAGACTTCAGTAGAGGAAGTTACCGCAGATGTAGTAGAAATAGTAAAAGAACTCTAATTAGAAGTGGAGCCTGAACATGTGACTGAATTGCTGCAATCTCATACTAAAACTTTAACAGATGAGGAGTTGCTTCTTATGGATGGGCAAAGAAAGTGGTTTCTTGAGATTGAATCTACTCCTGGTGACCTGGTGAAGATACTGTGAACAGTGCTGAAATGACAACAAAGGATTCAGAAAATTACATAAACTTAGTTGATAAAGCAGCAGCAGGGTTTGAAAGGATTGACTCCAATTTTGAAAGAAGTTCTACTATGGGTAAAATGCTATCAAACAGCATTGCATACTACAGAGAAATCTTTCACAAAAGAGTCAGTCTATGCAGCAAACTTCACTGTTGTTTTATTTTAAGAAATTGCCAGAGCCACCCCAATCTTTAGCAACCACCACCCTGATCAGTCCACAGCCATCCACATCAAAGAAGACATTCCATCAGCAAAAATATTACAACTCATTGAAGGCCCAGATGATTGTAAGTATTTTTTAGAAATAAAAGTATTTTTAAATTAAAGTATATACATTTTTAGACATAATGTTATTGCACACTTAATAGGCTATAGCAAAGTGTGAACATAATGTTTATATGCACTAGGAAACCAAAAAGTTTGTGTGACTTACTTTATTGTAGTGGTCTGGAACTGAACCTGCAATATTTCCAAGGTATGCCTGTAAGTGGGACAAATTCATTTTGTCTTTATCTTTTTATTACAGTCCCTTAAAAAACCACACAAAATCTTGTGATTCAGATAAACTCATTTTTGAAACATAGCACAAAACCTGTTTCTTTAACAATACTCAGCACCTTATTTCCACGTAAATATTGAAAACCTACTGTGTAGCTCTGTGAAATGAAAACCAGGACAACTCTCACCTGGGATAGGAATAACTAAAGCCAGAAGCAAATGTATCATCAACATTTCATTAGGCTGAAGAGAAAAGGGTTTTCTTTTCTTTCGGTTTAAGAGACAGAATCTTGCTCTGTCACCCATGCTGGAGTGCAGTTACTATTCATAGGTGTGATCACAGTGCACTGCAGCCTCAAACTCCTGTGCTCAAACCATCTTCCCACCTCAGCCTCCCAAGTGCCTGGGACTGCAGGTGCATGCCACCATACCTGGCTATTTTCTTTACTATTGTTTGTTTAAAATTTGAGAAATTTTAAAAAATTAGTTTTCTTATTGCTCTGCATTTATTTACCATCTGTAGCTCTTGAATATGCTTGTTAAAAATACGCCAGATGAGTTTGATAAATGAAGCACACGTTTGGCTAAATACCATTTTTCAATCTTATCTTTATGGTAAATAATGAACAAATACCTAATAAATGCTAGAATCAAAACTATAAAATTATATTCAGAAAAAAATTAGAATCAAAAGATTGACTTTAATTTTAATGAAAGATGATCATTTAGAAAATTATAAATTCATATATTATAATTTTTATAGCTATACAACTCACACACAGACAATACCTACACACACACACTCACACACACACACACACACACACACACGTGCTATTTTTCCCTTCTTTTTTCTAAGTCTCATTTTCCTTGATGGGTCTCAGCCTTTCTTCATTTTCCTAGAAGGTCTACTTTTCATTCCCTAAAGAAGGAAGCCCTACAAAGCAAGGGAAGCTGGGACACTTGAGATTCCTATGAGTTGGAAATAGAAGACTTGGTTGGGAAAGCTGATTTCGTGCTGAATTAATAGTGTCAGAATGCCCTACAAATTGTTGTATGGAGGTGTTGGCCCCACATCATCAGCCATAAGATGACTTTCTTTGTTGTGAACTGTAATGCATCAATCTCTCTGTAACCCCTCATGAGCCTGAACATGACTACCAAGAGTTTGAGTAACCAGCACAATAACCAAGATGTGGAACTGTAGTTTCAATTCTGTCCCTGTCCCAGGGTGTAATTAGATCACCAATACTTACTGACCAAGTCACACTTATTCCTATCTAATTAATCTTCCTATACCTAAGACCAACACAGGTTAGAGATCTGAGTCTGTTGATCAAAGACATAGTCGATCCATATTCTAGGCCTAATTTCTATAGCATGGAAGTTTCTTATTCCATCAGCAAGGCAGGTGCTGCAAATGCAGAACAATATAAACACAGTGACTCTTCACTTAGAGAAACATTAGTCCTAGGATGTGGTACATAAATTACAGACCAATGTAAGCTTTTGGATTTTTGAGTTCCAAATGATTTTGAATGAGACTCTGAAACAGATAATAATTTCATGGGTTTCTGAGTCTTAATTTTCACAATATCTACTATATTCATCCGTTTTCATGCTGCTGATAAAGACATACCCGAGACTGGCCAATTTACAATAGAAAGAGTTTTACTGGACTTACAGTTCCATGTGGCTGGGGAAGCCTCACAACCTTGGAAGGTGAAAGGCATGTCTCACAGGGTGGCAGACAAGAGAAGAGAGCTTGTGCAGGGAAACTCCCCCTTGAAATAGCCATCAGGTCTTGTGAGACTCATTCACTGTTACAAGAACAATGCAGGAAAGACCCACCTCCATAATTCAATCACCTCCCACCAGATTCTGCTCACAACACACGGGAATTGTGGGAATCACAATTCAAGATGAGATTTGGGTGGGGACACAGAGCCAGACCATATCATCTACCCAGATGCAATAAGGGTGCTTGCAAATCCTGATATAAATAAATCCTGTATGTTTTAAGAAGAAATTTCAGGTATTAGCTAATAATGGATGGAAGTTCACTCTATCACCATGCCAAAAATGCTAAATATTGTCATGAACTGAAACTTAACAAACTATGTGAAACCCTTATATATGGCCAATTTTTAGTCACTGTCACCAACTAATCTCTCCACTTTACTCTGAATCTTAAAATTTCTGGAACTAATTCTCACTAATTAATTTCTTGTTTTGGCTTAACAAAATTGTTACCAAGGACTTCCTCTTCAGTTCTATTCTCTAGGTCTGTGCTGTGCTTTCTTCTTTATACAATAAACATCTTCCTCTGAGCTAAGCCTGTAAATTTTAATTATATTTGTCTTATTCTTATCTTACCAACCCTGTGGCTATATACAAATTTCTAAATTGGCCAGTAAAACAATACATCTTAATTAATCTTTTGGAAGTTACAAACACTTGCAAGAATCTGATGGAAGCCAAGAAACCTAGTCCTAGGAAACACACACACAGACACACACACACACACACACACACGCACACACTCACTTCTGTACTTACTACAGTCATATAACAAAACAGTTCAGAGCTTAGGTTTGGAGGTTCAGATTTCAAGCTGTGTCCCTTACAAGCTTTAATATCCTCATTTGCTAAATCAGGGTATTAAATTTATAGAAAACTCTTTGGGCCTATGAGTTGGTTACATTTTTTAAAAGTAAAAGTGTTTGCATTTTGCCCCCAATAAGAGTATGTTGTGGAGTAAAAAGAAAAAAAAAATCCTCATAAATAAGACCTAATCCTAGAGTGAAAAAAAAGAGGTATTTTTACTTGTAAGCTGGTTGTGTTTACTAAGTAATTTCTTCATGATCTTTCTACAATTCCAGTATAATTTATTCTGTACAATTCTAGCCAAAATTTTAGAAACATCTATCAATCTAGTTTCTAGACACTGATTATCTCTAATGAGGGAAGAAATTATCAAATGCTTAATTGAACGCAATCCCTGAACATTATGAAGATTGTCATCCATCCTTGGCTGGAAAAGTTAGCAATTATGTCATCTATGTGACATTAGTAAGTTTTGAAAATGTGTTTATGCTGTAGAGTTTTCTTTGACTTGCTGCGGGACTTCCCTTGTGTGCTCTGTCTGTATATGCAATATACAGCTATAAAACTCCATATTTTAAAGTTTGGATAAATGTTAATTTTTGGTAATTATCTTTTCAAACATAGTTTAGATCACAGTAAAATAAGTATGGTTCCAAGAACTCACTAAAACATTTCCAAGTCACAGTCAATGGCTGAGTTGAAGTGATTTCATTATTAAAATTTTTAATCTGTACCTAAATAGTATTTTTTATGGCAGTGATTTTCAATTATTTTTAACTCAACACAGCTGAGGGGTATGCTACATGCTCAAAATCACAACAATTGTCATCTGGCTAGAAGATAACAGAGAACAGAAGGGATATCGTGGTTGAGAATCACTACTCTGTAGCAAAATTATACTTCCCTGTGGTCTGTATGTTTTAAGAAGAAACTTCAAGTATTAGCTAATAATGGATGGAAGTTCACTCTATCACCATGCCAAAAAAACTGAGTCAGAATATTTCTTCAATTAGGATTGAAAAGTAATATATATGTCAGAGAAAAAAAGTTTCCTTTAAAAAAACTGTGGTTTGCATATTAGAAAGCTTAGTTGATTGTACTTAACCTAAGAATACACTATATCTTTATAATTATTATTAAGTGATTTTTTGGTGTCAGTACATAGGGCTCTACAGTTTCCAAGGAGGGCACACCTTACAGAGTTTGGAAGTTAGCCTAAGAAATAAACACTCTGAATTGAAATAAAGATTAACTCATACATATATAGAAGTGCCATTCCTGGGAAATAATATGTAGATCTTTGGTGGAAAAATTAGGTTGTCTTCCAATACAATGTAATCTCTGAAACCAGGATATGACTTAATTACCCAGTTATTTGGTAACATGTCAGGCAGGAGGAGATGATGAATGGGAACTGGAGAAGAAAAATTGATCAGTTTCTCTTTCCATCCCAGCTACCAGAAAGCTCAGACTCAAATTTATGACCAACCTCTGTCAAACAGACAGGATCTCACAGACCTGTATTTTCTATGCAGACATGAAATTATTTTCCCCTTTTTTCTTCTTGGATCCCATTTTTGAATTTAAATTTTTAAATATCTCATCATAGTTTATTGTATGTATTATTACATATAATTTTAAATCACTCATTAAAATTACACACATCTTTACTGATCTAGCACCATACAGGGGAAAAGAGTTTCTGAAGAGCAAACGTGAGTACTTCTGTGAGGTGAATTTCCAAGTACCTGATGTAATTTACATCCATAGAGGAACTGAACACTCCACACTCTCAAAACTTTATTCTAACAGTATTAAGATCATATAACTACCTACCTGCAGTCTATATTTCTAAGCAGCCTTTTGGCATTGATTCACATTTCTCAACAGGAGAGATTGTGTTGACCAATAGACATGAGCATTCTGGCACGACTGGCCTAATTTTATTTATAAATTACAAAGTTGGCACTCTAGTCCGCTAATTAGTCTCTTCTGAGTTTGATTTGTTTGAGTCTACTGTCTAAACCTTTCTGATTTAGCAATTCGATAGAATTTCATTGCTGATCCTGATGAACAGCCCTGGAAGCTTTATGCTGCACCCAAAGCCCTGCACCATGTGGGGCTCCAGGAGCAGCCAGAAAACAACCTTGGGTCCCACTCCATTTGAAGGAAAAAAAAATTTCCTGATGCCTTTTGCATTCACTATTAGTACATTTTATCACACTATTACAACTGAATGTTTCTTAGTACCAAATCTACTGCTATGGTGAGGGAAATGATAAGACTTTCTCCAGATACCAAAAATACAAGGTGGGCATGTATAGGCCTGAGATATTAAAATGTAGCACAATCTCTAGCATTTTTATTTCTTTGCAAAAACCATACGTATTTTAGGGTGTTCTTAAATAATTGACCAGATGCCTTTGGGTAGCAGGTTTGTTTATTATCCCTTTAACTAACAATCACTTATTGAGCATCTACGGTGTGTTAAATGCTGTACTGGGTGTTAGATCCTGCCTTATGGAATAAAGTCTAGTGAGGGACACAGGTATTTTTAAAGTATATAAGTAAATGTTTTCTTATACATTGTGATAATAGACATGAGAACCAATACTTGGATGCTAAAGTAGAAAAAAATAACCAGGGAAGTACCAGTGATAGACTGCAGAGCCAGAGCACATCCCACACCCCCAACAAAAGATGCCTTCTAACTAGAGGAACATATGTGCTTGTTTGGTTGGGACAGTCCCAGTTAATGCCAGTTGTTCCAGCATAATTATTAATAGATGCTCCTTTCCCACGAAACATATCCTGATTAAAATAATAAATTATGTGGTCATGCTAATTTTAAACAAAGTGGAAACTCAGTAAAGTGCTAGGTCCTAGAAGGGATAATGACTTCTAAGTACTTTGGAAAGCATCCTGAGGTGAAGATAAGCATTAGTAGTGTAATGGGCTGAGATTAACTTCATTCCTGGCTTGATTCCAGGGGAAAAAAAATCACAGCTTCAAACATAATGTATTTAAGGGAACGGAATCGATACTGAGTAAAGAAAAAGGAAGGGAACCTCAGTAAATAAAACTTGAATCATTTTCCTCATTGTGAAGACAGAATTAGCAGAAAATGAAAATTCCAGTTCTTCAGCACCATGGAAGCCTAGAAACTTTTTTTAATATGAAAGCAGATAGCAGAATGTAGTCATAAAACATGTAAACTGAAGGAACCTTGGAAATCCCCTCATACAGATCTCCCTTCTTAGAGGAAATATAATGCCAGAGGACATAAAAGTGAACCATATACTTGGAGGTGAGAACCGCTGTATTATATAAACATTAATTGCAAAAAGCAGTGGATTTGGACTCAGGCCACCCATGTTATAGTGCCAGTTCCTTAAGAACCTCTTATTTTTCCCAAACCTTGGTTTCCTCAAATAGAATCCTGGAATCAAAATACCTTTCTCACTATCTCCGAGGGTTGTTTTGAAGACAAAATAAAATCATATAAGCTATAAAGGGCTTTGCCAATTTAGTTTTTGTTAGCAACACATTCATTAGCCTAGCCCATGTTCTAAGCAAAAAAGAGTCTACATCTATCATGAAGTTGTGATAAGAAGTTTCCATGCCCTTTACAACTGAATAAAGGGGATTCTGATTTGAGTTTTGTAGCTCTCACATTTCTTCTTTCTCATGCCTCAAAATTCACCAAATCAAATACAAGTAAAAGATGGTGATTAGGCAACTGACAAGAATCAGGGCTATAGACATTCTCTGGGTTTGGCTGAGGAGGCCATATCTAGAAAAGATAATATGCATGGTTACATTAATGTCTATCCTTTTAGGATTGAATTACCACAAACCTAAACAGGTTCAGCAATTGAAAGCATTGAAAAAAATTCCAAATGAGGAAGCAAAAGCTGAACATGAAATCTGAGCTTCTAAAGTGAGCACAGTTGTGCAGAAGCGAAGTTCAGGGCTGCGAATAGCATTACTGAAATGGCAAGAAATGGAGTCTTAAAAAGTCCTCCCACGCAGATGGGCCAGTGTTTTATTCAACTGGACAAAAGATTCTTAAGTAAATACAAGCAATCTGGTAAAACTTTTATAAGGAGTTAAGTGAATCTGTCAACGTATTGAGTGAATCAGTGTAAATAGGCCGAAGAAACAACAATGTGTAAGGACAAACATAGTAGAAGTTTCTTTCTTGCTCATGGAAGAAGGTACGGAGGTTCTCCTGGTTGGTGGAGGTTTTCCTGCACGCGGTGATTCTGCCTTCTTCTAGGGACTTACCATTGGTCTCCTCCTGCTTTTCATCCAGTGAGAAGAGAGAAAGACTGGAAGAGGATAGGTTCTTCTTAAGCCATGACCCGGAAACAGGACAGCATGCACTCCAACGTGGCTGGCTGGAACTCAAACTCAGCCACACCCAACTCCAAACAAATCTGGGAAAGAGGTTCTAGCTGAGAAGAAAAGAAAGCATGAATTCTAATTAACAGCTTGCATTCTCTGCTACAGGTAAGATTTCTAGTTATATAAATTCTACACCAGGACCAGCAGCAGAGTAGAAGTCTGACAGAAGGGAAAAGGGCTAGGCATTGGCCCACCTGCCATTTGCAGGAAACCTGCCCTGCCTGATGCTCAACAATGTCCCCAGTTTCTCACAAAGCTGACAAAGTACAAACAAGGGACCAAGAATTACTTCTCAGTGGCCAATCCCTTATGTCTAATGCTTCTAATTAGTGAAAGGGATCAGTTGAAGGCATACTGGCATTGTGATAGCGTTAGAGAAAAATCTTTGGCCAGAATATGACAGATCCATTCCCTGTAACCTATAAGGTACCCTGGAAGCCATTGGCTTCCTAGAATTTTCCATTTGAAAACCCTTATACACCTTGGCAGTGATTTGCAATGAGCAAGATTTTCAACCACAGAGAGTTTTAAGAACTCTAGACATTGGGGCCTTTGGGCCCAAAACCAATGTAAGTTGTACTCCTACTTTTTTCATCATTCTGTAAGGTGATTCCTGACTTAGCCGCAAACTACTTTGAAAGTAGAGAAACCATTGGGAAAGGAGAAAGTAAGGCTTGGCTGCTGGGCTTGGTGTTTAACTGAAAGGCAATACTTCAGGAAATTGTGAAACCACCCGTCGTTAAGTAGATGGTGTGAAGATGGAGAATATTATCTAAAAATACTATACTGAAAGAAAAAGTCACTCTTCAGCTACTGTTTGTGTCTCCAATTGTTTGTGTGCCTATTTCTCTTTTTCTCAAAATGAGGGAGAAACTGGATCCGTAGATTTAATCTTTCCTTAGCTGAATAATAACAGATTTATCATTTCAATCAAATTATATTTTTAATGCAAGGGTCATGGTATTTTCAAGAGCATTTTTATGCAAGGAATATAATGATATACCATGGATTTCAAGCAGAACCAGAGGGGAAGGGAAGTCTGAAAGGGTTTTAGGATAGCAGGAATATGGCAGGAGGGGAGAGGGATGTCAACAGGCTGGCTGTTTTTGTTGGCGTCCCACAGGAGGGACCAGACCCAGAAATAGACCTCAAACATCAGAAAAATTTCTGATAAAGCTGGATTGGGAAACGAGGCTTGGATCTACAGCCACAGTGAGGTTGCTTCAAACTCTGCACACTGATTTGGACTGACTCGCCCAACCACCTGCAAAGTAGGCTGATCTGAGAGGGGGTTCCCAAGAGCACCCTGGAAGGAGTTAGAAGAGAGGAGAAAAGGGGGTATGGATTGATGGAGAAGAAGAGCGAGGATGAGACGGGTTGAGAGTTTGGGAAATGACAAATGACATGAGAGGCTTGCAGTCAGCAGTGGGAACAAGGATCAGAGGCAGAATAGATTAGGTCCTCATGCTGTAGGGGACTTTCTCAGGCCTGAGAGTATCCAGCTAGGGGCAAGAGGGAGGCACATTAACCCAAGCTGGTTTTAAGTGCCACAGTGAAAAGGTTAATTAGTTAACAGTGGGGAGCAATTAATCAGGAGCTATGTGATTCTCACCAGAGGGAGGACGTGGAATCTGCAGCAGCTTCTGGCCAGGCTGGGTTGCATTTCTCCATGGTTAGCAGAACCATCCTTCACAGTCTCAGAATGCGGGAACACTGAAACATGAAAATCCCTGCCTCCTCCAGCTGTGGAGATTGTCTGTAGCTATCTCTCAGTATGAATTTGCCTTCAAATTCATTCTTCAAAATATTTGAGGCTGTCGATATATATAAAATGGAGTTAGGTTGACTCATACAAAATTGCCAGTTTTGAAGTTAAAAATCTGTTAAAATTGGCATTTCATATGACTCAGTATTGAAGTAAAGAATAGGTTCCTTGGGCACTTTGCATTTTCATAGTTTCACAGTAAATATTTCATGTTTGGGGAACCGCCGCGTGCTCCTAAAGGCCCTAGGGGTCAGTCTGTCCTCAGAGGATCCAAGGATAACCCTGACATAATGGTCACTGAAGTCCTCAATAATTCTGCTACCATGAGTGACAGAACACTTTCCTGGTGTGACTAGTTCAGTGACCTAGTCATATTTTTAAACCCTTAAATAAAAACTCAAACTCCATTTCCTCACTCTTAATAAGTGACTTTGCCAACTACATCTCAGAAAATAGAAGCTATTAAGTAAGAATGTATTCAAACTCCCACCCAGACACTATATGCTTGCCTGCAGCTGAATTCAGACAGATTATCCGGATGTCTTCAGGCACATTGGTGTAGAATGAACTTGGAAACATTCATTCTGATTATATTATATTGAGCCACCATACAAATGTACAGCAACTCACAGCTATATAATTGTTCGTTTCTGTACCAGAGATCGACATCACCAACCCATCCTCCACCAAGGGGATGTTACCAAAATGCAAATCTGAATGTGTCAGTTTTGTAATTTAAAGATGTCAAGCCCGTTAGCTCGGGTCAGGAATCCTGCTGCTTGAAGATCACGCTGTTCCCTCTTTCTCCAGTTTCACCCCAACATGCAACCTTTCCTTCACGTGCTCAATTACTCGGCTTCCTGGAATGCATCGTGCATTTCTTGCTTCTAGGTTTTCCACATGCTGATTCTTCAGATTGTAAGTTTTCTTCCTGTCAAGACTTTACTGGGTTTAAACTTTATCTCCTCAAAGAAATATTTGAGTAAGATGCCCCGTCTCGCTGCTGCCATATCTTCTTACACATACCTTGATCCTTGCTTTTATCCCACAATGTATTTAGTCTTGCTTTGCTAACCTGTCTCACTTGTGGGGCATTATAAGAGGTGACCACAATAAACTTCTGAGCAGGAACTACGTGAAATAACATGTACTCAAAATATGAGTTGAATGAAGAATGAATTTACAATCATAAATTAACAATTTAGCTTCTTAGATCCTAACAATGTAAGAGAATTTTTAAATAGCAATACATTCATGTACTGAGAAATTTCACAATTTAACTTAATATTTTGCTGTTTTTGTGTGTTGATATAATCTTTCTAAATAGCTGCGATAATAGCTAGCAATTACCAAGTACCTACTATGAGCCAGGAATCATGCTAACTGCTTATATACATCTAGTTTTATCCTTAAAACTACATTTGGAGTTCTCATTTTAAAAATGAGAAAAAAGAGAAGGTTTTCTTCGATTGATTTGTCTGATAAATATGGATTTTACAAATCCAGTGTTTTCTCAATAGTTTTCACCTGAATTCCAACTGAAGAACTAAAATTTAATATATGAAACATATCACATCTTTGAATAAACATATAAATATCCTGACCATCTATCAGAAGTTCAAGACCAGCCTGGCCAACATGGTGAAACCCCATCTCTACTAAAAATACAAAAATTAGCCAGGCATGGTGGGACGTGCCTGTAGTTCCAGCTACTAAGGAGGCTGAGGCAAAAGAATTGCTTGAACCTGGGAAGCGGAGGTTGCAGTGAGCCAAGATCACGCCACTGCGCTCCAGCCTGGGAGACAGAGCGAGACTCTGTCTCAAATAAATAAATAAATAAATATCCTGACCATCGAGTAATTCAAAAAGTAAAGTAACTTCTGTCTACTTTTTCTGCTCTAACTCCTGCTTCTGTTTTCTCCAATAACTGTCTGGTGACAAATCTCCTAATTCTAGTCCCTCTTTGGATCTTCTTTTTCCTTCAGCTTAAGTTTCTCAGTGCTTAGAAGCACTGATCAGGAATTGGATCCATGGTGCTACCCAGATCCCTCAGAAGGCATATCCCTGCCTGGTGGATTTTCGATTGGAATAAAATAAGATGACATGAATGTACAGAGACGATGGATGGCTTGAGCTGATGGGCAGCATTTGGAATTGGGTTTTGTTTTCTTCAAGAACTGTGGTGTCATTTTTCTTCGTCTTTCCCTGTCTCTGCTGATTCTGTCTAGGGGATGTCTTTTAATGTGAAAAATTGAGTAATAGCTTCATAAGAAGTCCTGAGAAAACAACTCCTGGATTCCAACTTATCTTCAGTGCACATAACCTTCTCCCACAGAGTGAAGGGCTTATTTTTATTCAATTAAGCCTCAATTATGTTCCAAGAAATCAGTCTCCAGACTAAATGTGAGCAAGTAGCAGGTAATAAACAAACAAGACACATCATGCTTTTGCCTTGGGCTTCTTTGAATCACTTATGTCTGCTTTAAAGAGTTTTGGTGAGGTAAGTTTTAAATTTTCAGAATGTTCACTTAAGCTATAAATCAGAGGCTTCCAGTATCTTTTTGCTAGGACTGGAAATGAGACATGAGTGAGGTTATGGCGTGCACACACATACCATCCAAGGGCTAAAGGAAACTAAGACCAACAAAAATAATTCTTAAAACCCAATAAAATTCACATGTTAAAATAATTATTTTGCAGACATTAAATGGTAGTATGCATAAAGTAAAATTACAAAATAAACACTAAAACACCAAGCTCCTTCTCACTCTCTTGCCACCACACTTCTTTTCTGACACAGTGACCAAGGCATAATCTCCAAGTATCTTCATTCAAATGGGGCTAGCTGGTGCAACCTGGCTGGTCATCAGAGTTATGTATGGAACTATATAAATATTAGTATTCATCCATACAGATTCTGATCTTTGTCTAGAAAAATATATACTTGTGAAAATCTTCACATATAAGTCACCTCGTCAGCAAAATACAGAAAAAAATCCTGCAGCGAGTCCTCCCTTCCACTGACCCCTACTCTCTGCATCAAAAAAGGCAAGAAGGTAGAACCCATGCTGCAGGTTGGGGAAACCTGTTTTATTCAATTCACTATCCAAAGTGAGCACTGGAAAGTCAGAGGATTACTGTGAATCCTCAGTGTTCTCTAACTTCTTGCTCCTCAAAAGAGCCCTGGCATCCCCAGCATCACTGGTAGCTTGTTAGGAATAGAAAATCTTGGGCCCTACCTGCTACTGAATCAGAATCTGCATTTTAACAAGATTCCCACAATATTTGTATGCACATTAAAATCTGAAGGGCTCTGCCCTATCTCACCATTTTTGACAGCCTCCAATTTTATGTTGACAAGTGAATCCTAGCCATGTTCCTCTGGGCTAGATAGTTTTGGCCTAAAAATCTGTCGATCAAGTCCTACCCAATTCTTCCACCAGAGAAAGAGTGAAGGCTTGGCCCTAAAGCTGAGCTGTTGGGTCCTGCTGCCTGCCTGCAAAAATCTTTAATGCCAACATGGGCCTGCTCCAAATTTTGTCTCTAACGAGATAATTTCTAGTTGGGTTTTGCTGGCCTTGCAGCAGGAACATGCTATTATATTTGCGGAAGATTTCCGAGAACAGCAATTTCTCTAAAATTCTCTTAGCTGTTCTCTCCTTTATGAAATGGGAGACATGATTTCAAGTCATTCAGGAAAAGCATGAAAACTGTTAACAACTTTGTTATTGTGCTTCACAGTTTATAGTCCAATTTTAACCAATAGCCAGTCTATCCATAGCGATAAGATGCGGAGAAGCATAGTACCAAAAATTATTAATGTTGACACTAAATCAAAATTCCAAATGAGTAACATGTTTGATTTATAAGCAGGTTTCTATGAGAAATTACTCAAATAATATGATCTAATAATCTATGGAGGAGTGAAGTACAGGTCCTTGAAATACTTGGAATACTGGCAGAGAGGGTAAATATAAAGAAATTAAAACTTGGCATGTTCAAAATTGTCAGTTGTATGTTTCTGTGATTACATGGTCAGCTCAGTTCCAAGTTTAACAAAAAGTATTATCTGCCTGTCAATCAAATGTTAATTAAGAATTCACTATGTTCTGGGTGCTAGAGCCATGGGAAATGACCATTTTTCATTCAGTGTTTGCCGAAAACCTCCTATGTGCTAGATATTATATACTCAAGATATAAAGAAGGGGAAGACATTGTCTGTGCCATCAAAGAGTTTACAACCTGCAAGAGCAAGATATGAAAATAAAAGAAAATAGGCTACAGGAATGCTCCCAAGGAGGAAGATCAGTTCTGTCTTGGGAAGGCTGCAGCTGCATAGAGGCGATACTTACAGGTTTTTTCAGGCAGAGGAAGAATAACCCGAAAAGAATGGAGGCATGAAACAGCATGACACATTCACAGACATGTGGAAGTTTAACATGCTTAAGGTTTCATTTTGTGAAGGGAGGCAGATGGCACTGGAAAAGTAGGCAGGGGCTAGATCATGCATGATAATGTTTTTGGATTTCTTTTTCATGAGTGAATGGGAAATCATCAAATATTTTTTGAGTAGGAAAAGTTCAATTCCTGGATTAAAGCTATTACATAAACTAATTCACTTGATTCACAAAACAATTCCACAGGGTAAGTATTATCCCAATTTTCAGATGAGGAAATCAGTTTAATGTTTCACAACTGACAAGTAGCAGAGTATGGAGTCAAAGAGATATCTGTTTGACTCTATAGTCTGTGCTTTTACATAAAAGTATAAAATATGATCCCTGAAGTCAATAAATTAGCAAACTACTGGAGATTTAGGGCTACCATAGAAAACACTAATGGAAAGTAACCAAGCTCTGCACTATACACATTGACTATGAGAGAAAGAGGAGTTGGAGGTGGTAGGTGGTGGGGGGAATCTGTAGAGTTTGGAGCAACCAGAAAGGTTTAAATGGCAGGTGTGGGACAGAAGTTGGAAAGTGAGAACAACTCAATGAAACTAAATGTCATGACAGCTAAATCCCTCCAGTTGACCATCCTGCCCCTCCCAGTTGAATTTGTGTATTTGCTCCCTCTTCCTCCACCATTATACTCTCTTATCTCACATGACTCCCCCTCTCCTGGCCAAAGCATGGAGAGTGAAACTCTACTCTCTTTTCAAATGTTCCCTTTCTCCAACAGGTTATCTAATGAGAGACAGAAAGGCAGACAAAGAGAAGTGTTTCCTTGTCTTCTCCTGGGAGAAGAATATGACCATAGAACATTTCTAGCTATCTTGGGAGGCAGATCTTCTCTAAACATGAGAGAACTTCATGAGCTGGATTCTCCTCATTGTTGATATGCTAAAGGGGAAACAACAGAATCTGTAAAATACCATCCCAAGCCTTGTTTATATGATTATTCTTCGTGCTGTAAAATTCTAGTGTGCATGTCAGGAGCTGAAGAGTATGTTCTACTGGCTTTCTTTCTGTAACCAAATCCTAATTTTCTTCTAGGCAGATGGATTCCTCAGGTGAATTAGGGCAAAGTTAATGTGCTCACAGAGACAACAGGGAAAAGAAATCAATAATAAAATATTGACCACAATACATATCATGTGTGGGTATCCCTAAGAAATATTTCAAGGCCATGGAAAAATGTGGAGACTCCAGAATGAATGATGTAAATTTACTTACAAGTGTGATTTTTATTCAAATTCTAGTTACTCCTTGGCTGAAATAGAGTGAAAATTTAGAAATATTTGCAAATGGGGTGTCTTCCCATTACAATGAAAACATCTCCACAGTCACCATATAATCAGGCACCCTGCAGCTATCTCACTTAAGACATGATACTGCCCAGTCACCTAAGCCTCAATTTCATATATAATCTTATTCTGCATATAAACCAATATTCTTACAAGAGCTTTTTGTTTGGTGATATTTTTTTGGTTCGGTTTTTGTTTGTCTCATCAAGTCTCCATCTAACTCTGTCTAAATTTATCAAAAATATTTTAAGATAAAGACTCATTGTCTTTATTTGATGTTAAGATGTATTAATTATGAGCAATTCTAATGTGGTTAGCAAGTTTGAGCTTTAAAATAGCTTTTTATGTCTCATTGATGGATTTGAATAACTTTCACTCATAAACTGCCCATTAAAATTTCTGTTCCGTTTATTTGTAAGACTTTCTACTTAACTGGTCCTTTTTGCCAAATCAGTACCTATTTAATCTATTTAGGAGCAAGAGTCTATACATTCATGTCTATGTTAGGAATCTGAGCACTTACTAACTCCTGTTCTGCTGCCAAAGTTAGCCTCGCAGAGTTTTTTAAAATGTGAATCTCCACATAGTGACAACACAAAGGCACAACATGACAAAGAGAGAAGGGTTGTGCTTCTCCTAGACCGTGGCTAAAACTGTCAGCTCAAAGGGAGTCCTGACTGAGCTTTACGATGGCCCATGGGGATTCTGCATACACATGTGTACAAGGTAAGTGCAAAAAGTATAAAACTAGGAAGTGCACATTGAAATCAGGGGAAAAAATACACCCAACAAAGTGTGCTGTTGTTAGGAGATGCGCCATAGCTTTCACCCTCCATGCTGTCTGCCGCAGCGCCTCACACCGTAGGTAAATGGAGCCCAGCACTGTGAAGCATTAGGTTTTTAGAAGTGAAGTTAAACTGATAAATTAGACCTCATTTATTGAACAGCAGTTAGAGCCGATTGCCTAGGGAGTCGTTTGACACCTTTGAAGACCCTGCTAACTTAATTGGTGATAGTTTGGGGGCTGAAGGAAACATTTAAGCCAAGAGCAGCAGGACACCGTGCCGCATGAAAATGGAGGAGACAAGCATTCTCTCTGACAAGGGGAGTCATATATAGATTTTTGTGTCCATTGTTTTCGCTTATTTGTGTGTGTGCTTTACTCAGTCAATCAAATATAATTGACACCACTGGGTTCTGTTGTTTTGTAGATGACAGGAGCTAATGCAAGGGAAAAAAGCTGGAAGTAAACTTCCCCCTGAAAGGCTGTGAAAAGGTTTTTCCACCGGGCCTGTGACATTTTTTGCTCAATTGTATTAATTGATGTAGTGACAAGGCACTTGGAAAGATGATGGATACTGATCACTACACCCTTTTTAAGGTTGGGCTATATCTTGCTATTAGCATAAGCACTTGTTTGTGCAAGGAGAGAACAGCAACCCAGGTAGAACAAAAGGAGAGGAAAGAAGGAAGCAGGCTACCTGCACTATGCACCTGACAGAAGAAGAGATTGGGTTTTCTGGGCCAGGGTGCCAAGGCAGTGCTGGGGATGGGCCTTGAGTCAAAGACAAGCTCCTGACTTTAATCTTAACATTGACTCCCCTTGAACTGTGGTCCTTGAGGAGGTTCTGCCCCAGTTTTTTAATCATTTGCTCAGAGCAACAAATGACTCTAAGAGTTCTCGTAAAGTCCTAAGTATTTAATTGCCAGAGCAGAAAACTGAGGAAAACCTACCAGCATTGGAGCACCCTGGGTCTAGAACTGCCAAATTATTCAGGCTAAGGGAGCTATAGGTTTTAGAATGCTCATTTTTCAGAGTCAGTGACAGTGGCAATGATGCGTTACAGTAGGCCACATGGCTTAACAAGACAGTGCCAGGGCTGAAATGACTTTGACTATTCACTGTAGATCTATTCAAAGAAGACCTTGAATACTTAAAATGAGAGTATGCAGAGTAAAGAGTCCATTTTTTTCTGCCTAAGTCTGCCTGAAGGTTGCCAGAATATAATCTGTGGTTCATTTGAGTTACCTGGAGTCATGCGAAATCAACTGTAGTCTTCTTTGGATCATCTCCGGTGTTGAAATCACTTTGTGATATCTGAACTTAACATCCTAAATTCACAGTGCAAATGTGTTTTCAATCACACTAGAAAAACTCCTCTAACTAAAACAATGTTCGTTTATGGAGTTCATTCTTCCTTTTTCTAACATCAAGTACTTTCTGTAATTTCCATTGTTTGGCATTTAGATTTTGAGGTGCATCATTCATTATTATGAAATTTAGAGGGAGGGCTGGAAGAAAAATTAAAGGAAAATTTCCATTATCCAAATCCTTAAGGGAAAAATCAGTAGTTAATTGTACAGTTTAAGGAAGATGAAAGCCCAAACTGCAATTTTGTTCCACAAGTATTTCAAGAAAGCATTTGGTAAACCTCATCACAGAGGAATTTCCACGATATCTGCTGAGCAAAAAACGGAATCTACAAATTTCCGTAAATCCAGATACCCTTATCATTTTTCAGGCATCAGTAGATAGTCTTGGCAAGTACTGTATACAGGAGAAATCTCTGAAGATCCAGCCAAAGTGGGTATTCCATGTCCTTTCTCAGAGAAAAATCCTAGGATTCACTCATTCATTCATTCATTCAACATCTATTTATTGAGCACGGGCTCTGTGCCAGGCGCTGTGGATGTAACAAGGAATAAAAAAAAAAAAAAGACATCTTTGCCCTCATGGATCATTCAGTCTAATATGAAAGAGAGGCATTAATCAGATGATAAACCCAAATAAATTGAAATTTGAAAATTGGGTAAGTGCTCCAAATGAGAGGTAACTGGTACTATGAGAGCTAATCATTGGGAAATTTTACCCCTAACTGAGAATTTAAGGGAGACTTAACTAAAGAAGTAATAACTAAGCTAAGACCTGGAAAAAATAATTACTGACACATGAAATGTAGGAAGGACAGTGAGAGAAGGGAGAATATTTCAGTCATACACACATGGCAAGAGGGACTAGTGCAGTTCTAGGAATTCAAATAAGCCAGAGTGGTTGAAACACAAACAGTAACTGGGAGTGCAATAAAAGCTGAGCTATAGGTTGAGTAGACAGGGCTTAGACCAAACTGGGACAAATAGCTTTAACATACAGACACCATGTAAGTATTTTGTCCTCCTCCACAAAACTCACCTCCTTATTAACCCTTCGCTATTTTTGTTTTTGAGATTGCAGAGTAGTGGTAATAGGTAATTAAAATAATGGAAAAAGTCTGGAGGCGGCCTTTCCCACAGGTTCCTTAAAAAACACCTGCTGTAGCAAGAGGCCGATCAAGGGCTGGAAGCAGTGGCTCATGCCCATAATCCCAGCATTTTGGGAGGCCAGGGTGGGAGGATCACTTGAGCCCAGGACTTTGAGGGCAGCTGGGGCAAGATAGTGGGACTCCCCTATCTACAAAAAATAAAAAATAAAAATTAGCCAGGCATGCTGGCACACGTCTCTAGTTCCAGCTACTCTGGAGGCTTAGGCAGGAGATCACTTGAGCACAAGAGGTTTAGGCTGCAGTGGGCTGTGATTGCCCCACTGCACTCCAGCCTGGGTGACAGAATGAGACCCTGTCTCAAAAAAATATATTTTAAAAAACAACAACAAAAGAGGCAGAGCAAGAAGAAAAAAGGGGGGTAAAAGGAATGCTGTAGGCCATTTCTGGCTAGAAGAATTCTAGATTGCAATTCTATCAGCTCACACTGTTTACATTTAGAGCAAAATGAATCCTCACTATTGGAAAATGTTGGCTCCTTTCATTAATGTTGCTTCAAAAAAGATTCAAGTTAGACAATGAAGAAATCTTTCAGAGCGATGGAATGATACAGTAGTGATAGAGAGCCATCTTGGATTGTGCTCTTAATACCACTAGAGAGCAAAACACTTTTTGTGTTTGAGAAATAATGTAAGGAGTTATACTTTTCTGGGATCCTTGCTACCAAGACGCTACTAGAGAAGATCCATTAGTAGAGGAAAAAGCCTTGGCCATAACTGATTGCTGGCACTTTGGCCATGGCAACAACAGTTACAGAGAGGAAGAACAGATGCAGTAGGAAGTCCCAATACCTTGTAGAGAAGCTGCTTGTTAGCACCAGCAGCTCTTTGCCCACCTCTGTCTGAATTCTTAGAGAAAATCAAAATGGAAAAGTATGAATGTCATCTGTGACTTACAATCAGTTCCTTAAAAAAAAAAATGAGCATGAATGTAGTTTTCCTGGCAGAGATGCTTCTGGCACACAGAGCCATGGCTACTTTGGAGAGTAGAAGATGCTGCTTTGAGCCTGGGCTCTGACACGACACTAGGAAAATACAGCCAAATGGGAAATACAGAACTGACCATTCACAAGTGCTCTTGATAAAACATTGCAGGAGATGGAATTCTCAGAAAACATTGTCAACAGAGATTAGATCTATAATACACTTGTGGCAACAAGCCACATGGTTTTATATATGATTAGGTAAGGCTCAGTTGTTCCCCTTCACACACACACACACACACACACACACACACACACTCTCTCTCTCTCTCTCTCTCTCTCTCTCTCTCCCTCTCTCCCCCCCCCCGCCCTTGCAGGCCACTATGGTATTCTCCTAGCCACCCATTCCAGGGAATCCTATCTTGTCACTGTCCACTCCCTCACTGTGTTCTCATTCCCTTCTGCACATTTACAGGTATTATTCCTCTGCCTGGAATGGCTTCCACACACCCACACAGCCTCCTGTCTAGTTATGTTACAGGAAAGGAGTCCCAATCCAGACCCAAGTTAGAGTCTGCATGACCATTCAGATCCACCCCAAATCCTTCTCTCCTTTGTGTATCGTTTTACTACCTGAGCCCACTCTAATTGTTTTCTTCTTTCTGGTCAAAATTATATTTTTGTGTGTTCATATGATTTACCCACCACAACTGTAAGGTTAACAAGGAGCACACATGAATAGTGCTTCATCAGTTGTCTATTGCTGTGTTAAAAAAAAAAATATTTGGTGGCTTAAACAACCACCATTTAACGTTGCACAAGTCTACAGGTCAGGTGTGTGGTTCTGCTGATCTGTGCCAGGTTTGGTTGATCTCAACTGGACTCATAAGAGTCAGCTGTGGGTTAGGAAGATAGACCTAGTGATGTTGGCTGGGGTCTCTTGCATGTCTGTGTCCTTGCTTGGGACAACTGGCTGATTGGACTCTGGTTCCTGTGGGCTCTCAACCTCTATCAGGGCTGGTGGGCTTGCTCACGTGGTGGAGGCAGAGGTCCTGAGGGAACAAGGCCTCTTGAGGCCTAGACTAAAGTTCGACATGCCACTTTACTTCATTCTATTGGCCATGTACATGCACACATACATACACAAAATGTTCATGAATAATAAATAGACATACAAACAGAGTAATTATGTCAATTCCAAACTTTCCCCACATATAGCTGAGGGAAAGGCTATGTCCCCTTCTGTCACTAACCTTTGTCCAGATCATCTACCATCTTTTTTTTTAAATGCCTCTCGAGTCATAAATCCACCATCTATTTTTATGGTTCAGGCTAGTCCATGACATGCTGATTTATATGAAGCCACATTAAAGTGGTCACTTCCTTATAATGACTGGGAATTTTATATCTCTCTGCTTATAATTAATAAAAGTGCAGTCTCTGTTATGAGTTCTTCAACTAATTAGCTATGACAACTTCTCACTACTGTCATAGAAAGCTGTGCTAATGCAAAAAGAAATCAAAACAGAAGCATGGTTCTCAGGTTCAGTACATAAGCCTGCCCCAGGTCCCTGCACATGCAAAAACCATCCACTTATCTATTTCCTCACCAGTTGGAAGCAAATGTTTGTAGATCATACCCTATCTTTTAACAAAAAAGGAAATATTTCTGGCCTGGAAGCTTCCCAGAAGCTGTCTCCTCAGCAGCAATCAGTTCTTTCCTTAATGCATACTTTCTGCTTGTCCTTCAAACATCCCTCTCTGTGTCCCTCTTTCCAGCACCGTGGCTAAAATTGCCTACTTGCTGTTTCATTGAGGTTTTGCTGCATAACTCCTGTGTATGTTCTGGCAGAAAATGTGTTTTATATATTCCTTTGTCCAGTGCTGTGAAATAGTTTGAATTACCAAAAACTATGTGATTCATTTACAACCAAATATAAATCTTTGGTAAAGAAACAAAGTAGAAATCTCCTCCAAGCCAGGGAGGACCAGCTAGTTGGAAGTCAATATTGCGTGACAAATTTTGTAGAAGAAGGGGCTAATACTCATAAGAATCACCTCACATCACCCTGCTGGTCAAAGCTGCATATCACCCAACAATACGATACCAGGTGGCCTCACCCCAGGAGGGGATTGGGTCCAGGTGGACTTGTAAAACAAGAGTAGGCTTGTCCTACCCTGATCTCCCAGAGACCAGCACTCTGACCAGGGGGCTTTCTGCCTAAGCCAGCTTTGGGACACAGGAATTTGGTTCCAAGAGTCTGGGGTGAGGAGTCTTTTCCCAGAGCTCATACCATTAATCCAGCCAAAATATGCTTTTTCCAGAAAGATGAGAGTTTTCCTGAGCACAAAGGAAATGCTCCTACAGAAAGGCAATACAACCAGGTTTCAACTGACTTCTGGGTTTCAACTGACTTCTATTTTCCCAGATAAACCAGCATGTTCAGATAAGCCACAGTGCCTCACATCTCTAGTATCTTTGTTACTACTCAAGGCATAGATTGCGAGCTCCAGTTATTTTCCTTTTGTATACCCTCACCCCACTGCTGCTCTGTGCTGCTTTTCTTTTGTCCTTCCTACATGCACTGATCCAGTCTTTCTAATGAGCCTAGAAACCTCCATCCCATGGTTAATAAAGAGCTCCTATATCTTTAATCACTTCCCTAACTGTCCTGTTCCCAGCTGGTCAGAGCAAGAAGCCTGGCTTTCTTCTAAACTCATGGCTCCGGGGAAAGGACACTTATTTCCTCATTCCTTGCATCTCAGGGTCAGGAGGTGGGAGAGCATCCTCCTCACTTCTCAGGATTATTTCCTCTCTCATAAAAAACCCCTGCATCTTTGACATAGCAATGTGGTTATACCACCCTTCTAACCGCTGTTCCGTACTAGCCTACCAATCACTTGTTTCATTTGCTGTAGATTTTGGTGTCTGGCTTAGCCTCTCCCTCTCCACTCCAAGCTCAATCACCACTCTAGGTACCTTTAGTGTCCATGAAAAATAGACCATCCCACTTCTTAGCCTTGGGGCTACTTCACTTCTTCATCTCCAATGACCTTACCTCCAATGGGCCAGTCTATTCTGCCATCTGCTTGGAATGTATCCAGCCACAACCTGGAATGTATCATCACCTAGAACTTCTCCACCTCTGAAATCAAACATTCACACATTTTTTCCTGATCTCAATCTCCTTTTCTAACAGTTCTCTCATCAGTTGCTCCTATACCACCCATTCTTCAACTCCAGCCTACTGAACCTCTGCTTTTACCTTCTTTTTTATTTTAATTAATTTATTTATTTATTTTGAGACAGAGTCTCACTCTGTCACCCAGGCTGAAGTGCAGTGGCACAGTCTTGGCTCACTGTAACCTCTGCCTCCTGGTTTCAAGTGATTCTCCTGCCTCAGCCTCCCGAGTAGCTGGGATTATAGGCACCTGCCACCATGCCCGGCTAAGTTTTGTACTTTTAGTAGAGACGGGGTTTTACCATGTTGGTCCAGGCTGGTCTCAAACTCCTGACCTCAAGTGATCCACCTGCCTCAGCCTCCCAAACTGCTGGCATTACAGGTGCGAGTCACCGTGCCCGGACTGCTTTTACCTTCAAATACTTACTCTGTCACTTCAAACACACTCTTGGCGATAGCATCTAGCATCGACCCCCTCACCCTTTTGTCCTATTACTTGTTCTGGAAAACCACAGACATTGTATCTACTTAAGTGACAGCCTTGTTGGTACCTCCTAAGGCCACTGATCACACAGCAATGAAAAATGGTTTCTCTTTATATCCAATGTTTCCACTCGTAACCACGTCTAAGGACTGCCTGGCATTTCTGCTGTTTCCTTGTCAGTTCTCTCTCCCAGAGGTTGGGAGTCCAATTTCCACCCATTTTTTTTTCAGGCCCTGTTGTTGACAGTGGAAATGCAATCTTATACAAGACGTTGTTCCCTACCCATCAGAAGCTTATTCTGATGAAGGGAAACAGATACACTCAAAAAATCAATGAAAAATTCTATGATGAAAATCAAACTGGATGATGTGGTGGGCACTAACTAGAGGCTCTTTTAGGTTGTGTGTCAGAAAAGGCTCCACTCGGGATATAACAAGCAATCTGAGACCCGAGTGACAGAGCCAGCTATGCAAAAAGCTGTGAAAAGCCCACCTCACAAAGTAAAAACGACTCCTTGCAAAGGCACTACTGCGATACTACTTCAGAGTGCTTGGGGAACAGCAAGAAAGGCAGGGACTGCAAAATCACTGTGAGCAAGGGAGAGAATGTGATAGGAAATGAGAGGATAGGAGCAGGCAGGGGATAGATCTTTCAGGCCAGGGAAAGGAGTCCGGATTCATACTCCACATGCAAATGAAAGCTATTGGAGGATGTTTTGTTTTGTTTTATTTTACTTTGAAGAGTAACATGATTTGATTTGGAATTTTCAGAAGATCACTCACATCAAAGTGTTTTCTCTCCCCATGCCTTCAACCGCTTTCTCTCTCCTGGTTCATTTCCATCTCTATCTGACTATACTCAGTTCACTCCCGTCTCTTGAGCAAACACTACCCTGACATCACCGTCTTCTCTGCCAGGGTCTCTCTTTTCTTTGCACAGTCCCCCTTCCTGTCTTCCCACTTCCTCAGCCACTGGCCCCAGAATCCTGTGCTCGCCATCCACCCAGTTCTCATGGAAGCCTCTGGGTGCTGCAGCTGCTTAGTTAATGGCGCCTCTTCAGCCCCTTCTTACCTGACCTCCCTCCAGAGTTCTTGTGATTTCCTCACACTTCTCTGACTTCTCCCTTTGATTTCTTGGGCAAGGTCCACTTCTGCTTGGTCCTTCAATGTTCCACACACTGCCCCAGAATGGCTTATCTCCACACTCCACACCACCCAACACACACACACACACACACACACACACACACACACACACCCTCCATTTCCATCTACATTTTGATGTCTCACAAATTCAAATCTGCTATATCTCTCTACCAGGCTCCAGATTTGCTTGATTGTCCCATAAGCCCCTAAATCACATGAAATCACAAATTAAACTCATTATATTTTCCCAAAATTCTGCCTCTTCTTGTGTTTTCAATCTCATTTGCCAAACGTGAAACCTATATCCCCTCTTCTCCTTACCCCCACCCCATAACCAAAATTGTCAACACTACCTCCCAATACTGAAACTTGTATCCCCAGTTACAGACATATCTGACCATCATCTCTCACCTGGATTATGGCAACAGTCCACACCAGACCATTCTGCCTCCATTATTGCCCTAATCAATCCTTTCCCTCATCACAAATACAGTGGGTTTTCGAAACCCAGAGGCTTCCTTACTTCTCCATTGCCCTCAGAATAAAGTACGTTTGCTTGTTTTTGAGGCAGGGTTTCACTCTGTTGCCCAGGATGGAGTGCTATGGCACAATCACAACTCAGTGCAGCCCAACCTCCCCCACTTGAGCGATCCTCCCACCTCAGCCTCCTGAGTAGCTGGGACTACAGGCATGGGCCACCAGTCCCAGCTATTTTTTTTTTTTTAATTTTTTGTAGAGACAGGTTCTCAATATGCTGCCCAAATCCTGGGCTCAAGCAGCTCTCCCACCTTGGCCTCCCAAAGTGCTGGGATTAGAGGCCAGTACAAACTGTTTAATACAGCTTTCCTAGGTCTTTCCCCTGAACATCTTACTCCACCATACATACTCCAGCCACAATAATTATTTTTGCTTTCATGAACATGAACTCCCGCCTGTGGACATTTGTACATGATGCTTCCTCTACTTGAAAATCTCTTCTGTCTACTGCTTCACCCCTGCAACTCTTCGTTCTTCAGATCTAAGACCTCTAAGGAGGTGTTTCCTGGATACCACCTGTCTCCAGTTAGTACCTCCTCTGTTTCCCCATAGCTTCCTTCAAGATCACGTATCAAACTGAATTATAGTTTCCTATTTGTTTTTATTTCCCATTAGACTTTAAGTTCTATAAAGGCACACCCTATTTGTTTCCATCTATCACCAACAATTAGCAGAATTTAGCACACAGATGGTTCTCAAATGTTTGTTAAATATTTTGACTAAGAATGTAATGCCCAAACAAAATAGTTCATTCTTTTTGCAAAAAAAAAAAAAAAAAAAAAAATTGATTGTTGCATAAATAGGCCTTCTAGTTATCATATCTACAATCCTCCTTCTTCTCTGATATGGGATCTGGGGGAATAACTCACAACTTGGGGGAAAGGAACCGAAGAGTTTGACCTTCCCTCTTTTCTTTTCTCTTCCTCCCCCTCTTCGGCTTCCCTAAACCTCCTTTAACGCTTCCTTTGATTTTTCAATGGAAAAAAAATCATTTGGTTTAGAGTATCCTCTTGAGAGGTAAAGTTGCTTTTCCAAGTAGAAAACTGAAAATTAGAGTGCAAGAAAGTGTGTAAAGAAATTTTTGTTTTAATCCATGCTCCAATTTGACAAAACCTGGATAGTACAAAACTAAATATTATGTGTGTAACATCAAAGAGATCCTCACCTGACCATTTTGTATGTTTTACTGTGAGGCCTTCTCTACCTTCCTTCCCTCCCTCTCTGATAATCACAAACAGCAGGGTATCTCTGAGTCCTGAGAGTTCTGCATCACCCACACAAGGCTAAGAGAAGGCCTTGAAGACAGAGCCAGGAACCTCTTCATTTGCCACCCTTAACCCACATCCCATGCCCAGCATAGGCTATTTCTTTTTATAAAACTATGCATTATAAAATTGAGGCGGGGGAGAAGGAGAGAAAATAGCACAATGGCAGCTGCAGCAGGCCGGGTAATCCAGGAAGCAAATCCAAGACAAAATTAGAAATACAAGAGATTTATGAGATTTATTGGGGAAATGTCTGTGAAACATAGAGAGGAGAGGAAGCAGGTGAAGGCTGTGAGATCCCCAGGCCATGATGTAAGTCTGACACCTGGGAAAAAAAGAGGAAGAGGGAAGGAGGAATGGGTACAAAGAGCCTCAGATGACAGTACAGTTCTGAGAATGTTTTAGCCAAGCCAGAGAGGAGAGCCATTCGATGGGTCCCATGTTGGCAGAAATGTCCCACCTCCAGTCTCCCTGCTGTGCAGAGTTATTGGCTAGAAGCAGCCTGGGGAAGGCGTAGCCTCAGAATGACTGCTGTGGTAGCTGGAGCTCCTCCCAGCAGCTTCTGTCTGGAAGGAGAGTTGAGCCGTGTACCTCCGTGGCTGGCGCAGTGGCTTCTGAACTTCTTTGTGAGTTACTCAAACACCAGTCTGCTGTTAAGAGGGAAACTTAAAGTGAATGTCATGTATTACTTTACCTCATCGGTTCTCAATCAAAAATCAAAAGTCAATTTTGCCCCGAGGGGATATTTGGCAATGTCTTCACATTTACAATAGTCACCTCTGGCAGGGGGGTGGCTGGGGGAGGTTTGGGGGAGGCATCTAGTGAGTAGCAGCCAGATATGCTGCTAAATGCCTTACAATGCATGGCACAGCCCACCGCCACAAAGAATTTAAAAATTATCTGGCTTAAAATGTCAGTGATGCTCAGGTTGAGGAAGCCTGCTTTACATCAAATAGAAAAATCTGAATTCCATTTCAAGGAAAGTAGTTCTTTCTGTATCAAAGAATGCAAGGTGGCAGGGCAGGTGAGCGAGGGGACATGGATAACACATGTGGCATGTCACTGTACATCTGGAGAGCACTGTAGACCCAAAATTCTACTTTCAAACCTTCCTCATTTCTTATTTCAGTGTGTATAGCCTATGAAATAAATCACACGCACATTGAGAATAATATGAAGGCAGAATGCCACATCTACTCCGGAGTCCTGCGTCGTCTACCAGCTGTTGATATGGGTGTCCCATACAGAGTTCTCATCACCTGCAGGACTGAGGAAAGACTAACTTTTTGTCAGAAAAGAAGAAAATGACCTAAAACTCTACCTTTCTGTGCAACACATACCATGTTCTTTACAGAGTTAACATTCTAATATAAAACATAATTGTTTAACGAGTTTTAGTTATAGGTGGGGGATAATAAAACTCCCATTTTCCTTTCCTACCACAGTGCCCAAACACTGTCTTCTTTATTCCATTACTCCAGGGTGAAACTGTAGTGGTGAAAAGGTACCCTGACCAGTCTGCTGACAGATCACTCTCATGGCCAAGAGTGGAATTTCTTAAAGTAGATATAATAATAAGAGTTTTGGAAATAATGTATTTGAAAATATGAAAGTTGCCCAGAAACATGAGATTATTCCCGGCAGCCTAAAAAAAAGAAACAGAATTGGCCTTTGTGTTACCACTGTGCAAAACCATGGTCAGCCGCCAAAGAACTCAGCTGAAGATGGTAAGAAGAAATCGACAAAGAAAATTTTAATAAGGGATTTTAAAAAAAAGGAAGAAAAGAAAAATAAAAACCTGTTCAATCTCCTGCCTTCCACCTGCACTGATCCCCACAAGAGAAGGAGTAGATGATACTGAAACAAAGTGATTTCACTGCCAGTTCATAGTTCTGGGGAAAGATGAGTTAGAAAGGATCACCTGAATTGGAGGTAGAGTCATCTGTAGATTTCAAATATCTGCTTCACTTTTGTTCCATGTTACTGTAAATAATTATCAAGTGACAGTAAAGATTTATAAAAGCATTTAAAACAATGAATAAGGAGAGTTGGTGGAGTTATAAGGTGGTTTTCTTGGTTCATGAACTTGTTTGCAAAAGACGCATGGCCTTATACTTAAACATGATATAAAGGTCCAACAAAGCTATTACAATCTAATAATAAAATTATACAATGTTTCTTTCCTCTATAGCTAATGCAGGCTTTACTTAAAAAAAAACAAACAAACAAACAAACAAAAACAGTATCAGTTTCCAAAAGGAACTTACCTTCCATTCTTGTCAGACATTCAGGAACCAAGCTTCTCATTTTGAGCTTCTTATATTATGTAAAGAAATGCATGACTAGGCACAGTGGCTCAAGCCTGTAATCCCAGCACTTTAGGAGGCCAAGGTGGGCAGATCACTTGAAGCCAGGAGTTGGAGATCAGCCTGGGCAACATAGTGAAACCCCATCTCTACAAAAATACAAAAATTATCTGGGATTGGTGGCACATGCCTGTAATCCCAGCTACTTGGGAGGCTAAGGCACGAGAATCACTTGAACCCAGGAGGCAGAGGTTACAGTGAGCTGAGATCACACCACTGCACTCCAGTATGAGCAACAGAGCAAGACTGTCAAAAAAAAAAAAAAAGAAGAAAGAAAAAAGAAGGAAAGAAGAAAGAAAGAAAGAAAGAAAGAAAGAAAGAAAGAAAGAAAGAAAGAAAGAAAGAAAGAAAGAGAAAGAAAGAAAAAGAAATTCACAGCCAAACTGGTATGCATTGAGTCTCTGGAGGCTGAAGACAAAAAAGTTTTTAATCTTATTTGTGCCATTTAAATATTTATAAGATTTAAGAAAAGGATTTTCCTTTTCTTTTTTAATCCGTGACTGTAAGGGACCAATTTGGAAGTCAGAAAATTTAGAGAAAATTGTGCTATTGACGTGCTGACTTTGGCAAATGAGCCTTAGATTCCTCTTTGTATACCTGCCTTCTTGCTTCAGTTAATTGGAAGTACATGCAATGACAGAAATAAAATCTCTGGCTCTTTGAAAAGTAGGATGCCATGGGAGAAAGACTTTTTAATAATTTTCTCTATTATGAAGGGCTTAGGTCTGGAGGATAGAGGCAAAAACTGCAAATCCCCCTTGTTGTGCATTCACTCACATTCACTACCAAGGCTCCCATTTTGATCATTCCCCTTGACCAGAAAATGGAGAGTGCAAATGTGTGTTCTTAGATGCAGGAAAAATAAACATCCACCAGCTTCAGCTTCAGAAACACGCATGAGGAGCCTTCAGTTTGCAAAGCAACAGCCTCACGTAATAGACGACGATGTGTACATGATTCACTGCAGCTTTTGACACTTCACAAATCAAGTCTGATTGGGTTTCTCATTGAAGCGATCTGACAGCATAACCAGAAAGCCTCCTGGGGCTGTTCTTTTTTTCTCCTTAGCAATGGATAAAAACAACCCAGAAACAGTCATTTTGGAAGTGGTAGTATCCAAACTTAGTTTTCTATTTTATTTATTGTCATGTAATTGCTTCTCTAACCCACTGTATTGATCTTGAGTGGGAAGGGAAGGGGGTTGGATGGAAGAAGAGCATTGCTCCGAGTCAGACATCTGTGTTTAGTCCTGAGGGAAAGAAATAAATAGTCCCAGCCTAGAAGAAGAGGGAGGGGAGAGGAGGTGGAAAAAAAAAAAAAAACCCAGAAGATGGACTGGTTTGCAAGGGATCCCAGTGGATTCCTGCTTACACCAGAGCATCATTTAAGCCTATGTTCTTCCATCTACCTTGTTTGCAGTAAATAGCTGCCCATTATGTCAGGTCAGGCAAGTGCCGGGGCGTCACAGCTCAGTGGCCGTGATCAGCTCACAGAGCAGCAAGAAAAGGCCCCCAGAGAGCAAACGCATGTGTCAAGTTCTGGAGCCGTCAAGGTTCTAAGCGACAGCTTATCTTGAAGGTTTAAAACATGCAAGCTGTCCCTACTTGCTTCTCTCTCCTCCTCCGCACCTTTCACTCTCCCTCCTCTTCTCCCCCACTCCACTTATTCCCCCTCCCCTAGTCTTTTTGCCTCTTGACAATCTGCTTGAAAGAAGACAGATGCTGGAGCAGTTTTCCTTAAGTTGGCTCTAATTCCATAAGGTGCAATCCACCAAACACAACTCTGTCCATCTTATGAAAAGGCTAAGATCCTGAGGCAGCCCCATTTATTATTTGTCTTGACACTAACACAAGTATTTTCAGATGGGTTGGAGGCTGTCACTTTACTATCTTATGTTCTTTGCCCTCAATAAATAAGACACATTAAAGTTCTTAAAGGCAAACAAAGAACTGTATCCTGGGTACCATTTGTCCTGCAGTTGCCATGTTTAATTGAACATTTTATAGCACTCTAATGCCATGTCAGGTTCTTAATGTGACATGTGTTCCTCTCTTACATTATCAAGGGCTAAGAGCATCACAGAATCTTCCTTGGATTCGTGCGTATGAGGAATAAGATTTATCCTGTGAGCTTCACTGAATCATTTATGAGTTGCCTTATCTTACCCAGGCAATTTTATAACTCATAAATGGCCCCTGTGGTCTGCTGTCTGGATTTTGTTTACTATAAAATCCCAAAATAGTATGACTATTTTCAAGATAGCAAGCTAAATTTTGCCGCAGTATAGAAGTACTCCGTATCTGTCCTTTATTTTGCCATTTGCTGGTCCCAGTTACAAGCATGGAACCAATCTGGGGAAAGGACGAGGCTCACGGATGGCACTTTAGAATCTCTAGTCCTACTATAGGGCAAAGGTAAGAGCCAGTGACTGCCAAAGTTTATAAAGTAATTATGGTGTTTGGCACTTATCTTTAGAGAATGCTGTCCTGGACAGAGCTAGACAGCAGTGGAACCCCTAGCTGCTTATGTTCCAGCAGAAATTAGCCATGTCTCAGCAAGATACACACTCAAACCAATACTGAAAAAGTGCAGGATGTTGGCCAAATCGGGAAGAGATTAACTATGTTTAATTAAGAGGAAAAGAAACGTGAATGTTAGGTGCGTAATGAAAGGGGGATTGTGGGAAGTTGTGTTTTTGTCATGTCATTTTCAATGGGAAAACTTCATGAAATAGATGGATGTACAGGGTGTCCTGAAATGAGAGACAGCCAGCTCCCTGGGCTTACTAAGTCCCTGTCGCATGCAAAATCCTCAGCTCCATACAGAGTGCTGTGAGTGCTTACCCAGACAACACAATTTCTTTCCAGCTCAGTCATGGGCTAAATAATTTAAACATTTCATAATTTAAATATTTCAGGAATGTCTTAGGCAGACAATGTGGTTTTTCAACCAGCACATGACCACAGTGTCCTATTTTCCCCTGAGTATTCTGAGTTTTTCTATGTATTTCTGGTAATAAATACAACTTAGTATTCATTTCTGATGTCTATTTATTTCAGGGTGACTGAGTATTCAAATACTTCCTGTAATACATAAAATGTATGAGATACTTTTTGCTTTGAATCAAAATTATATTTAATTTTTCAAATATTTCCCTTAAAATTCAATCACCAGCCAGGCATGGTGGCTCATGCCTGTAACCCCAGCACTTTGGGAGGCTGAGGCAGGAGGATCACGAGGTCAAGAGATCGAGACCATCCTGGCCAACATGGTGAAACCGTGTCTCTACTGAAAATACAAAAATTAGCTGGGCGTGGTAGCACACACCTGTAGTCCCAGCTACTTGGGAGGCTGAAGCAGGAGAATTGCTTGAACCCGGGAGGTGGAGGTTGCAGTGAGCCGAGATCATGCCACTGCACTCCAGCCTGGTGACAGAGCAAGACTCATTCAAAAGAAAAAAAAAATTCAGTCACCAACCAAACACTGGAAGGGATTTTTTCACATTTTTGCATAAGAGGCAGTACAGCCCAGTTCATGGTATCTTTATTTCACAGCTGCTCTGTCATTTTTCTCTTGAGTCTCAGTTTACTCATCTGTAAAATGGAAATACTGACACCTGACTTGTAAGCCTGTTATAAATATTAAATATGAAGTGTCTAATCCAGTACCTAGAACATTCATTGGCATGAAATAAATGCCCACTGTTGTTGTTTTCATTATTATCAGATATGTGTAAATTTCATATGTGAAACTCTAGAAAAGATTGTGTGTAAAATTTTGCAGACATTTTGGCACTTTAACTTTCCATCATAGATTATGGTAGTGACAGGATAAGGATGGGGAAATTGGCTACATTCATCATTTATTCTTTCCACAAATATTTATTGAGTGCCCTACCCTACATAAGCATTATGAAAAATGACAAGAGAGATGGCAAATACTTCAGCAAAATAGTCATGAGGGTTAGAGTCAAAACTAAAAACTTCAGTCACTGAGTCTATGCAAAACCTCTTGATGGGTTTTCAAGGAGAGGTTCTAGATTCTGTTCCTCTGTAATGTACCCTTCATGGGAAATCAAGTAAATCTAATGATTCAGACTCTTGGATCCAAGGGCTCACTCCATTCCTGCAGATTTCTTCAAATTTCTACCAATATCCTCTTTACAGAAAGCCAATGTTGTGCCTTTTCTTACTTGAATTTGTCATAAGAGAAGGCTGACAAACCTATTCTTATCTTCTTATCCTTCCTAGTCATTGTAGAAACCTCTGTTATTAAAATATTTTTTACAGATGAGCAATTCATACCATGCCTATAATAAATTTTTCCATTTTCCCCAGGATGCAAATGTGAGAAACATCAAAGAAATTCAATTATAAAAACCTATTTTCATTCAGTTAAGGACGGGAAAATTTATTATGGGTTGCTATTTGCCATGTTTCACATGGGCATAAATGAATTCAATTTCAATCAAAGTATTAAGTTTTTCCTAATAGGTTTTGACTGGACTGAACACAAGCATCTTGACATGTGTACTGAGAAGATACAGCTCTGCAAACATGCCTAAGGAATGAAGATTTTGTAAAAAAGAATTTAGCTACCTAGAAACATTTAGAGATCTGGTTCTGGACATATTTATTTAAGCAGGGTATATGTGAGGTAGGACAATTAAGATTTTGATGTGTGACTTTAAGTTGTCCCACTTTGAATACCTGGTTTTATCTGAGAAAGAAGCATGAGATCCCCGCCACAACTCCACTGGACACCCATTTGTTTTTCAATGAATTCTGTGTGGTTTCTCTACTTCATGCCACTGTGGGAGAGATTCTGGGTGTTCTCAAGCATCCAGATAACTAGGGGTTTTGCCTTCTTTATAAATATTAGATTATGTATGACCAGTGGTGTATTCTTTCTCTGTAAAAGGCTTTTTCCCTCTACTCGCTTATTACAGGAGGAAGCACAATATAGAAGTTTTACTTGTCCTTTTAGCCACAGAATCTGAGTAAAATGTAAAAGTAAAATTATTCCAAATGAGGGGCAAGGCAGATGACCACAGCACCTTCGTGTTCCAGGTGGCAAAGCAGGCCTCCAGCTGGGGAGGGTATATTGGTAGAATCTCTCACAAACTAATTTGGCATTGCTTTCTATCATTCAAATCTGAATGACTCAGAAATTTTACTCCCAGGTATATACCATAGAGAGATTGTTGCCCATGTGCACCAAAAGAACTGTACAAGAATCATTTTAGCAGCACTGTTTGTGATAACAAAAACTGAAAATGTTTCCAGTGTATACTAAAAGGAGAGTGAATAAATAAATTGTGGAACTTTTACACAATGAATTATTATAAAGCAGTGAAAATAAATATTATCTTCATGCAATAATAATATTGAAACATAATGAAACATGAAAAAACAAGTCAGAAAAACATATACACACATCCATCCATACATGGATACATATATACATATAATAATACTATTTATATAAAGCTCAAAATTATACAAAAATAAAATGTAAGAGTGTTTACCTCCAGGAGTTGGTGCAGTGCAGGGGGATGTGAATGGAAGCATCACCTAAGTTTTAATAACAGTATTAGTAATTTTTGTGGTCTTCAGTTGAGTAGTAGCTGTGCTAGTGTTGATTTTATTACCATGCCTCATGGTATACATATATCATCTTGTATGTATGAAATATCACATGCTAAAAAACAAAACTCAATTTCAAACAAAATCTTACCTAAAACAAAAGATTAGTGGACTTCAAACCAATTCACATATATATGGGCCTAATCCTAATAGATAATTTCTGAGTGCCCAGCAGTGGAGAGATGCAATTTAGAGACAACACACAGGACTATTTCAGAGTTTATCTGCAAGTCTTGCTTTAAATTTTCCAATGTTATTTGCCTTTTTCACATCTATCATAGCTTATGAATGAACTTCTGAGGGTAACATTTACTTGATGAAGCTTCCAGGAATTATTTAAAATTGTCATGCTTAAGATATCAACTTAAATTGTACATATCCACGTTTGAGATCTCCACAGCATATTCTTTACCTTTCTAAGGGATTTCACAGAGCTTTGCAGGCAAACTTACAGACTAAGGAGACAGACACACTAACAATCCTACAGTTTGTGTGCTGCTAAAATACCCACGGTAGCCCTATTTTAAAAAATATTTGTTATTCCCTTCTACTTCAGAAGAAGTTCACTATATATACCCTATCTTAATTTCTCAGTAAGATGGGAAACTTTAGAGGTTATCTGTGCTCTGGTCTTTGAACCCTGGTGAAAGTCACTCTTCAAAGTCATGAGGAACTGTAATAATGAATACATCTCCATTCACCATATTTGTAGTTGAAAATACATAAACATTAAAAAGTAAGAAATACGGGAAAGTAAATGTGTATTGGCAATATTTAATTATTTTGCAGCTGATATATTGAAAAATGTTTTATCTGTTTAGTCTGAAACATCAGGAATTGTTTTCATTACATAATTTTTTAAATGCCAAAATGGAAAAAAAAATGTTAAGGTCAAAGTTCTGGAAAAGATCTTAAAAGATCCTGATGGAACCCTATTATTGCAACTGAAGTTTTTTCACCCAATGATTAGAAAATGCCATTCTAAGAGAAATTATTGGTGGTAAAACCACGACGTTACATGTTGACCTAATGGCTATTCCTCAAAGGTAAGTCAAAACATTCCATGAGCTTCTCTTATTGATTGTTGTTCCCCAGTGCACCTCTGGGAGAACAACAGCAAAGAAATGTTTTGATCGGAGAAAGAGTGACCTTTACATTGGAAGTGTTTTAATGCTGTGATATGCTGAAATAACTAACTGAAAAGATAGCAAAGCAGGGAAAAATCTTATTATTTTGTAACCCATGGGGAAATGGGCATTTTTAAACTTTTCTACAAAATCAGAAATCTGATAAAATTATTGAGGCTAGATCTGAAATGCTGTGTTCCTGATTGGAGTAAGGCTTAATATCCTTACATAAGCAATGAAGAAGCACACACCAACACTCAAAGGCCTACATAAATGCCTTTCTATTGATGCGCAGAAGAAGAGAAGTGCTCACGTGGTGGCAACCAGAGCTGCCAGCTAAGATGTGCCTGCCAGCATGCTCTGCACGTGCGCCCATCTTTTCACAGTCTGTACACTAACATTCTAAGGCGGCCGTTGTTATACTCATTTTATAACAGAGGAGTCTAAGGGCCAGACCATTTAAGTAACTTGTCTCAGGTCATACAGTGAGTATGTGGCAGGGTCTGATTCTATGCCATAAGCAGGGTTCTCACCAATGAGAATTACAGGTTGGTGATCAGAGCACCTGTAGCTTGCCAAATTTGAAGTGCACCTGATATGAATAATTATTGAGTAGTTCCTTAAAACAGTAAGAACCAGTTTTCTACGTTAAACCATTTGCAATGGTAAAAACAGAAGTAAAGACACAGACTCAAGGTTTTTCTATCAGGATTTCTTTTTAGCATGTTGGTTCAAATCTGACTTGCTTTTTCCTTGTTTAGGGATTTTATCTTCTCTTATGATCAGAAGCATTTATTGATGTCAGTGGCTTGCTCTATTTCTCAACAATTTCACCCAACAGATCTCCATATTTGGATCAATCCAATGGAAAGACACAAATATCACAAACAGCTCTGGGAAAAAGAAAATTTAATTTATAATTAAAGAACCTGAGTCTCTGTGAGCCTGCTGTCTTCAAAAGCAATTTGACTTGATCATTCTGCTATAAAGACACATGCACATGTATGTTTATTGTGACACTATTCACAATAGCACAGACTTGGAACCAACCCAAATGTCCATCAATGATAGACTGGATTAAGAAAATGTGGCACATATACACCACTTGCATGTATATTTGACATTAGCAGCCAGCATGAATCATGGAGAGAGCACACAATGAAGGCCACGCTGTTCTAATGTTCACTATTAGAGCAAATGTTCTTCCCATGGTCAATGTCTACTTCCTGTATAGGGAGGTAGAGGCAGTCTCCCAGTTCTGGCTTCCTAGGTGCATTCCTAGAAGCTGCTGGGGCATTGGAATATGTCCTGGAACATTACCTTCTTTGGCTGTAGTCCTCAGATGGTAGATCACAATGCCCACTCTCTGTAACACAGCCCCACCCAAGCCATTTTCTTTTCCTTCTTTCTACTGCTCCACTACTGCCAGATGCTGAACGTATGAGCCCACCTTTGCCATTTCCCACCTCTTCCCCGTGCCTCCCATGGAAGGGTACACAGTGGTCATTACACAGCCCTTCACTCTCCAGCACCCAGTTGGCAAGTCATTCTCAGTTCTTTGGCTCACAATGCAAAGGAAGAAAAATATGCTGTTATCAGATCCTTCAAACTAAGGTGTGGGTGGCACTCCTCACTAGAACTGCAGCACACCTACTCTGTGTCATTAAAGGGGACAAATGTTGTGAATGCTATTGTGCCTAAAAAACTGGTTTTTGTGTCCTGAATAAGGAGGTGATGCTTTTCAATTGAGCTTCAAAAGAAAACATAGCTAGCAGTGAGAAGGGGACATTAGCAACCTTAGCAGCCCGTGATGAAAATGAAACTAGTAATAACCAAAGCTATTTGAGCACTTAAACAGGACCACACACAATTATATATATGTAATATACCTATAATATATGACCCATAATATATATAATATACATATATTATAGGTATATTATATACCTATAATTATATACCCATTATATATAATATACATGTATTATAGGTATATTATATTATATATAATTGCATTGAATACTGAAAACAAACCCATGAAGTAAGTACTATTGCTCCTATTTTATAAACAAGGAAGGAAACCAAGGATAAGAGATATTAAGTAAGTTGTCCAAGGTCACACAGCTTTTTTTTTTTATATACTTTAAGTTCTAGGGTACATGTGCACAACGTGCAGGTTTGTTACATATATATATACATGTGCCATGTTGGTGTGCTGCACCCATTAACTCGTCATTTACTTTAGGTATATCTCCGAATGCTATCCCTCCCCTCTCCCCCCACCCCGTGACAGGCCCCAGTGTGTGATGTTCCCCTTCCTGTGTCCAAGTGTTCTCATTGTTCAGTTCCCACCTATGAGTGAGAACATGCAGTGTTTGGTTTTTTGTCCTTGCCATAGTTTGCTGAGAATGGTTTCCAGCTTCATCCATGTCCCTACAAAGGACATGAACTCATCATTTTTTATGGCTGCATAGTATTCCATGGTGTATATGTGCCACATTTTCTTAATCCAGTCTATCATTGATGTACATTTGGGTTGGTTCCAAGTCTTTGCTATTGTGAGTAGTGCCACAATAAACATACATGTGCATGTGTCTTTATAGCAGCATGATTTATATTCCTTTGGGTATATACCCAGTAATGGGATGGCTGGGTCAAATGGTATTTCTAGTTCTAGATCCCTGAGGAGCCGCCACACTGACTTCCACAATGGTTGAACTAGTTTACAGTCCCACCAACAGTGTAAAAGTGTTCGTATTTCTCCACATCCTCTCCAGCACCTGTTTTTTCCTGACTTTTTAATGACCGCCATTCTAACTGGTGTGAGATGGTATCTCATTGTGGTTTTGATTTGCATTTCTCTGATGGCCAGTGATGGTGAGCATTTTTTCATGTGTCTGTTGGCTACATAAATGTCTTCTTTTGAGAAGTGTCTGTTCATATCCTTCACCCACTTTTTGGTGGGGTTGTTTGCTTTTTTCTTGTAAATTTGTTTGCGTTCTTTGTAGATTCTGGATATTAGCCCTTTGTCAGATGAGTAGATTGCGAAAATTTTCTCCCACTCTGTAGGTTGCCTGTTCACTCTGATGGTAGTTTCTTTTGCTGTGCAGAAGCTCTTTCGTTTAATTAGATCCCATTTGTCAATTTTGTCTTTTGTTGCCATTGCTTTTGGTGTTTTAGACATGAAGTCCTTGCCCATGCCTCAGTCCTGAATGGTATTGCCTAGGTTTTCTTCTAGGGTTTTTATGGTTTTAGGTCTAACGTTTTAAGTCTTTAATCCATCTTGAATTAATTTTTGTATAAGGTGTAAAGAAGAGATCCAGTTTCAGCTTTCTACATATGGCTAGCCAGTTTTCCCAGCACCATTTATTAAATAGGGAATCCTTTCCCCATTTCTTGTTTTTGTCAGGTTTGTCAAAGATCAGATGGTTGTAGATGTGTGGTACTATTTCTGAGGGCTCCGTTCTGTTCCATTGGTCTATATCTCTGTTTTGGTACCAGTACCATGTTGTTTTGGTTACTGTAGCCTTGTAGTGTAGTTTGAAGTCAGGTAGTGTGATACCTCCAGCTTTGTTCTTTTGGCTTAGGATTGACTTGGCAATGCGGGCTCTTTTTTGGTTCCATATGAACTTTAAAGTAGTTTTTTCTAATTCTGTGAAGAAAGTCATTGGTAGATTGATGGGGATGGCATTGAATCTATAAATTACCTTGGGCAGGATGGACATTTTCACAATATTGATTTTTCCTATCCATGAGCATGAAGTGTTCTTTCATTTGTTTGTGTTTTCTTATTTCATTGAGCAGTGGTTTGTAGTTCTCCTTGAAGAGGTCATTCACAAACCTTGTAAGTTGGATTCCTAGGTATTTTATTCTCTTTGAAGCAATTGTGAATGGGAGTTCACTCATGATTTGGCTCTCTTCCTTAGTGTGTAAGAATGCTTGTGATTTTTGCACATTGATTTTGTATCCTGAGACTTTGCTGAAGTTGCTTATCAGCTTAAGGAGATTTTGGGCTGAGACAATGGGGTTTTCTGGATATACAATCATGTCATCTGCAAAGACGGACAATTTGACTTCCTCTTTTCCTAATTGAATACACTTTATTTCTTTCTCCTGCCAAATTGCCCTGGCCAGAACTTCCAACACTATGTTGAATAGGAGTGGTGAGAGAGGGCATCCCTGTCTTGTGCCAGTTTTCAAAAGGAATGCTTCCAGTTTTTCCCCATTCAGTATGATATTGGCTGTGGGTTTGTCATAAATAGCTCTTATTATTTTGAAATATGTTCCATCAATACCTAATTTATTGAGAGTTTTTAGCATGAAGGGCTGTTGAATTTTGTCAAAGGCCTTTTCTGCATCTACTGAGATAATCATGTGGGTTTTGTCTTTGGTTCTGTTTATATGCTGGATTACATTTATTGATTTGCATATGTTGAACCAGCCTTGCATCCCAAGGATGAAGCCCACATGATCATGGTCGATAAGCTTTTTGATGTGCTGCTGGATTCGGTTTGCCAGTATTTTATTGAGGATTTTTGCATCAATGTTCATCAGAGATATTGGTCTAAAATTCTCTTTTCTTGTTGTGTCTCTGTCGGGCTTTGGTATCAGGATGATGCTGGCCTCATAAAATGAGTTAGGGAGGAGTCCCTCTTTTTCTATTGATTGGAATAGTTTCAGAAGGAATGGTACCAGCGCCTCCTTGTACCTCTGGTAGAATTCGTCTGTGAATCTGTCTGGTCCTGGACTTTTTTTGGTTGGTAGGCTATTAATTATTGCCTCAATTTCAGAGCCTGTTATTGGTCTATTCAGAGATTCAATTTCTTCCTTCTTTAGTCTTGGGAGGGTGTATGTGTCCAGGAATTTATCCATTTCTTCTAGATTTTCTAGTTTATTTGTGTAGAGGTATTTATAGTAATCTCTGATGGTAGTTTGTATTTCTGTGGGAACGGTGGCGATATCCCCTTTATCATTTTTTATTGCGTCTATTTGATTCTTCTCTCTTTTCTTCTTTATTAGTCTTGCTAGCGGTCTATCAATTTTGTTGATCTTTTCAAAACAACCAGCTCCTGGATTCATTGATTTTTTGAAGGGTTTTTTGTGTCTCTATCTCCTTCAGTTCTGCTCTGATCTTAGTTATTTCTTGCCTTCTGCTAGCTTTTCAATGTGTTTGCTCTTGCTTTTCTAGTTCTTTTAATTGTGATGTTAGGGTATTAATTTTAGATCCTTCCTGCTTTCTCTTGTGGGCATTTAGTGCTATAAATTTCCCTCTCCACACTGCTTTAAATGTGTCCCAGAGATTCTGGTATGCTGTGTCTTTGTTCTCATTGGTTTCAAAAAACATCTTTATCTCTGCCTTCATTTCGTTATGTATCCAGTAGTCATTCAGGAGCAGGTTGTTCAGTTTCCATGTAGTTGAGTGGTTTTGAGTGAGTTTCTTAATCCTGAGTTCTAGTTTGATTGCACTGTGGTCTGAGAGACAGTTTGTTATAATTTCTGTTCTTTTACATTTGCTGAGGAGTGCTTTACTTCCAACTATGTGGTCAGTTTTGGAATAAGTGCGATGTGGTGCTGAGAAGAATGTATATTCTGTTGATTTGGGGTGGAGAGTTCTGTAGATGTCTATTAGATCTGCTTGGTGCAGAGCTGAGTTCAATTCCTGGATATCCTTTTTAACTTTCTGTCTCGTTGGTCTGTCTAATGTTGACAGTGGGGTGTTAAAGTCTACCACTATTATTGTGTGGGAGTCTAAGTCTCTTTGTAAGTCTCTAAGGACTTGCTTTATGAATCTGGGTGCTCCTGTATTGGGTGCATATATATTTAGGATAGTTAGCTCTTCTTGTTGAATTGATCCCTTTACCATTATGTAATGGCCTTCTTTGTCTCTTTCGATCTTTGTTGGTTTAAACTCTGATTTATCAGAGACTAGGATTGCAACCCCTGCCTTTTTTTGTTTTCCATTTGCTTGGTTGATCTTCCTCCATTCCTTTATTTTGAGCCTATATGTGTCTCTGCACATGAGATGGGTCTCCTGAATACAGCACATTGATGGGTCTTGACTCTTTATCCAATTTGCCAGTCTGTGTCTTTTAATTGGAGCATTTAGCCTATTTACCTTTAAGATTAATATTGTTATGTGTGAATTTGATCCTGTCATTATGATTTTAGGTGGATATTTTGCTCGTTAGTTGATGCAGTTTCTTCCTAGCATCAATGGTCTTTACAATTTGGCATGTTTTTGCAGTGACTGGTACCAATTGTTCCTTTCCATGTTTAGTGCTTCCTTCAGGAGCTCCTTTAGGGCAGGCCTGGTGGTGACAAAATCTCTCAGCATTTGCTTGTCTGTAAAGTATTTTATTTCTCCTTCACTTATGAAGCTTAGTTTGGCTGGATATGAAATTCTGGGTTGAAAATTCTTTTCTTTAAGAATGTTGAATATTGATCCCCACTCTCTTCTGGCTTGTAGAGTTTCTGCCGAGAGATCATCTCTTAGTCTGATGGGCTTCCCTTCATGGGTAACCCAACCTTTCTCTCTGGCTGCCCTTAACATTTTTTCTTTCATTTCAACTTTGGTGAATCTAACAGTTATGTGTCTTTGAGTTGCTCTTCTCAAGGCGTATCTTTGTGGTGTTCTCTGTATTTCCTGAATTTGAATGTTGGCCTGCCTTGCTAGGTTGGGGAAGTTCTCCTGGATAATATCCTGAAGAGTGTTTTCCAACTTGGTTCCATTGTCCCCATCACTTTCAGGTGCACCAATCAGATGCAGATTTGGTCTTTTCACATAGTCCCATATTTCTTGGAGGCTTTGTTCATTTCTTTTTACTATTTTTTCTCTAAACTTCTCTTCTCGCTTCATTTCATTCATTTGATCTTCAATCACTGATATCCTTTCTTCTCCTTGATCAAGTCGGCTACTTCAGTGCATTCATCACGTAGTTCTCGTGCCATGGTTTTCAGCTCCATCAGGTCCTTTAAGGACTTCTCTGCATTGGTTATTCTAGTTAGCCATTTGTCTAATCTTATTTCAAGGTTTTTAGCTTCTTTGCAATGGGTTCAAACTTCCTCCTTTAGCTTGGAGAAGTTTGATCATCTGAAGCCTTCTCTCAACTCATCAAAGTCATTCTCTGTCCAGCTTTGTTCCATTGCTGGCAAGGAGCTGCGTTCCTTTGGAGGGGGAGAGGTGCTCTGATATTTAGAATTTTCACCTTTTCTGCTTTGTTTTTTCCCCATCTTTGTTGTTTTATCCACCTTTGGTCTTCGATGATGGTGACGTACAGATGGGGTTTTGGTGTGGATGTCCTTTCTGTTTGTTAGTTTTCCTTCTAATAGTCAGGACCCTCTGCTGCAGGTCTGTTGGAGTTTGCTGGAGGTCCACTTCATACCCTGTTTGCCTGGGTATCAGCAGCGGAGGCTGCAGAACAGTGAATATTGCTGAACAGCAAATGTTGCTGCCTGATCGTTCCTCTGGAAGCTTCACCTCAGAGGGGTACCCAGCCGTGTGAGGTGTTAGTCTGCCCCTACTGGGGGATTCCTCCCATTTAGGTTAGTCAGGGGTGAGGGACCCACTTGAGGAGGCAGGCTGTCCATTCTCAGATCTCAAAGACCATGCTGGGAGAACCACTACTCTCTTCAAAGCTGTTAGACAGGGACATTTAAGTCTGCAGAGGTTTCTGCTGCCTTTTGTTTGGCCATGCCCTGCCCCCAGAGGTGGAGTCTACTGAGGCAGGCAGGCCTCCTTGAGCTGCAGTGGGTTCCACCCAGTTCGAGCTTCCTGGCCACTTTTTTACCTACTCAAGCCTCAGCAATGGCAGGTGCCCCTCCCCTAGCCTCACTGCTGCCTTGTAGTTCAATCTCAGACTGCTGTGCTAGCAATGAGCAAGGCTCTGTGGGCATGGGACCCTCTGAGCCAGGTGCGGGATATAATCTCCTGGTGTGTCGTTTGCTAAGACCATTGGAAAAGCACAGTATTAGGGTGGGAGTGACCTGATTTTCCAGGTGCCATCTGTCACAGCTTCCCTTGGCTAGGAAAGGGAATTCCCTGACCCCTTGCACTTCCCAGATGAGGCGATGCTTTGCCCTGCTTCAGCTCACGCTCAGTGGGCTGCACCCACTGTCCTGCACCCACTGTCCAACAAGCCCCAGTGAGATGAACCCGGTACCTCAGTTGGAAATGCAGAAATCACCCGTCTTCTGCGTCGCTCACAGTGGGAGCTGTAGACTGGAGCTGTTCCTATTCAGCCATCTTCGGTGACACAGCTTTTATCAAAAAGAGTCAAGGGCCAATCCCAGCAGTCTGTCCTCAATAACTATGTCCTCAGCCATTCCAATTCCTTTTAAAATTACCTAGCACCATCTTTAGGAAATAACATTGAATGCTTTGTAGAAATAGAAAACCTGGAGGAAATACAACAGAAATATAATATTTTTGACTATGAACTATGTCTTATTCAACTTTGTATCATCCTTCCCTATTGTAGTGCTTGTTATTACCCATACACTATATTTAAAGCACACTAAAAATGCTTGTCCCAAAGACAGTCAAAGATGACTTTCTAGAGGAAGCAATGCCCAAACTAAGCCTTAAGAGAGATTTAAGATTCAGTCAGGCAAAGTTTTTACAAATTTAAACTGTAGTATTCAGGATTAGTGAAAAATAGCATTTCTTTGCAAGATGAAAACTTAGAAAGTGAAAGAAATGAGGCTATAGAACTTCACAATAACAAGAATCACTCTGCTGAACACAGTGGGTCTCAAGGGGGCAATCTTCATTGTAAATATGGCTAATGGAGCCTTACTGTTTTCTGGGCAAGTGAACTTAAGTTCACACTTAAAAAAAAAAAAAACACCAGGTGCAGTGACTCACACCTGTAATCTTAGCACTTTGGGAGGCCAAACTGGACAGATTGCTTGAGCACAGAGTTCAAGACCAGTCTGGGCAACATAGGGAAACCTTGTCTCTACAAAAAATACATTTAAAAAAATCTAGCCAGGCGTGGTGACACGTGACTACAGTTCTGGCTGCTTGGGAGGCTGAGGTGGGAGGATATATTTGTCCATTCTCACACTGTTATAAAGAAACTACCCAGGACTGGGTAATTTATAAAGGAAAGAGGTTTTATTGACTCACAGTTCCACTTGGCTAAGGAGGCCTCAGGAAACTTATAATCATGGCAGAAGGGGAAGCAGACACATCTTACATGGCAGCAGGTGAGAGAGAGAGTGAAAAGCCCAGGGAAACTGCTATTTATAAAACCATCAGATCTCGTGAGAACTCCCTCACTATCATGAGAACAGCATGGAGGAAATCACCCCCATGATCCAATCACCTCCCATCAGATCTCTCCCTCAACACCTGGGGATTACAATTCAAAATGAGATTTGGGTGGGGACACAGAGCCTTACCACATCATTCTGCCCCTGGCCCCTCACAAATCTCATGTCCCTTTCACATTTCAAAACCAATCATGCCTTCCCAACAGTCCCTCAAAGTATTAATTCATTCCAGAATTAACCCAAAAGTCCAAATTCGACGTCTCATCTGAGACAAGGCAAGTCGCTTCTGCCTATGAGCCTGTAAAATCAAAAGCAAGTTAGTTACTTCCAAGATACAATGGAGGTACAGGCATTGGATAAGTGCTCCCATTTATAATAGGATACATTGGCCAAAATAAAGGGGCTATAGGCCCCATGCAAGTCTGAAATCCAGCTCATGTGTCATTAAATCCTAAAGCTCCTAAACAATCTCCTTTGACTCCATATCTCACATCCAGGGAATGATGATGCAAGGGGTGGACTCCCATGTCCTTGGGCAGCTCCACCTATATTAGTCTGTTTTCATGCTTCTGATAAAGACATGCCCAAGACCAGGTAATTTATAAAGAAAAAGAGGTTTAATGGTCTTACAGTTCCACTTGGCTGAGGAGGCCTCACAATCATGGTGAAAGGTAAAAGGCGCATCTTACATGGCAGCAGGTAAGAGAGAATGAGAGCCAAGTGGAAGGGGTTTCCCTTATAAAACCATCAGATCTCATATGATTTATTCACTATCACAGAATAGTATGAGGTAAATCACTCTCACTATTCAATTATCTCCCACTAGGTCCCTCCCACAACATGTGGGAATTATAGGAGCTACAGTTCAAGATAAGATTTGGGTGAGAACACAGCCAAACCATATCCACACCCCTGTGGCTTTGCAGGATAAAGCCCCTCCTGGCCGCTTTCACAGCTGGCATTGAATGTCGGTGGCTTTTCCAAGAGCATGGTGAAAGTTGTCAGTGGATCTGCCATTCTGGGGTCTGGAGGATGGTAGCCCTCTTCTCATAGCTGCACTAGGCAGTGTCCCAGTGGGGACCCTTTGTGGGGGCTCTGACCCCATATTTCCCTTCTGCACTGCCCTAGCAGAGGTTCTCCATGAGGGCTCTGGCCATGCAGTAAACTTCTTCTTGAACATCCAGGCATTTCCAGACATCCTCTGACTACAGGCAGAGGTTCCGAAACCTCAGTTCTTGAATGCTGTGCACTTGCAGGCCCAACGTCATGTGGAATACACCAAGGCTTGGGACTTGCACCTCTGAATTGATGGGCCAAGCTGTATCTTGACCCCTTTAAGCCATGACTGAAGCTGGAGTATCTGGGAAAGAAAGCATCAAGTCCCAAGGCTGCACAGAGCAGGGGGATCCTGGGCCCAGCCTATGAAACCATTTTTCCCTCCTCAGCCTCCAGGCCTGTGATGGAAAGGGCTGCTGCCAAGATCTCTGACATACCCTGGAGACATTTTTCTCATTGTCCTGGTTATTAACACTTGACTCTCTGTTACTTATGCAAATTTCTGCAACTGGCTTGAATTTCTCCCCAGAAAATGTTTTTTTTTCCTATCACATCATCAGGCTGCAAATTTTCCAAACTGTTATGCTATGCTTCCCTTCTAAACATAAGTTCCAGTTTCAGATTATCTCTCTCAAGTTCTGAGTTCCACAGATCTTTAGGGCAGGGGCAAAATGCCAACAGTCTCTTTACTAAAGCCTTAAAAAAGTGACCTTTACTCCAGTTCCCAATAAGTTCTTCTTCTCCATCTGATACCACCTCAGCCTGGACTTCATTGTCCATATCACTATCAGCATTTTGGTCAGAACCATTCAACAAGTCTCTAGGAAATTCCAAACTTTCCCACATCTCCCTGTCGTCTTCTGAGCCCTCAAACTGTTCCAACCTCTGCCTGTTACCAAGTTCGAAGTCACTTCTATATTTTCAAGTATCTTTATAGCAGCACCCCACTATCTCAGTATCAATTTACTCTATTAGTCCTTTCTTATGCTGCTATGAAGAAATACCCGAGACTAGGTAATTTATAAAGGAAAGAGGTTTTTTTGATTCACCATTCCTCATGGCTGGGGAGGCCTCAGGAAACTTACAACATGGCAGAAGGGGAAGCAGGCACATCTTACATGGCAGCAGGCAAGAGAGAGAGTGAAATGCTCAGGGGAAACTGCCATTTATAAAACCATCAGATCTCGTGAGAACTCCCTAACTATCATGAAAACAGTCTGGGGGAAACTGTCCCCATGATCCAATCACCTCCCACCAAGTCTCTCTCTCAACACCTGGGAATTATAATTCAAGATGGGATTTGGGCAGGAACACAAATCCTAACCATATCAGAGGATCACCTGAGTCTGGGGAAGTCAAGTCTGCAGCATCATGATCACACCACTGCACTCCAGCCTGGGCAAGAGAGTGAGATCTTGCCTCAAAAAAGTTTTAAAAAATTAAAAAAAATAAATAAATAAGCAAGTGATAGGAAATGTTTGTCAGTCTCACAGTCTTGAAAGGTCTAGTCCTTGTTGGTTCTTGATTAAACAAAATCTGTTCTTTCCAGAGCCACATTCATTTTGGCCCTACAGTGACACAATGATAAAATCAAGTCCTGCTAGACAGAAGGTCACTTTTTCTAAGTCTTAGCACATATTAATGTAATAAATCTGGCTACCTGAGCACATAAGATTGCATACAGGCAAGATTCTTTTTTGCTGTAGTTATAATTATTATTATTTACCACAAAATGGCATAATTGTTTTTAAAAGTTTCCTTTGGTAGATATGTAAAAAGGATATATGTATTTGTATACTTTTTTTAAAAAATGTACTTCTTCTCTGTCCTCAAGGAAACACTTGTGTACTATATTGATGCTAGATATTTTCTAAAACATGCACACACCACATCAGTCTTTTGGTTGTTGCAATGCTTTAAAGAAGTTCATAGCATCTAGATTTCTTAGCCAGCCACTTACACAAAGTCTGTGGGGAAGCAAACTGAAAACTTATGAAAGTCTATGAGTTGTATTTTGAAGTGCCAAAACCAAGGTGCCAAAAATACTTACTAAAACAAATACTGTGCCAAAAATACACACAAATTAAATTTAAGTTATAGAGAGTAACTCAGCAAGACACTTAAAGTTTCCAGTGGCTCATGGGTCTCAAATTACAGGCAGGCAGTAATGTGAGATTAGACATATTTTCTTTTCTAGTTTTCTGTTCAACATTGCTGTTTTATGAGCCAAGTAATATGTACTGGGGACTATAAAAATTTTGGTGATAATGAAATGAGAAAATAAAGTATGTGGGAACTACATTGGCTTGTCTTATACAAAGATGGTCTACGAGGCCAACATTGATAGAAGACATGAAATATCCCTCAGGACCTCCCTGTTAATAAGCTATCATGACTGTTATTGCCACCTTAGCCACCCAACTATGACAGAAGACCAGCCTTCACTTGAGCATCTATGTCCAGAGTTTATGGCCTTGCCTTGGAAGTCCTCAACCTGGCTCAAGTCTACTCTGACTGCTGTGTACCTGAAGTAGAAAGAAGAAAGCCACTCAGTTTATATCTAATATCAATACCTCTAAAGTTGATATCAGTTAACAAAAATCTCCCAAACATAAAGCCCTGCCACTATTCTCAGCTCTAGCCTGCAAGGAGACTTCTGGTGAACTGTGAAAGTTCCTAGAAGAACTTTGAAATTTAGTTCTTTTGAGCTTGGTTGCCAACTAAAGACTTTAACCTCCAGTTTGTTGAGTGATTTTAGAGTAACCATCTTTTAGGTGGAGTTTATGGTCCTGGGAAATCAATGGATGGCTGTAAGTGGGTCTATGAACTCCTGAAAATATAAGCAACATGGGCGGGCCTGCATGTGCACTCATGCACATGCAATTTTCTGGGAATTCTCAAAGGAATCTATGTTCAAGAAATTTGTAAGACCTGTGGCTCTCTAGACTCTAGCATAATTCATCTTGTTCAAGAATCCTAGACGGTCATTGAGTATTGAGTAATCATCTAGCACATTACGCATTGGGGAGTAATTGCATTCAGATAGTTCTCAGAAGTTAAGGATGATGGCCAGATCAACACCAAAACTAGTGTCAAGAGCTATACCTAAAATACAATAGCATACCAGGAATTACTAGGCTAATTTCTGCGGTACTTCCACTGATATTAGAAATGAGGTAGAGAGTAAACAAATTTGTTGAATTTCTCATCTGGTTTCCACCTACTTATGTTGTGTAAAACATTAATGGACAGTGGCCACCTCCCAAACTCTTCTTCACAAAGGATGTAAATAATCATCATCCTAAAACATAGATCCGACAGAATGATATACCCCTCTTGAAAATGTGCAATCATGGATTACTGATGTCTGCAATGAGAAGCCGAGCCCATGGCTCAAGGTGCTTCACGGTCTGTTTCTGCCGTTTCTTCAGCCAGATCTCTCATCACTTCCAATCTGACACCCAGTTATGCCAGACCAAAATATTTAATGCATTTATAGTACCATGCCCTGTGATTCTGTACATAGCACAGCCCTCCTTGAAAGGCCCTTCACCTCATAAACTTCCACTCATTCTTTAAGACACAACATAGGAAGGTTTACTTGAATTTTCTCATACAGTGACCCTTCCCTTGTACCTCAACTTCTATCTGCCCCTATATGCTCTCATCATACTGCACTGTATAGACACCTGCCTCCCTATTAAATTGTGAGCTCCTTGAATTCAAAAACTGTTATTCATCCATTGGTCCCCATTGTCTGGTACACGAGTGGGGACCATTCAATATTTGGTGAATTGAATATTCTGTGGGTCTAGGCAAACAAGGGAGGGAGGCCAAAGGGCCAAGTAGCATGAGAATGAACAAGTCGTTTAAGTGGGTGACACAGACCAGTATTTCAGTCTCTGATTCTGGGACAGAGGTTGTTTATAATCCTCCCTAACTATATGATTTCCTAATATGGGATGATGAGCATAGGATGGAAAAATGGCAGGACACTTGGGTGGGTGTTTGCATCTATGAAGTACTGGTATCGTCCAGGTGAACTCCAGGTACAAAAACTGGATATCTGAAAACTTCTTTTAGTATACGTGTTAAGGACAGCATCCTTTTCTTATTTTCAAACCTACACTTTCACCTCCCTTTCCCATCTTAGTAAGCATTATTTTGGACCCCAACATAGTTTGAGTACCGGAAGGAGGGAGAGTAAAAAGGGGAGCATAGAAGTTCTTTCTTGACTGTCCCATTTGTAAGGTGGCTTCATAGTCTCTGAAGATCTGCCCCGTGCATATTTAAAGATGACCTCTACTCTCTTGGGCATTTCATGTCTTCTCTTGCAGTCCCATCTGGGAGCTCATTACTGTACTGCTGGGCTGCAGGGGATGCATCTCCCTCTGGTTGCTGCTCAGCCTCCGTCCCTATTTTTTCAGCATTTCATCCCACACAGACTACTGTGATCCCATGGCCTTTCCAGACAGTATTTTTTTATTTTATTTTTTAACTGATAAAAACTGTACGTATTAATGATGTACAACATGATGTTTTGATATATTTATGCCTTGTGGAATGGCTCAATCAAACTATTTTTGTGGGGAGAACATTTAAAATCTACTCTCTTATCAGTTTTCAAGTATACAATACAGTGTTCTTGACTGTGGTCAACACGCTGTTTACTAGCTCTTCTAAATTTATTTCTCCTGTCTAACTGAGGTTTTTATATCTTTGACCAGCATCTCTCCAGTGCTCACCCCTGACCCCATCCCCACCCAGCCCTTGGTATCCAGCATTCTACTCTCCCAGGCAGAACTCTTTTTTTTTTTCAAGACAGAGTCTTGCTCTGTCACCAGGCTGGAGTGCAGTGACACGATCTCGGCTTACTGCAACCTCTGCCTCCCGGGTTCAAGCGATTCTCCTGAACCTCAGCCTCAGCCTCTCGAGTAGCTGGGACTACAGGTGTGCGCCACCACACCTGGCTAATTTTTGTATTTTTAGTAGAGACGGGGTTTCACCACGTTGGCTAGGATGGTCTCGATCTCTTGACATCGTGATCCGCCCGCCTTGGCCTCCCAAAGTGTTGGGATTACAGGCGTGAGCCACCACACCCAGCCAGAACTGTTAAACAAGATATAAAAGAGCCTCAGTCCAGCTCTCTCTACCTGCCCCACATCAGGTTTGTAAGAAAGCTCAGGGCTTCCTGCTGCCCACCATTGTGAGAGTGTGGCTAGTTCCTTTCCTTCTGCCACCTCTCGCCTTAGTCACAGATTTTTGACCTTAAGCTCCTCATGCTATGTCAAATGAGGAATTGTTAACTCCACTGTGGCAACATTCAACTCTATGTCCTCCTAACCACTAGGGACGTGTAGTAAGACCTTCAGGGGCTTCCTTAAGCCCCTCTCACCCATCCAGAGGTGAGGGACAGAAAATCTCCATGCTTCCTCCTTGAAGCGGGACCAGGCATCATAGCATTTGGCTCCCTCCAAAGAAATCTGCCTTCACAATTCCCTCTCTTCTTTCCCTCATATTTGCTCCTCTGAAACGCAACACCTATTGTAATATCTCAGTATTTCGGTTACAGGTTTCAATGTAACATCTTACTATAATGTAACATTATAGTAAGAACCTAAGTGTTGCTGTGAGAAATTGGTAACAGAATCCAGTAAAGCACTTAGCACAGTGTTTACAAAGCCCTTTAGGAGTAACAACGTCATTATCACTCCTGATATAAACACTGTTACTTTGAAATAGGCTACCACTTTTAAAATCTGTGTAGGCATCTCCTTTTTAGATTTCTTACAGATTTTTCTTTCCTTTAGGGAAGTATATTGTAGTCTCTGGTATACTTGAAAGAACATTTGCCAACTTAAAAGGAACAAGGCTTTATTTCAAACTTTCAGCTGTCGATTTAGATAAGTGTTGACATGAAGGATGCTTTTGGTAGGACTAAGCATTTTAAAGGAGGTGGCATTGGCTTCATTTATATGTATAATGAAACTTCTTTCAGTCTGACCTCAAAACTTCCTAATTTAGCTTAAACTAATATTTGCATACAAGACAATATGTTTTATTGAAGGTGAGGGGCATTTGCAGCAATATAGCAAGAACGCTTCCCACTAAAAGAACATAGAAATTCTGCGTAGAGTAGAACAGAAAGCATTTTTTTCCATAAATAACTGAGGTTGAATAAAAATGGAAATCACAGTGTACTAGAAAATAAAAAGGCAATACAGTGATTTTAACTGACATTGTAGAGGCTCAGGGAGGGTATCAGACTGGAAGAGGACTCTGGTGGAGCCTGTGGCTTAGGGAACCTGGAAGGAGGCTAGAGGTTTCATAACCACAAAAAGCCTGTGGGAATGTCACACAGTCTATGTAAAGCAGATAGCTGGTAATGAGATCTCTGCTTTTTGTAAACATACATGGGACATTAACTAATATTGACCGTATGCTAGGCTGGCCATCAAGCAACTCTCAATGAATTTCAAAGTATTTAAATTTTACAGAATACGTTCTCTGAATACAGCAGAATTAGGCTAGAAATTTATCACACACACACACACACACACACACACACACACACACACACTGCTATGGAATCCTCATATTTTTTCAGTAATAAGAAAAAAAAAGCTTCTAAATCATCAGTGGGTCAAAGATGAAATCACAAGAGAAATTGGACAATATTTTTAAATGAATGGTAATAAAATGCTACATATCAAGTCTTGCAGCTAAAATATTGCTTAGAGAGAAATGTATAGCCCCAAGTTTAGAATATTAAATATTTAAAATATTAGAAAACAAGAAAAGTGAAACAACAATTAGCTAATTATCCCTTAGGAGATAGCTGGAAAATGAATAGGAAATTAAACCCAAAGACAGAAAAGAAAGGAAATAATAAAGACAGTTTTTATACAACAATGACTAATTCAGCTTGTATTAAAACAAATGTTAACAATACACAATACCATAGGATGAACCAGGTAAACAAATAAAATATAAAACAAACATATAATAGAATTAGCAAAGCCAAAAGTCAGTTCTTTGACTGACTTTTTATTTGACTAATAAAATTGAAAAATTCCTGTCAAAACTACCAAGAAAAAAATGAGAAAAATAACACATCACCAACATCAAGAATGAAAAGAAGAGGATATTATTATAGATCCTGCAAATATTTTAAAAATTAAAACTGGACAACATGTTCCCTTGATATGATGTGATGAGAATGGCATTTAGCCTCTCTGGTCTTCCTCTTAAAAACAAGTAACTTCAGTCCAACCATGAGAAAAACATTAGAAAATCCAAATTAAGTAATATTCTGCAAAAGGCCTGACCAGTACTCTTCAAAACTGTCAAGGTCATCGAAAACAAGGAAAGTCTAAGAAAGCAGAGATTTGGCAACTAAATGTAATGTAATACTCGATGAAATCTTTAAACAGAAAAAAAGGCGTTAGTCATACAATACATTAACAACACTGTGTTGTATACTTAAAATTTTGTTAAGAGAGTAGCTCTGATGTTAAATGTTCTTACTACCAGAAAACAAAAGAAAAGAAAGGGAGAAAACTTTTAGGAGTGATGGCCTTGTCTATGGCCTTGTTTACGGTAAGGGTTACACAGGTGTATACTTGTCTTTGAACACATTAGTAAGTATACATTTAATATGCACACATTTTTATATGCCAAGTCATACCTCAATTTTTAAAAATGCACTAGGGGCAGAGCACAGTGACTCACACCTGTAATCCCAACATTTTGAAAGGCCAAAGCGGAAGGATAACTTGAGCCCAGGAGTTTGAGACCAGCCTGGGTAATATAGTGAGACCATGTCTCTACAGAAAAAATTAAAAATTAACCAAGCATGATCGTGCATGCCTGTATTCCCAGCTACTCTGGAGGATGAGGTGGGAGGATTTTTTGAGCCTGGGAGGTAGAGGCTTCAGTGAGCCAACACTGTGCCACAGCCCTCTGGCTGGGGTGACAGAGCAAGACCCCATCTGAAACACACACACACACACACACACACACACACACACACACACACACAAAAAAAAAACTAATGAAATTTAAATATAGTATGGAGTTTAGTTAATGAAAATGTGTCAATATTGGCTAATTGGGGATGACAAATGTACCATAATAACATAAATTTTTAGCGATGGGGGAAGTGAGGATGAAGTATTATGGGAAATCTCTGTACTAGCTTTTCAACTTTTTTGTCAATCTAAACTATTTTAAAATAATAGCTTTATTTAGTAAAATATTATAAGTGGATATTATTAACATTATATTATGAATATAATGTCAATAAATTATAAATTTAAATAAGCTGGACAAATTCCTATAAAAGCATAAATTACAGAAATTGACATAAGGAGAAATAGAATGTATGAATAGTCATATAACATAACTATTTTAAATATTAAATTTATCATTTAAAACCTTCCTACTAAAACCTTTGGCCCAGAGAACTTCATTGGTGAATTGTAACAAATACTAAAGAAAGAATGCCAGTGTTGCACAAACTGTTCCAGAGAATTTAAATGGAGAGAATAGTTTTTAACTCTTTTTCATTCTACATAATTTGACGTGAACATTACAAAAAGGATAACTGTAGGCCCACTTCACTAATAATAGACACAATAATCTTATATGTTAGCAAACTGAACTCAGAAATATAGAAAAAGGTTGATGCAATATAACACAACCAAGCTGAGTTTATTTCAAGAATGAAAAGTTGGTTTAAAATTTGAAAATCATTCTGTATAACTCTTCACATTAACAGGATAAAGAAGACAAAACTGCAAACATCTCAATAAATTCAGAAAATCTCCTGTTTATATTAATAATAAAAATTATTAGCAAATAGGAATAGAGGGGAGTTTCCTTAATCTGATAGCATAATTATATATATATAAATTAAGACATCTATATATAAAATATTAGAATTAATAAGTTTGCAAGGTCAGTGGATACAAGATCAATATGCAATTATATTTTTGTGGGACAAGAACAAGCAATTAGAAAATTAAAAAAATTAAAGATACTATATTTAATATAGTCAAAA